>NC_000013.11:105627979-106252979 GCF_000001405.40 Homo sapiens | reverse complement strand
GGTCAGAAGTTAGAGAGTAGCCTGGCCAACATGGTGAAATCCCGTCTCTCCTAAAAATGCAAAAATTAGCTGGGTGTGGTGGTGGGTGCTGTAGCCCCAGCTACTTGGGAAGCGGAGACAGGAGAATCACTTGAACACTTGAACCCAGGAGGCGGAGGTTGCAGTGAGCTGAGATCACGCCACTGCACTCCAGCCTGGGCGACAGAGTGAGACTCTATTTAAAAAAAAAAGATTCTGAAACACTAATTATCCCTGTTATATGTCTTTTGTTTGGCTATTTTTCTTTCTCTGATGACTTCCATCTCTTTGACATTTTCCTCTTCATTCTGGGGCAGCTTTTCAAGCTTGTCTTCCATGCCACAGATTGAATTTTCCTCACTGTGAATTCTGCTCTTCACTGTCTCTTATATGGATTTTTGATCAGATGCCACTCTTAATTGGCTTACAATGTTCTATTTTCTCAGTTACCTTTCTTTTCTCTTCATCTCATTGTTTTAGCTTCACCTTGTTCTCTCCATAACATATTCTGCCCTGTGTTTTTCAGGCCCGGGCTTCAAGCATACTACCCAGAATGCTAAAGAGTTTCCTGAAATTTTTCTTCTATTTCACCATGTAGGTCATCGTTGCCAGAATGCTGTCTAAGGGAGTTTTAAGCATGATACTCCTTTTGCTTTATTTTCTAGTATTTTCCATAGGCCTTCTATTTGTTTTTTTACTGTTTATTCATTGTATCAGTTATCTATTGCCACAATAATGCTGTGTAACAAATAACTGCGATATATCAATGGTGTATATTGATGTGTATTTATTGCTGCCTGACATACACCTAAAAACATTTATTGCTGGGGGATATTCAAGTGATCCTGCTATTTTCGGCTTCACTTTTTCACATGTTTAGGAGCCGACTGAATATTGGTTGATGTAAACTGGTCTTGACTGAGTGGTCTGGGCCTGTTGCCCTCATCTCTCTTCCTCCTCCTGGGGCCAGTGGGTTGGCCTGAGCTTATTCCTCACACGTTTGGCCAAAGCAACTGTCATGGGCAAGTGTAGAGTCAGAATAGGAAGAACTGAAGAATTACTTGGCGAAAGGCATGGTTATGGGGAGGAGATGAAGAATGGAAGCTATTTTTGTAACATATCCCCTTCATCCTTAGATCTTCGTGGTGTGGCTTTCTAACACACAGGTCTTTATTTATGTTCCTATATGCCACGAGTACAATACTTTCTTTCCCCATAGCTTGTTTCCAAATATTATTAACCATTGAAGTACCCCTAGCATGCATTGATACCAACATTCTTCCTATCTCCCCTCACTTCTATAGAATATTACTTGGTACAGTTTGTATGATGCAATGAACCACTTCTAATTCACGTCTAATTTCCTGCCCAGGCTTTTCTGGAAGGTGCATGATTCTAGATCAAGCTGAGGGTGTATACCTCTGGGGCAAAAGGGCATAGATAGTTCCTATGATAGCCTAGGTGATTTTAAGGAAACGTGGGAAGTTTATGGAAAGCAGTTTCCTGAGCTTTAACTTTCCTGATAATCTTTTCTAAAAATGGATCTACCTAGAAACTGCTCCTGTCGTTTGCCTTTCTCTCTTCTCCCTTCACACTCACCCCTGTTCCACAAAACCAGGAAACCAAGATGTTAGTGCTGTGCTGTCTGAATATGTTAACAATGTCAACAAAGAAACAACCCCAAACCCAAATCAACCTGGGAATGCCAAACATGGGGATGACTGGAGAGTACATAGCCCTTAAGGAGGAGTTCCCTGAGAGCAAAGCAAAGACAACTTTGGGAAGAGATGGCTAAGAGGGCAGGACATTAATTTATCCATGTCAAAACCTCTTGGCAAGTCTATCTATCTATCTATCTATCTATCTATCTATCTATCTATCTATCATCTATCTTTCTATCATCTCAAAATTAAAATTGAAAACATAGAGCATTATTATGAAGGTATTAATTTATTTAAATTGAAATGTAAAGCCAGATTTTTTTTTTTTTTGAGATAGAATCTCACTCTGTCACCCATGCTGGAGTGCAGTAGCATGATCACGGCTCATTGCAGCCTCAACCTCCCCAGGCTTAAGCGATCCTCCCACTCAGGTTCCCAAGCAGCTAGGACCACAGCTGTGCACCACCATGCCCTGCTAATTTTTTTGGTAATTTTTTGTAGAGACAGGATTTCATCACTTTGCCCAGGCTGGTATTGAACTCCTGGGCTCAAGCAAACCACTCACCTTCGCCTCCCAGAGTGCTGGGATTACAGGTGTGAGCCACCGCACCTGGCCACAAAATCAGATTTTCATTAGATAGATGGTAGGTCTAATTTAGGTGATTGGTATTACTATGAAGACTAGATTCTCCAATTCAAAATTACTGTGAATATTTAAAACAAGTTGGATGATATACATACAAAGCTGTATGTTTTCAATGGAAGTATGTTTAATACACCCATACAAAACACCAGCAATCATACTTCGTAACAATTATAATTATAATAAAAATAATTTTAGATGTTTACTTAGAATGTGTCAGAGGGCACATTATTTTTCAAGACACTTTTAGGAGGAATATAAATAAACATGGGCAGCACCGGTGAGTTAGGATAGGAAGGCAACAACCGTGGTGGTGACGGCATTGAAGGGGCAGTACTGGGGTCAGAAACATCCTGTGTTGCAGAGAAAGAGATCTGCAGAGCTCTGAATATTTTGGGGTCTCAGAGAGAGACAAAAAAAATGTAAGTCTGGATGCCATATGCTTAAATTTTTAAAAGTTAGGAGACAGACTTAAAATGCTAAATAAAAGATGTTTTATTCTCTTTTCTTGAAAATATATCCTTAGAATGTCAAAATTGAAAAGTGTGTCCAAAGTTGTGGTTTTTATACAACTGAATGCTGGCAAAATGTGACTGAACTTCCGTTCCACTGAGAGACCAGTGATGTTTGAAGAGTGTAAAATGATGACACACACACTTTATACTTTTATTATGTACTCATAAGTTTTGTGCATCTTCAATTAAGCAAAATCACTTTGTTTTTATAATACAGACCTTCACAAGACTTTTGTTCTTTTAAGAGTAGTGATTGAAAGATAAAAAAAGTGACTGTATTCAGAATGTTCAAAATCTGGATAGATTTTGATTAAAATATAAAGTATTACGAAATGAAAGTTTCAGTTATTTTGATTTTTAAAGTTTTTTTCTAAAAATTCAAAATTGCCCATTAAACTAAATATGAAGTATAAATTATAAGTGATGATTACGAACATTTAAAATACATTTAGATAAAACTAAACACTAAAATTTTGATCTTTGAAAAACTTACATTTGCTTTTTTTCAAAAATCTACACTGAAATTCAACACACATATTCCAGTGTAACTTAAATTGTTCCATGACATGAGAATTCCTCAGCTACCATGTTCAGGTGGATCAAATCAATGATGAACAAGAAAATGGATGCCTGTCCCCATCAGAACGCAGCACTTCATCAATACAATACAATGGACCACAGTCTATTGCATTCACATGCCATTGCAGAGGAAGAAATTCATGTGTTATTAACTTGTTCTTCATTTTCCTAAGTGCTTCTGCTGGCTAATTTCTCCCTGCACCTCCACACTTTGTCCTTCTTGGATGCAAGCAGAGGCATACCTCACAAGCCACCAGGACATTCAAACAAAACTCACATCTGCTTCAAAAACACAGGCGAGAGGTGTGGAAAAGAGTCTCCAGGGAGCTGGAATGGTGCGACTCATGGGGCAAATCTCTGGTAAGGAGCAGCCCACGTGTGTCCCTGTAGAAGTAATCTTGGTGTATGTGTTTGTGACATGCAAGGCCCAGGGCTGGAGTCCGCTTTTGCCAGGGTTTGAGGGTGGCAGTGTTCTTGTTTTCCTTTGCTGGTAGAATAGCTGGGTCTCTGAATCAGGGAGTAGACAGTAGAGGGGTTAGGGGTGTTAAAAGAAAACTTCAGACAAGTTAAATTTAATGGAGTTTAAGTGAGAAAGAAAAGAGAAGAAATGATTCGCTAATAGGGCAGCCTCCAGAATCAGGAGATTCAGAGCGACTCCAGAGGTGCCTCATGGTCAGAACAAATTTATAGACACAAAAAAGGATTTGACATACAGAAATTGGAAGTGAGGTACAGAAACAGTGGGATTGATTCTAGCTCAGCATTTGCCTTATTTGAACACAGTTTGAACACTCAGCAGTCTATGAGTGGCTGAAGTATGGCCTCTGGGATTGGCCAACACTCAGTCAGCTATTGTTACAGGTGCATACTACTAAGTTAGGTTTTCAATCTTGTCTGCATACTAAGCTAGGTTACTGTTCCTCCACGAGGACTCAAATAAACAAGTATGGAGTGTTTCTCAGGCCATATTTAGTTCACTTTAACAGGAGACACCTTGCTACTTTTTTGGAGGTTTTCTTTGCTCTGGTTACTCTTACTGTGACCTGTGATGAAGGAAGAGGATGACATCCCTATAAAAGAATCAAACATTTTACTTTTTTATTTCACTTGCTTATTTGGATTTTTAGTAGAGACAAGGTCTCGTTATGTTGCCCAGGCTAGTCTTGAAATCCTGGGCTCAACCAATCTGCCCACCTAGGCCTCCCAAAGTGCTGTGATTACAGGCATGAGCCACCATGCCTGGCCCAAACTTTTTAAAGAAAGATGGGGATTAGACGTTGAATATGTGTTACTTTTTTAAAATTTAGGAGTAGGGATTCTTTAAAGACATTGTGATATTTTTTCACAAGAAATACTAAAACTAATTTGTAATGTCTTTATTGAGAATGGCTACCGTTATGTTTTATATGCTAATCTGCAATGAAGATTCTCAAAAGCCTTACATTCTGATTGTTTCTTATTTGATTACTTTTTTATTGCTAGTCACCAACCTTTAGATGTTGCTTTAACTATGAAAAATGGCAGTAAATTACTATGTGAACATGTTAAATAGCATTTAGAGAACTGAGAGTCAACTTGCCAAGCTTGTTAGACACAAACAGGAGTTAGCACGTACTGGAAGAATATCTCCATTTAGAGGATAGTGACTAATGTGAAATAGACACCTCTCAATTGTTTCTTTTATGTATCTACTTTTCAGCTTACAGTTTATTAACCATCAATGGTATATATGCAAGAGTCACTTTTAATTCATTTCTGTATGAATTGTTGTTTTATGCAAATACTTTTAGATAATGGCTTTCTAAAATAATAATCTCCACTGTGCAGAATACGTCACCCAATCATTGTGACCCAAATCATTGCAAACAGGGAGCAAGAGTCAATGATCAGTTAATAGAAAGATGTTAGTAATAAGGATGTAGTCAACAAAAATACTTAAACATTTCAGAACATCGTTTCATAAACCATTCATATTAAAGATTTAAAAGATTAAGGACTTAAAATACTTTTTGATATAGAAAGAAAGCCTCAGAACTTTGTTAAGTGATCAATAACTGCTCTTTATTCCCTCTCATTTTTCTTTACCTACTAATTAAACATCTTAGAATATAAAAGAGACATGTGATTTTAATAGTGGGTGAAAGAAGACTGAGCCAGAGATGATTAGACTAATAAATATATTTTTAAAACCCCTTCATTTTGAAATGAGGAAGCCAACTCTCCATTTTTTCCCTGAGCATTTAAAGAATGAAATGGTTTCACTGTCCCAGCAGGCTTCCATAATTCAAAAAAAATAAAAAGGACTGTGATTGGTTTTCGTGATTGGAAATTGATCTAATTTTTATTGTTTGCACTTAACATTATGATTTAGGACTTTTCTAAGATAAATCATCCTCATGTTTAATTTTTTCTGTTTGAGATGACTACTTCACATAGAATTTTTTTTGTTGTTTTTTGGTATCACTTTCTTTTTCAAGGAGTGTACTGTGTAATCACTGAACTCCTCTGTAATTACATGGCAAAGACTATGTAAATACGTAATTATGTTCATGCAGATTACTTGATAATTATACTTCCAGTTACCAAGTAATGAACGGAATAATCATCATGCACTTTGCAGCTCTTAGATTTTCAGCTTGGTCTTTGTTTTAAAGAAGGAGAGAACTGGATAATTACTCTATGGTTACATGGCACTTACATTGTCAACAACCATGTGTTCATAGTGCTATTACGTGGTTATTTTTTACCTTGTAAAATAAAGTGGTACTGCCTTTTAAAGAAGTCTTTTCCTGCTCTTTTCAGTAGGATTTCATGTCTCACACGACTGAATAGCAAGGCAGAGCTTCTCTTTTGTATACAGGGTGGCACTGAACTTGAACTGGAAGTCTCTGAACTTATTCTTTGCCAGGATAAAAATAAAAGGAGAAAAACATATGTATGTGAAGTTTTCTCAGTGGAACATAAAACACATAGTTATTAATCCTAAATCTGTAGACAGATTCCCTAGCCAACAATGATTTTTATTTGTTTTGTTCAGCTTATCGACAGTACTATTTAGCCGTGGTTCCCTCTGGCTGGAGTATGCGTCTCTCTTTATTTCAAGAATCAGCTCTGTTGGGTGTCCTTTGTGTGTACCCTTGCTCCTTCCTCTGTCCCTCTGTGCTTATGGCTCTGCTCCTGTTTTGTTGTAAAGACTTTACTCAGTGTCTTCCCTTCCAGCCTCTGTGACTGACCTCTTACCTTGTGTTTTCCATAGTCTAGTAGAGGGCATGGGTGTAAATAGTTTATGAACACATCTTTAATGAATCAATTAATTCAAAGACATGTTTAATATATTAGTTACATGACTGATTAATGAATTCCCAAATCACTATTACATTTCAAAATATTTTGGAACATTCATATTAAAAGTTTACTTTTTTAGAACATCCTTTGTCTTTGACTTTGGAAGATTAATGAAGTTTTACATAAAAATACATGACATTGGGCAGTGTGCAATGGCTCATGCCTGTAATCCCAATACTTCAGGAGGCCAAGGCGAGCGGATCACCTGAGATCAGGAGTTTTAGACCAGCCTGGACAACATGGTGAAACCCCATCTCTACTAAAAATGCAAAAATTAGCCAGGTGTGGTGGTGCACACCTGTAATCCCAGCTACTCAGAGGCTGAGGCACGAGAATAGCCTGAACCCAGGCAGCAGAGGTTGCAGTGAGATGAGATTGTGCCACTGAACTCCAGCCTGCACGACAGAACGAGACCTTGTCTCAATATTGAGATCCTGTCTCCATATCTATATATCTAGATATATATATATATCTAGATATATAGATATATATATATATCTAGATATATAGATATATAGATATGTATATTGAATTCATGCATTCATATAATTGATCTGGCATTTATGTAGCACACATACACATACATACATTATATTCAGTGCTCTGTGATTGGCACAGAGGAGATTCAAAGATACATAAGCTACTTTCCTATCTTTACTAACTAAACTCGCTATTCATGGAAGAAAAGAGGAACA
Organism: Homo sapiens; assembly: GCF_000001405.40. NCBI lineage: Eukaryota > Metazoa > Chordata > Mammalia > Primates > Hominidae > Homo > Homo sapiens. The sequence goes on along the minus strand of NC_000013.11, from coordinate 106,245,523 downwards.
TCCATCTTAAAATGAATGATGATATAATGCAGAAGAAACTGGAACTGTAATGCAACTGTGATTAGGGCTTTCCCAGTGATTTTAAGGAATGTTTTATTTCACTGGCTAATTTTATCTTTCCAGAGCAAATTGACCCATGCCTATTCAAATAAATTAAACTTTCATTTTGCTTGACCCATATATGGAGGATTTATAATTAATTTTGCTAATTCACATGATTTTCTACAAAAAATGGCAAAACATACCATTGTGTTTCTGTGTTAACAAGCATTAAGTGACAATAACCATTTCTTTTTTTGCGCTTCAAGAAATGTGAACTTGTTTTTAAAAAGTTCTCTATAGTTTTGAAGCTAATTTTATAATATGATGAGTTAATGTCCATTTGGAATTTGTATGAACCCTGCTAGAAACTTTTTTTGAAATTTTAAATTCAAATGTATTAGTGACATCTCCAGGTGTTAAATACGTTTGTTATTTCATATTTGAAAATTAACAAATTAAAAATAAATAACAGCAGTGAATTTGTGAATGAATAAAAAAAAGAAGAAAAAATCCAAATAGACATGAGAAGTTAGTATATGAAATTTGCATTTAAATAATTAGGGGAAGATAGCAACCTGGAAAAGGATAAAACTAGATATCAACATTACTTGTACAGCAACACAAATTAGAACTCTCTTAAATACTGAATGCAAGAAATGAAATTATAAAATAGCTAAAGCAAAATGTATAAAAGAGCTAATATTATAGTGGAAAAGTCATGTTAACTACGACCATAAAAGAAAGTTAGAGAAGTTTGATTATATAAATATTCATAGCATAAAATGAATTATTTTTTTTTATTGTGTAAAAGCATTATAATTCAATAAAAGGATTAACCATATGAAAGGTAAAACAAGTTTACAGTCAGAGAGAAAAACACACACACTCATATACAAAACTGTCAAAGCAGCAAAAAGATCCTTTTAAGCTAGTCAGAGTTAAAAATATATTAACCAAATTAGAGTGCATAAAACACTTTATTGACAAGGGTGTGGATAATCCAGCCATTCCTAAACACTTACTTGGTGTGTAGCATGATGGGTATTATTTCCACAGCACGTCAGTCTGTCTTACATGGCATCTGATTTCCAAGAAGAGGAAGCAGCTTGTCCCCCTAAAGTCCTCAGCCCAGAAAGGGACTGTTGTGCTTCTGCCATATTCTGTTGGTTAAAGCAGTTTCAGGGCCAGCCCAGATTCAAGAGATGAGGAAATATACTCCACTTGTGCATGGAGGGTTAGCAAATAATCTGCAGCCATCTTTAGTCTTCTCTCTTCATTTCTTTTTCTATTATATTTATTTCTATTTTTTTCTATTGAACAACTTTCATAATGTCCGCCTCTGGGCAAAGAGACTGAGAGACTAGAGATTTGGGATTAGAGGGACACAGTTTTCATTGTTTTCCCTTTTATACTGTTTGATTTAAACATTACAATGCTTATGCTTTATATGATTGATTTTTAAAGACAGCTTATTTTCTTCTTTTTTACTTTATTTCTAAAATTGACATACAATAATTGTACACATTTATGAGGTACCTAGTGGTGTTTTGATACGTATAACGTATAGTGATCAGATCAGGGTAATTAGCATCTCCATCACCATAAATATTTATTGTTTCTTTGTGTTGGGAACATTAGCTATCCTCCTAGCTAGCTCCAAACTAGCTAGCTGTTTGAAACAAAATATTATCATGAGCTATATTCATCCTACAGTGCCAGGTGACACTAGCATTTATGACTCCAATTATTCCTCCTATCTGGCTGTAATTTTGTCTCCTTTAACAAATCTCTCTCTATCCCTCTTTTCCTCCACCCTTCCCAGCCTCTAGTATCCTCTGTTCTGCTTTTTACTTCTATGAGATCAACTTTCTTTGGTTCCTCTTACAAATGAGAACATGCCGTGTTTAACTTTCTGACCTATTGAACTTAGTGTCCTCCAGTTCCATCCATGTTGTTGCAAATGACAAGATTTCATTCTTTTTTATGAGTGAATAGCATTCCATTGTGTACACATCCACATTTCTTTATCCATTCCTCTGTTGTTAGACATCTAGGTTGGTTCCATATGTTGGCTATTGTGAATAGTGCTGCAATACACATGGGGGGTGCAGAGATCTCTTTGATATGCTGATTTCGTTTCCTTTGGATAATTGCCCAGCAGCGGTATGGCTGGATCATACCGTGGTGCTATTTACAGTTTTTTGAGGCGCCTCCATACTGTTGTCCATTGCGGCTGTACTAGTTTGCATTCCCACCAACAGTGTATGAGAGTTCTTTTTCCTTCACATTCTCACCAGTATTTGCTATCTTTTGTCTAAAAAGACAGTGTAGTTTATATGTTATGAAAGCTCTCCAAGATGCACTATAAATTTTAAAAGTAGGAAAATACAGTATATAATGTATTTACAATATATACAGAATTTTTTTATTTCTCAAGAGTTGGATCCTGATGCCTCATTTGTGTACGTGTACGTATGTGTGTGTAAATGTGAAAATGGTGTAACATACTGTAAACACACACACACTGATAAGCAATGGCTGTAAGCAAAGTCATATGGGTAAATAGAAGAAAGAGCAATGTCTTCTCTACTGAAAGTATCACAAACATGTGAGTGCTGGGCTAAGTCTTCTCCATGTGGATTTTTACTATCTTCATCAAAACACTTGCGGTTTCAAACTAGTGTACTGCAAAAGATCAATGAACCTTTATCTTCTGATGGTGTGTTGTATGTGTACCATAGAGGCTGATAGCACGCAGAACCGGTCTGACTCAGAGCCACAGCTCATTTACAACATGGAGATATAATACAGAGATACACTTGGGCACTTTCTACAAAAATGTTTAGTCTCTTATCTGTATTACTGGAAATTTAAGCTTCTGTCTTAGAGTTAATTCTACTATCTGTTTCTGGTTTGAGAGTGAATTCAGGTCAATATAGATTCCTGAGAAATCCAGGGTATAAAATTCAATAATGAGGAAGATATCTTCATTCTTGTAGTCTACGTCTACAGGCTTACAAAATGGACAATGAAGACAATCTCATTTGCTGAACGGACTTGCAGTTCCTCTTTCCCTCCCCATTGGCGGTCCCAGACAATTAGGCAGTATCTTTGCCAGGTCAGTTGTTTTAGATCAAAGACTAAAGATGGGTAATTCATTCTGGTCCTTAATCACTGGAGCACTGGTCCTTGCAGTGCCAGTTCAAAGCCGGTTAATACTTAGTTTTAGGCTGAGAAAAGACAAAAAAATCTCAAAATATGACAACAATTCTAGGCATCTTCTGACACTGAATGATGCAGCAGTTCTGTGGAGACTCCAATTTTCAGACACTGTCTCCACTCCCCTCAGCACCACTTCGCACTACTTTTTGTCTCTGCCTCCTTCCTTAATCGTTACAATTCTTTTGCCTGTGACGATTCTAAAGTTATTGTTTGCATGGAATTTTCAGATACTGGGGAATGGAAAGAACTTCTCATTCCTTTCAGGAGCTATGGATAAAAGAGCAGGGTTTTCAGAGCTTCTCCCACACACAATACATAAGAAGGAATATGTGTTTGACAGTTCCATGAAAATTTTCTTTGCCTATTCACATGCTTTGGATCAATGACTTGTTTAATAAATATTGGTCAGTGACCTCTGAAATCTCCCATTATGCTCTAGATCCTTAGGAAAAGTGAAAATATCCTAAAATGTTAATGCCACTATTCTTGACCGAGGATCTATTAAGGGCTACAGTGAATCAGCAAGTTTCCAGCGTCTATGTACACAATGTATATTTGGGGTTTTAAGTGATATTTTGGAGAGGGGATCCCTAGTTTTCAGGAGCTTCTTAGGCAGGGCAGTTGCTCCACAATAGGTTAAAAGCATTTTACTATAGTATTTGATACTTCACTATTATTTTTGACCAAGTGAAATAACAGGTTTTAAAATGCTTGGGCAGGACAAAGACCTAGACACTTATAAATTATTAGTATTTATGTAGGATGTGCATATGTGTAGTGGGGAGGATGTGTTATTGGTACAGAAACTGCATTTCCTTCTTGTGTGCAATTCAGCTATGATCAATGAGTGCTATTACTTGTTGTAGGATCTATTTAGTGTGATTACTTAACTCACCCACCACATCTGATGGAATTCAGACGTGAAAAAATTTGTTTTGCCACTTCTAGGAGCAATTTGAATGTAAGACACAGGATTCTGCTTAGCCAGGCTTATTACTTATGAGAGTTGTCTCCATTTGTTTTCATATTTTTCAAATTTTAAACATCCTCTTTGTTTCAAAAAATTCATAACTTCTTATTTAAAAATGAAAGGTTTTTTTCACTGGCCATCAAACTAGTTGATACTATTGGGTTGAGGGTCTATGGGAGCCAAAGCGGTGGCTAGGCCACACTGCACACATTATTTTTAGTTTTTAGAAAATAAGGTTATTTTAGGTACAGCGGCATATGTGCCAGTTTGTTACATAGGTAAACTCATGTCATGGGGGTGTGTTGTACAGATTATTTCATCACCCAGGTACTAAGCCTATAGCCCATAGTTATTATTTTCTGTTCCTCTCATTCCTCCCACCCTCAACCCTCAGGGAGGCCCCAGCATCTGTTGTTTCTTCCTTTGGCACATGTTATTTTAAATGTCAGAATACCAAAAGTGCATCACTTCAGACAGACTAGGTTATGCTGTGATTATAAACCAACCTCCAGTACTTTGTGACTTAAAACAGCAGTGATTGTTTTCTCTGTTTTTTTTTGCTCACTTTATATGTCCATTCAACTCAGCACTGCTCTGCTCCATGTCATTTCCTCCTAGGGATGTGGCTGACAGAGGCCCCTTCACCTGGAACGTTGACCATCATTGTGGCAGTGGAAAGAGAATCAGCAAATTGTGCAGACTGTTAGTCGTTGCTGCCTTGAAGTGAAACATATCAATGTGCTCACATTGGATGCCATGCATTAGTAAAACAGTCACTGCCTAATTCCAGGGGAGTGGGAAGTTCAATCGACCCTATCATGTGTCCAGATAGGACAAGTGGAATATTGCTGAGCAGCGAAGGGACTGCTGTAGCAAAGGAGGGATTGTTTTGTTCATTTCACACATGGTGTATCTAAAGAGAAGAGAGCTTAGGTAACGTGGGTAAGGTCAATAGCCGGAATGTGGGCAACATGTTGCATAATGAAGAATTGTTGCTATGAAGAAACAATTATTGGAAAATATGAAAATACTATCAAACTTCAAATTAACTTAATGACCTAAGGATACTTAGGAGGACATTGAATTGTTCAGATTTCCAATGCAGCAATGATCAGTCCCGGAGCCTATGATAAGGTCCCTCAGGACACATGAATGATTAACCCCTTTTTCCCCCCCGACTTCCTCCCAAGTAGTTCTGTCATCTTGGGCAATTGTTTGATTGTCTAACTTTGCTGAGCCTTGAGTTTCTCCTCTAGGGTAAAGCTGCTGGGTTTGCGGGAGTCCCTTTCTACACTGACAACCTAATGTACTCAGTTGAATGCTTGGTTTCTGATCAGCTTGGAGTTTATATAAAGTTTATATATATATGTATATATATATATATATATATATATATATATATATATATATATATATATTTTTTAGACAGAGTCTTGCTCTATCGCCCAGGCTGGAGTTCAGTGGCACCATCTTGGCTCCCTGCAACCTCGACCTCTGACTTGGAGTCCTCCTTTTTCTGTTTGATAGATGAACCTGAGACCCAACAAGTGGATTCTTAATTTAGACTTATTCGAAATTCTAGCATTACTCCTTAGAACTCCAGGTTTTTCAGATATTACTAAAGCAGTTTCAAAAGTTTCCCACTCCTCAAAGTAATCTTCCTCATCAATGATTTTTATAAATGCAATCCGAAATTAAGCTACTGTTTTTGAAAGCACTTAGTCATTATTGCGATATGATATCCTGTTCAACAAGCAATTTTTGAGTATCTCAATATGTGGAACTACCATACTGAATGCTGGCTATGGACCACTTTCTACCCTTAAGGGCCTTGGTTTATCATGCAGAAATTAAGACAAAATTTTAGAGTTATCAGTTACTTGGATAATAAAACATTGCCTTTTGAGTAAAAATTATAGATTTAATATAGAATAAAAGCAATTTTGAAATACACACACACACACACACACACACATACATCTTCAGTTTTCACCAAAAACATTTTTAAGGCATAGTTTAAAAAGATATCTTATAGACGCAAAATAAACTAGAGATAAAACATCAGAGCAGAAATGATTATGCATTTGGATTATCTTAAAGTCAAAATCTAAGAAGAGTGTAATACAGAATTATGTTTGTTTTTTTCCACACTTCTTTACAGTAAACATCTTTATTGAGTCAGTACTGTACAGCCTGATAGTCAGTTTCTCCCACTTTCACTTGGAAGAAATAATGGTGAGAGTCTCTTCTGCTGGTCCATTTCCCTGTACTAACGTGTCCATAGACGAGACCTCAGCCCTCATCACCTGGCAGGGGATCAAGAGACTGAGAGCCTCCTGGTGTCCTGTCAGAAGGCCCTGAGGCACGCTGATGCCTTTTACATTAGAGGCAGGACCCTTCCGTCTTCATCAGCGATGATATACAGCCCCAGGGAAGCATCGCGTGTTCTGGGGAAACGCACCAGGAAAGAACAGTGCCTCAGACAGGCAGCTTTTCAAATGGCAGTCCTGGATGTGCAAATTCCTGAAAGCTCATTGGAGTTTTTACTTTCAAGACAATTTCAGAAGGTAATAGGGTAAGTTTTTTGCATTGTCAAACATTCATTTCAAAGACACTGCACAGTAACACAATGGCCAACCCAAACACATTAAGATCAGAATTAAATAAGACTAAATGAGGTAAATAAGTGAAAGTGCTTAGTAACTTTTGAATGCTACACAGCAGTTTAATATTTAATTATTATTTGATTTGCAGTTTTGGTTTCATATCTTTTTAGAGGTGATACCCTTTGGCTGCGAGCAAAGAAATTTTTCTCAATGTGTATAAAGGGCTATTCAAGAAGCTCACATCTACTAAAGTAAAAAACAATGTATTGTCCAAGCAAGAAATATCTTTTCAGAGCTGGCTTAAAGAATAATTTTGTCAGGATTGTGATTAACAAACTCAGGTTCTGTCGATCCCTCTTGTTGCTATTACTACTCCCTTGTCTTCTCAGAGAACTCTAGAGTTCACTAAGCAATTTCTTGTTTGTGGTTTTATCTGAGCTTCATGATAACATGTTAAGATAGATGGGGCAGGTGCTATTATCCCCATGTTATAGATGAGGAAATTGACTCTTGGTGAAGCCAGAGGATCAACAAACATCGTACAGATACTAATGAGTTGGTAGCAGGTCAGATTCCATTATCTTGAATTCACAGCTAGTACTCTTTCTAGCAAAGGAGTGATGAACCATGAGGACAAGCTTCATGAGGACGAAGATCATGTGTCTGTTTTCTTCTTTGCTGTATTTCCACAACTTAGCATTTGATGACCCAGAGAATGCACTGTGTAAATGTGAACTGATTCACTGATGATGTTCAGATAATTATCTTTCTCTAATTCTATAAAGTTAAATATTTTTGAGAGAGAAGAGACATCATCATTAGGGAAGTGCTTATCTCCAGGGAAATACTCAACTTATCGAAAAAGGTGCTGGCACTCCAATACATTATAGTTTTTTATTCCGTCAGATTTTTTATCATCAAATGATTCCATTGAAAAGTGTCATTTATACTCCAAAGCCCAGGAAATAAAAAAAATCTCATCTGTCAATGAAACATAAAATCGAGCCTGAGTTTCAGTTCACATTTGCCACTTTAAAACGTTCCTGAAAAGAATAAATAAATCAACAATTATATGTAAAGATGAGAAACAGCTTAACTTTGAGGAAAAAATAAGCATCTGGTAGGAATTTGGATTCACTGTCTCTTTCTTGACCTATCTGTATCCTATCCCTCCCTCCCGGTCACCTTCTTGCTCTAGCCACAGCTGTTTATCATTTATAAGCTCCTCTGACATGCATTGTCTACACTATTTGGTAGGCCAGAACAGAGACTATATGTGGCTGGGATAAGCTAAGCCTATTTTCCGGAAGCGAAAAGAGCAGAAAGTTAGAAGAACCCGTGCCGCCGAGATTATGGGGAGGTAGACCCCACAGGGCCATGGTTGCTAAGCCTGGGATATAAAACGAGGGCTTTTTTCTTTTTTTCTTTTCCAGAGAGATCAACTGCTGAGTCTGTTTATGGGAACTAGAACAGAAAGTACAGGAAAGATATCCTCTCTTTCTTACAACCTGATCTAACTCATTGTGGAGATGCTGAGAGCCTGCTCTGGGGCTTCCTCACGTTCCTGATTGAGAAATGAAGGCCCTGGAGCCACGAGGCGGCAGTGTGTGGGGAGGGGCAGCACAGATCCCTGAGGATCCCAGAGGCAGACGCTTACCAGTGCTCTAACCTGTACTGGATTTGGGACACGCTGGTGCCTATCACAGTAAAACCGGCCATTTGGTAAAGTGAGGCAGAAGGCGAGGGCCTGAACTTAGCTCCTCCAGCCCTCTTGCAGTTGGCTGGGATCCAGGAGCTCATGGTCTCTGGGGACAGTTGTGTAAAGTAGCTGATGATGCTGGTTGGAGAGCTTGCTCAGGGCATTGCTATAGTCACAGAGCAGGAGGCCTGTGGGCTAGGGATGGCATGAGATACTCAGGCAGACTTGGGTGTATGCAACAGGGCATGCAAGCCTTCATGGGGGCTGAGCCAGGGGGTGCCCAACTGATTTAGAGCCAGTCCAGAAGGAACAGGCCAGAACTCACAAACTGTAGGCATCCCCACCACTGCAGGCAGGCAGAGCCATGACCACAGCACCAGGAACATTTTTGCCTTAAAGGCCAGAGAGGGCCAGGCATGGTGGCTCATGCCTATAATCCCAGCACTTTGGGAGGCCGAGGCGGGCCGAACACGAGGTCAAGAGGTCGAGACTATCCTGGCCAACATGGTGAAACCCCATCTCTACTAAAAATAGAAAAATTAGCTGGGCATGGTGGCCATGCCTGTAGTTCCAGCTACTCAGGAGGCTGAGGCAGGAGAATTGCTTGAACCCGGGAGGCAGAGGTTGCAGTGAGCTGAGATCATGCCACTGCACTCCAGCCTGGTGACAGAGCGAGACTCCATTAAAAAAAAAAAAAAAAAAGAAGAAGAAGAAAAAGAAAGGCCAGTGAGGACCCAGAGAAGAACATGCATGAGACTCCCCGTGGTGACCGCAGCAATAGCTGCCATTGTTGGGAGCTGTGGAGGGGTAATTCTTTAAGATATTGAACCCGTACCTGAGAGCTTGTAAACTAAGAGGAGATGGAACGAGAAGCATGAAAGGTATGATTAACTGGCAAATTTGTTTCCTTGCCCTCAGTGGAGTGAGAGCATGCAAGGAAGATGAAATCAATTCTAGAAAAAACACAGAAACCTCACTTTCTTTGCACGTGTGAGTATATTAAATTCATTTGCGTCATGTAACATGTGTACTGCTTTGGAATTAGAAAGTGAAATGAAGGATTTTGTTTTAAATCTTGAAAATATTATCCTTAATCCTGTAAGATCTCAGAGGACTGTTAACCCACTTTACAGATTGTGCCAATGACTAAAAGAGCATTGGAGCTTGACGGTTTGTTTACTTTTCTATGGTTTCTGAAAAAAACATGCTTCACACATGGATTGCCCATGCTGAATGTCTGGGAACTAATCAGTCTACTATATGTGGTTATATTTATGTTTGCATAGCTATTACATATGATAAAGGTATTGAACAAAAAGATATAGCTCTAACAAGAAGATATAGTCCTAGAGCAGAACTGAGACATTCATCACCAGGGTACAACTTTTCGACCCTGGTGCTGTTTCCAGAGTGCACTCTGCAACTGGATGTTACATCCGTGTCTGCTTTGCTCTGTCCACTTCTCCTGTTCACTGCTTTACACTCTGGATGGTTAATAAATTAACAAATTCTAATTAGGTTAATTTAGACACACCAGCCAAAAGAATCATAATTTCCTTCAAAATAATAGAAAATATTATTGATTTGCAATGTCTCTTTAAAACCCTAACTTATTAGATGAGATAATAAATATCTGGTATGTGAGAGGGAGGACCTACGTATTGGAGAGATTTTTGATTGATATCGATAAATGCTACTACCATCATCATGGATCAGTACTTACGGTTTGCAAATGAAAATTTGTCTATACCAACTTAAGGTAAGTTTTGCACCAGTAAAAACACAGTTAAAAGTAGTGAATAATTCTGCTTTTACCAGTCAAGCCAGTTTGCAGGCTAACTAGCCTGAGTTACTTGGTTAGATTAAGTCACATCATTCAATTGAATTAGGATTCCTATTACAAGCAGAGAAATCCCTTCAAATGCCTTTCATCAAAAGGCTGCTTTATTCATATTGGGGTGACCTTTATTTTCCCTCCCTTTCCAGGGGAGAAAGACATAAAAGAAATACGAGTTGGCTTATCCATTCTGCCCTGGCGGATTGCTCCCCATTTGCTGTGAGCTGGAGTGCTGCCCTAGCTCCGGCGCACCAATGCCTCCGTCACACAGAAGCAAGGCCAGGCAGGGCAGCGTAAGTGAGTCTGGAGATTAGCGAGGGATTTTTAAAAGCACCAGAGAGGTGTTATTAATCCTTTGAAAGTGTGAGCCTTTCTGATATGGCAGCCCGACTCCTGGGAGAAATTGCGCAGGCTTCTGTGTACTTGATAAGGAGCACATAAAGTAAAATGCAATGAACTTAATGACCCAGAAATTATTATTAGAGGAAATTAATACCATCTTCAGGAGATTTGTGGCACTTAACATAGCATTTTGAAGGAAGTAAAGATTCTTTTATATCAAGCTGCCTTTCATTTTAAGTATAAACATGTGCATTTGCATTCTGTAATATGAAGATTAAAGATCTGGCTTTGAATTAGCAAAGATTATTTAGCGTCGAGACAGGAGCTCACAGGGCAATTGTGGGGTGGGTTTCTGAGATACGTGTGCATTCTTGAGATCTTCTCTGGTTCTCTTCTCACCAATCATTTTATATTGTTGGCTATAATTTTCATTATTTCCAAAGATATTTTTCAGAATCAGACTTTTTTGTTTTGTTTTTGTTTTTGTTTTTAACAGGAAAGAAGTTTTAGTCGATTACTATTCTACGTGGCTATTGCAGCGCCGCACAATACACACATCCCTGTCCCTGAAGCCCATTTGTCCCCTCCACTCAATGTCAGTTCATCTGTTGAGAGAGGTGACGAGAAGGGAGAGTCTGTAGAAGATATGATTTCCCTCGGCGAGTTTTCCCCTTGTCAATTCCATCGTTTCCGGATTGGGTAGCCACCACCACTTTCATCAGGGGCTGAGAAATGGAGATGAACTGTGCTTCCATTTTTATCTGTGCTGGAGATGGAGGCCACAGTCCTGCTGTCATTTTCCGTGAGTGCTCCCCCATTGCGGCTGGTAAACCTCCCTGGCAAACAATCCATCTTATGCATGGAAGCATACAATTTTAGAGCTAGAAATAACCTAAAACATAATTTAGTCAGAGGCCTTCATTGTATAAAAGAGACTCAACCTAGAGAAATTAAGTGAGCTACTCAAAGCCATACAGGTAAAGGCAGATAAAAGAATGAGAAAGCAGATTTTTCTTATTCCATCGAGATTTATTATTTTTTAAAATTTTTTTCTGGGACTCTACCCTTACTCAAGTTTCAATTAGCCTTTTCCAACAGGGTGACTGAAATTATTTTAAAACGGTAGAGTTATATGAGATAACAATTTTCTCTTGTAATTATCTTGCATTTGTTCTCTTCCAAGAGACAAGATGGTGGTCAGGGGAAGGAGCAGCAATGAGCAACAGGGACAGTCATAGGTCCTGAAAGTCTTCACTCAAGAGACCCAAGTGCCTTTTTGTGTGAAATCTACCACCTAAGTCATTTCCTAGAGGCCTTCATTCAGAGGGGAGATTAACAAACCCCTATGACTCTTCATCCTTTTTTTATTCTAGGATAGCTAAGATCTGCAAGTCTGATGAGAGGAGATTGGGTCTATTTATTATACAAATTAGCTAATTTCTTCTTCATGGAGTTTTGCAGATTCTAGGAGTGAACTCATATGGAATAGAACCAAGTTTCTTGCTAAGGAGTCTGAAGAGTGTCTTTGTCAAACAAAATTAAGCCAACATATAATTGTCATTTGCTTTATTCTTATGGAAATTGAACATTAGCATGTGCATAATTGATCTGAAGTCCAGACACATCAAAGACATTAATCTATGTATGTATCTATGTGTTTTTAATCTAATTATAAGGAGCTCCATATGTTATTACTCAAAACTTGCTTTTGCTTATTTTATTTTATTTTTTTAATTAAAGGAAATGTCTATTATTCCATGCCCCTGTGTCTGGCTTTTAAAAATCTCTTTCCTTTTTTTTCTCAAATGACCAGAGCTGCAGTTATCAGCCTCTCTAGGGCTCTTGAACTGAACACTTATTCTTTTAAAAATCATCAACACGGGATCTGTTGCCAAGAAGAGAAGCCAATTCTTGTCTCCATGCTCTAGGAAGTGTTTTCTTTGTAGTACTGTTGGCATGGAGGTGAAGAGCCTGGAACTCGATACTGAAATCTCAGTAACAGAGCTGCCACTGGGTACAGTTTATTTTGGAATTAAAGCAAATACATCCAGAAATTGTACTCAGGATATTCAAATACGAGTAATGAAACATTGTAAATGTAACCACAACTATATCTTATGGGAGATCAATAGAGAACTAAGTGTATTTGCTCTATTAGCACAAAGTATACATAGATATGCTATTACATCAATAATTTTACCGAAGTAGGAAAGAGTATTCAGAAATTAGAACAAAAATGAACTGTATTAACTGTAATTGACTGTAAAATATTTTAACTTCATAAAACCACATATATTATCAGACATAGTTAGATATTTGGTTCTTATTTCTTCTGATGATTACAGATTAAATAAGAATTCTTATTTTAACAAGACAATCAGAAAGAGAGATGTATAAAGGAGGGGCTGAGGGCAGTTCTAATATAACCTGAAGAGTTGTGGGTTCTTTTATGTATTTGGTATGTGTGTAGCTCTGTGTTTTATGTATACATGATGTAGAGAAAGTATATGTTTCTAATATTACCTGTTAGTGTTCGGAAAAAAGTGTTACAAAATATGGCAAAATGTTCTTGCATATGTATAATTCTGCAAAAGGTGAACAGATGCTTGTTTTGGTAGATTTTCCCTGCTTTTGCTGCTTTTAGTATCGTTCTTCTAACCTGCTTTTAATAGATGTTGCTAAAGTTTTCTAAGATAAGTGAATTAGTATTTTCTTTTTCTATATTGATGTTAAAGCTGTCTTTATTTGAAAAGGGAAGGTTTATAAAGTTGAGATGTGTTACTGGAGTTACAGATGAGATGTTTTAGGTTGTGTGTGCTTGGATGTGTGCAGAACGCTTTTTGCTTAGGCACCTAGGCAGTTGTTGTGGATTCATGTATGTGTGCTTATGTGTGTGCATGCATGTGTGTACATGAATGTGTGACTGAAAAAAAAAAACATTTCTTTCTGGGACCGTACGCCAAGAACAATTTTAATAATAGCTTTTATATGAACATTTGCATTCTTACAACTAATTTAAAAAATCTGTGTTTGATCCCCAACTGGATCACGCTGTATGAAGACTTTTTTAGTAAAGTATTTTTAAAGTTTTAAACCCAAAAAAATGTTTGCTACCAAAAAAAAGTCTGTATAGCCAACTGTCTCTTAAGAAGTCTTACATTACAAACTTAAAATGTCTAAAACAGGACACTTGATTCCCCTACAGCCTGACCCTCCTGTAATCTTCATCATCTCAGGAATGACACCAGCACGTTGTTCATATGATTTTCTTTTTTTTTTTTTTTTGAGACAGAGTTTCACTCTGTCGCCCAGGCTGGAGTGCAGAGGCGTGATCTCGGCTCAGTGCAAGCTCCGCCTCCCGGGTTCACGCCATTCTCCTGCCTCAGCCTCCCAAGCAGCTGGGACTACAGGCGCCCACCACCACGCCCGGCTAATTTTTTGTATTTTTAGTAGAGATGGGGTTTCACCATTTTAGCCAGGATGGTCTTGATCTCCTGACCTCGTGATCCGCCGGCCTCGGCCTCCTAAAGTGCTGGGATTACAGGCGTGAGCCACCGTGCCTGGCCCACATGTATTTTTAAGTATACATTTTTGTGTGTGTGTGAAGGGGAGTGATCTGATGCGCAGTTGCTGGAAGCTTATCATAATGTGGTCACAATTTTCACTATGAAGTAGTTCTCTAAAGGAAGGTCTTTGTGTAAAGACAGACTATTAGAAAGTTTTTCATGACTGGTGGTACTGATTTGCATACTTTTGTGTATTCATGAGTACAATAATATTTATTGACAGCCTACTGAGTTTCTGGCACTCTCCTGAGTACTGGGAATACATCTGTCAATTGAACTTAAAACACATTAGCTGTGATATAACAAAACAAAATGAATGAATGTATATAATCTCACTATAGTCAACCGTATTACTACCTTTCATGTTGAGGACACACCAAAATATTGCAAAATCCCTTTCTATTATTAAGAATGCTTTATTTTGAATAGAATAAACTTAATAAATTTAAAAAATTAAAAGAGTAGAAAATAATCCAAAGGAATCTATAAACACATATAAGCTAGCATGGTTATACAATGTATCTATATGTACACATGTCAGGAATTCAGAGTAAATGCAAGAAGATGCCAAATTGTGAGTCATTCTTTAAACAAACATACTGAGAGTTGGTTTTCTACACTACATGCATTTGGCATGCCTACTTGTTGGACATAGTCATGACAATTTCTTGTTTCTTTCACTCAACACATGTAATTGAGTGCCTATGGCGGGCACTGGGCAAGGTGCTGGGAAGAAAAGTTGGGTTACACACATTCTTGCCCTCCTGGACTTCATGCAGGAGTTGTTTGATTTCATTATAGAACCATTTTCTGGGTCCTAATGTCTACTTTTCAGAAGCAGACATTTCCCATTGCTTGTAGGATGACCACCTCATACACATGGTCACCGTCATCATCCACCAAGCTCAGGACAACCATCTCATCAGGCTCCATCTTAAAAGAAACTGTGAGAGCCCTTGTCTTGTGAATTAGCTGCCTCTTCAGCAATATCTCTGGTCCTGATCCTGAGCACTGGCCTCACTGCGAGGTGTTGTGGGTGTTCTGTTCCTCCTACTTCTGAGGCTCCCTTGCCTGGATTCTCAGAAAACCAGGTCTTAGGCAAGATGTGACCCTGAGCTGTGCAGCCTTATAGTCGCAGCCCTTACCTTGCCAGGTTTTAATGTCCTTCTGTGTACAACAAAGCATTTAAGGAATTTTAGGGATCCCTAGGTTCCTTAAAAGGTACTTCCTGTCTTTCAAGCAAGTGAAAGGAAGATGCAACCCTGTGAAGCCAAGACGGTTTCCAGAGCCTGGGAGCCAGGTGTGTGTTCCCACGGCTGCCTTGTGTCACATGCCCATGATGAGGACAGTGTGATATTTTCACCAAAGCCTTTTCCCACCTCACTGCTAGGCATTGAAATGTTCTGAGTTCATCACAGCAAGAGCAAGAAGGGGTCTTAGCAATTAATCATTCATTTGATAGACGAGGAACTTGGAGTCTAAAGGGATTCAGGCAGAAGAACTTAGCTTTTGACAACCAATCAGCCTTACTAAATTTAAACAAATAGGATTTTTAAAGTGTAAAATAATTTATGGAAATACCTTTAAGAGTATTACTCTCTGCCTTGTTTCTTAGATCAAAAAGTAACAAACTTACTTATTTTTGATATCTCAGGGATATTCTGCTATGAACGGAATGTAGTTGTGAATGGTACTGTCTCTGGAGATAGAGCTGGGCTCACGTTGTGGCTGTATCACTTATTAGTTTCATGATGTAGGCCACAGTGTTTAGTCTTTCTGAGCCACAGCATCCTTACCTGCAAAATGGAGAGAATAATGATTGGTATCAATCTCACTGGGAAGTTGTGAGAATTAAGTGATACAATGTGCATGTGAAAACAGTAGGATGCCTGACATGTAAGTGGGATTGCTATTGGATGCTTTTATTATAATTACTACTATTATAATTTGGATGTCACTTGGAACTTCTCTGCCTCTTGGGGATTTAGTTTGAATATTTAATTCCACAGCTGGGGGAAGCTGAAGTTTTTCTCTTAATTCCTGTTTTATCCCAACCCTACACTCCCTCCTTAAGGTGCCTCTGTTTCTACTCTTCTGTTGATGGATACCATCTTGTTTGGCTTGCATTTACCTTCTGCACATTTGCAGTGAGCCAAGCCTTTTATAAAATTGTCCCTTTACTGAAGATGTGGAAGTTCACAGAAGAGGGATTGTGCCACACTGTGTGGGTCATGACTTTCTTCCTTCCCACTCATGTTCTGCTTCTCCCAGGGCCCACATGCCAACATGTGCCTTAGCTAATCCATGTAGTTCCTGAATGGGTAATTGATTCCCTCTGTCTGAGAGTTTTCCTCTGGAAGAGTAGACCCAACCAGGAGGACTTTCTTTCTTGGTCCCCCTGGAATGCTGGTGAGTAAATATTCTCTGTTGTTACCTTCAGTTCTGTCATTAGACTACACTGCACTTCAGTAGACCACATTAAACTACTCAGATCATAGTGGCTTCCATATTTGCCCCTACTCCGAAGGAACGCCCTGCTTCTATTTCAGGAATTTTCTTTGTCCTCTGTTACTATCAGCCAGCTACTTGTTGATGTGAGTGTGCCACCCCTTGGGGTGACCCCCGCTATCTAACATGATGCTTTCAGCCTTTGGGGCAGCAAAGGCCGAGGGCATTAGAAGTGTGCGTAAAGCTCTCTGAGTGGGAGCTTCTGCTCCCTCCTTCGGGGCAAAATAAATAAACCTTAGTACCTGGGCTTTATGGCAATTCTTTTGTTGGCTGAGCCACAGTTTTTCTTTAATTCCTGTTTTTCTATATCACTCCAGCTAGCAGAGGTTGACAGATCAATGTAGTGTTAAAGATATGTAGCAACATTTGTCTGGCACTATTGGAAAATGAGGTGTTTTCTATAAATAAATTCCAGGTAATGGGAGCTCATCATTTTAGATACCGAAACCTTTAAACATTTTAATAATGTTGGGTGGAGTGCTAAGACATTATGTGGCTTAAAATCTAGAAAATAATTGATGCATACAAATAGGAAGGCAGAATAACAGTGGATAAGTATACAGACTGGAGTCAAGCTTGATTCACAGGGTTCTGCCATTTTTCCATCCCAAATGCAGTGCACAGCATTGAGCCCAGTAATACATCTTGTTTCATATGCTTGATTTGAAGATGTCATGCCCCTCCATGCAAAGTCTTAGCATAGTGCCAGGCACTTTTTACATGCTTACTATCCAGCTCTTCCTGGCCTTATTGTTACTGTTAACTTTTTTTGTTGTTGTTTTTTTCTTTTTGAGATGAAGTCTCGCTCTCTCACCCAGGCTGGAATGCAGTGGCATGATCTCGGCTCACTGGAACCTCCGCCTCCCAGGTTCAAGCGATTCTCCTGCCTCAGCCTCCTGAGTAGCTGAGATTACAAGTATGCCCCACCACACCCTGCTAATTTTGTATTTTTAGTAGAGACGGGGTTTCTCCATGTTAGAGACGGGGTTCCTGCATGTGGGTCTGGTCGTGAACTCCCAACCTCAGGTGATCCGCGTGCCTCGGCCTCGAAAAGTGTTGAGATTACAGGCATGAGCCACTGTGCCTGGCCCAACATTTTTTATTTTTATAAATCAACAATGGCAACAACAACAACAATATAAATAACCTACCAGGCAAAAAGTAAAAACAAGTAATTTAGAAACTAAATAAAATGTGGTAATCATTTAAAAGTTTATTCAACCTCACAAATAAACAAATAGTTCAAATTCAAATAAAAAGATGTATTTTTTCACCCACTAGAGAGAAAGTCCAGATGGAATTGAAAATAGATGAGCTCTTGGCTGGGATGGTATTATTGATGGATAATTTGACAGCATTTATAAATACAATTCTTTGACCCACAATTCAAACTCTAAGACATTATTCTAAAAGTGTTCCTGTACAACTATGCAAGGTGTGTGTAAAATATTCTAACAGCCAGATTGATTGTAATTACAAAATTGTTTCAATTTTGTTTCATTATTATAAGGAAGGCATTGGTTACGTATAGTCCAGCATGTCTATCCATTGGAATATTATGCAACAACAAAAAGTGATAAACATGTATGAACTGAATATATATTTGCCCACAGCATGGTAAATGAAATTAAAAAGCAAATTGTAAGGAAAGGTAACTTTATGTGCAAAAGGGAGTTTTAAGAAAGATCAACCCTTATTCAACCCAATCAGGGGTCATCTTTGGAAATGAGCTTCAGTGCTTAGATAGGGAATAGACATTTCCTTTCACTTTATATAGTGTTGTATTAAATTTTTTATTATTTAAAAAAATACAAGTTTTTATTCCTCTTCTATGATTGAACCTATAATGTATTAGAAATAAGCATTCATGCGTTATTGCCTTAAAGAGAGTCTATGTTTTAAAAAATGGTCATTCTTGATATTGTGTATTAATACAAAAATATACAACTCTTTATTTTTACCCTAAGCTGATGCTTTTCCAAGCCTTCTACATCCCACAGCTGGTTATTAGAATGTGATAATCTTGGAGTCAATATATGGAGGTAAGAATATTTTTTTGAAATTAAAATATTTCAAAGTCAATATCATTACCATGTGTTGTAGATTATACTGTAGGAAATATTTCACCTGGTTACTGCATCTGTCTTGCTAAGAGATAATGTGATTCCTAAGAGCATTTCCTCATCCAGTTGTGTTCTGTCTTCACACTTTATGTCTATTGGACTGCGTCAGATTGACTCACATTACAGCTGTTCAGAAAAGGTGCTGAGTGTTTTTTGACTCTTTCCAAAGGTTCTAGGTATTTGGACTCAAAGTGAACCCTAATATCATGAGGAAATTTTTCTCTAAAGTTGCGTTTAACATTTGAAGAAGTTAAGCAGGGGAGTAGGTTGTGTTCACAAACAGGAAGGCTCACCATGTCCCAGTGATGATGGTGGCTAAAAGAATGTGAGTCCATTCTGTGCATTTGGCCTTGAAAAGTCCTCCTTCATGTTTGTTCTTGAAGTTAAAAAAAAAGTCAATAATACAGAATCAACTTACTTCATTAATAAATCATGAAATTCAATATGTCACAAGAAAGCATGACTCTTGGCTATTAGACTGTTTGTACCACAGTGAAGTCATCTTCAGGAGTCTTGATATTACATCCTTGACAGTATTTGTTATATTTCAACTTTAAAGAGATAGGTTCAGACTACTAAAGACACTGAATACATTACTTTAATATATTGCTGGAGCAAATGCTTGACATCATACAAAAGATAATGAAAAAATGTTTTGGTTTCATTATTTGCTTAAAAGATTGGTGTGAGCATCTTGATTGCAGATAGCAAATCTACTTAAAACCAGAATTTCTCGTAGCTGATTTATTCATATATTAAAAAGCAAAGGACAACTGTGCATTGAGTGGCTAGATTGTATTTTGAATTTTATTGTTTTCTCCAACACTGAGATTTATTTTTGGATCACTGTCTGTCCTTTGAGAATGGTAAATACTATGTAGAGTGGCATTTGGTCCAAAACTTCTATGCATGAAACGTTGATCTTCCTTACACACTTACGTTTGGAATTCAGTTGTAGTAATCATAGCATATTTTTTCTAATTTGTACCTTGGCCCATAAAGGGAACTCCCATTTATAAAACCATCAGATCTTGTGGCTTTCCTCTGCATTAGCTAAATTAAATATCTCTTCTCATGCACTTTGAGCATTCACTGAAAAAGTGACAAAAAGTTTTGAGCACTTTTCTCTCATATATTTGCTACACATAGGCTATGACATAATTCATGATCTACACATCCGTGTATTCACCCAACTATGAAGCAAAAGGTATGCAAGCATGTCCTGAGAAAATTGTCACTCTTTTGCCTTAAATGCTATTGGCCTCATGTGACTTTCAACAATATTATGTAAATGGGAAAATATGCAGTAGTTCCCTCTGCTTTCTCTCCGAGCATATTTATCATTAACTTTGTTACTGGGTCTTTGTGTTTCTCCTTAGTTACATATTTTTTTCTGTTTTTGGAGAAAACTGCAAATCTGAAGGATGTCTGTAATTTGGGTCTCTTTTCTGCTTTTAGCAAATGAGTTGGTTTCATATAGATATGCATCATTTTATATTGGTTCTGCAAAACCTTGGCTGGCTTACTCAAGATGTCACTCTGAATTTATTTCTCCTTTGAAAATAGCAGGAAAAGTTTCAGCGATTTCATGTCTTTCTTTTAAATGTCTCTTAGTAGGTAACATACTAAGTAGTGGGGTAAAGATATGATTCCACAGAAATTCCCACTCCTTAATCTCTCTTTCCTTTTAGCTGCTTTTATAAAATCCCACCTGTTGATTTACTTGTACTAGTACATTGAAATTTATACTTCATATTCCCACTGGAATTTATTCACCTTTTATGCTTATGACATTTTTTTTAGTTATAAAACCGATGTTTCTACTTCTATTGGTACTTGTCAACTTTAGTTTAAGCCACTGATACATTCAATAAATACATTTCCATAGTAACAATTAAATGCAAGTCTGAAAAATATAAAATTTATCTGCTAATGGTATGAGATGTTAAGATGAGATTATGTGCTTATAATAATGCAACATTAGTTGAGATAATTTAAGTGAGGCCATTTTTGTAGTATATGTGCCATATACGTGTGTGTGTGTGTGTGTGTGTGTGTGTGAATGTAGCTGTTAAAAATGTGCTCATTCTAAAGAACTTAAAAGGATTTTTGAAAGAATGATAATCATTGTTGCATTGATTTAGATTTGGGAAGTATATACGTATGAAATAGCCTTTTCCTCTGCATCTGCCAAACCACCTGCAAATATTTTTCTCAGGCTGAAGGTGTCTGTGGTCACCATGCCAGAAGCAGCCACCAGTGTCCTGTTTTCTTTCCCCTATCAGCTGTCATTTTCAGTTGATTGCTCTTCACACTGATTCCTTTACTTCCTTCTAAACTTCTATTCTTTATCACTCAATGAAAACTCAAGAGATAGTTAGCTATCTGAACTCATAAGTCTTATCTCATATAACAAGAGAGAGTATGCTATAACTAACAAGTACAGCAAACCTTGCATGAGGCATGCACCACATATGCTTTGTGCCTGCCCTTTTTTTTTATGATGCTCAAAGCCTATGTAACTTTCTGTCAAATGCCTGATTTAATTTCATTTACCTTTGCAGGAAAGCTGAATTCCAGGAAATTTGAGTGCCACTCTCTATTTGTGAAAATGTTCATACCTAACATCCAACTGTTATTCCGCTAAACTTACCCTTCATTCGAGTATTTACTTCTCAAAAATCTATACTGCTTACCATTGTTTTACAAGTATTAGCTCATTTCACTCCCAGAATAAGCCTATGAAATAGGTACTATTATTTTGACCATTTTACAGATGAGGAAACTGAGGCATAAAGATAGTAATTAATTTGTGCAAGTTCATACATGTAGTAAATGAAAGAACAAAGATTTGAACCCAGACACTGACTGCAGAGTACATTTTTAAAAAACTATTACTTAATGTCATGTTTGATTAACAGACTTTTTCGGAGGGTATATAGTTATACAAGTAAATGAGCAAAAAAATGAGGAAAATTATATAAATGTATCAGTCACTAAAATTCATTGAGGTATAGGACATGAATCATAATAAATATGACACAAGTAACTGGAGAAATGTAGAGTTGGAAGAGACTGAGAGGATTAGGGAAAGTTTTGGAGTCTGTGAAGGGCCATTGGCGTTGCACGGGATTTGACGTCTTATGCAAGGGTGATGATAAAGCTAAGAGCCACTGTTAGGACGTATATTGGACGATCTTATTTCCTCTATTTTTTCATTAATAAAATAATGACCTGCTTAGAGGCTGTCAGCCAACACACACACACCAGTTTCTAAATGCACAAGTGGGAAATCTGTTGTTAGCTGATAATGTGTTCCCGCTACTGTTGCATTTGACCTAGCAAACATCACAGCTCCATCTTGGGATCCACAGTAACACAATAAATGCCTTTACCCCCAATAATTGAAATAGCTTGTAATAACAAAAAGCCTCATTTTCTAAATATTTAAAAATTCAACTTCAGAATTGTTAAATTGACAACATTTCTCTTTTGATAAGCATCCTTTGTTTAAATATATGTTTGTATGTGTGTGTTTGTGCCTATTAATTGCAGAAAGACTCTGAAAGAAACTGTTAGGAACCAATGCAACCTATTATAGAAAACAGTTTTGACTATAATAAAATCCCATTAATGGAAACCCCAAAAGATAATTTTTATTTTACCAGCTTGATTTTTTTGTATGAAAATCAAATCAGGAGATCAATTTCTTATCGGTTGCTATTAAAATGATTCTAAAAAATGATTGTGAGTAGATATGTCTAGTGTGTCATTGGTTGCATGAGCTAGAAATTCAGAGAAGTCTGGGATAGAAATATGACATGAGTTGCCCCTGGTACGTAAATGGTATTTTGAGCCATGTGAATGGATTAGATAATTCAGAAGGAATGCTGCCAGGTGACCCCACTTCATAAGTCAGATTGAACCAATCCTCCAATGTTAAGTGGACTGGCTCAAAATGGGTCTAGCTTTAAGGAAATATCACTGTCATTGACTTCAAAATGTGTAATTTTCATCCCAAGTAAATAAGGATCATGGAATATTTAAAAGTTTGCTAAGTGCTTAACATTCTGAAAATGGCTAATATTTACAGTGACTCAAGAGCTGGAATTGCTCATAATGAGGGGCAGATAATCAAAAACTCACTCATTTTCATTTTTAAAACCACATTGCCAATACAATTTGTAATCTAAGTGGTGTTTAAATTTTCAAGTCAGTTCCACAACTAAATTATAAACTTCTAAATGTGTTTACATATTGCATAACACTTGTGATACTTATACCTGTGGAGAAAATGAAGCTCAGAATTTACCTACAAACGTAATAATATACGTGAATGTGCTTCCAATATGACAAAGTGCTGTGCAAAGGTATTCTTATTAGCACTTTACTCATAGTTTAGAGCATCTCCCTAAAGCCCTTTGGGAAAAGTCGTTCTGATTATTCATATTAAAATGTCCTTTTGTGGTAGACAGCATGTCATCTGTTGACTGTACAAGATCAACAGTGTATTTATATAGAGTTCTTTGTAGTTAGTGAAAAAAAAGGATCACTTGTCTAAAGAGCACTTGAACCCTGCTGAGCAATAAATGAAAAACAAGGTGAGACCTTGCTGTTCTGAGAACAGCGTGCGGGAGAAGAAAGCACGGGCGTGCATTAGAAGCAAGGTGCATGGAGATTCTGCAGTGGGATGCAGTGTCGCCCAGTGGGGTCTGTACCCTTTTCCTGCCTCCACACTGTTCACCTGTGAGACACTCCCAGTGGCAGCAGCATCACTCATTATGAACCTTGGCACTCAATGCTGTGATTGTGCAGAGTGGCACAGGTGCTGGGGGAATCATTGATGTGAGAAGACTGCCTTGCTCTGGGTGCCAGCCTATATTTTAAAGTGTGAAGGCAAACTTGTCTCCCTGTTTTTTTTTTTTTTTTTTTTTTTTTTTTGTCTCTGCTGCATTGCTGTTCAAATTTGAAATGCTTTTAGCTTGGAATTCAAGTTAGCCACATGGCCCCAAATGTTGGAAAGATAAGCCTGCCTTCTTCCTGAACTAGGGAAAATAGTCTGAGCTTTGTATAAATGTGGGCTATGGCCCGAAGAGAGGTCAGCTTAGACTGAGGGCAGAAATAAAAATTAAAATAGATATTTTTTAATGAGCAAGGCCAAGGAGAGGCTAGGTTCTAATGACTAGGTGGATATGTCTAGTGCTGAGGAAAAGGAGAATGATGTGTACCCTGAAAAGCCCGTAACCCATGGCATACTTGATTTTCTGCATTCTGTGTGTGGCAAAGCCTTAGAACTAAGAAAGGGTTTGAGGGAGATTCAGATGTTATTTCTGTAGGTCCCAGGAAGCCATCTTAGGATATCTGCCAGGTGGTGGCAGGAAGTGGAGAAAGCCTGAGATTTGTTCAAACTTCTGAGAAATTCTCGTGTCTACCAGGGGATGCTGAAAAAAATTCACAGGAGACCAACTCAGTCTACCAGCTAAATCGGTTTGGAGGCACTGAAATCTAATAAAAAACACATCTGAGTATCCAATCCTGGACCCACTGCCAGGAAGAGAAGAGACCTTGGTAAGCCGTCCTCTATTACCCTTCAATTTTCTAATCTAAAATGGGAGTAATACCCATTCCTTCTTACTTTGTGAACATGTTGTGTAGATTAACATGATGGAGTTTGAAAGGTGTTATTTAAATATAATATGTCATTAAAGTATTATCATTCTAGTTGCTGGTGATTATCTAGAAAGCTTTAAATCACCTGGTTATTTCCGGGATTCAATTTTCATTGTCGGGTGCTATTTCTCCTTTCAAAGACATAATATTTCTTTGTCACATAGCAGAGAGTTTGCAGTTTTGAGTTTTGGACTTGTGATTACAATTCTATGTTTCACTTGAATGCATTCAGAATTGGGGTGGCAGAGTTTTTAGATACAGGTTGTGTAATAATTTGAAACAGAGAATATAGGGCATCTTAAAATGAGTTTTTGCCTTGTCTGCAAATTTTTATTTTGGGAGGACAAGGTAAAAAATTTGGTCAAGTCCAATTTAAAGTATCACATCATCATTTAGCTAGGGGTACGGTGAAATATGAAAACCCAGAGATTTGCAACACAGAAATTCCATATGCCTGGCATATGTCTGCCTACATTTTCCCCATTGGTCTATTTATTTCCCAACTTTTTATATTGCATGCCATTTCCCAGAAACTCTCTTTTCTCTACTGTTTTCTTTACAAATATTTCTCATTCAGCAACTCTGACCCAGATCCACTTTTTTTTTTTTTTTTTTTTTTTGCCACAAAACTGTATCTACAGTCAGTAGAAACCCCCATAGTCAAGGCTGTATAAAAATCTTTGTAGTCCATGTGACGCGAATGTTGCTTTTTCTAAACTTCTGTTGCCTTTTGACCCCTGTATAATCAATACTGAATTGTTTTCACTTTAACTTATTTGGTAGTTGAAAGAAATGTGATTGAATGTCTGCTTACTTCCTGGGACAAGATATTTCTAGCTTGTTATACAAGTCAGTGGTTAATGGAACATGAGGTAGCAGATGAAGTTGTGATGGAAAATGATAGCAGTCTTTACTGGGAGTTTCAGAAAGTGTTTTTAATAGTAAAATTTTAGAATAGTCTGAAGATTTTTTCCTTTAATTTTACAATTTTACTATTACATTCTTGACAAAGAATCAGAAGAACATTCCCACTTTTTGACTTTAATATCCACAGCTGCCATTCCTAAAAGTATCACTGTATGGCCTTCAAAAATGCCAGCTACTTTTCTCCCTCCTGGAATCTTTAATACATCTTGAAACTCTAGTCACTTTCTTATCGTTTGTGATGACGTAATGACTTGCTCAGCAGATGTATAATTTATTAACTTTGAGAGAGTTCTGCCTTAAAAGTGTTACTTTTGTGGTTCTGCTGCTGTGTCTATGTACTTGTTGACAATTTACAATTAATGAATTTATTTAGGAAGCAATAAATCTCAAAAATGATTACTTTTCACTACTATATACTTTTGCCTTTTCATTTTAAACATACTTATGCATTCTTTCTTTTTTTGTTTTTAAATTATACTTTAAGTTTTAGGGTACATGTGCACATTGTGCAGGTTAGTTACATATGTATACATGTGCCATGCTGGTGCACTGCACCCACTAACTCATCATCTAGCATTAGGTATATCTCCCAATACTATCCCTCCCCCCTCCCCCCACCCCACCACAGTGTGATATTCCCCTTCCTGTGTCCATGTGATCTCATTGTTCAGTTCCCACCTATGAGTGAGAATATATGGTGTTTGGTTTTTTGTTCTTGCGATAGTTTACTGAGAATGATGATTTCCAATTTCATCCTTGTCCCTACAAAGGACATGAACTCATTTTTTATGGCTGCATAGTATTCCATGGTGTATATGTGCCACATTTTCTTAATCCAGTCTATCATTGTTGGACATTTGGGTTTGTTCCAAGTCTTTGCTATTGTGAATAATGCCGCAATAAACATACGTGTGCATGTGTCTTTATAGCAGCATGGTTTATAGTCTTTTGGGTATATACCCAGTAATGGGATGGCTGGGTCAAATGGTATTTCTAGTTCGAGATCCCTGAGGAATCACCACACTGACTTCCACAATGGTTGGACTAGTTTACAGTCCCACCAACAGTGTAAAAGTGTTCCTATTTCTCCACATCCTCTCCAGCACCTGTTGTTTCCTGACTTTTTAATGATTGCCATTCTAACTGGTGTGAGATGGTACCTCATTGTGGTTTTGATTTGCATTTCTCTGATGGCCAGTGATGATGAGCATTTTTTCATGTGATTTTTGGCTGCATAAATATCTTCTTTTGTGAAGTGTCTGTTCATGTCCTTTGCCCACTTTTTGATGGGGTTGTTTGTTTTTTTCTTGTAAATTTGTTTGAGTTCATTGTAGATTCTGGATATTAGCCCTTTGTCAGATGAGTAGATTGCAAAAATTTTCTCCCATTTTGTAGGTTACCTGTTCACTCTGATGGTAGTTTCTTTTGCTGTGCAGAAGCTCTTTAGTTTAATTAGATCCCATTTGTCAATTTTGTCTTTTGTTGCCATTGCTTTTGGTGTTTTGGACATGAAGTCCTTGCCCATGCCTATGTCCTGAATGGTAATGCCTACGTTTTCTTCTAGGGTTTTTATGGTTTTAGGTCTAACGTTTAAGTCTTTAATCCATCTTGAATTGATTTTTGTATAAGGTGTAAGGAAGGGATCCAGTTTCAGCTTTCTACATATGGCTAGCCAGTTTTCCCAGCACCATTTATTAAATAGGGAATCCTTTCCCCAGTGCTTGTTTTTCTCAGGTTTGTCAAAGATCAGATAGTTGTAGATATGCGGCGTTATTTCTAAGGGCTCTGTTCTGTTCCATTGATCTATATCTCTGTTTTGGTACCAGTACCATGCTGTTTTGGTTACTGTAGCCTTGTAGTATAGTTTGAAGTCAGGTAGCGTGATGCCTCCAGCTTTGTTCTTTTGGCTTAGGATTGCCTTGGCGATGCGGGCTCTTTTTTGGTTCCATATGAACTTTAAAGTAGTTTTTTCCAATTCTGTGAAGAAAGTCATTGGTAGCTTGATGGGGATGGCATTGAATCTGTAAATTACCTTGGGCAGTATGGCCATTTTCACGATATTGATTCTTCCTACCCATGAGCATGGAATGTTCTTCCATTTGTTTGTATCCTCTTTCATTTCCTTGAGCAGTGGTTTGTAGTTCTCCTTGAAGAGGTCCTTCACATCTCTTGTAAGTTGGATTCCTAGGTATTTTATTCTCTTTGAAGCAATTGTGAATGGGAGTTCACTCATGATGTGGTTCTCTGTTTGTCTGTTGTTGGTGTATAAGAATGCTTGTGATTTTTGTGCATTGATTTTGTATCCTGAGACTTTGCTGAAGTTGCTTATCAGCTTAAGGAGATTTTGGGCTGAGACAATGGGGTTTTCTAGATATACAATCATGTCGTCTGCAAACAGGGACAATTTGACTTCCTCTTTTCCTAACTGAATACCCTTTATTTCCTTCTCCTGCCTAATTGCCCTGGCCAGAACTTCCAACACTATGTTGAATAGGAGTGGTGAGAGAGGGCATCCCTGTCTTGTGCCAGTTTTCAAAGGGAATGCTTCCAGTTTTTGCCCATTCAGTATGATATTGGCTGTGGGTTTGTCATAGATAGCTCTTATTATTTTGAAATACGTCCCATCAATACCTAATTTATTGAGAGTTTTTAGCATGAAGGGTTGATGAATTTTGTCAAAGGCTTTTTCTGCATCTATTGAGATAATCATGTGGTTTTTGTCTTTGGCTCTGTTTATATGCTGGATTACATTTATTGATTTGCCTATATTGAACCAGCCTTGCATCCCAGGGATGAAGCCCACTTGATCATGGTGGATAAGCTTTTTGATGTGCTGCTGGATTCGTTTTGCCAGTATTTTATTAAGGATTTTTGCATCAATGTTCATCAAGGATATTGGGCTAAAATTCTCTTTTTTGGTTGTGTCTCTGCCCGGCTTTGGTATCAGCATGATGCTGGCCTCATAAAATGAGTTAGGGAGGATTCCCTCTTTTTCTATTGATTGGAATAGTTTCAGAAGGAATGGTACCAGTTCCTCCTTGTACCTCTGGTAGAATTCGGCTGTGAATCCATCTGGTCCTGGACTCTTTTTGGTTGGTAAACTATTGATTATTGCCACAATTTCAGAGCCTGTTATTGGTCTATTCAGAGATTCAACTTCTTCCTGGTTTAGTCTTGGGAGAGTGTATGTGTCGAGGAATTTATCCATTTCTTCTAGATTTTCTAGTTTATTTGCGTAGAGGTGTTTGTAGTATTCTCTGATGGTAGTTTGTATTTCTGTGGGATCGGTGGTGATATCCCCTTTATCATTTTTTATTGTGTCTATTTGATTCTTCTCTCTTTTTTTATTAGTCTTGCTAGCGGTCTATCAATTTTGTTGATCCTTTCAAAAAACCAGCTCCTGGATTCATTAATTTTTTGAAGGGTTTTTTGTGTCTCTATTTCCTTCAGTTCTGCTCTGATTTTAGTTATTTCTTGCCTTCTGCTAGCTTTTGAATGTGTTTGCTCTTGCTTTTCTAGTTCTTTTAATTGTGATGTTAGGGTGTCAATTTTGGATCTTTCCTGCTTTCTCTTGTGGGCATTTAGTGCTATAAATTTCCCTCTACACACTGCTTTGAATGTGTCCCAGAGATTCTGGTATGTTGTGTCTTTGTTCTCCTTGGTTTCAAAGAACATCTTTATTTCTGCCTTCATTTCGTTATGTACCCAGTAGTCATTCAGGAGCAGGTTGTTCAGTTTCCATGTAGTTGAGCAGTTTTGAGTGAGATTCTTAATCCTGAGTTCTAGTTTGATTGCACTGTGGTCTGAGAGATAGTTTGTTATAATCTCTGTTCTCTTACATTTGCTGAGGAGAGCTTTACTTCCAAGTATTTGGTCAATTTTGGAATAGGTATGGTGTGGTGCTGAAAAAAATGTATATTCTGTTGATTTGGGGTGGAGAGTTCTGTAGATGTCTATTAGGTCCGCTTGGTGCAGACCTGAGTTCAATTCCTGGGTATCCTTGTTGACTTTCTGTCTCGTTGATCTGTGTAATGTTGACAGTGGGGTGTTAAAATCTCCCATTATTAATGTGTGGGCGTCTAAGTCTCTTTGTAGGTCACTCAGGACTTGCTTTATGAATCTTGGTGCTCCTGTATTGGGTGCATATATATTTAGGATAGTTAGCTCTTCTTGTTGAATTGATCCCTTTACCGTTATGTAATGGCCTTCTTTGTCTCTTTTGATCTTTGTTGGTTTAAAGTCTGTTTTATCAGAGACTAGGGTTGCAACCCCTGCCTTTTTTTGTTCTCCATTTGCTTGGTAGATCTTCCTCCATCCTTTTATTTTGAGCCTATGTGTGTCTCTGCACGTGAGATGGGTTTCCTGAATACAGCACACTGATGGGTCTTGACTCTTTATCCAATTTGCCAGTCTGTGTCTTTTAATTGGAGCATTTAGTCCATTTACATTTAAAGTTAATATTGTTATGTGTGAATTTGATCCTGTCATTATGATGTTAGCTGGTGATTTTGCTCGTTAGTTGATGCAGTTTCTTCCTAGTCTCGATGGTCTTTACATTTTGGCATGATTTTGCAGCAGCTGGTACCGGTTGTTCCTTTCCTTGTTTAGTGCTTCCTTCAGGAGCTCTTTTAGGGCAGGCCTGGTGGTGACAAAATCTCTCAGCATTTGCTTGTCTGTAAAGGATTTTATTTCTCCTTCACTTATGAAGCTTAGTTTGGCTGGATATGAAATTCTGGGTTGAAAATTCTTTTCTTTAAGAATGTTGAATATAGGCCCCCACTCTCTTCTGGCTTGTAGGGTTTCTGCCGAGAGATCCGCTGTTAGTCTGATGGGCTTCCCTTTGAGGGTAACCCGACCTTTATCTCTGGCTGCCCTTAACATTTTTTCCTTCATTTCAACTTTGGTGAATCTGACAATTATGTGTCTTGGAGTTGCTCTTCTCGAGGAGTATCTTTGTGGTGTTCTCTGTATTTCCTGAATCTGAACGTTGGCCTGCCTTGCTAGATTGGGGAAGTTCTCCTGGATAATATCCTGCAGAGTGTTTTCCAACTTGGTTCCATTCTCCCCATCACTTTCAGGTACACCAATCAGACGTAGATTTGGTCTTTTCACATAGTCCCATATTTCTTGGAGGCTTTGCTCATTTCTTTTTATTCTTTTTTCTCTAAACTTCCCTTCTCGCTTCATTTCATTCATTTCATCTTCCATTGCTGATACCCTTTCTTCCAGTTGATCGCATCGGCTCCTGAGGCTTCTACATTCTTCACGTAGTTCTTGAGCCTTGGTTTTCAGCTCCATCAGCTCCTTTAAGCACTTCTCTGTATTGGTTATTCTAGTTATACATTCTTCTAAATTTTTTTCAAAGTTTTCAACTTCTTTGCCTTTGGTTTGAATGTCCTCCCGTAGCTCAGAGTAATTTGATCGTCTGAAGCCTTCTTCTCTCAGCTCATCAGTCATTCTCCATCCAGCTTTGTTCCGTTGCTGGTGAGGAACTGCGTTCCTTTGGAGGAGGAGAGGCGCTCTGCGTTTTAGAGTTTCCAGTTTTTCTGTTCTGTTTTTTCCCCATCCTTGTGGTTTTATCTACTTTTGGTCTTTGATGATGGTGATGTACAGATGGGTTTTTGGTGTGGATGTCCTTTCTGTTTGTTAGTTTTCCTTCTAACAGACAGGACCCTCAGCTGCAGGTCTGTTGGAATACCCTGCCATGTGAGGTGTCAGTGTGCCCCTACTGGGGGGTGCCTCCCAGTTAGGCTGCTCAGGGGTCAGGGGTCAGGGACCCACTTGAGGAGGCAGTCTGCCCGTTCTCAGATCTCCAGCTGCGTGCTGGGAGAACCACTGCTCTCTTCAAAGCTGTCAGACAGGGACATTTAAGTCTGCAGAGGTTACTGCTGTCTTTTTGTTTGTCTGTGCCCTGCCCCCAGAGGTGGAGCCTACAGAGGCAGGCAGGCCTCCTTGAGCTGTGGTGGGCTCCACCCAGTTCGAGCTTCCTGGCGCTTTGTTTACCTAAGCAAGCCTGGGCAATGGCGGGCGCCCCTCCCCCAGCCTCGTTGCCGCCTTGCAGTTTGATCTCAGACTGCTGTGCTAGCAATCAGCGAGACTCCATGGGCGTAGGACCCTCCGAGCCAGGTGCGGGATATAATCTCGTGATGCGCCATTTTTTAAGCCGGTCCGAAAAGCGCAATATTCGGGTGGGAGTGACCCGATTTTCCAGGTGAGTCCGTCACCCCTTTCTTTGACTCCGAAAAGGAGCTCCCTGACCCCTTGCGCTTCCCGGGTGAGGCAATGCCTCGCCCTGCTTCGGCTCGCGCACAGGGCGCACACCCACTGACCTGCGCCCACTGTCTGGCACTCCCTAGTGAGATGAACCCGGTACCTCAGATGGAAATGCAGAAATCACCCGTCTTCTGCGTCGCTCACGCTGGGAGCTGTAGACCGGAGCTGTTCCTATTCGGCCATCTTGGCTCCTCCCCCCATTCTTTCTTTAAGTAGAGCTCTCACTCTATTAATAACTTTACCTATAAATCACTCTAAAGAAGGTTTTCCACTGTAAGTTTTCTATTAAAAATTATTCTAGCTTTCTGTGCTAATTAGGGTAAAAGAAAAAGAGAATCAGGTTTTAGTAGATATTGAGAGTGCTGTTGCTTAGACAGTGCTTGAGACAGACAGTGCTCTGTACAAACAAAGCAAATTGTGAAGGATTATGCTGAGCACTGTACAATTGCACCCTCTTCTTATCTGTTGGGCAGGGCCTTCCTATCGGGTAGAATTGTGGGCCTGGGCATTAGGTAGCATTCTCACTCTGTTTCTCACATGAACAATGGGGAACTACGATACATGCTGTCTCCCTCTGTAGCTCACTTTTGTTTTCTACCCTGGTATTCACGTTCCTACCATGCCAAAGTTTTCAGTTTCTACTGTGAGTAGAAAAGAAGAAAGCTGAGTATTACAGCTATTGTTGAAAGGTTTAAAATGGCTTATAGAGATTAATTTGAAATGACACTGTGGAGCTCAACAATTCATGATGGCTATTTTCATTTATTTGACAATTTTGCATGCTTCTTGCATGAAAAGTTTTCCTTGGGGAATGACCCTGTTTTATTGATTGTTATTCTAAATGAAATAAATGTCGAAGCACATGATGAGTGGACTCTAACTGAAGTGTAAATTACTATGCCAGGAACGTTTTCAGTAAACAATTACTGGTGAATAATCAAGAAATGCAAGCTTATAAATGATGCAATATTCAATCCGTAAATACTTTCCCATCATTCCTTTGCAAACCATTTTTCCTTTCCATGTGGAAATACCATGTCAATGAATTAACACTCACTATTTGATTTAATTGGCATGCTCACTTACCAACTGTTGCTCATAAATTAGGATTCATGGAACATTTCTGAAATCCTGTCAAACTCTCCATTTTTAGCAGGCAAGAGTTTTTTGAGGCAAACTCAAATGCTCAGTTTACTATGTGAGTTGAGACACAGAAAAGCTGGTGTAGTGTCATGCCAGCTGCTGTGGGCTGCTATTTATTAGAAAATTGTGAGGATATGTGTGCTTCTAAAACTGTCTTTTCTCTTTTTAAAATATACCATTGTTTAAAAAAGAAGTACTTTATACTCTCAGTGTGAACGCTTTGTCATCTTAATATGTGACAACCTATAAAATAACTAACCTACACCATTTCTCTTGCACGTCCTTGAATCTCACCTCACTTCTTTCTCTTCCACATTCTCTATTCAAAATATGGATTTTAAAATATGGATTCCAAAATAACTTAGTTACCCACTATTTTATCACAATAGCCCACCAATAAGTTATGTTTTGTTTGTTCCTTCTAGCTGAAATGCTAAGACCTAAATATTTTTAAAAGTGTCACTCAGTTTTTTTTTTTTATTTCCACTTAATGCCAAATATCTAGATACCTGGTATTAGATATACAATCTAAATGAGTGACACAAGTTTTCATTGCATGTGGACATCAAGGTTGGAGGGAGTGAGGGAGGGAGAGTGAGAGCGCACTTGTCTATGGGGATGCCAGCCCCTCTGCATGTTATTCTTAGAGGCCTCATCTTGTTCAAGCAAATTACCTCATCGCTTTCTTGGCTTCCTGTCTGTTCTTTTCCATCTCTTTGATGTATTTTATTATTGTTTTTGGAATCACTGAATGATCAATCAATTAACAAATTGCAGTTGCTTATTCAACCTCTATAAAATGCATAGCACAGTAGAAATCTGTAAAATGAGGGAATCCTGACCTGGTGAAGTTTATATTTTTATAATACAATTATTGAAACATCAAATAACTCAATAACATGAAAACACTGCATATTTATAAATGCAAAAGAGTGTAACTTAAGCCGAATACGTAAACACAAATATGGAAGAAGTTTGGTTTAAAATTTTTTTTTGAGTTGCAGATTACAGTAATCATTGGTGAAAGGTAGCTGAACAGTTACTTAGGGTGAAAGTGAATTTTCAGTCCCTAGAAGTTGGATTGAATTATTGTTATTCAGAGGGAAAAAAAGGCAAAGGGACTGAAGTATTTTTAATTCTTTTCTTTGCTAGAGTGGGAAAGTAAAGTCTATAAAAGTATTGGTCATGTTAATTATCTGATCCAATAATACAAGGGTCATTTACCAGTTTGCTTAATGTCTGTAGCCATGGAATTGGATAGAACTATCAGTACTTTTCTCTTGTTACTGTTAGGAGTCCGGAAAGAAGTATAATTTGTTGTTATTGTTGACTATCTGTTCTGAGAATCTTAACACAGCAAAATGGAGTGAAAGGTATACAGTGCCAGTGAACCAATCCTTTGGGCATCAGGTTTCTGGGTTTTGTTTTTAATATTAGGCTGGTGCAAAAGTAATTGCAGTTCTTGCCATTAAACTTTTCAAAGCCCTTCCCTCTCTCCTGCTCTCCCATCCTCCCTCCCTTTCTCTCTCCTTCCCATTCGCCCTCCTTTTTTCTCTCTCTCCCTCCCTCCCCCCTTCTTTCCTTCCTCCTTTCTTCCTTCCTTCTTCCTTTTCTTCTTCCCTCCCTCCTTCCCTCTTTCTCTTTCCTTCTCTTCCATTCATTTATTCACAAATGAGGCGGGGCAGAACTCATCACTGAATACCACCTCTAGCCCTTCCTTCCACATCCCTCAGCCTATTTTCACAATCAATTTCAGTAGGAACAAAAGCGTTGACAAATTGCCAACTGGGTACTTATTTTCAACAAGGGAAATTTTGTGATAATTTCATTCTCTAAGTTAAATAGAGAGTGCTCATTTTATCTTGC
Organism: Homo sapiens; assembly: GCF_000001405.40. Classification (NCBI taxonomy): domain Eukaryota; kingdom Metazoa; phylum Chordata; class Mammalia; order Primates; family Hominidae; genus Homo; species Homo sapiens. The sequence continues at coordinate 106,210,729 of NC_000013.11, read as the reverse complement.
CTAATGTGTATGATGTCTTAAGTCTAAGAAATATATCTCATGTGTCTGTGGTACTTGTCTTGCAATTTGAAAACGTTTTATGGCTCAGTCTTTCCTTAAAGGACAGAGCAAGTTATTTTTAGCTGTCAGCAGCAATCTATATTGTAATACTTTCAGATACGGTAGTCTCAGCTCTTTCCTAACCTCTCTTATCATAGTGGTAGGAGTTGTTAGACACTGAATATATTGCTGGGCAGAGGAGTGGAATTTCCTTGCCTGATGACCTCAACAGTCAGCAGGACTGTCACCTCACTGACTTCCCTGGAAGTAGGAAAATGTCCTGGATGAAATCTAAGGGGCCCCTTTTCTTTGACACTGGGGGTACATCTACTTAAGAAAGTGAAATCCGGTCAGAACTTATGATCAGTCTGTCTTCTTCATTTGGGACCATTCAAACACTTATCTCTTGGGTAAATTATAATGAAAATGATAAAGGTGGCTATTCTCTCTCTCTCTCTCTCTCTCTCTCTCTCTCTCTCTCTATATATATATATATATATATATATATGTCCAATTATATTTCTGTAGGCCCAGTCCTGTAATCCTAAACACCTTAGCTGAGACACTATAAACAAGATTGTAATTTCTGACAGATCAAAGTCTGTTAAAGAGTGGTTCACGATGAAGACCCTAAAACATGCTTATGACTCTGTTTCCTTTCCAGCGATCTCTTGTCCAGAAAGTAATGTCAACGCTTTGAATATCTACCAAAACTGGTGGTTTTGTCAGTACTGAGAAAACAGAATCTATCATCTATCCATCTGTCTGTCTATCTCTCTCTCTCTATCATCTCACACATTTGTAAAGGGTGAATCCGCCTGACCATTCTTATTTAACCAAATGAACAGTAAAAAACACATCACAAAATAAGTGGATATGTGTTTTTATTTTCCAAGAATAATGTATAAATTTCTCCCTATAAAGTGGGAGAAATAAATTTCCTAAATTAAATATATATTATCTCTAATGCTGTGAAATATGAGGTCGGCCCATTCCTCGAGGAAAATGCTGTGTTGTGTTAGTACAATAATTTTGATAGCTTAGATTTGATCATATGTGATTGTAGGACAACTGTCCAGTTTTATGACATCCTTGTTAACTTTTTCATTCAAAGGGACAGAGTTGTTGGCTGGTGGATTATGGTACAAATAGAAGCATACAGAGAAATGAAGTGAAAAAACAAAACAAAACACCTGAGGATTAATAGATCTCAGAGGCAACAGACAATTGACTCTGCAGTTTACTTTCTTTTGCGTTTCTTCTGACCTTTCTTCCAACCACATTGTGCAAAAGAGTGAAGAATCGTTGATAGGACATAAATGAAAAGCTTCATAAAATAAATAAGTTTGAAGGAGGATTTACAGGAGTTTTTCAATAGCAGGGGGTGACTGTTCTAACAGCAGAACATTTCGATCTTCTTTGAGTTACAAGACTATAGAGACGTACAGATAATCTTTGTTTTAAAAAGCTGTGGGATATCCCTTTTAGTTAAAGGAAAATAATGCATGCCATTATTGACAATCCCAACCCTTACATTTTATAGCAGAGTAAATATATTCATAATTTGAGAAATATTATCTTTTCCCATTCAGAGGGGGTGAGTTATGAGACCTTAAAGTTTGAATTACGTGAAAATGAAAAATTGATTTCTTCATTATTTCTTTCTTTTTAGTTTCTCCTAAAATGCAAGTGGATTATAGGGTAGGGAGTTATTGGTAAAAGAAGGCATAAATAAACTCTTTGAAAGCTATCTCCTCACAGTTTGATGTCAAACAGCAGCACGTGGCCTTCAAGTACATTGTGCTGGTTCATACCACAAGGAATTGTCCCTGGGGTTCATAAATTTTTTATTATCGTGGTACTGACTGCCCCTATTCAATTTTTACTTAATTTTCTGTGGAGACATGTATTTCTATATATCTATAGCTATCAATGTACATAGCTATATGTTGGAATATATATATTCCACAATGAAATTTTGACCTTCATTATCATTCTTCATTGAATTTTACCAGTACTTGGTAACACAACCGATTGGTATTTCATTTTACGGCTGGAGAAAATCCAAACAACTTTCAGACTCACCAGGAAAGCCCCCAGCTTAATGCTTATTGTTAATGAACACTCCTGTGCACCTGGTTTTATGGTTGGTAAGAAATCATTTCTCTCAAGGGTCCAATTTCTGTAAACCTCCTTCAAAGTAGTAAGAAGATAGTATATCGACAAAACTCAAGTTACTCCAAATATTTGGTCTAGAATTTGCTTTTGAAATCCAGAGGATATTAGAAGTAAGAATTTGAAATCCCCTGGGTACAATTGGTTACTATTAAATCTGTGAATGTTTGAAAAGGGTTTAATTCAGATAAAAATCCTTAATTTTAAATTCATATCACAGACTTAACCTTAAAAGGTTAACTGAATTACACCATGTCCTTGACCATTTGAAAAACAAAGTGCATTCTTAAACAGTTTTTTAAAAAACAAAGTTTAATAATGATAATATCTTCTATTTGGAGTGGGGATTTCAAAAAACGATAGTTTGAATTTAGTGTAGAGCTTTATTCTCTCAAGTTGATTAAAAAGTGCTTCTTTCAGTGGCAGATGAAGCTCAGCTAGAGAAGTACAGAAGAGAAAATAGCTCTTGGCCCAGCATGTCCCAGAAACCAACTGTTCTCATTTTAAAAGGCAGTTCTGTGGTCTTTGATTCAAATTAATGCCCCATAGGTAGGGGCTTACATTTGCTTTATTTTTGGTTAAATACAACTATCAAGTTTGAAATACAAAAAAATTCCTGAGAAAAACTTGTAAAATCCTTTGGGCAGTGCTGCTCAAGTGAATCAGAAGCAGATGGGTTCAAATTTCTCTGAAAACACATGGTTCTTTGTGTGTGAAAGGGTAATGTGGAACTTTGCTGAACCCCAAACTTAAGCTGTGTGGCTTCAGGACAGAGCTTCAGATGTGTGAGAGGCTCCTCTGTGGAGTTTTGTTTCCTCATCCCTTATAGAGACCCTCATTAGGAAGGTCTGGTTAATATTTCTATGTTTGAGGGGAAAAGCATGGTGTGAATTTATTTTTCGTGCCAGAAGTGGTCTTGGTGACCACCACAAAAATTTTGGATTAACCAATGTTGTGCCCCATCTTTCCAGTGGTGAACTATTTCCTGCTACACCGAGCCATTTGGTTTTCCAGGGATTTTGCAGTTGACAAAATGAAAGACACAATTTGTTCAATGGGCCTGTTTCTTATTCTGTCATGAAATGAATGAGCTATGCTTGACTACAAAGGCTGGTTATGATTCAAAGATGGGTGAGAATAATGTTTCAGATGTAAGACGGTTGTCTTCAACTTATTTTACTATTAAATCAGTAAACAAGCAGTGCAGAAACAAATAGAGGAATAGACAAAAGTGAGTGTATGCCACTCTAAATGTTCTTTTCCCTCGTCTTTCTTAAAGAAAGTGGTCATGAAGTTTGTGGTTCCTCTGGCTTTTGAAGAGGGAAAAGCTCCAGAGAAGAAACAGGAACTTGCTGCTTTTCATAGTCACCTGACGGGCACGGAGGTGCACAGCCCACACCAGCCATCAGTGGTCCATCTTATTCTCACATATGAACATTCCTGCTGTGTCATAGTTACCTATTTCACATTTTATCTCCTCCTGTGTTAGGGAATCTACCCAAGGTCTCTGTGTAGCAGGTTCTTCCTTGTTCTATCAGGGTTTAGATTACATTTTTAGAAAATAAAAATAAGTCTCTTTCCAGATTTAAATCTCTAATATACCTGAAATTATGTCATACTATGCCCCCTGAAAGCCTCTCAGTCAAAAATCATGACATTCGCTCACACAGAGGCAGATAAACATGTTCCAGGAGCAAGCGACATTTGCATTTCTAAACAAGCTGGCAAAATGTGATTCACTGAATTCTGAGTATGTTTTCAACTGGAATGTCTCACTGGAAGGATAATGACACTTGGTTAATTTGGCATAGAAGAGGAATGAGGTGCTCCACAGAAGAAATTTTCCAGATACTGAAAGTATCAACACTTTTTCTTTTAATTATCTTTAGGAAAGGTTTTTCTGAATGCATTTAATGCTTCTGTAGCATCTTTAGTAGATGGAGCACAGCTTGGTTTTTAACTTGCCAAGGTCATGGTTACAAATATAGTGAAAACCTGAACATCTATGGAAATTATTCAGTTATCTCATTAGTCTGGTGAAACAGAATACAGAACTCAAGCTGGGCATGGTGGTATGGACCTATGCCTGCGGTTCCAGCTACTTCGGAGGTGAAGGTGGGCAGATCACTTGAACCCAGGAGTTCAAGGTTACAGTGCGCTACGATCATGCCACTGCATTCCAGTCTGAGCGACAGAGCAAGACCCTGTCTCAAAGAAGCAAGAAAGAGACTCAGAAACTCATTCTAAGTTTTTCTTTGTGGTTTCAGCAAAAGTTCTTCTGCCCATTTTGAGGAAGAATGAAAATGTTTATTAGGAAGAATGAAAATGTTTATTTTCTTCTCCAGGGAGGAGAAACTGGTGTTTGTGTTTGCTATGGTTTGGGTGTTTGCTGTGGTTTGCATGTTTGTCTTCAAAACCTCCTGTTGAAATGTGATCCCCAGTGTTGAAGGTGGGGCTTAATGGAAGGCATTTGGGTTGTGGGGGCAGATCCTTCATGAATAGATTAATGCCCTCCTGGGGAGGGCGTACTTAGTGGGTTCTAGTTCTATTTGTTCTTGGGAAAGTTTCCCTGACAGCTGCGTGTTACCAAGAGCCTGGTCCCTTCCTTCTGTTTGCAGCTTCCTCTCTCACCCTGTGATCTCCACACATGCCAGCTCCCTATCACCTTCCTCCATGAGTGGAAGCAGCCTGAGGCTTTTACCAGTCACCCAATCTTCCAGTCAGCAGAATATTGAGTCAAATAAGCCTCTTTTTCTTTATAAATTACTCAGTCTCAGATGTTCTTCTGTAACAACACAAAAAGTCTAAGTGTTTCTAAGGTTATTTATTAGAAATATAACATCATTCAACTAGATTAGCTCCTAAGATGCTCTATCTCCAAATACAGTCACATTGGTGATTAGAGCTTCCACATATGGACTTGAGGGGACTGGCACAATTCAACCCATAAAAGAACTGCATTAGAAAGTCTGGAACCCCAGAGAAGGAAAGCTCTTATAGCCCTTCTCCAGCACAGGAAGTGCTGGATCAACAGGAACTCTGTGCAAGGCACAGTGCAAATGTCCAGCGGTTATGTGGGTAGAAGAATGATCCACAGTAGAGTGCAGGCATTACTCGTGATGGCCACAGCTGTCAGGCAAGTGAATAGGTGTAACCCTGATGGCCGCCAAGCATTGTGCGGGTGGGATCAGGGTTCTGATTACCCTTTGAGCTCTTGAAAGAATCAACATTGTGAAAATGACCATACTGCCCAAGGCAATCTACAGATTCAATGCAATTTCTATCTAAATACCTACATCATCTTTCACAGACTTAGAAAAAAAAAAACCTAAAATTCATATGGAACCAAAAGAGTTCAAATAGCCAAAGCAATCTTAAGCAAAAAGAACAAGTCTGCAGGTATCACATTACCTGACTTCAAATTATACAAGGCTATAGTAACCAAAACAGCATGATACTTGTTTAAAAGTAGATACGTAGACCAATGAAACAGAATACAGAACTCAGGAATAAAGCCAAATACTTGCAACAAACTGGTCTTCAACAAATCATACAAAAACATAAATTGAGGAAAGGACACCCTATTCAATAAATGGTGCTGTGAAAACTGGCTAGCCCTGTGTAGAAGAATGAAACTAGATCCCTATCTCTCATCATATACAAAAATCAAATCAAGATGGATTAAATGCTTAAATGTAAGAGCTGAAACCATAAAAATCCTAGAAGAAAACCTAAGAAAAACTCTTCTGGACATTGCCCTAGGCAAAAAGTTAGTGATTAAGACCCCATAGCAAATGTGACAAAAATAAAAATAATTAAATGGGACCATATTAAACTAAAAAGCTTCTGCACAGCAAAAGAAATAATAGAGTGAAAAAACAACCCACAGAATGGGAAAAAAAATATTAACAAACTGTGCATCTGACAAAGGACTAATATCCAGAATGTACAAGAAACTCAAATCAGCAAGAAAAGAACAAATAATCCCATTAAAAAAGTGGGCGAATACTTTGAATAGACACTCCTCAAAAGAAGATTACCAAATGGCCAAAAAATATGAAAAAATGCTCAACTTTACTAATTCTCAGGGACATGCAAATTAAAACCACAATGAGATACCACCTTACCACAGCCAGAATAACCATTATTAAAAGGTCAAAAAAACAATAGATGTCAGCATGGATGTGGTGAAATAGAACTCTTAGACATTTCTGGTGGGAATGTATATTAGCACAACTTCTATGGAAAACTGAATGGAGAATTCTCAAAGAACTAAAAATAGATCTACCATTTGATCCAACAATCCCACTACTAGCTATCTACCCAAAGGAAAATAAGTTTTTCTATCAAAAAGACACCTGCATGCAAATGTTTATCACAACACAATTCACAATTGCAAAGATATGGAACCAACCTAAGCGCCCAGCGACCAATGAGTGGATAAAGAAAATGTAATCTATATGTATACACCATGGAATAGTACTCAGCTATTAAAAAGAATGGAATAATAATTTTTTTGCGGCAATTTGGAAGGAGCTGGAGGCCCTTAATATAAGTGAAGTAACTCAGGAATGGAAAACCAAATACCGTATGTTCTCAGTTATAAATGAGCACTAAGCTATGGATATGCAATGGCATAGACAGTGATAAAATGGACATTGGAGACTCAGAGGGGGAAGGGAGGGAAAGCGTTGAAATATACAAACTATATATTGGGTACAATGTACACTACTCAGGTGATGGGTGCATTAAAATCTCAAACTTCACCAGTATACAATTCATCCATGTAACCAAAACCCGCTTGTACCTCAAATTAAAATTAAATTTAAATTTAAAAAATTATTTTTTTAAAAAAACCTTAGAAGCTGTAGAAACTCCAATTTTGCATTTGAATGTGGTTGTGCTTTTGGGGGCCACTGAGGTATGTAGAACTTTTTACTTGGAAAGTACGTGTCCATCAAAGAGTGTCATTGTAAAGATCTACTAGAAACTCTTACTGCATTCTCCTGCTTCTGTTATGCTGCCTTGTTTTACACAAAATTTTCTCTCATTAAGGGAAAAGATAGTTTAGTGTTTTTTTGTGAAGTGAATCAGGTGGATTTAAGTACTGAGCATTTTTTTTCATTTAGGTTTTTAAACATGTAACATTTGGCACAAAATTGAAAAAAATTTGCTAGAAGGTTAATCTAGGTATTCTCTAATAAATTAGAATTTAGAAAAAACTTTCTCATTTATAATCAATCTTAGAGCATATATGTTTATTTGTTTGTTTGCTTATTTATTTATTTACTTATTTATTTATTTTATTTTCAGACTAAGTCTCACTCTGTCACCCAGGCTGGAGTGCAGTGGTGTGATCTTTGTTCACTGCAACCTCTGCCTCCCGAGTTCAAGCAATTCTCGTGCCTCAGCCTCCCAAGTAGCTGGGAATACAGGGACGTGCCACCACGCCCAGCTAATTTTTTTGTATTTTTAGTAGACACAGGGTTTCACCATGTTGGCCAGGCTGGTCTCAAACTCATCACCTCAGGTGATCCACCCACCTTGGCCTCCCAAAGTGCTGGGACTACAGGCATGAGCCACCGTGCCTGGCAGGAGCATATATGTTTTAAATACTTTTTACAGTAGTTGTTTAGGTTGAGCATGCAGGACATTTCCATATATACTTTTCTACTTGTCAGCTCATTTAGTGTGCTGGCCAGTCATATGTAAATTTGTCTGTCCAACTGGAGCAGGGCTGTGGAGAGTAGGAGGTGCCAATTAAGTCTAAACTCTCTCTTGATATTCCTCACCACCTCCTCTATTGAAATGAAATGGCTTCAGACTTCAGTGTCTAACACTGAGTCATTGATTCCACTGTCTGTTTTTTCTTTTAAATTTTTAATACCTCTGAAGCCTTTGAATAATAAACTAATGATTTTTCCAAGAATGTTTTCATAGAAATTATACAGAAGACTGGGTTGGAGGCAATCTAGGAATGTAAAAGTGAATAAAAGCGACACTAACTAGATACATACTATTTTTGTGGTGGTGGCTCTCCTAACAGAGCACCACACAATTTTCTTGCCAGATTCATTTTTTTTCTGCAAAACCCACTGACAGATATTTTTGGTGTACCAATTTCTACCTAACAATACTGAGTCTCACCCTAGTTGGTCCTTGTACATTTCAGTCTTGCCAGTTCAGCTAGCACCTCCTTACTAAGAATGAGTTGTTTTTTGGTATCCTCCACATTTGGTAAAGCTAGTTGTACTTGGTTTGTAATTCAATAATATAATTAAGTAGGACATAAAATGATGAAAAACAAGTACAGAAAGAAAGAGCATTGTTGTTATGCAAATTAAGTTGAATGCTTTACAGCAATTCGGTAAAAACTTGTTACTAAAAATAATTCTTGCCAATTCATTGTAGACAAGTTAAATAAAAAAGGAAAGTCATAAAAGTCTAGAAAGATTCTGCATTTAGATGTCTTCACAACTATCTTTGCAATCTCACTTAACTTTAAAGAAATGGAAACCTCTAAATCACAGGTGTTGTGTTAAAGGGAGTTCTGAGTGAGAAAGGTGATGTTGGATTCCACCCAGAGGATCCATATTCAGAGAATGAGTCTTGGCCCTACATTCATTGACTGGCAAATGAATATGCATTTGTATGCTTTTAGTTACAATGGTTAGAATGTGTCGTTTTCTTTTCCTTTTTTTTTTTTTTTTTGAGACAGAGTTTCGCTCTTGTTGCCCAGGCTGGAGGGCAATGGCACAATCTCGGCTCGCACAATCTCCACTGGGTTCAAGCGATTCTCCTGCCTCAGCCTCCCTAGTAGCTGGGATTACAGGTATGTGCCACCAGACCCGGCTAATTTTGTATTTTTAGTAGAGATGGGGTTTCTCCATGTTGGTCAGGCTGGTCTTGAACTCCCGACCTCAGGTGTTCCGCCCGCCTTGACCTCTCAAAGTGCTGGGATTACAGGCGTGAGCCCCCATGCCCGTTCTGAATGTGTCGTTTTCATCCTACTCCTTTTAAATCAACTTCTTCAATTAACTCACCAAGTGCAGGTGCCAATCATATTAGGTAGGAGTGCTTCTTCTGTATAAAACATACCTATATTGTTTAAGCAGGAGGGACAGTTTTTGTGTAAGAGGACATTAGAAAAATTCAAAACTATATTGTTAGTCTGGAATTACTAGCTAAAATTTAGTAAAGTTACAAAAACAATGGCATAATTACAGGATAACAAAAACTGGCTTCCTATCTCCGCAGCTGAATATTTGCCAAAAATATGAAATCTTGGGTAAAATATGTTATGGGCAAAGAGGCACAAAGGTGCGTGGTAGTTTGGGGAAGCAAGGAGATTTGATCACAGGGGTAGCTCATATTGGCTGTGAGATAATATACAAATAATTCTACAGGAATAATAGATGATTCTGTAGGAAATAGGAAATAATTGAAAACATCCCTAATGAATTTACAAAAAGGCTGATTTCAGTTCAATTTAAGGGCATATGTATGAAAGCATGAAAGCTGTTGGGGAATGTACAGACTTATGAGATATTAAATCACTAAAGAAATTCTGCATCGGGAGTTTTTGACCGATTTTTCTTCCATGCATCCCTTTTGGCATACTCTTTTCAAAATAATATTATTAAATGCATAAAATAAAATACTTAGCATTTCAAAGAAAACAAATCCTCTTTTAAAATAATTATAAAAATAATTTTAAAAGGCACATTTTGACATAGTATATAAGCTTCATTGTATATACACTAAATAGCAACATCTGATAGTGGGTCTATTTGATGAGCAAAATGAATATTTAGAGATGTCAGATATGAAAATATAGGTAATTTCAATTGATGACAAGTATCAGGTAGTGCTACTACAACTTTGGCTCGTTGTTTAGATTCATCATTGAAGGAAGTGAAAAGAAAGGCATAATTTTATATTTTCCCATAAAATTTCCTGCATTTCCTGAATTCCATCCATTGTATAGACTACATTAGGGCTTATATGATTCTGTAAATTACCATGAAATGTTTTGATTGACAATAACTAATTAGAGGCATTCAGAAGATTCATTAATATATATAGAGATAATAATATATACTTTTTTTACCCTTAAGTTTTCAGAGAATCTCAGGAGAGAGTGCTTATGAGACACTTTCTCTTTCTAAACATACATTTGTAAAATGTTGAAATTTTTACAATGAGCATGTATTATTATAAGAAGAAAATAGATTTTAAAAATACTGGTTTCTAATAGAAATCAAAGAAAGGAAGGAAGGAAGGAGGCAGGGAGGGAGGGAGAGAGGGAGGAAGGAAGGAAGGAAGGAAGGAAGGAAGGAAGGAAGGAAGGAAGGAATGGAGGGACAGAGGGAGGGAGGGAAGGAGGGAGGGAAAAGGCAAAACAAAAGACACAGCCTGCCTTTCCATCAACAGAGAAATGGTTAACTCAATTACAATCATTTCTACCTATAGAATACTGAATGTGTTTGATAAGATTTAAAAAAAATCTTAATGATGTATACATATTCACTGAGTGCCACACTTGAGGTTTTTGTGCTTTATTGTATGTATATTATACATCAATAAAAAAGTTAAGGACAATCAAACTTTGATGAAAAACCTTCAGAAGAGAGCAACAGGGATGGCAGGAGAACTGGGAAATGAAACCAGATGTAAAAAGACAAGAACTAGAGAAATTTTATTAGAAAGGGAGAAGAACCAAGGTTTACAGGATGATTTACAAAAATAATTGAAAGGTTGTCTTGCAGAACAGGTGAAAAAAATTAATGTTGAAGACCCAGGCAAACATATTGCAACGTAAAAATGACAATTTATGCTAAGTCGGTTTTCTATCGAAGTAATGATGATATAATGAAATAACAAGAAGTATACATTTGGTCCTCATCTTCAGTTCCTGGCAAAGAGCTCCTAGAATCCTTGTAATTTCTCCATGATAGGGGTGAGAGGAGCATCTTTTGCTGTAATATTTGGTCTTAATCTCCAGTTAATGGTACAAGAGCTTCTAACACCTTTGGAATCTCCAGGGTGATAAGTGTCTTTTTGTGTGCTGAGATGACTGGTGGCTGGGGGCCCCTAGATAGCTGCGAGGTGGGAACTGGCTGTTAAAAGAACCAGCCCTGTGAGTAGAGGGTGAAACCTCTCAGCCCCATCCCTGGACCTCTGGAGAGGGCAGAGGGGCTGGGGATTGAGTCCACTCACCAAAGGCCAATGACTTCATCAATGTTTTCTACTTAATGGAACCTCTATACAACCCCCAAAATGACGGGGTTTGGAGAGCGTTCAGTTTGGTGAACACACTGAGGTGCTGGGAGGGAGCAGTCCAGAGAGGGTATGGAAGATCTGCGGCACTTTCTCACAGACTTTTTCTGTGAATCTCTTTTTTTGGCTGATCTTTGAGTTGGGTCCTTCACAATATCTGGTAAATGAAAATAAAAGTGATTTCCTGTGTTCTGTGAGCTGTTAATAGCAAATTACTGAGCCTGAGGAGGGAGTTGTGGGAAGCCCCTGGCATCACCACCTGTCCGTCAGAAGTACAGGTAGCCCAGACTTCCACTTGGCGTCTGAAATTGGGGAAAATGGGTGGGACTGGCCCCTTAACCTGTGGGATCTGTCCTAATTCCAGATAGTTTGTCTTAGAACTTAATTAAATTTTTGAATACCCAGATGGTGTCCAGAGAGTTAGAGAATTGGTTATTTGTGTGGAAGAACCTCACACATTGGATGTCAGAAGGGTTGGGAGTATAAACATGTCATGGTAATAATCAAGTATTCAAAGAGAGGCCAGAAACTAAGAGTAACAAGTTTCCAATGATCCCTTTAGATGGAGAGAATCACTACGATTCTTTTCAGTTCTAGCAATCTCTGGTTCTTTGGTGATTGGCGTGAATGGTAAGAAATGTTACTGGGGACTTTGTTTTCTTGAAAAACCTCAAGGTACCCTTGGTATTTGAATCACAGTTTGAGGTGTGAAAGAGCATTATAGTAACACACCTCTGACTCCCAGGCTTATGAAGAAAGTCAGCAATAGCTCTCTTGAAGTCTTGCAGATAGTAATCTTTAAATAAATATGTATTAAAGTGTGAATATAAAATAAATCTGTAAAATTCGAGGAAATTCAGTAAAGCTTGATAGTCATCATTACGCATTCAGGAATTACCAAGCATTTGAACATATAATTCTAATAATTGATAAAATCCAGTGGTATAATCATTGTATCATAATCGTAGTTAAAGGCTGAAAATGTTGCCTGAATGTTCATACCAGCAAAGAGTTTCCAAAATGTTAGGCTAGATATTTATAAAGTGGATATCTGCTTGTTTGACGCAGTACTTAAGTTGGTTTGACTAATTTGAACTATCTAGTGTCAGTTACAATGTATGAGACTCGGAATAGGTTATATAGTCAAATACCAATGTCAAACATTGAATTAAGTTACCTCCTAGATTTGAACAATCGGTTCAAGTTTTTGATGATTTGGTTATACATCTAGGCGTAATAGTGACTTATTTGGGTTAGACATTGATAGATAATAATATAAAATTTTGAAATTCTACTAATGACTGTTATTTGCTTATTCATTTAACTTCCTCAGTAATAACTTAGTATTAGTTCAATAGTATTTAGACTATATCAAACGCAGGCTGAAGAGTAAGGTCACAAGGCTGAGATTCAACATGTGTCAGATGTAAAACTATCAGGAATTTGGGGAAGATGAAAAACTAGGCTTTTGATGTGACCTGATGTAACTGAGTAACTCACAAAGTCACAAGTCAGCTTCTGACTATAAAAGAGACATCTGATCAGATTGTCATGCTCTATGGTTAATGGAGTGTTGCAAGGACTTTGACACAAACCATTACCCACTATTTACTTATTCAAAGCAGAAACTTACTGGAAAATTGAGTGAAATTATCCATACTTTAACAGTTTTGAGCAGATTGCATTATTATCAACATTTCTAAAACACACCCTTCTGAACACATAGGTATTAAGTATTACTATATTCTGTTACAGTACTTTGTCATGTTTCACAAGATTGTTTCTATCCTCAGAATATGAAGTAACATTGTATAATTGTGGGAGAATTTAATACCTACAGTTAGATCTGGGATTCATCAGTAGCTCTGCTATTTGGAGGGATGTGATAGCCCAGAAAGTAGTTTAACTTTCACATTCTTCTTTTCTCGGCAGTCCTATTTTATTTCCAGATTTCTAATACTAGTTCTTAATTTGGGTTCTTTGGACAGAATTATATAGTAAACCAAACATAAACTTTCTTGTGCTTTAGGCTAATTGAAAGAAATCTTTTCTAATAAGAGATAACTCTGAAACTCAGTGAATAGTTTGGGTATTATTATATTATAAATCGATTGTTAACATTATATGGAGCTGGGTGCAATGGCTCACACCTGTAATCCCAGCACTTTAGGAGGCCGAGGCAGGTAGATCACTTGAGGTCAGGAGTTTGAGACCAGCCTGGCCAATATAGTGAAACCCATCTCTACTAAAAATACAAACATTTTCCGGGCATGGTGGCACACAGCTGTAATCTCAGCTATTCAGGAGGCTGAGGTGGGAGGATCACTTGAGCCCAGGAGGTACAAGTTGCAATGAGCCAAGATTGTACCACTGCACTCCAGCCTGGGTGACAGAGCAAGACTCTGTCTCAGGAAGAAAACAAACAACAACAACAATGAAAGCACATTATATGGGAATGTGTTTTTCCCATTTCTATTGGGGCCATTAAAGATAAAATAGAGCTCAGTTTAAAATTGTCTTTTCAAGCCCTGCAAAGTCATAATGAACAACTAAAATGGGAGAAATTGCCAACAAATATTAATGTTAAAATGTAAGAGGACTAAAACATATTAAGTAAATGTATTCCAAAGCCTCTTTAATCTTAATTATTTTGTATCTTTTTCTTTTTAACTGACATATAATAATTGTATATGTTTATGGGATACAGCGTGATATTTTGATACATGTGATATTGGTATACATGTATACAAATGCAATAATTAAATTAGGGTAATTACAATATCCATCACCTCAAACATTTCTATTCCTTTGTGTTGGGAACATTCAAAATCCTCTCTCCTAGGTTTTGAACATATATGATAAATTATCATTAACTGTATTCATCCTACAGTGCTATAGAACACCATAACTTATTCCTCTTATCCAGCTATAACTTCATATCCATTATCCTCTCCCTCTCCTTCCCTCCTTCCTATCCTTCCCAGTCGCTTCTCTCTCGACTTCTATGAGCTCTTTTTTTCTTAACTCCCACACAGAGTGACAACATGTAGTATTTACATTTCTGTGCCTGAATTATTTCACTGAACATAATATCCTCTAGTTTCATCCATATTGCCATGAATGACAAGATTTCATTATTTTTTATGGCTGGATAGTATTCCATTGTGTATATATACCACATTTTTAAATTCATTCATCCATTTTCGGGATACTTGGATTGATTCCATATCTTGGCTATTATAAATAGTGCTGCAATAAACATGGGAGTGCAGATATGTCTTTGACATACTGATTTCATTCTTTTGGACATCTACCCAGTGGTGTGATTACAGAATCATTTGGTAGTTTTATTTTTGATTTTATGAGGAGACTGCATACTGTTTTTCCATAGTGGCTGTACTAATTTACATTCCCACCAACAGTGTGTAAGTGTTCCCCATTCTTCACATCCTCATCAGCACTTGTTTTATCTTTTTGGTAACAGCCATGTAACTGGAGTGAAGTGGTATCTCATTGCAATTGCAATTTGTCGTTCCCTTGTGATTAGTGCTATTGAGCATTTTTCCTATACCTGTTAATTATTTGCATGTCTTTTTGAGAAATGTCTACTAAGGAGTTTTGCCATTTATTATTCTAGTTATTACTTTTTCTATTAAGTTTTTAATATATTCTTGATATTACCCCTTGTCAGGTGCATTATTTGCAAATATTTTCTCCCATTTTTTCAGGTTGTCTTTTCACTCTGTTTTCTTTGCTGAGCAAAAGCTTTCTGTCTGGTGTAATCCCATGTGTCTATTTTCGCTTTTGCTGTCCATAAGTCTTATTTAAAAAATTCTTGCCCACCCCGCTATTGTCATTTCCCCTATATTTTCTTCTAGTAGTTTTATAGTTTCATGATTTACTTTTAAGCCTTCAATCCATTTTGAGTTAATTGTAGTATATGGTGAGAGGAAGGGGTCTAGTTTTATTCTTCTCCATGTGTACATCCAATTTTCTCAGCACTACATATTGAAGAGACTGCCTTTTCCCCAGTGTGTGTTATTGGCATCTTTGTTGAAAATCAGTTAGCCGTAGGAGCATGAATTTACTTCTGGGTTCTCTATTCTGTCTTACTGGTCTATGTGTATGTTTTTATGCCAGTATTGTGCTGTTTTGGTTACTGTAGCTTGTAGCATATGTTGAATTCAGGTAGTGTGATTCCTCTAGCTTCATTCTTTTTGTACAGGATTACTTTGGTTACTTGGGGTCTTTTCTGATTCTATATGAATTTTAAGATTTTATTTCTGTGAATTTTGATAGAATTACACTGAATCTGTAGATTGCCTTGGGTAGTATGGCCATTTTATCAATATTAATTCTTTCAATCTATGAATATGGGATATCTTTCCATTTATTTGTGTCTTCTTCAATTTCTTTCATTAATGTTTTCTAGTTTTCAGTGTGCAAATCTTTTATGTCTTGGTTAAGGTTATTACTATGTATTTAATTTTTTGTAGTTATTATAAATAGAATTGTTTTCTTCTGTTACCATATAGAAATGCTGCTGATTTTTGTATCTTGATATTATATCCTGAATTTTTACTGAATTTATTAGTTCTAACAGGTTTTTGGTGGAATTTTTAGGATTTGCTATCTATAAGATCACATCATCTACAAACAAGGACAATTTGACTCCCTCATTTCTAATTAATTTGCCTTTAATATGATTCTCTTGGCTAATTGCTCTATCTAGAATTTCCAGTACTGTGTTGAATAGGAGTGGTGAAAGTGTGCATTCATATCTTGTTTCTGATTTTAGAGAAAAAGCTCTTAGTTTTTTCTTGTTCAGCATAATGTTATCTGTGAATTTGTCATGTGGGTTCTTTATTGTGTTGAGGTACATACCTTCTATACTAATTTGTTGAGAGTTTTTATTACAAAAGAATGTTAAATTTTGTCAAATTCTTTTTCTGCATTTATTTAAGTGATCATATGGCTTTTGTCTTTTTGTTAATATGATGTATCATAGCTATTAATTTGCATATGTTGTACTATCTTCTCATTCCTGAGATGAATCCCATTTGACCATAGTAAATGATGTTTCTAATGTGCTGTTGAATTAGGTTCATTAGCTTCTTGTTGAGAATTATTGCATCTATGTTCATCAATTATATTGTTATTTTTCTCCCCGTTTCCTTGTCTGGTTTTGAAGTTACTGGCCTAGCGAATGCTGGCCTAGCTAAATGAATTTGGGAGAATAATTGGTATTAGTTCTTTAAATGTTTGGTAGAATTCAGCAGTGAAGTTATGAGGTCCTTCATTTTTTTTTTTGGATGGAAGATTTTTATTACTGATTAAATTTCTTTACTCCTACTGGTCTGTTCAGATGTTCTCTTTCTTCATAATTTAACCTTGGTTGGTTTGTATCTATCCAAAATTTATCCATTTCTTCTATGTTCTCAAAGTTGTTCATAATAGTCTCTTATGATCCTCTGTATTATGTCTCCTTTTTCATCTCCAATTTTATTAGTTTGGATCTTTTTTCTTTTTTCTTATTTAGTCTAGCTAAAGATTTATTGGTTTTGTTTACCACTTCAAAAAACATTTCTTCATTTTATTGATTTTTTAGTCACTATTTTATTTTTTTCTCTGAACCTCATTCTTTCCTTCCTTTTAGCAATTTTTAGTTCAGTTTATTATTGTTTTTCTAGTTCCTTTAGGTGCATGGTTAGTTTATTATTATTATACTTTAAGTTCTGGGATACATGTGCAGAACGTGCAGGTTTGTTATATAAGTATACACGTGCCATGGTCGTTTGCTGCACCCATCAATCCGTCATCTACATTAGGTATTTCTCCTAATGCTATCCTTTCCCTAGCCCCTCATCCCCCAACAGGCCCCGGTGTGTGATGTTTCCCTCCCTGTGTCCCTGTGTTCTTACTGTTCAACTCCCACTTATGAGTGAAGTCATAGTCTTTGGAAATAATCTTCTGAGATATATGCTAATCATCTAATGGTGATTCTCTTATGTGTGACTTGATGGTTTTCTATTGCAGCTTTTAGAATTCTTTGACTTTTGACAGTTTGATTATGATGTGCCTTGGAGAGGATTTACTTGGGTTGAATTTTATTGTGAACTTTTAGGCTTCCTGAATCGGGATGTTCATGTCTCTCCCAAGACTTGGGAAGTTTTCAGCTATTATTATGTTAAATAAGTTTTTTGAGCCTTTCTCCATTTCTAACTCCTGGAACACGAATATTTGTTTGCTTGATGGTATTTCATAAGTCCCAGTATCTTCATTCTTATTCTTATTTCTTTTTTTTTCTCTGACTGGATTATTTCCAAAGAACCCATCTTCAAGCTCAGAAATTCTTCCTTCTGCTTTATCTGGTCTGTTGTTGAATACCTTAATTATTATTTTTTATTTTATTCATTGAATTCCTCAGCTCCAAGATTTCTGTTTGGTTCTTCTTTATGATATCTACCTATTTGTTAAATTTCTAATTCAGATCATTAATTGTTTTTCTGATTTTATTGTCTTGTCTGTATTCTCTTGTACCTCACTCAGTTTTCTTACGATCATTATTTTGAATTACTTTTCAGGCATTTCATAAACATTCTTTCCTTTGATGTCGTCACTGGAGAATTATTGACTTCCTTTGCAAATTTCATGTTTCCTTGTTTTTTCATGTTTCTTGTGTCCTGACACTGATATCTATGCATCTAGTGGAACCGTCATTTTTTCTCATTTTATGGAGTAGCTTTTGCAGGAAGAGACTTTTTTCTGTAGATGGGAATGGGCGTTGATTGGGAATGGTGTATTGGTTGGGTGTCTATTGGGAGTAGGGTGTTGACTGGAAATGGTATGTTGGCTTTTGTTCTGGGTGGACTCAGTAGCATGGTCTCCATGCAGATTGTTCAGTTGTAATCTTTGTCTGCAATGTCTGTGATTGTCTCAGTGGTCTGGGCTGCTGTAGTTTGTGACAGCAGTGGCATGATCCAAAACCTCTTTTAACCAAGAGAATTAAATGTATTTACTGATGAATGTTATGTGTATATTATGGTATCCATTAATTAATGAATATAACAACAGACTTTGATTATGTTTTTCTTTTTTTTTTAAGTATTTCAAACAGGATGGATATTTTTCTTTGTCTTAAAGTATTTCCAAAGAAGAGTTTTGCAAAAGTGAACCAATTTAATAAGAAATAACTTCCCATAATCTAAAATTTAATCCTGGATATCATGATCTTTGTCCTAGAACAGTCTTTTAATTCTAGTTTTCTTATTAGTTGAAAGTCTGGTACATATTGTAAGATAAAACTAATTCTTTCATCTTACTGTCTAGAGGCATCAAGATGAGGCCTAAGGTTAAGCATATCAGTCCGATACCTAATTTGAGAAAAATTCCACTGGAAAGCTTTTGAAACATCAGCAATAACATCTGAAGTAATTACAAAGTTCAACCACCAATTTAAATGAAAGGCTACCTCCTTTATTCACTAGTTGAATATTACGATGTTAAAAATCATTAAAGTACCTGTAAGGTGAATTAATAATGTGGCATTTTATTGATTACCTATATATAAATTGAAGACATATTTTAGGCCCAGAGATTTTATGGAAAGACCATTTCTAAAAACATTGTATGCAAAATTCTAAAAGCTACTGCTTTAAAAAAATTTGCTACTGAAAGGGCAATGAATTCTGAAGGGTCCTTAGGTCTTGTTTGAACCATATATTCTGCTTCTAAAATTATAGTCATAACAAATTCCTCAGACAATGCCACCTAATGAGACTTCAAATGGTCACTAAAGTCATATTGTGATTTCATCATCAATCTAGTAGATTAAAAATAGACTACCTCTTACTCTATATATTTTAGAAGACTGAACATGAATAAATGAAATAAATTGAAATATGACTTATATTGGCAGCAAGGAAAGATTTTCACATGAAACAACTTGATAGGTGTTTAAGGGATATGCAATTTTATAATACCACGACAAAACAAACTTCTTTTATCCTTTTAATATAATAATAGGCTCTAGCCAAGGGTTGTGTTGCATTTTGTGCCTTGACTAGTGAGAATAAGACAGATGAAAAAAGGAAGACAACTGCAGGCAGAAATTAAACTATAAAACAGGGAAGAAGAAGAGTGAGAGGTTTTGCTTTAAAGCTATGATTGTTGTTGGGACTGTGCTGTGTAAATACATACCTGTCACCTTTACTGTGTCTTGCATTCCTATCTTAACCAGAAACTGGGAAAACACCCTTTAATTTAAGGCTTGCTGACTGGTGCCACCTTGCTTTTGGTTCTTGATTGGTGTTGAAATGATAAGGCAGAAGCTATACTTTTATTTTATAGATAATATTTGTCATTTTCTGATTGTGAAAGTAGCATACGCTGAAAATTCAATAAATTAAAAACGGACAATGGCAAAAGAAAATTAAATGCAACCACTAACCCACCACCAAGGGTTTCATCTTGTTGTAATTCATCTACATATAAATTTACATGAAATAATACTTTTAAGAATGTATTGCTTTGAGTTTACTATGTTGTCTCTTTAGAACAGTGATGGAGGCAGTGAAGGAACTTCGGTATAAGAGATTGCATCCCATTTCTTCACTGGTCCCACCAAGGTGACCAGCTGTGTGACAAATCCTCTAGAATCTGGAGCTGACCCCTGAGGGGTGAGTTTTGTTTTTGTATCTAGAAGGTTTGTGTATTTGTTAAACTGCTTTTAACTACAAGTAATAATACTTGATTAATTGAAATGTAGACAACGGCAGCTTACTTTTCTTCACATAAAGAGAAGGGCAGCTATTCACCAGCTATTCATCTTCAGTTTGATGGCTTCAGGTTTCTGACTTCTCTTTCAGTCTTCTCTTGGTCTTAAAATGGCAGTTGATGCAAACATCATAAACTCTGATATTCGTATCTAATGGCTGAAAATCATTGGGATGTACAGGAAGGGATGTTTCTGGGATGGGATGGCAAGTTCCTCACCCTGTGGGTCTCTTTTTATTAGATAATAATATTTTTCTTTTTATTATTATTATTTTTTAATTTCAATAGGTTTTTGGGAAACAGGTGGTGTTTGGTTACATGAATAAGTTCTTTAGTGGTGATTTCTGAGATTTTGGTGGACCCATCAGCTAAGCAGTGTACACTGTACCCAACGTGTAGTCTTTTATCCCTCACCCCTCTCTCACCCTTTCACCTGACTCCCCAAAGTCCATTGTATCATTCTTGTCTTTGCATCCTCATATCTTAGCTCTCACTTATGAGCGAGAACATACAATGTTTGGTTTTCCATTCCTGAATTACTTCACGTAGAGTAATGGTCTCCACTTCCAGGCTGCTGCAAATGCCATTATTTAATTCCTTTTTATGGCTGAGTAGTATTCCATGATATATATTTACCACAATTTCTTTATCCACTTGTTGATTGATGGGCATTTGGGCTTGTTCCATATCTTTGGACTTGTGAATTGTGTTGTTATAAACTTGCATGTGCAAGTATCTTTTTCATATAATGACTTCTTTTCCTCTGGGTAGATACTGAGTAGTGGGATTGCTGGATCAATTGGTAGGTCTACTTTTAGTTCTTTAAGGAATCTCCATACTGTTTTCCATAGAGGTTGTACTACTTTACATTCCTACAGCAGTGTAGAAGTTTTCCCTGTTCATCACATTCACTCCAACATCTATTATTTTCTGATTTTTTGATTGTGGCCATTTTTGCAGGAGTAAGGTGGTATCACATTGTGGTTTTGTTTAGCATTTCCCTGATTACTAGTGATACTGAGCATTTTTTAGGAAGTAATATTTTTCTAGGAAGATGCTCATATGACACCTGCTTAAATTGATCAAAATGGGATCACATGCCTGATCCTAAACCAATAACTGGTTAGGTAATAAAGAATTACCATAATTGGCTATGTCACTTTTCCTTCATGCTTTGAGGGTATGAGAGGAGCACACATCCTCCCCGCCACCCCTGCAACTGGATTTCATTAAACTAAAGAAAAAAGAACAAAAGTGAGCCTTATAGAAAACTCATAGTACCTACCACATCTCACCATTTCAGCTCAGGAAATGGGCATCAAAATCATGTAAGGATTTCTGTCCCTATCACATTACCTAATCATAAAGATCATATTTCAGTTTCCTGGTTGATTTTTCTTGACAAATTAGAAAGATCTTCTGAAACTTATAAAAAACAATTATCTGTTTCTTTATGGCTTTACATTTTATAACTGTCCTACTTATTATTTAAAAAAATAAGAATGAGTGATTGAAAGACTGAAGGGAACCTCTTATTTCAGAAAAGATTTAAGGTATTTAAAAAATCTGTGTGCATTTGTATTAAGTCATTCTTGCATTGGTACAAAGAAATACCTGAGACTGTATAATTTATCAAGAAAAAAGGTTTAATTGGCTCACAGTTCTGCAGCCTTTACCAGGAGCATGGCGTGGGCATCTGCTCAGCTTCCAGGGAGGCCTCAGGTGGCTTACAATCATGGTGGAAGGCAAAGGGGCAGCAGGCACATCACATGACAAAAGCAGGAACAGGTGAGAGACACAGTCAGGAAGGAGGGGAGGAGGTGCCACACACTTTTAAATGACCAGATCTCATGAGAACTCGGAGTCAGAGCTCACTTATCACCAAGGAGATGACCCAAGCTATTCAAGAGGGATTCGCCCCCATGATCCAAATACCTCCCATGAGACCCCACTTCCAACACTGGGGATTACATGAGATTTGGGTGGAGACAAATATCCAAACTATATCAGTATTTTATATAATAAAGTTAAAAATTAAAGTGACAGGCAAAGAAATGTAATACTTTAAAAGTAAAATACTACTAGACACAAAAATAATGTCAGAACACAAAATGTGTGTTATAGACTCCTATATTTGCTTGGGATGTGCCATAAATTTTGCTCTAAATTTATTAGAAATGGATGCCTAGAGGGTTGTCCTATTAGTTACAAGATACACAGTACACATACTTAAATAATTAATTGTTTGATACTGAGATTGGTATGATATCCCCCATGGGTTCTCACTGAGCCCACACTGTAGACAATGAACTTCATTCTTGAAAACCTGTGTAGAATGATCCCTGCTATAAGTTCCTTTCTTATGAAATCTCCTAAAATGGGGGTTACCAAATCCTCCAAATAGGAACCCTTTTGAAAGAGAAACAATGACACCAACACAACCATAATTTGGGACTGCTGTCAGCACATCATGACCTATAGCTGCCCTTCCAGGATCAGTGATGATATCACTTTAAAAAAATTTTCCAGTCAGTTTTTCTCTCTTACACCCCACAATAGCTATTTCAATCCTTTGGCATGCTCTTTTAACTCCTGGGTCTTCGTCCACCTTGTCATTTTTGGCAAATAGCCTCATCTCTAACTTCAAGTGTGAAACTAAATTTACTTGGCTGAAGCTCCTTTCGCCTGCTTCCCCATCCTCTGAGCTGAGCTGTCCTGTTTAAGTTTCCTTGTATCCCTCCCTCCCGTCACATGTGAATGAGTCTTCAACTACTGCCATCTTGTTAAAGAAACTTGGCTGTGAAGGGAAGAACAGAGTTTTCTGTGTTTGTCATCTCCATTTCATCACTTCCGTTTCTCCCCTCTGTCTACTTTCTCGTGGCTTTTGCCTCTAACCTTGCACAGAAAAGACAGGCAGAACCCACCTATCACTGCTCAGGGGCCACTTTTCAGCCCTTGACACTCACAGCCCCTCTCTGTCATGTTGCATTCTTGGCCACGTCCTCCTTAAAATCCATCCTTTCTCTTCTTTTGTGATACCACACCCTCTGCCTTCCCTCTCTCTTCTCTGATGTTTTATTTTGATTTTCTCCCTTGGATTCTCTTCTGCCCCTCCCTTACTTATGTGTGGTGTTCAGCACACATAAGGGATAGTACAGCCTTGTGGTTAAAGCTTAGCCTCTGAGTCCAGATCACATGAGTCTGACTGCTGACCATGCCACTTACTATATCTGTCACCTTGGACAGAATACTTCACTTATTTGGCCCTCAGTTTCTTCAATTATATATTTAAAAAGGTGATAAAGATGTATTTATCTCATATGCTTGTTATGAAGGTTAAGCAAATTAATATACATAAAGCATACAGAGCTCTACATGGCCATTAACCTAAGAACAAAACAAACAAAACTCAGGTTTCCCCACTTAATTCTGTTTCCTTCATTGCTAGTATTTCTCGGTGAACTAATTTTCTCTGATGGCTTTTTCTATCAACTACACACTGATGCACCAGGCCACTTCTCTCCAGACCGCATCCTTCTCCTGAACAATAGATTCAAGCTGATTAATGGACATCTGCATTCACTTCAGATTCAGTCATCCAAAGTGAACTCATCACCTTCCTCACCAGAGCCCATACTCTTTTATTTTCTTTCTTGCCAAAAGGTGTCCAAATGTACAAACTGGGATCCTGGGAGTGAGTTTTCATTCTCCCCCCTCCCAATATCCAGTTAGTCATGAAGTCCTGTCAGTCACTGACATAGTATCTCTAGTACCTCTTGCCTTCCCTCCATTCCTTGGACCTCTCTTAAATTGAGACACTCATCATGCCACTCCTGGAGTACCGGGTCAGATTCTCATTAATCTGGCCTCTGATCTCATTCCTCCACAGAGCTAGGATTTGACTTGATTGGGTTCCTCCCATTCTTAAAGTGATTCATAGATTCCCAATAGTCCTCAGGATAAAGTCCAAAGCCTTTAGCATGGCTTGCTTCATCCTTCATAATCTGTACCCTCCTAGGCCTTCATTTTTTCATTTTTTGAAACTTCTTCCCTTGAAATATGCACTTCAGCCAAATTGATGTACATGTGGAATCAATATGTTCTAATCCTACTAAGTTAACCTCAAGGTGATTTTTATTGAGAGGATGTTTTCTCTACCCAACACGGTAAACCAAATTATTGCTTGTCTAAATGCTTATGTAGCACAATTGCATTATATACAATTTAGCATTTTGAAATGTTATTGAAATAGTATCATTAGAAAAATTTTTGTGTTAATTTTATACTTTAATTTTATTAATTAAGCATCTTTCTATCATAATAATTGTATTAGTCCATGTTCACACTGCTAATAAAGACACACCCGAGACTGGGTAATTTGTAAAGAAAAAGAGGTTTAATGAACTCATAAGTTCCATGTGGCTGGGGAGGCCTCACAATCATGGTGGAAGGCAAAAGGCACGTCTTACATGGGGACAGACAAGAGAGAAAATGAGAACCAAGTGAAAGGGCTTTCCCCTTATCAAACCATCAGACCTCGTGTGACTTATTCATTACCAGGAGAAGAGTATGGGGGGAAGCGCCCCCATGATTCAATTATCTCCCACTGGGTCCCTCCCAGAGCACATGGGAATTATAGGAGCTACAATTCAAGATGAGATATAGGTGGGGACACAGCCAAACCGTATCAATACTGAATGCATTATTTCACAGTATTAACATTCTTAATTCATTTTTATTCCATTTTAAGATTTATACTGTACCTGTCACTTCTACCAAGCCTGTTTCATTGTGGGTGAAATTTTGGGGATTAAAATTTTACCATGTCTAGTTTTAGCCCTTATTAGGGTTTTTATTTTGTTCACTGTATTTTTAATACAGTATTATTTCTTATGAATTGGATGAAAAATCGATCACAGGCATCTTTACTTATTTCAGAAGATTATAAAAAGCAATTC
Organism: Homo sapiens; assembly: GCF_000001405.40. NCBI lineage: Eukaryota > Metazoa > Chordata > Mammalia > Primates > Hominidae > Homo > Homo sapiens. Next base: position 106,185,503 of record NC_000013.11, on the reverse strand, counting down.
TATTTGGTATTCCAGGATTGTCCAGAATGGTTAGAATAATCTGCTGCATTGACAACCTATTTCTTTTGTATATGTCTTACCATTTTGGCTACCACATACTCGCAGTCTTCGCTCTGGCAGAATACAGAGCAAGTGACAGGGTTAAAACGGCAGTGCACGGCTGCAAGGTGGCTTGACTGGTGGGACCCCGAGGGCTCTTGTTCATAGCTGCTGTGTCCTCACTGTGTTACATTCTCGCCATCAGTGTTGCTCCCTTTTTAGAATGCCTTCTCTGCTAGTCAAGACTCATTCAGTTGTGAGTGAGCAAAACCTGGTTCAAATAAACTTAAGCAAAGTCTACCTTTATTTGTCAACACAGGACCTTTTCTCTCTCAGCATCTGTGGAAAAAATTCTCAAGGAATATTTATTGACCAGCTTGGATCATGTGCTCATTCTGGGCCAATCATAGTGGTCAGGATGATGAGGCCTTGTGATTGGCCCACCTTAGGTCATGTGCTCATTCTGCACCAATAACAGTGGCCAGGAAGATGGGGCCTTGTAATTGGCCCACCTTGGGTCATGTGCTCATCCTGGACCAGTCACTGCAACCAGGAGGATGGGGGTCTTGTGATTGGCCTTTCTTGGGTCACATGCTCACCTCTTTAGGCAGGAAAGGGAGAGGTGGACGTGAACCTCCCGGGGATGCAGGAGTATCTCTGCAAGCAGAGAGGGGTGTACCCTCCAGGAAGAGAGAAGCGAGACTGGAGGCACAGCAACAGTTTGCTGCACGTTCTGCTGTCTCTCACATTTGCTCTCAAAACACTATATGCATTTTTCTCATTACTATTATAGAAACATACTGTCATTCTTTTAAAACTTGGTTCTCTCTTCCGTGAGATCGAGCCATCTTTAATGATGGAGAAAATGCTTTGCTCACTTTTATGCACCACTGTTTACCTGATGCTCAACAAAGAGTTAAGTATAAATAAGGCATGTGGAGAAAGGGAATTAAGTTGGGATAGGTCTAGAACTCATTATTTAATATTAATTTGTATCTGACTGCAAAGCTTATACAAGTTAACCAGCTGTACTTTGGAGATCTGTTTCTTCACCTCGAACTCATGTGGTGCGCTTGCATTTAATTTAAAGGTGGGGAGGAAAGGTGATGATAAAATGACTTATGATAATAGGAAGAAAAATTAAAATGTAAAGAGAAGCCCTAACTTTGGTAATGTTTGAGCATCAGCAGGAAAATAACAAAAGAAGATGCTGCAATGAAGAGAACAGAAGTCATTTTTCTTTTCAGTTTGTTGTAATATTATGCACCATGATGACACAATCTTTGAAAGACAGTCTAGTAAAAAATTAAATTTGGGAAATAAATAGGGATAAATTATCACCAGGGTTGATAGAATGCAATGATTATCAGCCATTTGAGACAGAGATAGCATTTTTGCAACAATTTTAAGTCTGTGCCACGCATAAGGCGAAGCCTCCTATGGAAATCACAGAGAAAGGAATAAACCTGCCACACCCCAAGATTTACGACACTGCCAAGCGAGGAACTCAAAGGTCACTCCTGAATTAAGTTGCCTTTGTATGACTCTCTGTTGTGGGTGTGAAAATACACAGAATGGTGAAATCCATTAAACTACAGTTGACAGCAAGAGGGGCTCATTAATTCCGGCGTGGGAGGAAGTTTGCCTTTCTACAAAAATCCTGTGGGACTTCTATGGGCATGGTTCGGTTCTTAGAGCAAAATGGAGCATTAAAATAGAAGACGGCTCTGGGAATAAAACTAGGGACTAGAACCTCTGCCTAAAAGTAGTCATTGCCTGAACAGGCCGTGTAGTAGCCAGGGAGAAATCACATTTGTCACAACGCATGAGAGCTTTGTGGTAATCACGTGATGAGAGGAACTGGCAAGCCACTCCCAGAAGACATTGGAGACAGACCCAGGCTAAATACAATGTAATGGAAGTTGGTGCCATCGCCCCAGGTAGCAAACGAGCAACCAGTCGAAGCTGGTGTGGCTTTGTCGTGAGGCTGCAGGCTGCATAGGACAGAGAACAGAGTTCCTCACAGCGAGGAGCAGTTCATTACTCCTTGAGGCCAGAGATTTGATAATAGCATAAATACGTCATTTTCTCCCCAAAGTGGGATTAGATTGTGTTGCCTCCATGGTTTTAATGTTTTAAGAAATAGGTTACCAATATCAAGAGATCAAGAGGCTTCCAGCTGTCACTGGTGACAAAACTGATCCAGAAGGAGAGGATGCAGCCAGCTTTTGCTCACAGACCAGATCCCATTTCCCATGGGATGCTCTGGGTGAAGGGAGGTATCAGTGTTCAGACCTGAAAATGGAAGAACTAGAGTAGGAGCGAGGGCTCACCTTCTAGGGACAGCTTCTTGTGAAGATCTAAGTTTTGATGTGCAGTTCCTTTGTGGAGTATTGCAGTTGCCCTGAGCTGCAGCAATTACTTCCTGAATGTGCATTATGGCTTAGCACATGGGCCTGTTGGAGGCAAGGAGTCTGGGGAAAGGGAAATAGAGATCTACAATCTGGAAGGTGGCAAAGAGGACCTAGGGGAGGAAGTTATCAGGTATTTTGTAATTAGTTATGGCTATACCTGGGGTAAACTTTATCTGTAAATACAACCTAGTATACTTGTTTTAGCCTATTGTGCTTGGTTTTGTTCTGGAGAAGGTGGACGAGATGAACAGAACAAATCAGAGGCCACTCCACTGGGAAGATGTTTCCCACCTCCTTCCGAGGCCAGTCCCACAGTTACACTATGGCCAGCATCTCTCTGAGGGCTCCAGATCTTGTTCCCTCCTAGTGTGAATCATCTCCCGCAACTTCACCACTTCCTGCCTCCTCCGAGTCCTCCTGCTCAGCACTCAGACAAGTTTAATTGTCTCTCACTTGCGAAATCCTCTCCTTGATTCTGTTTTCCTTTTCAACTACTGCCGGTCTGCTCAATACCATGAGGTTTGAATGCTGCTGACACTTCCCGCCCTGAGAGTTGTCATTGTGTGTGTGTGTGTGTGTGAGAGAGAGAGAGAAAGTGGGCACATTTTGAAGTCTCAGATATAATCCATAACTATCTGCTCATTGTAAAAGATGTTAAACATATGGAAATGCATGCACCCTTCGTCTTTGAACATTACTCTGTACCCATTCCTGGCAATATTTCATGCAAATCATTATGGACTTTTTCTTTCATAAAACTTGCAAATGTACGTAGAGGTGTATCAATGCAAGCACACTTTAAAGACTCCATGGACTTTATACATAGTGTTCTACAACTGTCTTTTTTACTTAAAAATGTATCATGGATATCTTTTCATGTCAATAATGTATATCCAGTTCATTCTCTAAATCTTTATATACTATGGATATTTCATTATTACTTACGAAGTCAGGGTTGTTTCCAATTTTAACTATTACAAACAATGCTACAAAGAACATCTTGGTTCATCTGTATGTATACATACATATGGGTATGTGCGTGTATGTATACACAAATATTTCTTTTGGCTAAGGTCTTAGAAGCGTATTTGCTAGATGGAAGGATATAGGAATTAAAATTTAAAAATCACACGAATTGCTCTCTATAAAAGTAAATACCAATTATACTGCCACTATTAGTTGACAATGGAATTGATTTTTTTTTCAAGCATCCTCTGGAACTAGATTTATCAGTCATCTTAATTTGTGCCAATTAGATGGAAGAAAACAGTTGTCTTGTTTTAATTTGCACTTCTCTGTAGCGTGAGAGCTTCTTTTTATATGTTTGTTTATTTTTATTTTTCCCTTGATTTGCCTCTTCATATTCCTTGTTCACTTTTTTGTATTGAGTTCTTTTTCCTTTTTTAATTTTTTCTCTGTATGTATGTATTTATTTATTCATTTATTTTTTATTTTATTTTATTTTGAGACAGTCTTGCTCTTTCCCCCAGGCTGGAGTGCAGTGGCACAATCTTGGCTCACTGCAGCTTCCGCCTCCTGGGTTCAAGCGATTCTCCTGCCTCAGCCTCCAGAGTAGCTGGGATTACAGGCATGAGCCACTATGCCTATTTTTGTATTTTTAGTACAGATGGGGTTTCACCATGTTGGCCAGGCTAGTCTCGAACTCCTGACCTCAGGTGATCTACCTAACTCAGCCTCCCAAAGTGGCTGAGCCACTGTGCCCAGCCTGAGTTCTTTTGTTTTTTTAATTGACTTGCAGCAGTCATCTACATAATATGAATATTAATTCTTTCTGTTTCATATTCAGATATATACACACTTACATACATATGTGAAAATATATATGGAAATGTTTGTGTGTGTGTGTGTGTGTGTGTGTATTTATCAATGATCTATTGTAGGGTAACAAACTACCCCCAAACTTAGAGACTTAAGTCAAAAAAGAAATGTCTTATACACAGCCCTGAGGGTTGCTGGGCACAAGTGTAAGGCTCTAGCTCAGTGTCTTTCATGTAGCTACAGTCCGTTGGTCACTGGTGTAGTCTTCTGAAGGCTTCATTGGGTTGAAAATCCAAGAGGGCTCCTGCACGTGGTGGCCGTGGATGTTCTCTTTGCATGAGAGCTCAGCTGGGGCTCTGCTAGGGCTGTCAGCTGGAGTGTCTACATGTGACCCTCTATGTGGTTTGGGCTCTTAGAGAATGGTGGTGGCAGGTTTTTTAGAGCAAGTTTTCCAAGGAACAGGTTGTAGAAGCTAGCAGGCTCCTAAATTCTGGGCATGGAAAATGGCACAGCATCTTCTTATAATCTGTTGTTCAAAGCAGTCAGAGAGCTCATTCCAAATTTAATGGAGGAAATAGGAAGAATGTTAAAAAAAAATTGACCCTCTTTAATTCACTAGAATTCATTCTCTTACCACAAATTATTTATAATTTGCCCCATGCAAAATGTACCTTGCCTATCCGCCTCTCCTTACTTCCTAACACACCCTCCATCTGAAGTTCCATACCATTACGGCTTTAAGTTCAAGTTCTATGGTTCAGGGTTTTAATGTCTAAATCAGGTCCAGGTGTAGATGAGCCTTCTCTGGGGTGGGTTTTCTCTATTTGATGACCTGTGAACCAAAGAGACAAGTTATCTGTATGCAGGCACTTGACATACAGTGTTGGACAGCCATAGAAAAACCACAAATGACATGATCACTCGAAAACAAGGGAAATGGAAGACACGTGGCAGTCATTGGTCCATAGCAATTATGAAATCCAGCTGGGCACACATTGCTAACTCTTTGAATTACTCTGTTTCTGAGGAAGGGTTTTTCATGGTTTTTGGCTTGTGTCTTGGTTTCTTGTTTCTTCCAAGTCATCTTTCTGTTTCCGTAAAATATAAGCTGTTAGCATCTGAATGTTTCCTCTACTTTCTTACTGCTTATTGTAGTTTAGGAGGGTGGGTAGGGATCCAAAACACTTTATTTTGTACTATGACCACTTCAGTCCAAGCTGATATAATCCTTTTAAAAACTTTACAGATTCCTTGTCTATCAGATTATAATATACTTCATTACACAAAAGACATATTCACAGTTTACCTATAGAGGCTCTTTGTTTAAGCCAAGAGTCAGGGCACTGTGGGACAACACCCTTAAGATCCTCAGAAGCTTTTTTGTTTAGCTGGAAGAGTCTTGAGGCATGCACTTAAGATTCTTATGGTACCTATTATCTAAGAGAGAAGGTCTAAAGGTGATGACCTTAAGATTCTTTGAAGCCCTACTAGGCACACACTTAAAACATTCTTAACATCATGTCCTCCAGTTAAAGTTTGTATAGCCACACTCTTAAAATCATCACCCTGAAGCCATGCTCTACTGAACATGCTTGGGATTTGACATTTGCCCTGACATCATTTCTTATTTTGTGGGTCCTTTGCCCTCTGGAGCAACTGGGAATGAGAAATAGTTTAATTTTGATCCCAGTAAATATTGCCTTCAATTTACTTTCTTGAAAATTATCTTGAAAACTGAACAGTAAAATAGCTCAGCTACCTATGCTTTTCATACATGACAGTATTAAAAAAAAAAGCAATTGGTACATTCCATGTTCTAACTAGAAATGCCCTTAGCCAAAACCATCAGTTTGTTAGATCTGTTTTCTGTTTTTCACATTACCACTGGTGACAGTGTTGTCAAACGTTCTGCTTCTTTGTAATAGGGGCTGCCCTTTCTTCAGCCTCCAATAAAATGTTTTCACTCTCACTGAAGCCCTCATGAACAGTCTTCTCAGGATCTTCCATCTTCTGTCCATTGGGCCCCAGAGCCAGTGCAGCATGACGTAGAATTTGTTACCGCAGGATCTCATACTTGGTACCATATCTTGTTCCATTTATCTTTTCTTGTTTTTTTTTGTTTGTTTTTTTGTTCTAAATTCTAAAATGTAGTTGTTTCTAACCACAAGTTATTATATTTCACAATTCTCTGGATTGCCTGGATTCACATGGGTAGTTCTCATTGAGGTCCTTGTAGTCAGCAGCTGGGATTGGAATTGTCTGAAGGCTTGACTGGGCTGGATGTCAGGATGGCATAATCCCATGGCTGGCATAATCCCATGGCTGCCTTAATCCCGTGGCTGGCATTGACGTTGTCTGTTGCCTGTGGGCTCTTTTATGGCTGTTGGCCAAGGCATCTGCAAGTGACTTTTTAATGTGGCTTTGGTTTCTCACACAATATTAACTTATTTCCAATAGCAGTTGTTCTAAGCTTAAGGAAGTGGAAGCTACCATTGTCTTAGGGCCTAGACAGACAAACTGGTATAACATATTCTAAAGTGTCCTGGTTTTCAAAGTAATAACAGAGCCGTCCAGGATTTGGGGGATGGGAAAAGGGGTCATAGAATTTGCCTTTCAGTAGAAGAAGTGCTAATAATTTTGGTCATCTTTACTCTGCCACCAATATTAATAATACTTAATCTCAAAGTGTGCATTCCGTCTTTTTAAAAAATGGCTTCAGGATTTTGTGTTTTCTTAGGAACTCATCCATATGTTGAGATTCTAAAGAAAAATACTCCTGCAGCTTTCACTAATACATGGATTCCATTTTTCACTCTGTACCTCATTAATCCATTTGAAATTTGTTTCTGTGTATGGTTTAAAGTAGAAATTCAATTTAATTTTTCCAAATAAGTAACAAATTATCCAACATCACTTACAGGCAATCTGTTTTAAAATATTTTGATTTTCATGTGATACAGTCCTTTGCATGTAGGTTAGTTTGTCACTTATTCTGCTCCATTGATTTCTTATTCCTGTACAAATAGTATATTATTTAAGTTTATATTGATTTATATTTCATTTGATTTTAAATAAATCACCCCTTCCAGTGGCCTTTACTGAAAGTTATTCTTCCTGATAAATTTTAAAATTAGTTGCCAAAATTTGTAAAAAGAAAATGATGAAAAGTTTTTAAAATAGTGATTATTATTAGATTTACATTGGATTTTATAGATTAATTTATGGAAAAAACTGCTTTTAATTTCCTTGTCTGTTTGCCTTTATCATATTTAGCTTAGGAATTCCTTGTTCTCTGATCTTAAGTTCAGATAATTTTTTTCTATTTATAAGAATTCTTTTTCCATGTCTCCGCCCATTCTCTCCTTTTAGAACACCGCTTGGATGTATGGTTAAACTCCTGGATGTGATATTTTTGTTCTTAAATATGTCCCTCAAAAAATAATTTTATATTTTCAATGTGTTTTGGAAGAATCACCGTTTCATGTGCTTCTGCTTACTTACATTACAGTTGCATATACTATATCTTTCCAAGCCTGAGAATAATAATTGTACTTATTTTGAATATTTCTTCCGTTTCTTTCTTTAACATTCCTTCCAGGAATTATTTGCAAGGTGTGTGATTAGCAAATATTTCCTATTCTTAATATATAAAAATCTAGTGGAAATCAATACTAAGAAGAACTTTCAGAAGCTAAGTGGGTAAAATGAATGAATTGGCTAATATATCCAGAAGAAACAGAAAGAAACAACAAGTAAGCCTATGAAAGGATGCCCAGATCAAATGATGCACGTGTATGTACATTCTAACAACGACTGTTTTTTCATAGAGCTGAGAATAAATGAAAAATATGATAATCCTGGACACAAAAAGGGTGTGGTAGTCAGGTACGTTTGTGTACAGTAGGCAGCAGTGTGTATTCTGTACAGCTTTTCAGATGACTGTTTGACAATGCATATCAGTAAGGTTTAAATGTTCTTTGACTCATTAATCCCACTTACAGGATTTTTATCTTAAGGAACTAATCTGATGAGTTCCAAAAGAATGTATGCGCCCGGGTAGACAATGCCAGCCTGCCAGTTAAATTTAAAAATGAAAATAAGAAAGAAACAACATAAAATCCAATAATAAGAATTTGGTTAAATATATTTTAGTCTGTTCCTTAAAAACATTAAAAAGCCTCACATATTGACCTGGAAAGATGTGTATAGTATTTTGTGACATAATCGCATTTTAAAAATATATACCTATGTGAATAAAAACTTGTGGGTTTAAATAAATCACATCAATTATACTGGTTATTTCTGAGAGTTAGAGTAAGAGAAAACTTTTATTTTTCATTTTAGTAACTTGTTTTATCCCATTTGATATATTTGTCAGTAAACTTACATTATTTTATAATCAGCAAAGTAATCTATTTCCATTAAAGCTCAATACATGCTTACTGAAAACATGTTCAGAAAGTATATATGGATATAAAAAAGAAAGTGAAAATGATCATGATTCTATATACAGACATATCTTTTTAATGGCTTAACACTAGCTTTATTTATTTTCTGATGCATACACACATAAATATATATTTACCAGAAGGGCACACACCCAGAAGACCCTTCTCTCCTTTTTTTAATCTGTGTGTTAGTTAGTGGTGTGTGGTGTAGGCTGTACGTGGTTTCATGTCAATAGAGGCATATTCGTGTCTCCGTAAGGTTAAACACATCATCGTCATCATTTTTGAGGACTGCATGATATATTTATTGTCTGTCACAGCCATGTACTTCCCTTTATCTGAGCACTTTCGTCTTCTCCCTACAATATTGGCCTCTGCTGGCCTCTTTGCCTCAACGACGTGTTTCATTCATCCCTATCTCCTCCCCAAGTCCTGAGGGCAGTGCCTGACATAATGGATTCTCAGCATTTCCTGTGGAATGAATGAGTGAGCGAGCAAATGAATGAGTGAATCAATCAAAGCCCATTTTACTGAGCTCACAGACACTCATGTGCCTTTGGAAAGATCATACATTTCTCTGTGGTTAGTTGTCCATCTGGAAGCTGAGAGTAATAAATGCCACATCACTGGAAGTTTAAAGGGATGAAAGAGATAATATTTATAAAATACTTAACTTCTTTAGAAGGAAAATCCCTGCCAAGTCCAATGTGTATACTATTATCATTGATTCTCCCCAGCCCCATCCATCACACAGAGGATTCTCTGGCTGCGTTTTCTCTCGGCAGCTTCGTTTCTAATTTCTTTTCATCACAGTATTCTGGAAAGTTAAGATGAATACAATTCAGTGTGACCGTCACACCTTCCTTAACATTGCAGTGTTCTAAACTAATTAAAAAGGTGATCGTTTTTAATCCTTTCACATCTCTTTGAGATAGAGGAGAGAAGTTGTTATAACCCTAATTTTGCAGCTAGGGAAACTGACACAGAGAGACATTTACTCAGCATTAGATCACAGATGATAATCCAGGCAGCACTTGAATTTGAATCTTTTGGTTTCTATCCTTCAGGTGATATCAAGCACATAGTAAAATCACCTTAGAATGTAGTAAGCTTTTTGAGACTGTGGGAGGAGAAGCCTTTTATTTCCCTAAAAAGATACTAAGTTTTCTAAATAAAATATTGACAATAAAGCTGTTCAGACAGTGATTTTCATCAGCAAAAGTGTCTGGTGATACTGCCTTTACAGGAAGTGGGTGGAAGAATGCGAGGGGGCTGATGGTCTCCTGAGCTTTGGAGTTTTCAGTCTGGAGTTAACTCTCAGAACATATGTGGTACTTGTGATAAGTATATAAGACAGAGATCATACTTGCTCAAAATGCTAGCATTGAAGCACTCTTCTATTACTGGCAAGTAATATTGCTCTATTTTTCTGTGATTGAAGCAAATGCCCTGCTAAAACAAGACTAATAGAATATGGCTGACTTTTTTTTATTAATTATTCCAACATTTATTGGATATTGAAGATACTGAGGTAGGAAAAGCCAAGTGCCTTTCCTCATGGAACCTACATCAGTAGGAATGACAATGAACAAATAACAAAAGTAATTATTTTATAAAAAATCTAAAATTCCTAGAGTGATAAACGCAATGAAGAAAATGAAGCAGGTTGAGGTCCGGAGAGGGTTGGGAGTGGGCAAGTATTTAAACAGGGTGGCCAGGGAATGGCTCCCTGAGCAGGGCCATTTGAGCAGAGACCTGAGCCTTTGAGACAAGAAGCCACTGTGCAAGATCTGGGAGGAATATTCCAAGCAGAGGGAATAGCAAGTGTAATCCGGGCCATTCCCCTGCCTGAGGGACTTTTCTTTTTCTCATGCGTCTTTCCATTTCTGGTCAATGGTATTGTGAACCTTTCCCTTCTTGGTGTTTTTTTATTTTTTTTTAATCCTATTTTTATTTTTTATTTTTATTTTTATTTATTTATTTTTTTTAACACAACTGCTACTTGTTCCCCTTTGCAGCTTCTTTTCAATTATTTAACGTAGTAGCAGGCTCAGGGCTACTCCGCTGAGGGCTGTTCTGCAGTGCGAGCCCCTCGTGGGCAGGGGTTCATAGCATATTCCTTGTGTCGCTGGTACCTATTAGTGAGCCTGACACGTAGAAGCTGCTCAGTAAAGTTTCCCCGAGAGCATCCTTACGTTTGGGCCCACGCCTTTTGCATCCTTGCTGATATTGTTACGTGCCATATAAAAGGCTTGATAAGAGATGAGCTGTCTAGCTGTTGGAATCAAGCATTCTGACAGCTTCAGTAGTTTTTATCTTGTTTTATTTGCCTCATTTCTGTTTGGCACTAAGTTGAGGATGGGACACAGGCAACACCTTTACCAAAACAATGATTTCTTCCTGAAACGTCACTGATTTCTGGAATCTGCTCTTGGCACCATCTGGGGACCTTTCAACTGTGCGAGGCAGATAAATTATGTTTTATGCTCTCAGGACATAGCCCTCCCTTTCTGGGTCTCAGACACCTAAAAGAATATGGGAATTAAATTGCAGTTGTCTCTTTGTGTGCCAGATACCAGTTGCTGAACCACAAAGTCAGCCAATTCTCTGGTAAGGCTGTTTCTAATTTCTGCACCTCCCTTTACCATTCTGGTTTTGTTTGGAGAGTAAAGAAAGTTTCTAAATATTTTGAACCTCAGGGTCTTTTGTGGCATTCTTGTGTCTTCTCTCCTTTCACTGAAACGTGAAACAACCCACAATTGTTTGCTTGTATAACCCTTTCTTTTTTATATACGTGCCGTAGGATGAAGCATAATTTACCAAATAGGTTCTCTCCCAGCTTCTGTCACATTCTTTCTGATGTGAAAGGGTTAGAATCATCACAAGAAATGTTCATTTAAACGGAGTCAACCCAGATGAGTTATCTCAAAGGGTTAGCATATGAGAAAGGGTGCTGGCTTAATACTCAAGTCACACAGGGTACAATTAGGAGCTCCCTCATTTGCCTCCCACGTCCCTAATAAATATTCCTGGTAAATGATAATTAAGTTGTGGCTTTGAGGCACTGTGGTGTGTCTCTCACAAATGGGCCAACTTGTTTTTTCAAAATCCTATCCGAATGACTCTTTGATCCCACCTGGAAGCCACACCTGTTGCTCTCTGGCTCAGCAGCCTGCTGGGGTGGTGCAGAGCTTCTTCTCGCTCCTTGTGCCCAGACACACATCCACCTGCTGCCCTGGCCCATGTCCCCTGGCTTTGATCTCTAGGCATTGTGGAAAGCATCAGCTGTGACAGAATTTTGGTTAAGCCTCATTGCCTTGGAATGCAATTCTCAAGGGTTCTGCCCCTGGAAATTTGATAATGAGGTAGTACATGTTCCAGAAGGTGAGCTGGTATGTTGGGATGTTTCAAAGGAACTATTCCACAACTTCATTCTTCTAGGGGACTGGCCAGTAATGATGAGTAGCCCATAACTCTTGAAGTCGAAGAATCTTCCAAAGGATAGCATGAACTCATTCCCACGCTCAGATCCATAACTGTCTGTATACAATTGCACTTTGCAAAGGCAGCTTGAATCAGTCTGCTTACCTCCCTCTCTGCAAGCAGGTGGGAGATCTATATAAAAGTTAAGGCTTCGGGCATTGTAAGGGGCTAGGAATAGTTTTTACAAGAAAAAAAAAAAAACCAGTTGACCCTTATTTAAATCAAATCCTTCTCAGCGTACAAAAGGCGAATGCTTTCTTATTTTTTTAAAAGGGCCACCTAAAATGTATCAGTCATTTGCCAAAAGCCACATCTGACTCAAATAAGCAAATCTGTTGTATATAGCCTGTGCATGTAAAACAAAATCCAAATGCAAGTATGCATGCTTTTATGTTGTTCAACGACGGCAACCCGTATCTTATTTGTGTGTATCTTTGATGTCTATTACGTTATGTCATCTGAAGTGATTACATTGCTTTTATTTAATAAAATTTTTTCAAGTTGTTTTATGTCTCTGAATGGAAAGACCAGAAAAAAAAAAAAAAGCTGAATTCTTACTTGCTGCATCTCAGCTTTTATGTTGGAAGCAGCTTATGTTGAAGTTCTTAGTCTAAACAGTTTACAGTTTTCCGGATTAAGATCATGTGGAAGAAAGATGAAAATCTTAAAAGCCTCATTACATAAATGCTCCTGATACTCACGGGTAAATTGGACATTTGTGAACTTGAACTTCTGGGAACGATGGGAATTTTCTGAAGTGGGCAGAAGGCAAGTCTTTGGGAGAGTTACTGGAGGACAGAAGATTAAATCTACTCCCCAAACCTGAATGCCCACGAATGCAAATATACCCCTGCACAGAAACAAGGAGGGAATACAAAGCTTTCAAGTTATTTGAGGGGAAAACAAGCTCATTTCATGCCCATCTGTTGATAGGGATGGTAGGAAAGGCCTGGGTTGCTGACAGAGCAGTTCCCCATAAATTTGACTATTATTTCAGGTTTCTATTTTTTCCTCTTTGGTAGGAAGATATTAAAAATGAGTTTCTGGCAAAGAGTACAGAAAAACATAGAGTCTCTGAAATTGCAACTCATATAAATTCCTGGCCAAGAATCTTAGTTTTTACTGCTTGTCATTAATGAGCACTTTACAGAATCTACTTTCTTAACATATTAGGAAACACTGGACTCGCAGAATATTTCATGAATATTTTAGAAGCCTAGAAATGTACTAACTCTAGGAGTACTTGTTATGTGCCTAGAAGAATTTCATATGGGCTTTGAATACCAGGGATTACTGTACATATACAAAAGCTATCTTTTGCATGTAGAGAAGCTACTTTAAAATTTTGGAGAACTATTGTTTGCATATTTATTTCTGATAGGATCTTCAGGTTATAATTTGCCCAGTGTCTTTCCTCAAAAAGTTACCTCCTCTTCTTTTCTTGTTTTTTTAAGACAGGGTGTCGCTCTGTCACCCAGGCTGGAGTGCAGTGGTATGATCTTGGCTCACTGCAACCTCCACCTCCCAGTTTCAAGCAATTCTCTTGCCTCAACCTCCCAAGTAGCTGGGATTACCGTCTCCCGCCACCACACCCAGCTAATTTTTGTATTTTTAGTACAGACAGGGTTTCGTCGTGTGGGCCAGGCTGGTCTCAAACTCCTGGCCTTAAGTGATCCTCCCACCTCGGCCTCCCAAAGTGCTGGGATTACAGACATGAGCCACTGTGCCTGTACCTTTTCTATTTACTCTTCTACTACATGTTGCATCTGTCTGGCTGATATTCATTTCTACATTGAGATAAGTTAACAGTTTAGAATAAAAAGGTAGATCTAGTTAATTTTAGGTATGGAAGACCAAACATAAACACAACTCACTTTTTTCTCCTATCAAAATATTTCACGGGTCAGGGCTTTATTTTGAGGATGAGTGGGTGGTAACACAGAAACACTCGTGGGATTCAAACACTTTAATTTACCAAAGGTTATAGTCAAGGTATAGAAGTAATCATTCTTACCTAATGCAGTGAATAGGAGAAATATTACTTGCTCCTATTCAAAAAAATGCCTTTTTGTTCTGTCCTTATTTATTAAAAAATATTCAACCTTTGCTTTCATCATTTCTTGCCTGAAAAACTCAAAGTGGGTTTTCACAGATCTCCTTTAATTTACCTTCTCAAATCCTTTTAAAAACTATTTCGCCATCATCAGTGTGCCTTTGTTACAAACCAAACCTGATGTTGCTATGCTTCTGAAGGGGAAAAAAGCTCAAGTCACTTCCTCAGAACCTTCAGGAATGCCCAAATGCCTAGCTCTGCAAACTCCACTGGGCTGCCTCCAGCCATCTTCCTCCGGGGTTCTTCCTTCTCAATGTACTCTCCTACCATGTGGAACCTTTTATGGAAAGCCAGGCCCTCCCTGGCATCTAAGAATGCTTTCTTTTTTTCTGGAACACCCTTCCCAGACCTTTCTGAACTCCTGATGTGCCTTCAGGTCTCAATCCAGCTGTCCCATCGTCCTCTCCCTATCCCAGTCCTTATCTTTCTTCCCTGAAAAGCCTTCCCTGATCTTCCTTGTCTAGACTAGGAACTTCTCCATCCTTGCTTGATGCTCTGGGCTTATCCGCATGGAGTATGGTACTATAAATGCCAGTTTACTTATCCGAGGCTTGCACTACATTAGAAAAACCCTGCGATCAGCTACTAGAGATGATATTCTTTGTGTACAGCCTTTAGCATTGGCCTGGCACATAGCAGGTGTTCGGTAAATGCTTGCCAAACAAATACATGGCATGTGTATAGAGATATTTGTATAGAGATGTACATCTCTATACATCTCTTCAAGAAGTAGGGATTTTGATAGTTGAACACCTATAATTTTATCATACATTGGCTTTTATTTTCTTGTTTAAGGCAAGAAACGGGGGTGTTCAGGAAGAGCAAGGCCATTTTTGAGCCTGCTTGCAAGTCTTATCAGGATCCTGCTATGACCTGGTGCTTTTTTCTTCAGAGATAACACTGGGATAATTTTGGGGCTTTCTGGAGGGAACTGGGAGGTCCTTGCACAAATCACACACTTAATGGAGCTGAGCAGGCTCCACACAGCTGACGCTGGGATGGAAGGTGAGCATCCATGCTCCGTGGCTGGTTGGGAGCTTGGGCTCTGCGCCCTGAGTGTTTGTGAGTTACTTAATATTTAGGGCCTATGTATGCTGATTTATACAATGAGTCTAATAACAGTACCTAGTATGTACAGGGCTGCTGGGAGACCTAAATGTGTCAGTCCACATCAAGTTCTTGGGTGCCTGATGCTTGGTAAACAAACACTCAGGTGAGCTGTCGTCGTCACTACCATCACCACTTTTCAGTCAGCTTTACCCTCTTTCAGTACGGCTCTCACCTTTGAGGGCATGGCCATCTCTCTCCCTTGTTTTTGAGTCTTCTCCTCAGTCTGATGCAGACTGTGGTGGAGAGCCCGCATTCATATCACTCCCTGGAGGTCCACACCCCACCGCCTCTTGTCAATCAGCTTTCTGGGCAGTTTTCCAACGTGATTTTGGGTGTGGAAACTTTCTGGATGGTGCTGAGTAAAGAGTAAATGGGAAGAGACTGAGATTAAGTGTGGTAGATTAAGTGTGGTGTCTCTTCTTGGCCATATATGGGTCCCACATTGCTCAGGAGCAGCTGCAGAACTCATTGGCTCAAAGGAAGAGGGAAAAACCAGGTTTGTGACATTGAGCTTTTTCATCTACAAACACACAACCAGCCTGGGGAACTTTTTGTAAAATCTGTGGAATGAGATTGACATGAGTTCCTTGTATCATTTTCTCAAGGGTGTATTAATGGACTAAGTAGTTCTCATGAGGGAAATTCCCACAGGGGATATCAGATGAGACTCTTGATAAACCACTTTTTTTTTTTTTTTTTTTTTTTAACGCAGAAGCTAGCTCTTCTAATGCACTCCCCATAGGGGACCTCTCCATATTATAGAATTATTAGTTGCATTAGCTATGTGAAGGCAGAGAATAAAAGAAGACCACGATGAATTTGAAGAGACTTGCTACAAATTTTTGCAATCATAAGCATTCAGAAAAACTGAATTATGGTTGCAATTGTGAAAAACAATTTTGGCTTAAAATTTGGAAAAGAAAAATATAATTTCAGTAAAATAATTCTCCAGATATTTATATGTGTATATAAATAATTCTCCAGATATTTATATGTATGTATATGCATGTATGTATATATATATATATACACACACACATATATATATATATACATCTTTGGAAAATATTAAATATATACACACATATATGTGGTTTATATGATAACATATGTATATATTTATATATACTTGAGATTTAAAAAGAAATGGCCACTGCTAAGAACAAATCTGCATGAAGATTACCTAAGTGGTGTAAAACCATGAACTCTGCTATATGATGTAGTTTAACACAGAGATAGTATTGTCTGCATTTTCCCCTAAAACCAAGAAGAAAGTTAGGTAAATTATTAAAGTTATCTGAGGTTGAAAAATCTTTTGGAAATTCATTAGTAAAATAGGAATGCCACCAACTCTTGAAATCCACAGTAGCTCAACCCTAAGGCAATGCTAGGAAGTCAGGGGCTGGGTGGCTGAGTGCACAGGCAGGGTGTTATAGAGGGACCCTGTCTGGGGAAGATAGGCCGAGCAGGCTGTGGGCTGCCCCCTGAGATGAGATAGCCAATGTGGGCTCCGCCCAGGTTAGGTTTGATTGCCAAGAAGATCTGGCAGTGTTAGAGGACAAGGGCAGCAGGAGAGTGCTAAGTAGTTAAATTAGCTGGAGGCCTGGGAGCCAGACGGGAGCCAGTGGCTGGTAAGACAGAGAACTGGGGGCCCACCCCGGTATGCTGAGGGCTGCAGGTCAAGGGACTTGTACGGGGGACTTGTAATACATGCAATAGGCCACCTTAACTGGTACAAACCGCTCAGTGTCAACGAAGGGAGTAAGATTTGTAAAGAAGCCTTAAGCTCACTGAACTTGCCTTTCCAAGTATCAAGTTATGGTTTCAACAAATGTGTATCAAATGTGTGCTATATGTCATGCACTCTACTGGTCCTGGGAATATGGCAATGATCGTTGTGGATGTGGAGCTCACAGTCTAGTGGGAAAGAAAACGGAATATTCCCAGGAATGTGTAGTGCAAACTCTGTCAGGTCCTCTGGAGGAAAATGACAGGGCATCTAAGAGAGCATAACAGGACCGTCTAGACCAGGGAGGTTTCTTATGCGGCGATGACGTTAGAGCTGAAAGACATTCAGGAGCAAGGCTGGCATGGAGATGGGGAGAGGGAGGGTAAAAGATTTCGGGGAAGAAGCAACTATATGCTCAAGGCCTCCTTGAGGCCGAAGGGAATCTGGTGCTCTGGAAACGGAATGAAGAATGAAGGAATGAAGCATGGCCAGGACTCAAGGACCAAAGAGGACAGGGGTGCGAGGTGAGCCGGCAGATGGAGGCAGGGCCAGATCACGTAGCGGGTGGAGGCCGCCTTAGCCACACAGGTGTTCTGGGAAGAGCAATGGTGTGAGTAAACTAACAGGCAGTGTGAGTGGTGGTAAAAGGCATCAAGAGTGCAGTTGTCCAGGGAAGGACATCAACCACCTGTGCTGGGGCCAGCAGCGGAGATGGACAGAAACTTTGAGCTCTTTTGGGGGTAAAGGTTTTAGTGCCTGCACATTTGTTTGTATGTGAGGTTGTGTGGCAGAGGGAGATGTTGACGATGGCATAGGCTTTGGCCCACATGTCTGGAGGGATAGCAGTGCCTTGTGGAAGGCACACTGGAGAACTATCAGGTCTGAGGGAAGTCAGTTTAGTTGGGACCTGGTGCATTTGAAGCATCTTTGAAATGTGTGAGTAGTGATATGGAGCAGGGCTCTGAGCTATAACCAGCTGGAGATGGAAATCAGGGACTCAAGGTCTAGATGGCAAGGGAAATGTCACAGGGTGCCTGGGAGACAGGACAAGATGAGAAGAGAAGGGGCTGGGCCAAGAATGGCCCCTCACTATCTAAAGTCTGTGTTGAAGAAAATAGGCTGGTGAAGGAAAGTAGGAAAGAATGGGCAGAGAAGAAAGAGGTGAGGCAGGGGAGGGTCATTTCAGAATCCAAGGGAGAAAGGTGTTTCCAATCATTGGGTGGTTCACAACGTTGAAACACTGAAAAGAGCCCATTTAATTTAGTGCCCTGGAGATTATTGGTCATATGGACCATCTCAGTGAAAACCATATGTCATACGTTAGGGTGTAGGAAAACCATCTGATTTTAGACTGTATCACTGTTACGGTTGGGGTTTCTAAACAAATGAGTTAACAGATAAAAGGCCAGAGTACCTCCCTATCTCTGTGCAGGGCTGAAAATGGTACAGTGTGACACAAATGTTGAGTGAAAAGGAAATGCCAATTTTGTGAATGTAGCTTCAAACACAATGGTATATGTAAAACATTTTTTTAAAAGTATAATGGTGTCTATGCTATTGCTTTTAGTGAAACTGTTGATTCTGATCCCTTTCATTATAAATCTAATGGTAATATGTTTACTATTTTCTTGGGAACAAAAAGAAATGCATTATTGTAGGCAGCTAGTTTGAATTGTAACCACATCACAATTTATAGATAAAGTATCATGTTTTCTAATAGATAATAGCTGTGAGACAGTGTGTGAGAATAGCATAAAAATAATGTGAGTAGGAGGTAACATTAGCAAATGCGGCCAAATAATGAAAATTTAAGTGGACTCTATATAATTTAGGTAGACTAATTGTGATCAGTTTTTATTTAAGAAGTGATGAAGCCTGCTAATTCACACACAACATTGCATTATGGTATTAACCTCCACACTAGTGGGTAAATGCAGACTTCAAGGTCAGTGAATTCTAGCTCTTTAACTTATTAACTGTGGGACCTTGTGAAAACTGCTTTCATTTTGCATACCTCAGTTTCCTCATCTATAAAACAGGGATACAATAAAACCTATGTTGCAGCATCCTTGCTAGGATGAAAAGAGCTGACCTGTATATCACTCAGAACACCTGGCTTATACTAAGCACATCATAAATCAAGCTATTATTATTATGTCATTATTATTCCATGATAAGTCTATTTTCATAAATCTCTGTCAACTTTTCTAAATTAGATATACAGCATTGGAATTACTAGATCAAAGAGTACAACCATCATTTTGTGTTTACAGTTTTTGCAATTTATTTATTTAAATAAAAGAATACTTTGTATGTGAGATAGGTCTCCTGAATACAGCACACTGATGGGTCTTGACTCTTTATCCAATTTGCCAGTCTGTGTCTTTTAATTGGGGCATTTAGCTCATTTACATTTAAGGTTAATATTGTTGTGCGTGAATTTGATCCTGTCATTATGATGGTAGCTGGTTATTTTGCCCATTAGTTGATGCCGTTTCTTCATGATGCTGATGGTCTTTACAATTTGGTATGTTTTTGCAGTGGCTGGTACCGATTTTTCCTTTCCATATTTAGTGCTTCTTTCAGCAGCTCTTATAAGGCAGGCCTGGTGGTGACAAAAATCTCTCAGCATTTGCTTGTCTGTGAAGGATTTTATTTCTCCTTCACTTAAGAAGCTTAGTTTGGCTGGATATGAAATTCTGGGTTGAAAATTCTTTTCTTTAAGAATGTTGAATATTGGCCCCCACTCTCTTCTGGCTTGTAGGGTTTCTGCAGAGCGAGCCACTGTTAGTCTGATGGGCTTCCCTTTGTGTGTAACCTGACCTTTCTGTCTGACTGCCGTTAACAGTTTTTCCTTCGTGTCAACCTTGGTGAATTCCATGCTCATGGATAGGAAGAATCAATATTATGAAAATGGGCATACTGCTCAAAGTAGTTTACAGATTCAATGCTATCTCCATCAAGCTACCATTGACTTTCTTCACAGAATAGAAAAAACTACTTTAAATTTTATATGGAACCACAAAAGAGCCTATATAGCCAAGACAATCCTAAACAAAAAGAACAAAGCTGGAGGCATCATGCTACCTGACTTCAAACTATACCACAAGGCTATAGTAACCAAAACAGCATGGTACCAAAACAGATGTATAGACCAATGGAACAGAACAGAGCCCTCAGAAATAATGCCACACATCTATAACCATCTGATCTTTGACAAACCTGACAAAAACAAGCAATGGGAAAAGGATTCTCTATTTAATAAATAGTGTTGGGAAAACTGGCTAGCCATAGGCAGAAAACTGAAACTGGACCCCTTCCTTACACCTTATACAAAAATTAACTCAAGATACATTAAAGACTTAAATGTAAGACTTAAAACCATAAAAATCCTAGAAGAAAACCTAGGCAATACCATTTGAGTCATAGGCATGGGCAAAGACTTCATGACTAAAACACCAAAAGCAATGACAACAAAAGCCAAAATTGACAAATGGGATCTAATTAAACTAAAGAGCTTCTGCACAGCAAAGAAACTATCATCAGAGTGAACAGGCAACCTGCAGAATGGGAGAAAATTTTGCAATCTATCCATCTGACAAAGCGCTAATATCCAGAATCTGCAAGGAACTTAAACAAATTTACAAGGAAAAAAATCAAAAGGTGGGCAAAGGATATGAACAGACACTTATTTATGTGGCCAACAAACATATGAAACAAAGCTCATCATCACTTGTCATTAGAGAAATGCAAAGCAAAACCACAATGAGATACCATCTCACACCAGTTAGAATGGCGATCATGGAAAAGTCAGGAAACAACAGATGCTGGAGAGGATGCGGCGAAATAGGAATGCTTTTATACTGGTGGTGGGAGTGTAAATTAGTTCAACCATTGTGGAAGACAGTGTGGTGATTCCTCAAAGATCTAGAACCGGAAATACCATTTGACCCAGGAATCCTATTACTGGTTATATGCCCAAAGAATAATAAATAATTCTGCTATAAAGTCACATGCACATGTACATTTATTGCAGCACTGTTCACAATAGCAAAGACTTGGAACCAACCCAAACACCCATCAATGATAGAGTGGATGAAGAAAATGTGGCACATATAGACCATGGAATACTATGCAACCATAAAAAAGAATGAGTTCATGTCCTTTGCAGGGATATGGATGAAGGTGGAAACCATCATTCTCAGCAAACTAACACAGAACCAGAAAACCAAACACTGCATGTTCTCACTCATAACTGGGAATTGAACAATGAGAACACATGGACACTGGGAGGGGAACATCACACACTGGATCCTGTTGGGGGTGGGGGGCTAGGGGAGGGATAGCATTAGGAGAAATACCTAATGTAGGTGACGAGTTGATGGGTGCAGCAAACCACTGTGGCACGTGTATACCTATGTAACAAACCTGCACATTCTGCATATGTATCCCAGAACATAAAGTATAATAATAATAATAAAAAAGGTATTTAAAAAAAAAAAAAAGAATTCCCATACACATTTACAATGTCAAACAGTGACTTAAGCTTTGTCTCTTTTAAATAAATGGATATTAAGTTAAAAAATATATGCTTGAACTGATTTCCAGCTATTACACACTGGGATGGCCATATTTATTTTCAAAAATCAAAATTCTTCTCTATCAGTGTGTAAATAGCCGCTGGACAAGTCTCTCCTCCAGTGCCCCAGGCCATCCTGTTCCTTTCTGGGAATTATAAGACTTCCCCATGGCCAGGAACTGAATCATAGCAAGAGTTCTGGGACCTTCGCCCCACCTCCGTGGCCTGTGTCCATTCTGATTGGTCAGGCTCATACTAACCCAGTTATTAAACTTGGACTTTGCTAATGTGCATTCTATCTAATAATGCCATAACATATAATTTTCAGTAAATATTCACCAGTATTGCTTAGTGTCATTATGCAAACAAACTCTTTGCTTATTTACTAGCTAAAGAATGCATTGCAATTTACTTCCTATTTCTTCCATCTTCATTAGTTGAACATTTGCTTACGTTTGTTTATCATCCATTTGTATTTCTCCTTTGTAACTTTCATGCTTGTAATTTTGCCAGTTTTTCCACGTGAGGTCTTATGATTCTTTTTAAAGATTTATAAACTTTCTTTAAAAATTCAAAATATTAACCCATTTATAAATAATGAATTTTTGAATATTTATTGTGCATGTAGTTTCTAGTGTGTTAGTCTTTCAATTTTGCTAGTGATCTTTTTGAAATTTATTTTAAAATGTCAAAAATTTTAATTTCTTTTAATTTCTTACATCACCTTTGTGCTTAGAAAGTTTCCTCTCTTTACAGTAGAGGTCAGAAAAATATTAAAATATATCTTACAGCTTTTTAATTTAGAAAACAAATATATGTTAAACTCTCCAATCCACCTGTAATTAATTTTAATGTATGATGAGGGATAAGGAGCTCAACATATTTGGTTTCCAAATAGCCAGTCTCCCCAGTGTTATTGATTTCAGTGTCTCCTTTATTTGACATGGCTTATGGCTGGTAAGTCAATTTTTAAACTTTTTGGAAAAAGAAAGGTGGCCCTATGGTAAAATTTTTCCTTTTAAATATTATTTAGTGTCTTCAGATACTGAACAAACATGATGCCTTTAGATTGTAATAATTTGCTGGTCAGTGTCATTTTTCTGAGTGCAGGAGCAGGAGCAAAGCTCTCAGGTGCCGTGAGAATCACTGTTCCAAGACTGGGTCTCAGTGGAGCTACTCACTACTCTCAAAAATAGCGACAATTTGCTAGAACTTTTTGTTACGGCCCTTTGAATTGGGACCGGAATACCTTCTTAGAGAAAATGAGGTGAGAAGATGTATTCATCAGCTCTGACTTCACAGACATTTGGATAAGACATAGTCTAATCCGGACTATAAAGTTGTGATTTCATATAATAAGTTTGCAAAAGAAAAAAAAAGAGTATGAATTTCCAAGGATTAATTTTCATTGACTTCATAAAAGAAAGACCCTCTGAATGAAAGGGATTCCTGGATCAAAAAAATAAATTCAATTATTTCTTCAACCTCTAATGACAGTACTTTTCTGTAATTTTAAAAATACTTTGGGTGAATGTTCCTTTTTGCTTCAATACCAAAGTGACGGCAGGGTGCAGGGATTGTCCGTGGAGAAACAAGTGTCACTTTGTTACATTTTCCATGCCTCAGTAATTCCAGGTGAGCCGTTCCTAAGGTTATAAAATCCCTTCTCTGGTATCATTGCATATTGATATTGCACCAGCCCCAAACTATGTCTTTCCAATTGCTTAGCTTTTAACTTATCATTTGACATTGAAAGGTACTCTACACTATAATTTGCCTTTTTCTCCTGCCTCATAGCACTGCCTCTCAACTGATACAGAGCCAAAGAGCATATTTCAAATAAACTTAGAGAAACGTACAGTAAAACAACACACAAAATTAGTCTATCTGAATATTAAAGAGAAAATTCTATGTTAAGTATTTTTAGAACTTCACCGCAATACAATTTACAATTACAATAGATAAACGATTGTACCTCACAAAGTAACTTGGTATATATTAGAAGAGCTAGCATACTTAGTGCAGAAAACTTACCACAAGAAATGTATTTTATTTTCTTGTGAGAAAAGAATTAATAATAGCATAGCTTGTGTCACTGGTAACTTATTTTGTATTTTACGTATGTGAAGTTTCAGGGGAAAAAATGAAGGAAAATTTAAATTTCAAACTTTATTTTAGAATGGATTGTAAATTACGTTATACTGTCAATAAGTCAGGGTTTTTTTTTTTTTTTTTTTTTGTATTACAGTTTCTGTTAGCCTATCATTTTTAAAGAAACTTCAAGCAAATAGCATTTGGAACTAATACATAAATCTGTCAGTATATTCAAAAGTGCTATAGTGTTTTAAAGAGAAAAGCATTGTTCTTAACTTGCCTGATATAGCAATGAAAGTAGGCCAGGCTGATTTCGGGCAGGTTTCCACAGCGGCAAGTCGTGTCACTAATGCTAAAAGCCCTTCACTTACATTTTCAGAAAAAAAAAATTATAGAATTAAATATCTTTGAACCAGCAAGACTGCTCATTACAGGAAGTTACTATTTTGATCAGGCTGTTGGTTTCTGAAGTCTCTTGGCAACAATACAAAAATAGCTTTCTCTTGTTAATAAAGAACAATCTGCAAAAACAAATTAGAAATGTGTTAAGAACAAAATAAACAGGCATTTATTTTTTAAACTTGGGGGCCCCTAAATTTCGCAGACTTCTGGAATCTGGGGAGCTCCACCCAACTGCTACACATTTTATTGCCCTGTTATAGGTTTGGCATGAGAGGAATAATTTTCCAACTGTTGGAACAATGTGAATTCACATTTTTCCAGAAGGAAAAAAAAACCCTCTATCTTACATATTAAATTCCACATAGAGAAACAGTGTCTGTATCACTCTTCCCATTTTATGATGGAATTTGAGAACTAAGGGAAAAATTATATATATGAAAATGGTATATCTAAGTGTAGTTAAAACCTACATCTGGTAAAAGAATTTTTAAATCAGTGTAGAAAAGCCAATTCACAGAGCAAAGCTTCCATGTTGTGAAATTTCACTTGTAACAGTCACTTGAGGCCAATCACCTGGGATTTGTTGAAATAACTCCTGTCTAGTTCTTACTGTTACATATTATACAGTAAGAGAGATTGCTGCTAAAGAGAGGTTGGTATAAGTCTGGCTAAGAAACAGTTCTTTGAATACTTGCTTAGTCTAATAATTTATTCTAGGTGATTAGAAATTCATATTGACTCAATTGCCACTGCAACCAACACACCTATTTGGGTGGGGTGGGAAGAGATTGATGTTCTAGCTTTTTTAAAAGTATGAAATAGCAAATTTTCATATTTATATAAAAGGATGATATTTTAAAAACATGTAACAGAAAGTGATTATTCCATGTTTTTCCCCTACTCTGTGGAATGGGTGAAAAAAAAATGTAGAGCTGTTCATAAGATCTGAAGGAGCTAATTTTCTCAATTGGAATTAATCGTGGCGTTAGGTACCACAGCTACAGCAGGGGATATTTTGCTCTCCTAAATTTAAGGCATGGTACTGGAGCGAAATGAGAAGAGTACAGACAGAGGAGATGAATGGTTCATTTACTGGTCAGTTGGTAATATCATCACACCAAGATGCACAAAACATGCAGGTGTTTGCTCTTGTGAAAGAATCAGTGCCAGTAAGAATAGTGTCTATGCATTTTGGACGGTTCTTATCTCTTTTGCTCAGACACTAACTAGTCAAGCTCCCTTTTATTATAACCATCGTGTTCCCATCCAGAGATGACATGCTTGCTGGAATGTCAACCTAGAGAGCTGTGTTTTTTCTGGCTTGACGTCCCCGTTTCCTGACGTCTGGATCTGTGCTGGTCCCACAGCTGTTCCTTTGCTCTCACTGTTCCCTCTCCCTGGTTTCCATCTGCCCCCAGTGCTGACTTTACCTCCCCTTTGTCCCTGACTGTTACCCGCTGTCCACCAACTGCCTGCTGTTGCGCCTGTCTGGTGGAGAAGGTTCCTTCTTAGTCCTCATGCGCACAGCCCTGGCTCCAGCGCCCCTCCCAGGTCGACAAGAAGAGCTTGGCTAGGGGTCATTGCAGCAGCGACACAGCCGGTTTGGAACAGGGCTGCATTTCCAGGCTCTCTGATGCACACCGTGACAGGTCCCAGAACTAAAAGGCAAATGAAGGTAGAGGAGGTTCATGCGCTTTTTGACTTCTGTCTCTGGAGAGGCAGGTAAAGCCAATATTATAGCGCTGAGAACTAAACCCTCCCAAGAGGCTGTCTAGTCCAGCCCTTGGCTTTCAGCTGGGTGAGGCTTCATTACACCCGAGAGGCACCCAGGGCCTCGAGAGGTTAAGTGATCCAAATCTCACAGCTAATGAACAGTGGAGGGCTGTGTGTGTAGGTGCGTGTGTGTTTGTGTGAATGTGACACAGACTAGAGCGTTGGTTGCTTTCTTTTAGAGTAGATTTTTTTTTCATTTGGAGAAATGTGAAAAACACGGAAAAATGACAATAATGTAACAATCAGCTATATTCTCACCACCCACATTTAAAACTGAATACCTTATGTAATATTTGCTGCTTTTTTTTTCTGCTTATATTTTTTCAAAGCTACACGGGAAAGGTATATGTGTGTGCTTTTCCTATGAGAAAAAGGAGGCACAAAAAAGGAAAACAAATGCATTTATTCTTTTAACAAAAGGGCAGAAAGGAGAAAGGAAGTAAACCTTGTAGATAAAGCCAAGCTCCTTTTGACCACCATTACAATATTATTCCTCTCCTTCTTTTCCTCTTGAGAACAAAACAACAATCAATTTGAGTTTGATGAGAATTTTTTCAATATTACCTGTGCACTGATATCCATAAACAGTGTGCACTGTCGTCTTAAATGTGTTTCAATGTCACGTGTGATGGGTCATCCTGACACTTGACTTCTTCACTTACCATCATTGGATGAGACAAAACACACAGCCCTTTAGTTTGGTGGGTTTTTTTTGTTTCGTTTTGTTTTGTTTTGTTTTTGAGATGGAGTCTCGCTCTGTCGCCCAGGCTGGAATGCAGTGGCGTGATCTCGGCTCACTGCAAGCCCCGCCTCCCAGGTTTAAGCAATTCTCCTGCCTCAGACTCCCGAATAGGTGGGACTACAGGCGCCCACCACCACGCCCGGCTAATTTTTTGTATATTTAGTAGAGACGAGGTTTCACCGTGTTAGCCAGGATAGTCTCAATCTCCTGACCTTGTGATCTGCCCGCCTCAGCCTTCCAAAGTACTGGGATTACAGGCGTGAGCCACCCCCCACGGCCTAGTTTGGTCTTTTTCACCATCATGCAGTGAGACATGGTGTGCACAATCCGCATGTTTTCTGGATAGTCCCTTCTGAAATGTTCATTTATGATTTTGGCTCTTCCAGAGGACATCACGGTAAATAATCTCGTGCATTTTCCAAGTGTTTCCCTCGTGTTTCCTGATCATTGATCATGCGCATTTTCAACTGTCCTAAATATTGCCAAATTGCTGTCCAGAGTGGCTATGACTAATACATCCCTGCCAGTTTGCCTGGGGGCTTCTGTTTCCCTAAATCCTTCCCAGCACTCAACAATGTTACTTGTTTTAATTTTTCCAGAGCTGACCAAAATATAGCTCATCCGTTTCCAGTGCAAGTAAAAGGTGAGAGGCTAGGTGGGTGTTTAGAACATTTCAGTGTATGTGGAACTATGACTGTGCAGAGACCCTGGGAGGTGGTCTGACCCAACTCTGCCACATGCGGGGGGCTCTATTTCACCACTGCTGCCTCCTTGGCACTGCTTTTTGAGGCACATTGATAATTTAGCTACTCTGTGTTAAAGATAGCGATGTAGACTGACTGATTAGCCTGATGTAAAAAAAAAAAAAAAAAAAAGCGTTTGGCAAATACAACCCTATGTGGTCCATATTTGAATATTTTTTCACAAGTCAACTGCTTGATTATATAGCTAAGAAAAACAAAGGCCAGAGATTTTACATGGCTTATCCAAGCTCTCTTCTCTTTAGGAAAATAAATTTCAGGAAGGTTGAACAATTGGCAGAGAAACACTGAAATAAAAATCAATGACATTGATGGGGCTTGGCCTCAGGGGGCCTTCCGCTGGTTTTTACCTATGGCCTGTATCTCTCAGTAGTTCCAGTTTCTGCTAATGACGTCCACTTGTAAGGAGGACAGAGCCTGGATTATAGGAGACGCTAGATACATATTGCCCAAATTGACAAATGAGTCAAAATGGGGAGCATATCAAAATCTATGTGGTGTGTGCATGTATTGAAAACATGTCCCAGAAAATCAAAATATTGTGCCTCCCAAAGAATCATACACCTACCCTCATCCTCCACTTTTTCCTCTCTTCCCTTTCCCAGGACCTATATGAGAGTATTAATTGCAGACTGACCCCAATAACGACAGAGTTTGAATAAGAAATATAGTAGTGTAGTAGGTTCACTGATTCTATGAAAAAATATGAAGCAACAAAACAGGGCACATGTGGTATAAACAGCATGGGATATGGGTGGATAGACCATTTGTTTAAAGTTTACGGCAGATATCATCACTGTAATACACAATATATCATGGGACAAGTTATATTAGGCTTTATGTAAATAGAGGCAATGATATGGGAACAATGGCTTTTAAAATTTACCAATAGGGCACAATCTAGAATATTAAGCAAAAATTAGTCCAAACTTTGGTTGTATAAAATTGAAGAGAGGTAATTTTGATAGGGATAAATGCTAAACTATTGATAAAAAAAATACAGAAATATTTTTTAGGTGAGATGTTGTGGTCTAAGGGTACTGTTTGTGAGAATAGATGGCTGCTTTCATTCAGAAAGGCAACATGGCGTTAAAGGTAGTTATTTCGTGAGGCCTAGCAGAATAGGTTACACTGAGACCAGAAAATACATTAAGTGAGTATCAGCTTAATAAGCAATGAATAGACAGAAGAAGACGCCCTGAGGAAAAGAGGTGCACTGTGAGCTTGAGAACCAGACCATACTGCAAGTCACCATCCCTCCGTGTTCTCCAAGGAAGGAGATGATGCACTTTCTTAACTCCTGTAATTTCTGTGGCTGTGACTCACTGGGCTGGTGTAAGAGAACAAGTATTTACACCGCTGTTCTCAATCAGTAGTCAAGCTTTGAAAAGGAAATAAGGAATAACTTTCCCATATTTGGAGGTAACAAGTGTAGCAAGATGGCACAATCCCTCCCTCTCAAAGGAGCTATGAGGTTTTACTAATAGTGGCTATTACTCATCCAGAGGCCAGCGCCTCTGCCAGCACAGGGTCCCCTTATACTTTACTGGAGAATTTTAGTTTTTATCATAGAGCATTGATGTGTCACATTAAAAATGTTTACAAAGCATTTTATAATCATTATTTACTGCCTTACATAGCAACCCCACGCTGCAGTTCAGTCCTGCCTTTTAAACAGCATGAACCACCTACTCACACATAGGACCCAACTCCAGAAGGCTCCTCTTGACATTTTTGGCTGAACTATCATTTAATCTGGATCAAAGTTAAATTTTAAAAGTTGCTGTGGTCAAAGAAAAAAGGATAGATAATTTAGCTTTCTTTTGTGCTTTTAGGATTACGATGATAGCAGATTTGTAAGAAAAGAAAATTCCTTTAAAATTAAAGGTCATGTCTTTGACTCTGTCAATTTCTCTTTGTTCAAAAATGAATAAGAAGATATTAAAGAAAAATATACAAGCACAAAAGGAGTCATTAAAATTTATTTTCCAAGCTATTTGTTGAATATAGTGTAGAAATGAGTCAGGAACAGGACATTTTTTACACTAAAGGGATTAAACAGAAAGACCAAAGCTAGTTTGTGCCTTTTAAATCAAATTGTTTTCAATGTCTGCAATGTAGACTGCATTTATGACTTGACATTTATTAAAAATAGCATCAGTTAATTTTTCAATTTTTAAGGAATTCAATAAAGTAATGTCTTAGTTATGCTTGAAAGTTATGTTGGAGGCTAGACCGTGGAAGAAATGTATTAGGTTAATTTAAATTTTGGTTGATATTAATTCATATCTTAAAGAAAAAACAGTTCTTGTGATTCCAGTGAACATGAGAAATAGTCTATGAAACAGAATTCTGGGAGAACTGCTACATGACTTGAGTCATTTTAAGCTAGACGGACTCAACATTCAGGAATATCCCTTGGGGAATTTCCTGAAATTGACAATGAGTAAGACACCCTAGGAGAATCCTTTTCCATTTTGGAGGTGATTTCCCATGCTCCCTGTCTTATTTTTCTGTCTTCTGATTGAAATAGAAACCCCGACATGTGTCTACCACCAAACCACCCTGAACGTGCCCAATCTCATCTGATCTCACAAGCTAAGCAGGGTCGGGCCTCGTTAGTACTTGGATGGGAAAAATTCCAGCAAGTACTCGTTTTGTTGGTGCATATGTTATGATACGTGTGCACCAGTTACACAATAAAATAGTATTTGTAAAAAAGTATAAGCAGAGAGGAGTATGCGGTTGTTACTCAAAAGTAAATTATCAAGTAGACAAGTTAATTAGCAACTGATTCAAGGAATTTTTTGGATAATATTGTATTTCATTTGAATAAGGATGCATCTTAAAATCTACTGGTATACCTCTTTTTCCAAAATTGAAGTGAAAGTAGTAATACAATATGGAGCTTTGGAATTTATTCTGAAGGATACTGTAGCTTATGAGTGGTCATGGAGCTGATTAAATAAATGTTGTTTAAGCAATTACTCCCAGAGTGAACACAGTTTCTCCCATTCGGGGCATTTCCCTTACAACTTCTATTGTATTTCTTTGAATTTTGGAAATCACAACTGGCCTTGTATGCATTGTCGTTATGGTATCTCCCAAGAGATAGCAGCATTCCTACAGGGTTTAAGTGGAACTGATGCATTTATGTGCGTTTATTTATTTGCTCCAAGACATGATGTTTCCCCATTACTATGGTCAGAACTAGGAACGGAGCCTGAGAATTTGTGTCTAGGCCTTTATTCTAACTAACAACAACACTCGATCCCACTACAAAAAAAAAAAAAAAGTAATCTGCCATGTCAGAAAAAAAAAAGGGCCTTCAGCTCCAGTAAATTGCAGGGTTATACTTTAAAAGAAAAAAAAAAAGGAAAGAAAAGAAAAAAAAAAGTAAGGCAACTTTCATTTGAAAGGTTTAGGATTCTAGCAGGACATACTGCTTTTATATCTTTGAGTACTGCTCAAAGATTTCTGCTGAAGTACCATGCAATTTTCTCTAAGTGCATAGAGAACTCACATTCAAGCTTTTCTCTTCCTCTTTCGCCCTTTCATCCTGCAGTGTGCATTAGTGGAAAGGGCAGTGTTCTTTCCAGAGGAGAAGGAAGTTGATCTAGGAGAGGGTGAGCTGAGCCTGGGCTCCAGGCAGCCAGTGCTCTCTGCTGCCCTGGAATTGTGCCCCCTCTTTATAATGGGTTGAAATACTCACATTTTGGCAGTGGGTTGTGTTTGTGTGTGTTGTCACATTGCTATCGGGCCTTACTTATTTGAGCATGGAAAATGTTTCCTGCAAATAGTTTTACATAATTTCTTTTTCTGATGCTATGAAGGTTAGGATTCCTGTATGATCTATTTTTATAGTGAGACAAAGTTCTTCAAGAATTTTGATCTCTTCCTAGTCTTCAGCTTTTGGAGTTCATCAAATGCAAATCATTTTCAGCAGGTTAGTGCTTGTCTGACTCAGCCTTTGTTTTTGTACCTAGGTATTTTGTTCTTGTTGTGTTAGGCTATAGTTTAGAGATGGAGTAACTCAGTAGCGTTTTCTGCACTATTTTGAAATATATATGTATTTTTGAAATAGATGTGTGTGATTTCTACTTTGTATACAGTCATTGCTGAAAGATGGTTGTTTTGATTTTTGCCAGTGTAGCATGAGCCAAAACATATTCTCAATAATACGTAATATCATTTATGGTAATATCAAAAAGGCAATGACATACATATCTAATGTATTACTTGAACTGTTGAATTTTTTTTACCTGAGTTACCCAGTGGATCAGTTCAGCAACAATGACAGTAAGTCACTCTTAATGTCAGAGACTCAGAACTCAGTTCTCAGGATGCTCTTCTCTTCTGTCTTCATTTATCCCCTCTGTGGCCACAGCCCATCTCTTGGCACTGCTTGCTGTTTATATGCAGAGGACTCCCAAGTTTATATCCCCAGCTCAGAACTCACTTTGGAATTACAGACTCATATTCAGCTGCCTCCGATATCTCTACATAAAAGTCTAAGAGACAATGAATTCTTAGCAAATCCAACTTCTGCTCTGTTTCCAAAATGTGCTCCCCTGCAGACTCCCTCATCTTTGTCAGTGCTGACTCTGACCTTCCAGTTGCTCCGGGCAAAAAATTAGATTCATCCTTGACTCTTTCTTCTCTTTCCCTCGCATGCTGCATTCAACCAATGAGGAGGCACCGCTGGCTTTGCTTCCGCAGCTCTCCAGAAACGCTTCTCAGCACCTGTCCTTCTCCTGCCCCAGTCTGAGCCCCCACAATGCTTCACCTGGATTGCTACAAGGGACTCCTCGCCACCTCCCGAGATCTGCTCTTGTTCCTACCATCTCATTGCAACCCACAGCCAAAATTATTCCTCCAACACACAGGTGGGGTTATGATGTCATGCCTCTGTTCAAACCCTTGCAATGGCTCTTCTTTGGAGACGGTAATAAAAGCCACAGTGGGTACAGGATTCCCCAGGACACTTCAGGATCCGACTCTCCACAGCCTGTGCCTGGTCTCACTTCCTGCAACTCCTCACTACTTTTCCACATGGTCTTACCTGAAGTTTTCAGAATGATAGAATGATACCTGTTCCTGCCCAATGCCTTTTGCATTGACTACTCCCTCTTCCTGGAAATATTCCTATGGCCAATTCCCTCCCTTTCATCGTCTATGCTCAAAGTGTCTTTCACCATGAAGACTTTCCTAAATTCCTCTTTAAATTGCACCCCTCAGCCTCACATTCTCCACTACCTTGCCTTACATTCTTTTTTCCTCACAACCGTCTAGTATATCATTAGCTCATTTATTATTTTGTGAGTGTTGTTGACTTTATCTCAGTCCTTCTTTCCCGTGAAAGATTCTCCAGTGCAGGGATCATTGTCTGTTTTATTCTGATGTATCCCAGGCACCTAGAACAGTGCAGGAATACAAAAGATGCGTAGTAGATATTTCTTGAAAGAATGAAATCTTATAGGTATGTAAAGTCAAATAAGTTCTACAAAAAAAACAAACAAACTCATCCCTTAAGGTGCTCAGTAAACTAAGGGAGGGAGAAGGAAACACAAATGAAAGACTACAAGGGTTCAAACCCACAGAACATCTCATTAAACAAAAAGCACTAAGGGTCCTGAAATAATAAGGGCAGCATCTAGAAAAAATGTATTCACGAACGACCATACACAGTATTTAACTCACTGCTCTCCATTTGCAGGTGATGAAGGTTTACTCAGGCCAGACAGCAGCTAGTTCCCTGAGAACACCTTTTATGTGGCCCAATGCAAACACTGCTAAAGGGAGTGGCTGAGCAACCTTCTTCCTCTCTGGCTCTACTACCTCTGAGCCTTTGTCCAAGCTGTTCCTTCTGCTTAGACACCTGTCTTAGTCCGTTTTCACTGTTATAAAGACATTTCTGAGACTGGGTAATTTATAAAGAGAGGAGATTTAATTGACTCACAGTTCTGCATGGCTGTAGAGGCCTCAGGAAACTTACAATCATGGTGGAAGGGGAAGTAGGCATGTCTTACAAGGCAGCAGGCAAGAGAAAGGTGTAAGCTAAGGGGGAAAAGCCCCTTATAAAACCATCAAATCTTGTGAGATCTCCCTCACTATCATGAGAACAGCATGGGGGAAACTGCCCCCATGATCCAATCACCTCCCTCCCTTGACATGTGGGGATTACAATTAGAGATGAGATTTCAGTGGGGACACAGAGCCAAACCATATCATTATCCTCTCTCTCTCTCTCTCTCTGTTACCTAGCCAACTCCAGTTTACCTTTGGGTCTTGGTGTGCAGACTACCCCCTAGGGATCCTTTCCTAACCTCTTTCTCTCCCACAGAACGGCTTCCTCTGCTCTGTGCTCCTGTGGCTCTTTCTTTTCACTCTCTCCTCAGACTGACTTTTGAAAGCTTTCTTCCTGACCACTCTGTACATTCCTGAGGGCAAGGAAGCTCTTTGTCCCATTCCCAGCTGCAGTCCTGATACCCAGCAGCCACAGAATGTTTGTGGGATGAATACCATCAGCCACACCCTGAACCAGGGTACATGAGCAATTATCACTGACAAAGAACCTGGAACTTGACATTGACAGGGCTTGGATTTGCCAAGTAGACTGTCTCCCTGCACCACTGTACCGAATGCCTTTTATCCATAGAGGAATGACTCATAAGAAATATTTTTCAGAAGAAGAGAAAGAAGGAGTATAGAAATTACTATCCTCTCACTTTCCGTGATTATTTATTTATTTGCCACATGTTGAGAGCTTGATGGGATACACAGTTACAAAAGGCTTTTCCTGCTGATAAAGAACTCAGAGCCTGGTTGGGAGGAAAGATAGTACAACATATTTAAAATATTGAAACAAATGATTTGAGAGAGCTGTATTAAAGAGGCTTTGACAACACTATGCTTGGGCATGGAAGGCTCCCAAGACTGCTTTAAAGAACATGTTGGAGATAAATAAACTAAGACTGCAGGACTGAAGCAGGGTGGCAAAGTGTGACCTGTGGGCCCAAACAGGCCCGCTGCTGCTGCCTGTTTTTGTGTGACATGGGATCTAAATATGGTCTTATATATTTAAATGGTGGCGAGAGGGAGAAAAGTATTTCATGACACATGAAAATTATATGAAATTTGGAGTTCAGCATCCATAAATAAAGTTTTATCGGAAC
Organism: Homo sapiens; assembly: GCF_000001405.40. Classification (NCBI taxonomy): domain Eukaryota; kingdom Metazoa; phylum Chordata; class Mammalia; order Primates; family Hominidae; genus Homo; species Homo sapiens. The sequence continues at coordinate 106,150,862 of NC_000013.11, read as the reverse complement.
ACAGCCATGTGTATTCATTTATGTCCAACAACATCGTAGTGAAACAGAACCTTTATCCTTCAATAGCCGAAAATATTTGGTATTTGTCCCTTTACATAGAAGTTTGCTGACCCCTGAGCTAGAGAAAACAGCATGTGCAAAGGCCCAACTGCAAGCTGTTTTGCTTGATTGGAGTGAGACGTATGTGAGCCTGTGTGAATGTGTGAGTGTGTGTGTGTGCCATGCTTGTGCAAAGCAGGGTGGGATATGTAAGGAAAGGAATTTTCTTTTAAAAAGGCATGGTGCAATCTTGAATAGATTTTTGTTGATGTTTGTTTGTTTGTTTGTTTGTTTTTGAGACGGAGACTGTTGCCGAGGCTGGAGTGCAATGGCACGATCTCGGCTCATTGCAACCTCTGCCTCTCATGTTCAAGCGATTCTCCTGCCTCAACCTCCCAGGTAACTGGGATTATAGGCGTGCACCACCACATCTGGCTAATTAATTTTGTATTTAATAGAGATGTGGTTTCACTGTGTTGGTCAGGCTGGTCTTCAACTCCTGACCTTAGGTGATTTGCCTGCCTCCGCCTCCCAAAATACTGGGATTACAGGTGTAAGCCACTATGCCTGGCCTCAAATAGATGCTGTATGCCATGCCAAATACCTCTACCTCTGTTCTGTAGGCTGTGGGGAGCTAACTTACAGATTTAACCAGAGGAGTAACCCACTTAGACCTATGTGTTACCCAGCTAGCCTTTTGGTAATTTGTATATGTGTGGCCTGGTGTGAAGAAATTGTGAGACTTCAGGCCCCGTGATCATTAATCCTGTCACTGTCTTTAAATTATTCCACTATTTATAACTCCACCCAGACGGCACCCAACTATAGCACTTATTCTTTCCTCTGTTTTTTTCCAGAAATACTTTCAAAACTGATACCTTATTCATGAGGATTAACTTGTTCTTGTTAAGACAATATACCTACGTATGTGTATATATACAAGTTTTCTTTCTGCATGTGTATATCTATCATTTATATCTATCTGTAGAGAGTCTTTCAGGGTTTCCATGGGGAAAATGCTGCATTTAAGTTACAATACAGTTGTGATTCACAGTCTTTTGTTTGTGTTTGTTTATTTTTGGAGCAATTTGCCAAGAGTACCTCCAACCTATTATCCTGGAACAATTTCCCTCAGAGGTTTTTTTGACTTCAAAGAAGACTACGTGTAGATGGATGGCAGGAGAAATAGGCCCCAGATGGGGATGCTATCAGCACCCATGGGTTCCCATCTCTGGAAATGTTCACATTTTAAAATTGCAGAGTTAGGCTCTGGTCACCTTTTGGGGGCACTCTTTGAGGTGTGTCATTCAACTATTAATTTTATACTTCAAAGAGAGTTCACTTTATGAATGCAGCTGCAGAACGTTGAAAATATTATCCCCACCACTGTGGTCTCCTCCAGTTTTGTCTTTAAAATAACAATGTCAGCCCGTGGTTAGAAATAGTAAAGGCAGTAGCTTTTCTAGACACAGAAGGCCATCTATACCATGTTTCTTCTAAGAACAGGCTTTCCCTTGCTTTTCGGTTATATGTATAAGGCTTGATTTGCTGTCATTCAGTGAACTGTTCATGTTGATGAGGAAAAATAGGTATCAGTGTCTTTGACAGATAGAAAATATGGAAGAAAATATATTACAGTTTTCCCTTAACATTCATTATGAGTTACACTGATTTGGAGGAAATAGAAGGTCAAGCTTTCAAATGTTCTTTTTGTTGCTTTTGCTAATAATTTTTTCTCTATGTCCTTTATCTTTTGCTTACTTCAAAATGACAGTTATTAATGACATAGCTACAATTCAAGAGACATTAAATACCATTCTTTTAGAAAAGTTATATATATTATTAAAGTTCTACGAAAACATTAAATGTTATATACATGATGACATTCTATTTTGTTCATTAACATCAAATAATGAATTGTAATCACTGTTCACATTAATAAATTGGTATTTTCTAGAATAGGTCTCTGAGGGGCTCAAGGACCTTAGACATTTTGTTACCATTGCCTCCAAAATGTCATGCTTCCAATATGTGCCCTTGTGTTGTAGTTATGTATGTAATGTTGGTTTCCTTTCGCCTGTGTATGAAAAAGCAGTGTGGTCACCTGGCCTGGAACAATAACAAAACATTGGGAAGATATAGATGGGATAATGGTAAAAATACGTGACTTTTTTTTTTTTTTTTTTTTTTTTTTTGAGACAGGGTCTCCTTTTGTCACCCAGGCTGGAGTGCAGGGACATGATCATAATCAAATCAATCCACCCGCCTCAGCCTCTTGAGTAGCTGGATCTACAGGTGCATGCCACCATGCCCGACTAACTTTTGTATTTTTTTTTTTTTTTGTAGAGACACGGTTTCTCCATGTCACCCAGGCTCATGGTATTTTAATATATTTTAAAGTTCATATTTACAGTTATTATCACTTAGGAATAAAACAGAAATGATGAAATACAAAAGGGTAGTATTGATAAATGTAATAGTTAAGATCCTTTCTGTAAATTAAAGGAAACCTAATTCAAACTGGCTTAAGCAAAAAGGGGATCCTCTGACTCGTTTGACTGTGAGCTGTGTGGTCTGGGTGCAGCGGATCGGAAGAGATCATCAGCTTTCAGCCTTTTTTTCCTACTTCTAGGCCTTGATTTCACTTCTGTAGTCACAACATGGTGGCATCTAGATTCTAAAGCAGGTCACATAATTGCTTTTTCTCAGTGGGAAGAGAACAAGGGTCCCCTTCCTGGTACTCCCTCTCAAAGCTCCCACAGCCTGTAGTGCCCCTGTCGTGGAAGGCAGCATGCTGGAGCTGGGGCTTGGGGGCTGGGCTGCATGCTCCATAGGGAGCCAGGTGGATGGCCACTGGAGGGAAGTGGCCTGGGGGTGGTGCACTGGGGGATTCCCGGAGAGGAATCTGGGTGCAGCTGCTAGAAGACAGCTCTGGCTGTGTAGACTAGGCAAGTGCTTAGAAGATTTTTGACAACCTCTGATTCAAGGCTCACCTTGAAGGTAGTGACAAGGTTTAGGACATGCTATTCCCAAATAGGGCACCTTGTCATATGAGGAAACAGCACAAACAGGAAGCCCACCTTCTCCTCGACCTTTGTTCCTGAAGCATTGCCCATAAGACCCTTATTCCATTGGGGTCCTCTCCTGTCTACACTTGGAGGAAAGGAATGAAGACACGGAGATGCCAAGGAGACTGAGGGTTTGGGTCTGTGTCCCCACCCAAATCTTACTTCAAATTGTAATCCCCAATGCTAGAGGTGGGGGCTGGTGGGAGGTGATTGCATCACAGGGGTCATTTCTAATGGTTCTGCACCACCCCCCTTGGTTGCAATATTAAGTTCTAATGAGATCTAGTCATTTAAAAGCATGTAGCACCTGCCTCTTCTCTCTCTTCCTTGTGCCCTGGCCATATAAGATGTGCATGCGTCCCCTTCACCTTCTGCCATGATTTTAAGTTTCCTGAGGCCTCTGCATAGCAGAAGCCAGTATGCTTCCTGTACGGCCTGCAGAACCATGAGCCAATTAAACCTCTTTTCTTTACACATTTACCCAGTCTCAGGGTTTTTTGTTTATTTGTTTTTTAATAGCAGTGCTAGAATGGACTAATACAAAGATTCTAAACAAACAGGCCTTGCTAAGCTCCCCCAGTTTATTACAGGTAGCTCATATCCCCCTCTGTCTAATCCTACTTCTGCACGACTCTGTCCTCTTCCTCCAACCTAAGCAGAAACAAACACAGGTTGCCCTGTTTCTTTGGAGTCTTCATTTCTGAAGGCTGCCACACATGTAAAATTTATATTAAATCAATGTGTTATGCTTTTCCCTTATTAATCTGTATTTTATTGTAAAGGCCTCAGTCATGAACCTTGAGATGGGTGAGAAAAATACTGTTTCTCTCCTACAGTAGCAAAGAGTGATGCTGGTATGCTCAACACATTCTTCTTAAGGAAAGTTAGTACTTACCATTTGCCTCCTCAATCCAAAGAGAGGGCATGGGGGTTTCTCCTGGCTCTCTGCTTACTGAACAGGGCTCCAAAGGAGCTACTTAGGTCTTAGGAGACATTGTGGAGTGGTGTTGAAGCCCTACCAGTCACAGCATGAAGAGCTAGGCCTGAGACTGTGCAGTCACACACTGCTCCACACCCAGAAGGGCCACACCTGGTTTAATGGTCTCTTGTCACCACCTAGAAATTCTTAATAGTGTTTGAACAAGAGGCCCTGCATTTTTATTTTGCAGTGGGCCTTACAAATCATGCAGCCTGTCCCATTGAAGGCCATAGCTACATGGGGAGCTAGAATAACAGAGGTGAGCCCTGGGGAAGGCACCAGCTGGAAGGTCATTGTCACAGTGACCCCATCTGGAAGCACACACTTACTGATAGCAGAAAGAGCAGAAAGAGCTTGGAGGGGTGTCACTGATACAGAACCTGAGTGGTATGTTAAGTGGCAGCCAGAGAAAGAATGTTGACCTCATTAAAGGAACATAATGGGACACATGCATTGAGGTGGTGTCTCCAGAGAACTCACAAATGCATCCGAAGACAAAAAGAGTTATCCTGGAAGAGCCCCAAAGTTCAGAGAGCAAAGTCCAGAGAACATAGAGGTTTTCTGTCCACTCCCCTCTCCTTCTTCCCCAAGCCCACTCCAATCCAGGAAGAGCCAGAAGGCCGCCTAGTGGGGACAGGGTAAAGTGAGAAAAGGAGAAGTTTTTGAAAGGAAGAAGCTTCCACTTATAAGAGGCAAATGGAAAGTTCCCCTTTCACCCTCAGGAGGTTTGCTAGAAAATCAACTCATCAAGGACAGATTAATGGGAGAAGAGCCACAGAAATTTATTTGATCATAGTTTTGGGTGACAGGGGCATTCAGAATGAAGAAGCCACCTCCCATTGGGGTGCAGAAGCTTATAAACCATCTTGAAGTTACAGAATGAATGGGGGCTTGGATCTTGGCAAAACAGGTTATAGGAGAGGGGAGAAGAGGAATTCTGTTGAGGGGCAATACATAATTCCTAGGGAGAATTCAATGAGTTTGAAGAACCTATGATGGTCTGAATCAAAGTCTGTTGGGCCCACAGAGTGAACAATGGTTTGTGACACAAGTCTGTTCAAGTTTGAGAGACTTTAGTCCTCTTTCCTGTGAAATTAGTTCAGTTAATGAAAACTTATGGAGAGGACCAGAGGTAATTTTTTCTTCTTTGGTAGGTCTGGACTTTAGTCAGATAAGGGAGCTTCAGAGAATGACTTCATCCTATGCTTTGGGAGAGATAGTTGGGGATGGAGGAAGGTCAGAGAGACCTTGAGGCTTCTTTGTCAGTTCAGCATGTATGAAGACCACAGTTTGGTGGTATTGGTTTCCCAGCTCCAATACACTGTAGGTCTCCACAAAGCAGGCCCAAGGGGTGGGAGGGAGAAGGAGGGAAACAAGAACTCCAAGTTAAGTTTAGGATTCTGACAGTTGCGTTGGTTGGACAATAAAATTGCTGAAACTGGACTATTAAAAATGACTGGAGGACTTCCCTTATCTAACCAGAAACACCATGTGACCTATTTGAGCAGCCACCTAAGGATCAAAGTCTGTAGAGAGAGGTTTCAAATGGACAGTAATGAGAAAGGGGAGCCTTGTTGTTTCCTCCCTGTCACCAATGGAATCTCACCCTCTCAACTTAACAAAGAAGACTGCAGAAGATCTTTTCTTGTAAATCATAGCAGTAATTTTACACAGAAGGTATCTTTCTTGAACTTGTTTTTGAAACAATAAGGATATTGAAAGCCTTCCAAAAGTTTTGTTAACATTATGAAATAAATTGTGTGTTAGTTAATATCAGGAAAAAAATTTTATGAAGATGTCACTTCTGAAAAACCCCATGCATGGTGATCAGTGGTGTTGCATAGTGAAGGAAAACCCACCAGGCTTGGAACTAAAACTAGAGCAATATCTCCATTTGGCAATCATTGAATCTCAGTTGTGGTAGCTTAGCCCATCAAGGTGATACCAATGTTGTTAAAGAGAGGAAGTTAAACGCACTAACCAGAAAGTCTCAGAGTACACTCAAAGTACTTTAAGGTTGTGTTAGAAACTAATAATAAAGAAATTCACAGTTTAAGCCGACCTCCCATCCATGGACTCAAAGGGCCACATGAAGGAAGTGGTTTAAAAGACACCCTGTGGTGCCTAGGTATTGGAAGTCAGCCTTAACTATAAATTTCCTTGTTTTCATTAGCTTGGGTTACAACAAGCTGAGCATTTTTTGAATGCCCTCTTAGGTAACTTCCTTTTTTTTTCTTATAAGTTCCATAGTAAAAGAACTTCTGTAATCAGTAATCACACATTCTATTCCTATTTTATGTACTTTCACAATGAAAGACAAACTTATTCATGATCTCATAATTACCTATCTTGTCCTGTGTAACAATCCATTCTTTGTATCAGAAAACATTCTTCTAGGGATTTGGTAAAACCGGTTGAGCAGGTTTTCCTGCAGAAAAACCCAGTTCAAACAGTAGCTCACAAATGTAATCTCAAGTATTTATTTTCACATATGAGTAGGTAAACATCAAATACATAACCAGCAAATTTTTTTTGAACATTCAAAGGTAGCATTAAATTAGTGCCTGGGAATAAAACAAAATACCTCAGGTATTTAGTGATCAGTCAAAACAGGGAAACACAGTGATGGTAAATCTCATGACAGAACCCAATGGCTGGAGACTGCAGCCCATTTTGATGGCAACCTTGAGGTTTACCTGTGGCCATTGGGGCTGGAGGCTTTAGCTCTATTTTATTAAAAAGCAATCCAAATGACTCTTTCAAAGATTCGTGTGTGAATATTATTGAATTCATTTACTGACTAAACACTAAAATTACATGTTTTTTTTAATGACTCAAGTCAGTATGACATTTCATTCCATTTTGCCTTCATTGGCATCAATGAAACTGAGAAAGAAGTGCACTCTGTGTTATAATACCACAATTTAATTTTTTTTTTTTTTTTTTTTTTTTACTATTAAAGAAGTGGAAAAAAAAAGACAGTTAGATAAAAGGTAAAAGTTTAGGGTAAAATTCTGCAGCTCCTTTAACCATAAAATAACATTAGATCAACATCATTAAATGCTAGTGTAACTCTTATCCCAAAGCCTCTTCCGAGTAAACAATCCCTCCAGGATATCGGTTTTCTGTAGCAATGTGCTTAGAAAAAAACCCTTAGTTTCTATGCCAAGAATAAAATTCTAGCTCTCAAAATATTTGCATATGTAAACATTTCCAAATTCATATTCTATACACATGCTAAAACCTCTTGGTGTTTATACATGCTTTTGTGATTAGTCTTCAAACTTTTTGTTGGCCAGATATGTAAAACCCACAGCTAGAAGTTGGATATTAGAAAAAAGGATAAAAATAGCAATAAGGATAATTTTGTTCATTATTAGCACTTAAAATTATGCTTAGCTCTAAGAAGGAATTATAAAATACTGAAGACCCCAGGTAGAAGTATTTGTAATTTAAATTTTACCTATGTTTAGGTTTGTACCCCAAATTTGTCAGGATCTCTTAATTTGAGAATAGGGGAGTCATTGGCTAAGACATAAGATAAAAGGTGCACCATCTTGATGGGACACAATGGTTTTCCTTTTCTCTCCAGTTGAGGCAAATTCAACTAGGGTTTTTGATGTGACATGCAGTCTAAGACATCACAGGCCAATCAGTGGATGTGCCTGTGATGGGTTAAAAATGAAGGCACATAGACACACCTAATTATATATAATTCACCCTAAGATGTTCAAATTCTAAATATTGGGGAAATATAAGAACTTACTAAAAAGGTGCAATTTAGCTGTAGCAAATGATAGGATTGTTTCTAAGTTCCATATTACTTCAGTGCCTGTGAATTTCACTACATAAATAATTTATAGGAAACTGACCTTAATAATTACTTTGAAAAGAAGTCATGAATATCAGTCGTTTCAAAGATTGAATCAATTGTTTTCCATGATCGCAGAGAGCTGCAATTATTATACATTTTCTACTTCTATCTCAAATGTTATTTTTTGGTTCTCTGTACATATAGCCCATTAATTTAGTCACCCAAGATACAAACTAGCTTTAGTACTTCTCTCTGACCCTTGGGGGATCTTCAGAGGAATTGGACAAGTATGAGAGAGAGGCCAAGCAGCTCTGTGCTCATATTGTCACTGATTTTTCCGCTGTACATTCTTCAAAAATCTTCCCTTTGACAGAAAAAAAGTTATTTCATTCTCTGTCATTCTTTAACATATAGTGGGAGACATGGCTGATTTATTTTTTTAATCAAATGTTGATTGAACGCTTACTCTGTGCCAGGTATTTTTTTAATTCCACGAACCCAAATAAAGATAATACGCTCACCCTGAAAGAGCTTATAGTATATTTATATCTTAGTCTGTTTGGGATGCTGTAACAAAACAGCATCCCAATTGGATGCTGTTTTATAATTGGGTGGCTTATAAACAATAGAAATTTATTTTTTATAGTTCTAGAGGCTGGGAACTCCAAAATCAAGGTGCCAGCAGATTTAGTGTCTGGCGAGGGCCTGCTTCCTGGTTTGTAGAAAGTGCATTCTTGCGGAGTCCTCGGGGCCTGGTGTAAGGGACAAAGGAGCTTTCTGAGGACTCTGCCCTCATGACCTAATCACTTCTTAATACCATCACCTTTAGGGTTAGAATTCCAACCTATAAATTTCGGGGAGACATAGGCATTCAGAGGGTAGAAATTTATAAATGTTAATATGAGTCACATTCACGCATTATTATGCATAGTTTTAGATATAACCTTCACCAGGTGACTTACTATCTTTATAAAGAAGACTTTTAATATTTTGATTTGCTCTCACACTTAACATAATAGATATTGCCAGATAAGTAAGTTAACTCATGGTATGTTGTTTAGTTCCAAGAAGTGGGCTTCAGTGCAGAAGATAAAGACATAACTCTTATCCATTGGGGAAGTTATGATGTTCTAGAGAAAAAGAATAGCAGAAGAAGAGAGAGGTACAGAAACCCTGAATAATCAAAAAGGTGTATGAAAGGGATGCAACTGTATTGTAAGGGAATTGAAACTTATTTGTCACTGGCAGAGAAAATAAATTGGCACCCTCATTTTTTAATATATCTCTTAAAAGTCAATCAGCACCTATTGACACCTGTCAACCCTTTTAAGTTTTCTTCTATTAGGAGTTAGTTCAGTCACAAGCTCAGTGGGCATCTATTGATTTAGTGTCTTTGAAAATGAAAGTTTAAATTGGCATGTTGGGGAACCGGTGTTGAGAGGCGTGTGAGATGGTTGGTTCTATATGTAAAATAAAGCCCTGCACTTGAGGAGATTCATGTTGGCCTCCTTCAGAGGAAAGAGCATTCTCTGGCACAACTCCATATAAAGTTGGTTCAATATTCCAATGACTTTACTTATTTATTTATTTTAATTGTGGGTTTGGTGTAGATTTAGGTCACTGGTGTTTTGTTTTATTTTATTGTATTATTTTGTTTATAGACAGAGTCTCACTCTGTCGCCCAGGCTGGAGTGCAATGGTGCCGTCTCAGCTCACTGAAACCTCTACCTCCCGAGTTCAAGTGATTCTCATGCCTCAGCCTCCCAAGCAGCTGGAATTATAGATCCATGCCACCATATCAGACTGATTTTTGTATTTTTAGTAGAAATGAGGTTTCGCCTTGTTGGCCAGGCCAGTCTCGAACTCCTGGCCTCAAGAAACTCACCCGTGTCGGCCTCCCAAAGTGCTGGGATTAGAGGTGTGAGCCACCACGCCCAGCCAATATTCCAGTGACTTTAATAGGAACCTGTTAGGATCTATAAGGTGTAAGTCCACTGTTTTAGGAGAACAGAAGTTGTGTCAGGAATCAAATACCAGCCCCAATTTTCTAATTTAGCTTTTTAGAAAATGTTGTGGTTTAAATGCATGTGTCCCTCCAAAATTCATAACTTGGAACTTAACCCCTAAGGTGATGATACTGAGAGGTGGGACCCTTGAAAGGTGATTAGGCAATGAAAGCCCTACCCTGATGAATGGGATTATAAAAGCCTTATGAAGGAGTTTGAAGGAGTGAGTTTTTCCCTTTTAGGTCTTTCCACCAAGTGAGGACACAGTGTTCATTTCGATTGAATGATGCAACAACCAGGCATCACATCCAGAGCAGAGAGCCAGCCCTGAACAGAAATGAAATCTCTGGAGCCTTGATCCTGGACTTCCTAGGCTCCAGGACTGTTAGAAATAAATTTTTATTATTTATACATTACCTAGCCTAAAGTAATTTGCTATAGCAGCAGGAATGGACTAAGAAAGAAAATAATAACAATAATAGGCCGGGTGCGGTAGCTCACGCCTGTAATCCCAGCACTTTGGGAGGCCGAGGTGGGTGGATCACCTAAAGTCAGGAGCTCAAGACCAGCCTGACCAACATGGCGAAACCCTGTCTCTACTAAAAATACAAAAATTAGCTGGGCATGGTGGTGGACGGCTGTAATCCCAGCTACTTGAGAGACTGAGGCAGGAGAATCGCTTGAACCTGGGAGGCAGAGGTTGCAGTGAGCCAAGATTGTGCCACTGCACTCCAGTCTGGGAGACAGAGACTCCATCTCAAATAATAATAATAATAATAGAAATAAATAATAGAAATATATAATAATAATAATAGAAATAATAGAAATAAATAATAATAATAATAGAAATAATATCTCTCATTATTATTGAGATCTTGCAGTATGTTGGGTATTAGAAGAGAGCCTTTACAAACGTTATTTGAACATTAGAACAGTCATGAATGGTGGGTATAATCATTCTTATTTTACAGATTAGGAGGCTGTGTTTCAGAAAGATGAAAGAATCTAGAACTCTACAGATTGAAAGTGCCAAAATTGGTGTTACAATCAAAATGTGTCTCTAAAACCTGTGTGTTCCCCATCATTCTATATTGCCCGTAGCTGGATGTTTTTAGACATGGAGTTTGTTCCCTATTTCTGGTATTTTCTTATGTTCTGAGTAAACCTCAATAGTAATAATGAACTATTTAATAGCTTTAGATGGGCTTCCCTGTATTGATAGCAGAAAGACCCGCAGTGTCTTGAGTCACAGGGTGATCATGTTTTCTTGCAATATTATTCATGGTAGCACTTAGAGATTTTGCTAGTTGACTCATATCTAGGAAACATGAGGGCAAGCTAAGGGTAGATCAATTTGTTTCTCGTGGAATTGTTGAGACAAAAGGTCATTTGAGGGAGCAGAGGTGAAACTCCTGAGCAAAGGCTTAGGGCTGTTTATTCGCTGCTCTAATACATTCGTCAAATACTTTGTCCTGAGTGTATGATTTCTTGATGATAACTTGTGAACTGCTGTAAAATGCTTTCAGAGCCACAGATGAAAGGAATTGTGTCAGAACTGATAATGCAGTTGCTATGTTTGAAGTTATAAACACTTTTATTTTTGATATTATTGCCCTTCCCTGATATTTTAGGGACTAAATTTCGTCACAGTTGCCTTTGAATGATGTTTACTATGAATTGATGCATTAGTTATTAAGTTTTTATAGCCACATAAAAATTCCCATTTACTCAAGAGAGGGACTGTATATAAATCAGAAATGAATACAATAATGGTCTTAGTGGCTATAATTTATTAGTATTATGACTTTAATTAACTTGTTCATAATAATAAATATGTGAGTTACTCTTGGTTCTGCCTGACAGATACATTAGTCAGTGCTTGCTCACCTTGAGCACGTTCGATAAATATCAATAATCCCAATTCAGTGAACTCCAGTATTCCCATATTCATGAAAAAATAAACTTACCTGCAAAATAACTTTCAGTTAAGTTTTTCCATGATGTGTAAGAGAATCATATTAGAGATTGCTATATGGTTTGTAGTGTGACTTCCTCCTCCCAACTTTTATTGTGCTAATTTAAAATACAATAAAATTGATTCATTTTAAGCATGCATATACATGTACAGTTTGATAAATTTTGGTGACTGATACAGTCAGTTAATCCTCACCACAACAAACACATGGAACATTTCCATTATCCTAGAAAGTTTCTCCTGCCCTTGCCTCAGGGAACCACTGATATGCTTTCTGTCACTGCTAATCTCCTTTTTTTTTAGAATTTCATGTAAATGAAATTATACAATATAAAGCCTGTATTATTCAGGGTTCTTAGAGAATTAAGACAAAATGTGTGGGTATATATATATGTACATATATGTATATATGTATATATGTGTGTATATATATGTATATATGTATATATGTGTGTGTGTGTGTGTATATATATATATATATATATATATATATATATGTGTGTGTGTGCATATGTATATTTTAAGGAATAGATTTATTTGATGGTGGCTGGCAAGTCCGAAATCCACAGGGTAGACCAACAGGCTGGAAATTCTGGCAGGTATTCATGGTACAGTGCACTTCTGAAACCAAAGGCAGGTGGAAGCAGTATTCCTGCTTTTTTGGAGGACCTCATTCTTTTCTCTTAAGGCCTTCAAATGTTTGGCTGACTCTTCCCACATTATGGATGGCAATCTTCTTCATTCTAAGTCTACTGATTGAAATGTGAATCATATCTATAAAGAATTTTTCACAGAAACATTTAGATGGGTGTTTGACCAAACAACCAGGCACCATAGCCTAGTCAAGTTGACACATGAAATTACCTATCATACAACATTTCTGTGTTCAATTTCATTCACTTTAGCGTAATGTTTAGGATCTTTATTCCTGCTATTGCATGTATTATTAGCCCTTTATCCCTTTATATTGTTGAGTTGCATTCCATAGTGTGACTATCCCACACTGATCTATCCACTTAACCAGTTGATGAGTCTCTGGGTTTTTTCCTAGTTTTCATCTCATATGAGAAATGCTTCTATGAACTATGACAATCAGATGACTTCTAATATGACTTTTTGACTCACATTAAAGTATTATCACTTCTACTCTATATACTGCTACATACAAATGGCTAATGTTTATATGGGGCATCTTCAAAAAGTTTGTGGAAAATGTGTATTATGAAAAAACTGTGCATGGATTTCAATTTTTTGGCACCAAAATAAACTTGTTCTAAGTTGTTATACTATGTCTGAAGAGGAACTAGTTTGGTGCACTAGGAAGGATATCAGTTTGAAAAGAGCCCCTATCAGAGCAACATGAGTTCTGCTAAAATTGAAGCAAGAACAAACATCAAATTTATGGTGAGACTTATATGGAAGATTGGTGACATCACTAATGCTTCATAAAAAGTTGATAAAGACAATGACCTCCCCCCCGCAAACATCAGTTTATAAATGGATAACTCATTTTAAGAGGGGAAAAGATGATGTTGAAGTTGAAGTCCCCAGTGGCAGACCACTCACTTCAATTTGTGAGGAAAAAGTTCTCATTTGTTCCCTAATTGAAGAGGACCAATAATTAACAGCAGAAACAATAGCCAATACCACAGACATCTCAATTGTTTTGGCTTACACAATTCTGAATGAAAATTAAAGTTGAACAAACTCTCCATTTGATGGGTGCCAAAACCATTATGCCTAGATCAACTGCAGAGAAGAGCAGAGCTTTCAGTGGAAATTTTAAACAAGCAGGATCAAGGTCCTGATGCATTTCTTTAAAGAACTGTAACAGAAGATGAAACATGGCTTTAGCAGTACAATCCCGAAGACAAAGAACAATCAAAGGAATGACTACTGAGAGGTGGAAGTGGGCCAATCAAAGCCAAATCAAACTGGTCAAGAGCAAAGGTCACAGAAACGGTTTTTTGGGATGGTCAAAGCATTTTGCTTGTCGACTTTCTGGTGGGACAAAGAAAGATGACAACTGCCTACTATGAGAGTGTTTTGAGAAGGTTAGCCAAAGCTTTGGCAGAAAAATGCCTGAGAAAGCTTCACCAAAGAGTCTTTTTCCATCCAGACAATGTTCCTGCTCATTCCTCTCTTTGAGGCCAAAATGGCTTCAAAAACAAGGGCCATTTTGCAGGAGTTTCCATGGGAAATCATTAGGCATTCATTTTACAATCCTGATTTGGCTCCTTCTGACTTCTTTTTGTTTCTTAATCTTAAAAAAATCTGTGAAGGACACCTATTTTTCTTCAGGTAATAGTGTAACTAAGACTGCATTGACATGGTTAAATTCCCAAGATCCTCAGTTCTTTAGGGATGGACTAAATGGCTGGTATCAGCACTTACAGAAGTGTCTTGAACTTGATGGAGCATATGTTGTGTTTATATTTTATATTTTAATCTTTTAATTTCATTTTTCACGAACATTTTGAAACCTCTTTTGAGTTGACCTTTAGAGTTTACAGAGTGTATTTGATTTTTCCCTCATTTAATTTCCACCATAAAATTATTCTAATAGTAGACATGCAAAACAGTGCTTTATCAATGTTTTAATATACACTACCGCATTTACAACAATTCCAAGATTTAAGTATTTTAGCTCCATTTCGCAGATGAAAAAGTTGAAATTTAAGAAAATGTAGGGACTTGCCTAAGGCAACTACAGTAGACAGTTAAGGAATGAATTTTAGACTGCGATGTTCTGACTGCAAGCCCAAGTGACCCTATTCACCGGCGATGATCAAGGGCATGCCCAGAAAATGATAACATTGCAATTAAACATTGGAAAGAGTCATGGTTAATGCCCAATCAATCTGAAAAAATTTCTAATTGAGAAAAAACAGTTTTTACCAATCAGGCCACATTTCAGTATTAAAAAATTCAATAAGTGATTTCTTGGAATTAAAATGAAATGGTTGCCTTCCCCATATAATGTTGGCATAATTAGCCTTCTCACTCATGAACACTCTGTGCTTTCTTAAAATGATACACAGTTGGTCCCTGACTTTACATGGTTCGACTTAAGACAGTTCGACTTAATGATTTTCTGACTTTATGACGGGGCCACAGCAATACGCATTCAGTATGTCTTCAATTACAATGGGGTCATGTTCTGACAAACCCATTATACATTGAGCATATTGTAAGTTGAAACCAATATACAATATTTTTAGCTTACAATGTATTTGTGTATTTATCAGACATGACCCTATTGTAAGTTGAGGGGCATCTATAAATAAATCATGAAGAAATTGCTGGTGTATAGTGCTACTTCATGTAGGGCAGTTAATGCCTTCAGTTATCCCTGCAACTCTCTCAGATGATCTGCCTAAGAAAGTTCCTGACCCTTGACATTACTGCAGTCTGTTGCCGTTCATTATCAAGAGTTTCTTGCTGATCCTGGAGGAGTTTCTGAAAGTTGCTATTGCTGGGTTATATTGCTGAATGTTGATACTTACTGATAGATTGTTATTTGCTGATACTGGACGAGTTCCTGAATGTTGATATTGCCGGGTGAAGATCTAGGGCAGATGACTTTTAATGTCGCAACATAATTTAATATTTGCATGATTTCATTTCATGGCTTGAAAATTCAGACTATTCATTCAAAAAATGTTTATTGAGCATCTACTGCCTAGCATGTTATTATTAGAAACACTCATCTGTTATGTACCTTTATGTTTTGTAAACTAATTTTTGATGGCATTTAATATTTAACAGAATTGCAAGATAATATGTGAGAAGATATAAATGAGGAAATATTTGTTCTATTTTGACAGATGTTCCATGTACTAAGTTCTAGGCTTCAATCTTCTTGAAGGTAGGTGCTCATATCTCCATTTTACAAATAGGGAAAAGTGAGGCTCACCACAAAGAAAAACTTTGGCCAGATAGCATAGCTCATAAGTGGTTGAGTTGTTACTAGATTTTATGTCTGACTCCAAAATTAGTCCTATGATGTAGGAGTCAGGCAACTTTTTCTGTAAAGTGCCTGATAGTAAATATTATGGGCTTTGTTGTCTGTAAGGCAAAATAAAGGCTGTTGTACAGGTACTGATGTATCACAGTGTCTCTGTCACAATTACTCAGCTTTGTGCTTGTAGCATGAAAGCAGTCATAGACTGCATGGAAATGAGAGGGGCAGCTGTGCTTCAATAAAATTTCATTTATAAAAACAAGGAGATGTGGCCTGTAGACTACAGTTTGCCTCCCCCTACTCTAAACTATACTGCTCCTTTTAATGGGGAAGGGAGGTGTCTTTTAGCATTTTAAAGTTATTGGATAAGTGGAAGATTTTAACGTGGTCCATTGGGAAATTTTAATGCAACTTTAATAAATTGACATTGAATAAAATTTTGTGTTACTGCCTCCTGTTTGTGGAGTGTGAGAAGATGGGCAAATCGTCATCTTAGATAATGTGGGTAGGTCTAAGATCACAGAACACTGAGTTAGCTGAACACAAGGAAGAAAAGTGAAAACATGGAAATAAAAGTTAGGTCATGTGATAACTTTTAATTTTCTGAAAAAGACACTATTCCGGTTCTGAAAAAGACACTATTCCGGTCTCTGTCTGTATGAATGTCCAGTTTGTGTTTTTATTCTGTGAGCACTTCATCTTACCAATTGTATTACCTTCCTGTTGCTGCTGTAATACATTATCATACACTTAGTGGCTTAAAAAATGCAAACTTATTGCCTTGCAGTTCTTGTATTAGTCTGTTCTCACGTTGCTAATAAAGACATATCTGAGACTGGGTAATTTATAAAGGAAAGAGGTTTAATTGATTCACAGTTCCACATGGCTGAGGAGGCCTCACAATCACAGTGGAAGGCGAATGAGGAGCAAAGTCACATCTTACATGGCAGCAGGCAAGAGAGAGAGCATGTGCCGGGGAACTCCGCTTTATAAAACCATCAGATCTCCTGAGACTTTATCATGAGAACAGCATGGAAAATACCCACCCTCATGATTCAGTTACCTCCCACTGGGTCCCTCCAATGACACATGGGAATTATGGGAGCTACAGTTCAAGATGTGCATGGGGACACAGCCAAACCATATCAGTTCTGGAAGTCAGAAGTCTCAGTGGACTAAGATCAAAGTGTCAGCAGGGCTGTGCTTTCTCTGGAGGCTCCAGGGAAACACTGTTTCCTCGCCTTTTCCAGCATCACAGGCCGCCCGCATCACTTGGCTCATGGCCCCTTCCTCTCATCAGTCCAACCACTGCTTCCATTGTCACAGCTCACCTGACTTTGATCTCCTTCCTTCTTTTTAAAGAACCTTTGTAATTACATTGGGTTCACCTGGGTAATTGAGGATATTCTTCCCTTCTCAAAATTCTTCCCTTAATTCCATCTGCAAAGTCTCTTCTTCCTGTAAGAACATATCCAAGGGTTCTGTGGCTTAGGCCACATTTTGGGGAGCGTTATTCTGTCTATGCCAACCATGATGAGTGGTAGGGTGGGGAGAGACCATCTGAACAGGCCTGCTCCTGCAGAGGAATATTGGACTCTCTGGTTTGAGGAGCCTTCTCAATAAGCAGTCCTGTCAACTTCGACCTGTAATTTTACCCCAGAAATAAGTGTAAGCATCCCCCTGCTGAGCATATATGAAGTGACAGTCACACTGACTTCTTTTGAGTTTGTAAGTTTACCAGTATGCTGGCTGCCTTGCTCCTTGTGTCTTTTAGCCAAGTAATTTGTAGCATTCAAAACGTACTACTGTTAAGGAAATGATTTAAAGATGATTCACATGTTGATGGTATTTAGCACCTACTGAAAGGGTTTGTGCAATTTTCTTGCTTGCAGAGTTGCATGGAAATATGCAAAGACTCCCTTATAAATACATTGATATAAAAATGCCCCTGTTATTACAGCTGTAGAACCAAACATTACAAGTGGTATTTATTTGCCAATAGGATGGTTGCTGAACACTGCAATGCTGGTTTATAGATATTAATTCTTTCAGAATTTTGTGAAGAACACCAGCTAAGAATATTCTCACTGTGAAAACAACCAGCTGATGATGCTATCCTGGTTTACACCAGGGTACTTTGAAGCAAACAGAATAATATTCCTTGCACAGGCCCATTTAGATGAACTGAAAACAAATAGTGAGCTGGACTCTAATTCCAAAGGCTTCCCAGGAGAAATTCTGGTGACTCTGTGCTAAATAACCATGCACACAGTGCTCTGTTGAGCTTCAAAGAGTTGGCATGTGTAAGCATCTCACCACCACACTGAGGGATTCATAAAGTAAGGAACACTGTATTCTATACGGTAACGTAGAGATTGCTTTTCTGAAACATGCTGGCTGAGCTGAGATTAGTATGAAGTTGGAGTTAGGTCTCATGGTTGGATCTGAGAGCCAGATTGGTCTCCTCAGTACATTACAATAATATCTTGTGGCTATCTATGTCTTTGGCTGTAGAAGATGTGAGTAGTGGAATCATATTTTTGAAACCATCAAGCTTTAGCTATTTCTGTGTGTCGTTAATCACTGGCAGTCATACCTGGGTTAATGAGTAACACTCTAACTTTAAAATTGCTTCATAGAAGGATATTCCCCAACATAAACACCAGGAAGCAGGATTGAAGTTAGATTGAAAAGTTGGCTAATGGTAAGGCTATGAAATGCTGAAACTACTTATTGAAGGAGATGGTGAACTCTTCTCTGGAGGTCTTCAATAATGGTTTAGTTGTTGTCTTGCCTGAAGACAAATTATATTTTTAACATGTTGAATTTGCATATTGTAATTTTTGGACCATGTTTAAGAAAGTTCTTAAGATACTCTTTGGGGCAAAATAGATCTATGCAGACCTAGTGATAGTAATGTAACCCTGTATTCCTTCTCTCTGAACAGCCAGTTATAATTCAGAGGTGAGATGCTTCACCTCTCTCCTTGGTTTGAGGAGCTGTAAGAAAAAAATCAAGTCCGTTTTAGACCTTTTCAAGGGTTCTGAGTTAACAGGTATTAAATTTATAGCTGAGGAGCAAGGAAATTCAGAAATTCCTCCAGGTTTGGATCCCGTTCTGGGATCCATTCTTACCTGACGTCAAACTGAGGAGTCCTCGGGTGCTCAGGACAGAAGCATGATTGGTCCTGCTGAGATCTGAGCTCTGTGGCTTATAGAAAATGTGTCGTCTACTAAAGAACAATAGAATCCCAAGCTTTTCAACCCATATTGGAAAGTATGTGCAAGATAATCTAGGAATGTCAGTCCTGCAGCAAGGAACTTGTTATTGAGCCTTAAACATACTGGCCTAAGGAATGTTATCCCAGAAGGAGGGAACAGTTTCTCCTGAGGGAAGGGGTCCTAAATGAGTGATTGTCTCTCAGAAAAGAAAAGAGTGGGCTGGGCGCAGTGGCTCAAGCTTGTAATCCCAGCACTTTGGGAGGCCGAGGTGGGCGGATCACGAGGTCAGGAGATCGAGACCATCCTGGCTAGCACGGTGAAACCCTGTCTCTACTAAAAATACAAAAAAATTAGCTGGGTGTGGTGGCGGACGCCTGTAGTCCCAGCTACTTGGGAGGCTGAGGCAGGAGAATGGCGTGAACCCGGGAGGTGGAGCTTGCAGTGAGCCGAGATCGCGCCACTGCACTCCAGCCTGGGCGACAGAGCGAGACTCCGTCTCAAAGAAAAAAAAAAAAAAAAGAGTGCCTGTGTTTGCGGGTGCACTGACCTCTTTCTTCAGTGACTGCTGCCTCTTTGGGCCTTCTTTTTGCTCGTTTCAGCAGAATAGGCAACTGTTTGTTTCTGAGGGCTTCACTGGCAGTGGAGACCATCGTGTGTTTCTCCTCCTGATTAGAGCCTGCACTAGAAGCCACGTGCTATTTCATGTTCTCACTGATATTTGAACAAAGCCAAAGAAGGCACGCTTACATTTGTGGGTTGCGCAAAGCAGGGAGGTGCTAATCCAGTGGATAGCTAAATCAGAAGGTGGAAAAGATGTATAAATAGGTACAGTGATAGGTCAAAATCAGAAATATAAAATTTAATGGCATTAAGTGTAATGTCTTGTAATTCAACTTCTACAAATCAATTACATAATATGAGGCTCTCATTATAGTTTGCCCTGTGAAGTCAACACTATAGGCATGGAATAGGAAGAGGGGTTGCCTTGTCATAGGATGAGGACAATTAGTAGATGTTCAATAAACATTTACATAAAAATTAAATACAACATTGATATGGTTTGGCTGTGTCTCCACCCAAAATCTTATCTTTAATTGTAATCCCTATAATCCCCATGATCCCCACATGTCAAGGGAGAGACCAGGTAGAGGTAACTGAATCATGGGGGTGGTTCCTCGAGCTCTTCTCATGATAGTGAGTGAGTTTTCATGAGATCTGATGGTCTTATAAGTGTTTGGTAGTTCCTCCTGCGTTCCTTCTCCTTCCTGCTGCCTTGTGAAGAAGGTGCATTGGTTCTCTTTGCCTTCCACCATGATTGTAAGTTTCCTGAGGCCTCCCCAGCCATGCTGAACTGTGAGTCAATTAAACCTTTTTCCTTTGTAAATTACCCAGTCTTGGGTAGTTCTTTATGGCAGTATGAAAATGGACTAATGCAAACATCTAAATAATAGGTTTTCTAATACTTCTTTAACATTATTTCTTTACGCTCTTCAATAATATGCATTTGCATTTCATAAGAGAGTTTCTCAGAGTCCTTCTCTGTACCTATGGTGCTTTTGTTTATTTTCCAACTTTATAGACATGTGATTCATGCATGGAGTTAGCTCCTTCTCTTTTTTTTTTATTTCTCTGGTCATTAAATAATATAATACCCAGCTCAACCCCACAGCCCTACTCCACAACTCTACCTCCTGAGGAACATTTTTTCTTTGAGAAAAAATTTCTAGATGTAATTCTATTCTAATACGATTATTCCCAATTTTCTTCAGCATACTTACAATTATATGTTCATTTTAAACATGGCTGACATTAATCATTGCATTTATTTTCTGGATTGTTCTACAATGTTTTACATTTGTTGATCTGTAGCTTTATAATCTCTTTATACTCTTGCTTGATTTTGTGAGGAATAAAATACAGAATAGTGATATTTTGAGGAATGTAACATTGTTATTAATGTTAATTGTTTATATTTCTCAGAATTTATTAATTCATACATCATTAATAAATTGAGTTCAGTGAAGTATTACAATATTGGGAGGAGGAGGGAAAAGAAAAGAATGATTCCAAACTGAATCATATGTTTAACAAGATATTCTGAAACTTGATAACATGACCTTGTTTCTAGATCATTAGACTTAAGTGCTAACCACTCTGGCAAATATCACATTTGCCACAAATGTGATAATAATAAAGGCATGCATTGGCCTGTACAAATAATATATTGTGATCATTGTAGCTCTTTGTAGACTGTCACTGGTGCACTAATAGGTAAACAAAGCACATTATCCAAGAGCTCTGCCCTGAAGGCTTAGAATCTGTATCATTTAGTCAACAAAATGTAGACATAAATAAATATTGACACTCTGAAGGGATTGCCTATCTGCTTTCTAGGTTATTGCTAGGAATCCACAGAGAATATGTGAAGTTAGCCTTTAAAGATAAATCACTTGAAGTAAGAGGAAAAAAATCATTACCGTATACACATATGCTTACATAAAAGGCAAACAAGGAAGTGGAGACAAAATGAGAAGTGGTTTAGAAAAATAGAAAAGAAAAAGAACCTTTGGGTTGATTATGGAGGTCCTGGGAGTGCAGTTTAACCCAGGAGTTAAATACAGCAGACTGGAATGGATCTGAATGGCTAGGTCTGTGTTGAGGACGTACTAGATGCGAGGAATTGGGCTAGTCACTCTGGATATAGAGTTAAATGGGACAATGTTTCTCTAGGAGAGTACAATAAGTAATGGCTTACTATGCATCCCTTACAGGTAAGCATGGAGGGCTCATTGGAATGCAGAATGGAAGTACTCATCCCAACCTCACAGGCTTATAGGAGGCTTGCCAGAGAAGGAAGGATGTGATAGCTGGATCCTGAAGGGCCATAGGAATTAGTCAAACAATGGGAGTGGGGTGGGCTTATGTAAGAGAGAAGGTGCTCTCCAGGTAGGGGACCAGTATGTGAAATAGCCCATGGATGGATGTGGGACTACAAGTTAGGTGTGAATTGTGTGTTTGGCAGAATCATGGTCACAGAAAAAATCCTGTGACTATATTAGGTTACATATTAGGCAAAAGCAGATTTATGTCACAGATGGAATGTTTGCTAAGCAGCTGACCTGAAAATAGTGAGATTTTCCTGGATTATTCAGGTGAGCTCAATATGATCACAAGAGCCCTTAAGAGTGGAATATGGAGGCAGAAGAGGAGGTCAGGGGGATGTGATGTGAGGACTCATCCTGTTGATTCTGGCTTTGGAGATGGAGGAAGGGGCCAGGAGCCAAGGAATGCAGGCAGCAACTAGTAGCTGGAAAAGGCAAAGAAATATTAGATTGGTGCAAAAGTAATTGCAGTTTTTGCTATTACTTTTAATGGCAAAAACCACAATTACTTTTGCACCAACCTAATCGATTCCCCCCTGGAGCCTCCAGAGTAGCACATGTCCCTACCAACACCTGAATTTTAACCTAGGGAGACTGGGTTGGGCATCTGACCTTCGAAACCCGAAGATAAATGTATGATGTTTTAAACCACTCAGTTTGTGGTAATTTGTGACAGCAACAACAGAAAATTAATACACAGGAAGAACGTATTGAAAGTGCAGTGACAGTAGCAGTGAGACTGGAGAGGCAGGCGAGGAGAACACTTTATGCCCTGCTCTGCAGTGTGGGTTTTATCCTGATAGTCATGGGGAGCCCTGGA
The DNA here is from genome assembly GCF_000001405.40 of Homo sapiens. NCBI lineage: Eukaryota > Metazoa > Chordata > Mammalia > Primates > Hominidae > Homo > Homo sapiens. The sequence goes on along the minus strand of NC_000013.11, from coordinate 106,128,094 downwards.
TGGGTTTAGGCAGGGGAGTGATATGCTTTTGTGTTTTAGAAATGTCACTCAGGAAATAGGAAGGACTCGAGGCTACAAAGAGTTCGGAGACTGTCAGGAGGAAATGCATTGACTTGGGAATTTTAATTAATCTGAATCAGCGCAATTTGCTGAGTGTTTATCTGTTGGGGAGGAAGAAAGGGCAACATCAAGAATGTAAGCTAGGTTCTTGACTGAAGAGTTGGCACATGATGGAAAATTCACTGATATAAGATACACAGTAGTAGGTAGGAATGAGATTTGCAAAACACTGGTAGAAAGTAGATGGTGTTTTTTTCTGATGGCCACTTAATTCTCTGAGAAGTAGGAGGTAAAGTCATCTATTGAAAAATAGTGGGTTAGAGGTGTGAAGTGGAAATTCTAAGGAAGAAAATTAAGTTTGCATCATCTGTGAGTAGGAGTTAGAATTTCTGTTCACAGTGAAAACAGAGGAATTAACAGGCAGCTGTGAAGGCTGCAGCGAATGTTGGGCCTCTTGAACACTTTATTTCTTATGACTGGAATAGGTCCCTTATTCTTTTTTTTTTAGAACGAGTTTTGCTCTTGTTGCCCAGGCTGGAGTGCAATAGTGCAATCTCGGCTCACCGCAACCTCTGCCTCCTGGGTTCAAGTGATTCTCCTGCCTCAGCCTCCCGAATAGCTGGGATTACAGGCATGCGCCACCACACCCGGCTAATTTTGTAATTTTAGTAGAGACAGGGTTTGTCCATGTTGGTCAGTCTGGTCTCGAACTCCCAACCTCATGTGATCCGCCCTCCTTGGCCTTCCAAAGTGCTGGGATTACAGGCGTGAGCTACCGCGCCTGGCCCAGGTCCCTTTTTCTTAAACTACCCAGCTCTTTGTTTTAGCTTTGAGATGATCCATTGAAAAATTTTCTCTGATGGGGATATGTCAGCTGGTAATAAAGTGCCTAAATCTGGGCCAGTTTGAAGCCCTGTATCATGACCCCAAAGACCTTTTGAGACAATGGCTAGCATGTTGGGTCATCACTTCCACTTTTGGATGCATTTCTTCCTCTCCGTAGCTTTCTGGAGAATCATATAATCTCAGTTGGAAAATAACACTTGTTACCTGGGCAAAGACCTTGACCTCAAGCCCACATCCTTCCAGGCTCTTCCTGGTTGCCCGGGTCAAGTTGTCCATCTCATTTTGAAAATTTCTGGTGTTGGAAAATACATCTTCTGATGACAGCTCACTCTGTTTTCGGATGGCTCCAATCCCTAGAAATTTCTTTCTTATATTGAACTAAAACCTACCTCCCTGTAAATTTTACAAGGTTATTCGATTTCTAGAGAATTCGTAGAGAATTTAATCCCTCTTAAATCTGACAACCTTTTCAGTATTGGAAGGCAGCTCGCATGTACCTCTCTAAGTCTCTTCTTTTCTAGGCTAAGCAGTCTCAATTTTTTTACCATCACCAGTTTTTCAACTGTTCTTCGCGTGTCAGGTTTCCTTCCTTTCACTATCCTGGCTGGATTTCTCTAAAACATCATATGCTGCCACAATTTTTTTGTTTGTTTGTTTAAGTATGGGGACTTGGGTTGGAAAAAAGCCTTCCAGGTATTGTTTGAGCAGCAAAAAGTAGAACAGAATATCATCTCCATTTTCTATAATCAGTGAGAATTGCTAGCAATTACCCTCCTAAGATACCCTTTTTCCTGTAAGCTCCTGTCACCAACCTCAGCTTAGGCTTCCCTTCTCTTACCTCGATCTTGTTTTCTTGATAGATTCCTTCATTCAGTACAAATCTGTTGGGTAGGTTCTATCTGTTAGGTCATCTGATGCGTATTGGACCTAAGGAAGGGAATAAGCTCACCTCTGCCATCAAGGAGAGCAAAGTCTGGTTAGAATAAAATATAAGCAAACAATATTGAGGGGATAGATTGATCAGAAGGAGTATCTATTGCATTGGAGGAAGGAGATATATGAAGGATAGTAGAAATAAAGTGTATCATGTTGGTGAATTCATTCATTCATCCAATGAATATTGAATTCATGGCCCATTGCTCTTGTGAGCACTGAAGTTACAGTAGTGAAGAAAAGTGTGTGCATTCTCTAGTGGAGCTTCGATTCCATAATGAGAGATCGGAAAAAACCAACAAAACCAAACCCAGATAGCAAGTAAACATGGAATAGCCTTTATTTGAAACAGGGGTCTACAAACTATGGCTTATTGGCAAAATCTGGCCTGCCACCTTTTTATGTAAACAGATTTACTGGAACACAGCCACGCTCATTTGTTTATGTATCACCTACGGCCGTTTATACGCTATAGTGACAGCCTTGAATAATTGCATGCAGAAGCCATGTGGCCTGCAAAGGTGAAAACATTTGCTTTCTGGCCCTTTAAGGAAAAGTTTGCTAGCCCCAGTCTAGAAGAATAAAGCAGGCAAGGGAGGAGTGGTGAGCCCTGGGGAGGGGCAGGAGGACCGATTTGTCTTTAGAGAGGTTGATCAGAAGAAGCTGTGCTGATGGGGTAACATTTGAATAGAGACCTGGGGAATTGCAGGAGCAGCCCTGTGGGCACCTGGGGGAAGACCACTCTAGGCAGGAAGAGAAAAGCAAAGGCAAAGCGCCCGGGGAGGGATTCGGCTTGGTGTGCTCCAGAAGGTGCCCGGGCAGTGAGCCCTGGAGTAAGTCATAGGAGAGGAGGCCCATCACACAGGGCATTGCCAGGCCCAGAAGAGAGCCCTGGCCTTGGCAGGGTGAGGTGAGGAGCCACAGGCAGGCTTTCAGCAGGGACGCAATCCCATTCACTGCTGGAGGGGAAGGAGGAAGAAGGGCAGATGAGAATCTGTTGCAAAAGTGGGGCTCTGGCTAGGATGTCATCGTGGAGAACACGACAGGAAGTGGCGAGACCCTGGGTTCCACCTGAAAACAGAGTCAACATGATTTCCTGATGACCTGGGTGCAGGTGAGAGAGGGGAGTCAGGTGTAATTCCTCTTTAAGATGGTTTTTATAAGGAAATAATTTCAAACTTACAAAAGCTGCCAAAATAGTTCAAGGAACGTCAGTTATACCCTTTCCTAGATTCACCTGAGGACGTTTTACCCCAGTTGCTTCATCATTTCTCTGTCACTAGAGCTCTACACACACACACACACACACACACACACACACACACACACACACACAGCTATACATATATATGTGTGTTTATGCAATGCAGACACACACAGATGAACACACATGCATATAATTCTGAATCATTAATGGATAAATTACGTTTATTATGGCTCTTCACTCCTAAATATATCATATTTCCTAAGAATAGGGATATTCTCATAAATAATCAAAGAACGAATAGCTGATTTCTCTCTCTCTATTTATGTATATATGTATGCATTCTTTTTTTGGTTTGAGCAACTGGTAGGATGTACTTGCTAATCACTTGAGATGGGGACATATTAAGAGAAAGAGTTACTTTGGGGTGTCAGGGGAAATTGGGAGTTTCATTTTTGACTTATGAAATTTGAGTTGCTTGTTAGAGACTCCAGGAGATGTGTAAATAGGCACTTGGACAAGAGGTTTGGAATTATGGAAAGAAAGCTGGTCTTATAGATGTATTTAAGGCACTGAGCCTCCTCATAGGGGGTGAATATAGGTGAAGAAGAGGACTGAGGACTGGGTCCTGGTTCTCTTGACCATTTAGATATCAGGGAGATATGGATGAAAAGCAAGGAATGCTAAAAAGACATTTGCTGTGAAAACGATCATGGAAATAACCCAGTAGCTGAAGGGAGTGTGGGAATGCTGGAGTTTTGATTTGTTTTTAGGTTGATACCATACCTGTGCATTTTTCTCCTGATAGAAAATGTCTAGTAGGGAAACGATGATGCAGGAGAGAAAAGGCCTCCTAGGGTGATGTTTTTGAGTAGGTGAGAGGCGTGGGATCTGGGACCCACATGGAAGACTTGGCCTCACATTGCTAGAAATGCTCATCCTTTGTTACAAAAATGAAGGCAAGTATGTGGGCATAGATGAAGTGGGTTGTAAATTTGGTTGATAGCAAGTGGAAGTACTTTTCTGCTTGTTTTATTTTCTCATTGAAATAGAAATCAAGGATGCACTGAAAGGATGGAGGAGGTGCAATGTTAGGCGTTTGAGGACAGAGAAGGTGAGAATTGTCCTTTAGGAGTTGGGATAAGAGATGGGCCCGGGAAATGTTGAGGATACTGACAGCACTGAGGGTCCCCTTGATCTTAGTGGTCGTCAATGAAAACTCAGACCAGCCACCTTCCTTGTGTGTTTTCTCCACTTGCCTTCACTATCCTGGCAAAGAATGGGAATTTGGATTGACCTGGGGTTGAGGTTTGGCCAAGTCAGAAGAAGGAGGACAGCGAGGGAAGGGTGTATGTAAAGAAGTGCCTGTCATGGAGGAGCTGGAAACTGAGCTGAAGAAGGAGACAAGTGATGGCTGCAGGGACTGAGGAGTGAGCAGTGGTGAGACCGGGAGACTGTAGTTCCTGGTGGCGGTAAAGGAATTTTCAAGACGGGCTGTCAGAGACAGGTGGAGAGGTCAAAGGTGCTGCTTAAAGGTGGGTTCCTCAAACTGACCTGCCTGTGGAGGATCACATTCAGGTCTCAAGCACAGTTTCAGTGTTCCAAATGCTGTAGTGTGATGAGTGGTATTCGAGACATGCAGATGGCGTGGACCTGCATAGGAATAGAATATAACCCCAGCACAATGGGGCAAGGGAACAGTGTTGGAGAAAGCTGCTCAATGTGGGCCACATCCCAGCGAAGTCTTGATAACCTTATAAGAAGTGCTTGAACTTGAGGGTTTCATGGATCTTGCTATTGCCTCTGAAATACACAGAGATGAGATTATATGCTTTTTTTATTTTATCAAGTGCAAGTACTTTCATTATTTTTAAATTTTATTAAATAGCTCATTTATGTTTTGGATTTCTTCAGATCCTTTCTTTATTTTTCTACTTGTCCTAACTTTCAAATTTTACATTTTATAATACATCTATCTCTGTCTCCCAAGTCAATTGCTATGTCAATGTTGTTTGTTTATTGCAGAAGAATTATCAAAATGTGAGAGGTCTTTCAATCTTCTTTTATAAGATTCCTACTTATTTGAATAAAATTAAACCTGACATTTAAGTTACTTTTTAAGGTGATATTATGATCACGAATGCTAAAAAGAAACTATTTTTTTTGTTGTTGAGACAGGGTCTCACTCTGTTTCCCAGGCTGGAGTGCAGTGGCACAATCATGGCACACGGCGAAGCCCCCATCTCCCAGGCTCAAGTGATCCTCCCGCCTCAGCCTTCTGAGTAGCTGGGACTGCAGGGGTGCACCACCATGCCTAGCTCATTCTTCTTTATTTTTAGTAGTGATAGGGTCGCCCTGTGGTGCCCAGGCTGGGAGTTTGGTCTCAGACTCCTGAGTACAACTGATTCTTCCTCCTCAACCTCCCAAAGTGCTGAGATTACAGGTGTGAGCCACCATGCCGGGCAATAAATTATTCTTTACTAGAGGAATAAATGTATGATTTTAAAAGCTTGAAACTTTATATGCCTCAAACTTGAAACTACTAATGATGTTTGAAAACTACACACACCCTCAAAGTGTCAGAGCCTCATAGTGACTACTTTGATCTTCTCTGAGTAGTGGTTAACCAATGTCTAAATTAGACAGCTTTATATTACTGTGTTCCACTAGACCATACAGAACTTTATTTCAAAAAAACTTTCAGTTGAGAAACTGAAAAAAAAAGTTGGGCGGGGTGGGGTGTGGGGGCTTGGTTTAATTGGTTAATCCGTTCTAAAGAACATAAACGACTGTTATCATTGATCATAAAGAATAAAAACCAGGGATAAGATTGAATAAATACACATTTACTACCAATTACCTGTGGGTTTTAATTTAATTTGGGTCTTTGCTTGAAGCCAAACTTTGTCCCAAACTAATAGGTGGATACTTTATTCATGAAACTTCTAATTACGTGGTAGTTCCCTCAGAAGAGAATCAAACTCATGTTTCTTTGCCTCTCATCATAATTTTTGGATAAAGGAAGGCAGGATTCTTTTGAGAGATGAGGCTTTCGGAGGAAAATGTATATGTAATTGGCTGTGTGGTTTGGATGAAGAGGAAAGAGATTTAAAATTGGTGGGCTTCATTTAAGATTTAAAATGAAGATTTAATCAAGCACAGATCTTGTAAAACATAAGGGTCATGGCCAATGATTGGTTATAACGTTGTTCAGAGAATGTATGTCAAGTGTGACACATTATCTTTGGAGTTCTTTGCTTTAGCCAGATTTAATGTTAACTGAATGCGGGAAAAAATATCAATTGAAACATAATACATTCAGCTAAGGTGTTCTTTCCTTTGCATGAAAATGGAAATGACATACTGAAATATCCCGATTCTAATTGCCCATTTTCCCACAAAATAAATAACATACTCCCATAAAGAAATGTCCTTTATTATTATTAGTTTATATAATGAGTTATTGTCCTTTTAGAGCAGAAACTCTGAGTCATCTTTTGCAAATCAACTAAGATACCATCATCATTTTATTTCCTTTCATGAGTCTATAATACATACATAAAGAATAACCTATTCATAGTTATTTCAAAGTGCCACTTTGAGATTTATGTTTTCAAGTAGCTGATTCTTAAGGCATAGAACATTACCTCATTATGTATTCAATAAACATTATTCAATAAACATGCATTGAGCATTTGCATTTCCACATCCTGTGCTTGATATTAAGGATGATAAGGTAAGAGAAACAAACCTACAGTCTGCAGCAGAGTTTCTCAACTGGGGGTGATTATCCCGGGGGCATTGGGCAATGGCCCAAGATATTTGTGATTGTCATGACTTGGGTTGGGGGAAGTTTTTACTGGCATCCTACAAGGCACAGGAGAGGTCCACACGACAAATAATTATCCAGTCCTATTGCCAATAATTCCAGTGTTGAGAAACCCTGGTCTAGAGGGAGCATATCGCTCACAGTTACAATTCTATAAAATAAGTCCAAAAATAAAGCTCTCACACACAGTGCTCTCTCATAGCTCAGAGAAGGAAGCACCCAGCCTTGACAATGGTGGATGGATGTGGGTTGTGTGTGGGAAACTCCCTGAATAAAGTGTCCTCTCCGTTGATGCTTGAAGGCTGGGGAGGAATTAATCTGGCAGATGAAGAGAGGTGGGTTTTCTAGTGGAGGGAACCTCATATGCAAATTCACAGAAGCAAGCATCATCCTGGAATGATTGGGGTACGGCACAGTTAGGATAGCTGGGGTTTAGATCCATGCGAGAGTCATGAGAAAGAAGGCTTTGAATCGAGTTGAGGGATATGATGGTGAAAAGCCTGGAGTAGGTGGAAAAGATATTGAACCATCTCCAGCACCAGGGGAGAGCCATTGAGGGGTGATAAATAGGGTGGCAGCATGGGTGCATTGCATGCTACGCCCTTCACACAGTCGTGTGGAGTATAGCTTGGAACTAGGACAGTCAGGACCAGTTAATTGACTGGAACAGGTCAGACATGATGAGATGGTTGAGGATGTTTGAAGACATTTTGAAGGTAGAAATGACAGGCCTTTTACAAATTCACTGTGATGAGTGAGGAAGAGGGGACAGTCAGAAACAATGCTGATGTTTTTGGCTTAAGATGCTGAGTGGATACTGGTGTCTTCATGTGAAATAAGAAATCCATGCTGAGAAAGATGGTGAATTTAGGTTTGGGCTTGGCAGTGCTACCTGTGGGTCATCTGGTCAGGAAGAGAAGAAGTTCTGGGGAAGGGAAGGACACTGTGGTTGACCTTGAGAATGCTCAGGGTAATTGAATACATGTAAAAGGAAGGAGATTCCGTGTCAGGAATCTTAGGAACACCAAAACTCAAGGAGCAGGCAGGCCAGGCGGGGCCATGCAGGAAACTGAGGACTGATAGGAAAAAAAAAAGGCAATCGAAAAGCTGGCCAGGTGCAGTGGCACACACCTGTAATCCCTACACTTTGGGAGGCTGAGGTGGGAGGATTGCTTGAGCCCTGGAGTTTGAGACCAGCCTAGGAAACATAGTGAGAACCTGACTTTACAAAAAATAAAAATAATTGGCCAGCAGTGGTGTCATGCACTTGTGCTCCCAGCTACCTGGGAGGCTGATGTGGGAGGATTGCTTCAGCCCAGAAGGTTGAGTCTACAGTAAGCTGCGATTGCTCCACTGCACTCCGGCCCAAGTGACAGAGCAAGACCCTGTCTCAAAGAAAAAAAAAAAAAAAAAAGGAAAGAAAAAAAATAGTGTCAGGGGTTCTGGTTAAGGCAGTTTCAGGAGTGGTATTCTCATCAGTGTCAAAGAAAGATAGTAGGTAACTTTCTTAGAGCCATTGGGTTGGGCTACATAGAGGTCACTGGGAATCCCTAAAAAAAGGATGGTGGCAGGGCCTGTCAGAAGGCAGTGGGATAAGGAGACTCTTGGGAGGGTGAGGATGTGAGGCAGGGAGTGCAGCGAGCTCTTTAAGAAGCCTTGTCCTAAAATGGAGAGTGCTAGAGGGGAAAATGCTGATGTTTAAAGCTGGGATTAGAGTGGGCATGATTATCTGTTGAGCACGCAAGGCAGGTAGTGTTTTATGATTTCCTCTGAGCATTTATGGTTGCTGATATTGTTATTTTTGATAGATTATAATTGTTACCAAGACTGTATTGAACCATCAACCTCTGGTAGACACAATACCAAAAGCACGAAAGGATGTAGACTTGGTTGAAAACATTCAACATTTCAGTTTCTTTAAAACAAAAGGGACATTCCTCCCTCGGGTGTGAAAGTAGTTCATGGTTGCAGACAAGCAGCTGAGCAATGTGTGGGTGCAGTTTGTTTTGCGTGGGGGAACACAGAGAGACAAAGAGGTCAGCTCTGAATTGCACTGCAGGCGGCAAAATGGAAAGGACGTCATTTTAAAACCGGCAAATGAACAGAATGAAAAGCAGGAGCGCAGCCCAGAGAGCAACTTCCTGCCTTGGCATGCTAAAAACTTTTAATTATAAACGTTTGCTCGGCTGTGGGAATGCTGTCAGATAGGAGGTTCAGCGGAAGCATCTTCACCTTAAGTGAAAGAGAAGTGGGCTTTGCAGTCATGTGCTCAACGTGCACACGTTAAAGAGAATGTTGCGTGGTCCTCTGCAGTGTATTTTTTTGCCAACCATTCTATAAGGCTATGCTGTTCATTATGTTCATTAGATCCGTTAATATTCTTCTACTGATTTTTCAGATTCTAGTTAATAATGCAATGTTCTTCCTAACCCAGTAACTTTTCAGACTTAACAGAAGCCATTGACGAGTTTGACACATAAAAATCAGCAAAAATGTTGATTGAAACTTAAATATGTTCATTAGAATATGGAATAAAAAAGAGGAGAAGCAATCAGACATGATAACATGAATGCACACATACTTTTTATTTGTATTTTTACTTGCATGATTTAATTAAAAGCCTTTAAAGCAAGCATCTATGGACTATTCAGATCTATACTCATTAAAAGTGTCCAGAGAATCAGCATTCATTTGCTGAGTGAGATTTAAATACTCCAAAGAAGAGAGTTAAGTCCAGGTTCTGGGGATGGATTTGGAAGCAGACTCAGAGTAATTCTTGCCCTGTTACTTATATTCTCTCTCTTAATTAGTTTATGGCTAAAATGGGCAAACCGCTACCTGCTTTACAAGGATGGTACAAAATGTAAATCAAAATGAATATTTGTGTGTTTCTTCTGAAGTGAGGGATGAAGTTTGCTTTTTTGTAAAGTATCGTTGCAGAAACACACTACAGAGACTGTTTCTTCATATCAATAGAGTTTAGGAATGTTGCTGGTGATTCATCATCCCACTAAGTTGGAAAATAATTATCTTTAAAAGTCTGGTTACAGACTTAAAGAAATGACTATTTAGACATATTGAATATAATTATTTCATTACATACAGTATCTTTTTAAAATTAGTTTGAGCCATCTGAAATTGTCATTTTCATAGGTCCAAAAAGTCAAATATTGGCAATTTCAGATGGTTCAACCTAATACAAAAGCTACATTCACCTAAGAAACAAACTACATTTCAAATCATAACATGCAAACAGAAGTGGCGGGTTTATGTGCATTCTCCTGCAAGGGATTGGCTTGAATTAGCTTTCTCTCAACATGGAGCTAAGGATTTTTCCTGTTGCTTTAAAATGCTTGACAGAATTTGTGTTAAATTATTGTGCAATCCCTTCATAAATTGGGAAGCGGTGCGGAATTTTTTCAGGTGGAGCTATAGGTAGATCTGGTGAACATATTTCGAATATACCAGCAAAGCTGGTTGAGTTAGTTGAGTTAGTTGAAACCCATGGTGATATTTATTTGTAAGTTGGAAATGGCTCTTAGAATGATGCCCATTTACAAAAAACAAAAACAAAAACAAACAAACAAAAAAGTGTTTGAAAAGCCTTATCTAAAGAGACACTGTCTCCTTTCAGAAATACTATTATCTTTTATTCATTAAATAGAACAAATCAAGTTCCAAATGCCATATTGAAATTGCTGTGCTTTTGTTGTTTTTTATTACAAGAATAAAAGGGTCTAGCCTCTCTTTCTCTTTTCCTTAGAGTGTTGTTTTATAAAGGAAGTCAGGCATTATTTTGTTTATAATTAAAGACTATGTACTAAAGCACAATTTGAATAAGCAACTTTAATTAATCAAGGGAAAAAAACCAACAACCTTCTACACCCATATTTCGGTTTCTAAGAATGAGTAAAAAGGGTTTTCTTTTTTCCCCTTTGAGGTTAGAAGCAGGTCAGGTCAGTAATTGGAGCTGGCTAGTCATCAGCTGGTTTGACCTGCTAGGCTAAAATTTTCTTTACTACAGGAAAGTGTAATCAGAAAACCAGATGTATCCTCATCCTGAGACTGGAACATAATGAAAAGCAGACAGTCCATTTATTTTCTCCAAGCCTTTCAGATTTTCATTCAGCCATTTGGGGCTTGACTTTGCACTGGACTGAGGAACTACAGTGGGAGGCATTATTTAACTGGATCACAATCCAGAGATGTCCAAATTGAGATTCAAATGCTTGCATTGTCTTGGATCTCCTATTTCCTTCAAAAGTTGATTGCTATTATGTGTTTTTGCCTGAAAACAAAGAATGAGCTACAGATTTCAAGTAAATAGCTAGGAGACTGTTCATTACAGGCTTATCCTGGTTATAAGAGCATTCTCCTGATTGTGTACCTGGGATTAAATGAGGAACAGAACAGCATACCCTTCTGAAGGTGGAGGAAGGGTTACATACAGTTTAAACAGGCATATTCCATATAACTCTTATTTTTATAACATAAACTACCTTATTCTGTATTCAACCCTGTAAATGTATTTGCCCTACTTTCATCCTAAAGCTTCTCAGGTGCTCCCTAGCCCCATTCCATTATTGAAATTCATACACATATCCCAGTTTTCATTAAAAAAGAAGTCACCTATGAACATACATGTGCATGTATCTTTGTAATAGAATGATTTATATTCCTTTGGGTACATACCCAGTAATGAGATTGCTGAGTCAAATGGTATTTCTGGTTCTAGATTTTAGAGGAAACACCACGCCATCTTCCACAATGGATGAACTAATTAACATTCCTACCAACAGTATAAAAATGTTTCTATTTCTTCACAACCTTGTCAGCGTCTGTTGTTTCTTGAGTTTTTAATAATTGCCATTCTGACTGGCATGAGATGGTATCTCATTTTGGTTTTGATTTGCATTTCTCTAATGACCAGTAATGTTGAGCTTTTTTTTTTTATATGTTTGTTGGTCGTGTGAATGTCTTCTTTTGAGAAGTGTCTGTTCATGTCCTTTGCCCACTTTTTAATGGGGTTGTTTGTGGTACATATGCATGATGGAATACTATGCAGCCATAAAAAGGAATGAGATCATGTCCTTTGCAGGGACATGGATGGAGCCAGAAGCCATTATCCTTAGCAAACTAAAGCAGGAACAGAAAACCAAACACTGTATGTTCTCACTTATAAGTGGGAGCTGAACAATGAGAACACATGGACACAGGTAGGGGAAAAATGCACACTGGGGCTTGTCGGGGGTAGGGTGTGGGGAGGGAGAGCATTAGGAAAAATAGGTAATGCATGCTGGGCTTAATACCTAGGTGATGGGTTGATAGGTGCAGCAAACCACCATAGCACACGTTTACCTAAGTAAAAAACCTCCACATCCTGCACGTGTACCGGAACTTAAAATATAAATAAAAATGTAAAAAGAGAAGTCACCTAAAAAGTAGTGGTTTTTAAACCCAATTTTTGTAGACATAATTGTGTAGATTATGATACTGTTGGAATGCTTTGAAGACAGGCTTGGACTGGTTTTGGACATTAAGTGGTCAAAGGCTCTCTAACTATAATAGTGACAAAATATTTATTGGAAACATAGATGAATAAAGAAAAAAATTCAATTAACAAAACTATTAGTCTTCTGATAGATGTTTTTAAGGACTGCAATTAAGGAGGAATCTTCACCACAAACTGCAGAAAAGACTGTTTAGACTTCTGAAGGGCCCTACCATGTAGAATAAAAGGGTCAATACTGTTCTTTTACCTCTTCTATGTAGTTTTCAAAGAAGTTAGGTCAGGAAATGATCTGGAAGAATCAAGATGCTTACGTACTTTATATACATATGAGTCAAAACTGGAATTATGCCTAGGGTACAGAAAAGAAACATTGCATTCTTTAGCTTCTGATTTTAATTCAGTGAAGGTGTTGAAGGAAATAAGGAATGTCTGGTAGAATATATTATTTTATGTGGCTTGGATATAGTTTAAAAGAATCAGGAGAGGGAGATGAGCTATAACAATCCAAATTAGGGATCCATAAAAATAGTTGTGGAAGACATGTATTTTCTGAATCATCCCAGTCAGACATTGCAAACCCTTAGTTATTGGAATGCTTTAAGCACGACAGATGAGTTTATTATTTGTACATACAGTAGATATGTGATCCTGAAAAGGTTGGTATAATTTATCTCACCTTTTCAAATGTCTAGTCCCAGGAATTGTTCCAGGAAATATAGAAAAGAAAAAACTGAGAAGGAGAGTTTAAAAACCTCCATTCTTATGTCCTATCTTGAGCCAAAAGGGTAGGTGCTTTTCCCAGATCCAAGATTGGAGAGGGAGATCTCCTCTCTGGCTGAAGTTATCTTCTTGGGATCATTTCAAATGTTAGTCACAAAATAAAATATTTTGTGCTGGATTTCATTGTAACAGTGTAGAATTTTATTCTATGAAGTTATTCTACTGTGAGAAAAAAATGGAAGTACTTTGGATCTGTGCTCCCTGTGTGACGTTTGGAACGAACGAAAGGAGAGAAGAAATGAGAGAGCCTGGCTGATAGATTTTTGGTGATGTCCATTCTTCTTCCTTCCTCCTGAGTGAATGCAGCATCTCCCACAGATACCCACTCTCCCAATCTGACGTTTCTCTTCTCAGCTTCCCTTCGTCTTTTGTTCTCTTTGATTTTTCTGTTTTCTCTTTTGAAATTCTCCCACCCCTGCCCCAATTTTTCCAAGGTTTAAAACCACTGACAGGTGGGAAGGAATGGGTAAGATTTCAGTAGCTGTGATTGGGAATCCCTTATGAACTTAAGAACTGCACGAGTAAATATGGTATGTCCCAGACAGACATTGAACTTAATATGTTTGGGCCTATCCTAAGGAATTAAAAAAGGAAGTCGACTATTTGCTAGAAGAGATTTCTCTATACTTTCTTTTTAAAAAAAATTTTATAATATATTTTATTGAAACCAATATATCTAAAATATTGTTATCATTCTATACTTTCTTACTTGAAACAGTGATTTGACTGCAGGTCATTTTGTTTTTTTGTCTTGTCAAAAGTATGTTAAGAAAAGGAGAGAAATGCAAGGATAGGAAAATAGCAAAAATGGCTATGAAAAAGGCCAAGACACTGGAATGAGCAACTCAAATAATTCTCATTTCTTGTAAGTCTTTTCCAGCCTTACTCTCTGTGCTGAATCATGACTTCTCTTGACTTGGCCTTGGGAAAAAATGGTCATATGATGAAATTTTTCTTTAATGCACTGACCAATTATGTTTCTCCTCACATAGTCATTCTTCCTCTCTCCCCTCTGGACGTAAACTCCACATATTTCCAATTTCTTTGTTTCTTTTTCACCCCCATCAACAAGGTGCCTGTTCTAGGTTCCATTCTCTCAAGATTCTGCTTCCTATGGTGACCACTAAAACCTGATGCAATGAATTCAGGGGAACATGGTCATAGAAAGTTGGATCTCTGATTCAAATCTAACCTTACAGAAAACTGACAATGGAGGGCTTCTTATGCCTTTGTCAAATAGTAGGGAAGACTGTCCTGTAACGTGTATGACTGTGATCGTCTTCAATTTTTTTTCCCAAAGGCAGAGTCTTGCTCTGTCACCCAGGCTGGAGAGCAGTGGCAAAATCTCAGCTGACTGCAACCTCCACCTCCCAGGTTCAAGCAGTTCTCCTGCCTCAGCCTCCCAAGTAACTGTCATTAAAGGCACGCACCACAATGCCTGGCTAATTTTTGTACTTTTAGTAGATATGGGGTTTCACCATGTTGCTCAGGCTGGTCTCAAACTCCTGGCCTCAGCCTCGCAAAGTGCTGGGATTAGAGGCGTGAGTCCCCATGCCTGGCCTTGTCTTCACATTTTACCCTGTAGACCACGAACTTGTGCTACCATGATTTTAATTCACCTTGTCCTTTTAACATTTTTATTTCTTCCTTTCTTAAATTTTTTTTTTTTTTTTACTACTTTCATCCCACTGACTAAAGCCCACTTTGTTGAAAGGACATAAAAAAAGACACCAAGTCATTTAAAAGGTTTTCTGTTTTTTTAATCTAAAACTGCATATTCTACTTAATGTAGAATTTAGATCTCTAAAATAAAACAAAATATGGCAGATATGTACATCATGCATTTTAAGTGGAAGCTAAACTATTTCTTAGAGAAAAAAATATATAAATTATGCTGAGAGCAAATCTAGGCAAGTCTTTCAAGATTTGCCTGTTTGAAAATGTAACAATGATCTTAAAACTGAATGTTTTATGTTAACTGCAAATAAATTTTAAATTCAGTCAGTCTGAGTCAGATTAATGTTCTTCTCCTTAAGGATGTAAGATTCATTCTTGGGATTTTGTTAAGTAATTAATTTTGATATCAGTGTATGGGTTTAGAATCAAACAATATCTTGGAAAAAGACGTATTACAAATTTAAAGAAGGACCAAGTAGAAATAAAAATGAGAAAAAAAAGAAGATTCAGTATTATAATGGTGTGTGACTGAATCTTTTTAATTTCATGGAGGATTAATTTTTATCAGTTTGTGAAAAATAGACATTTTAAGATCTCATACAGAAAAAACAAATCAGCAAAATTCTTTGCTTTAAGATGCATGTTTAGAAATTAAAATCATAGAGTTTTGAGCAAAGAGAATATTTAATTTGAGTGTAAAACGCTCCTTTAAAGCCAGTGCACAGAATGGTGAAGACGAGTCACAGACTAGAACTTATTTACATGACTTTTTTGGAGTGGAGGTGGTAGTTGCTTTTTCTAATTGGCTATGTAGTCATTTTTACTTTATCTCACTTATTTTCCTTCCAGAATAGTGCCAGGAAATTATGTTTTGGCTTCACTTCTGAATCAACATTGATGGCCGCCATCTGCAGAGGATGAGTGAGAAGGAACAATTTAGCATGAGTGTCAGCATTTCTGAGAGTAATTATGTGTTTTTAATTGACACAGTTATATATATATATATATATATATATATATATATATGCATATTCATATAATTTTATTATATTGACCTATATAAAATTGTATTTAATTAGTATATATAATTTTGATTGATAAAGGTACAAATATACAGAGAGAGGTATTATATTACTGTGAAAAGAGAAGGTGCAAAAATACCACAAACTAAATGATAAATGGTTTTGATATATACAAAATAGACATGGAAATTTTTACGAAGAGAAAGTAAACGTAAAAATGATATGAAAGAAATTAGAAAAAAAAGAAAGAATGAGGAAGGCATCGCTGAATATTAATTGGTAGGTTAGGGATTTTGAAGGTGCTAGAACTTAAATTCCATTAAGCTTTCTCTATTTTTCTATGTTTTATTTCCCTGAGAAAGGGAATCTTAATATTTACTATATTTACTTAGTTGATGTCTGATATTTAGCCACTTCTATTAATACCACTTTTGATTCAGGTGACTTTTATTATTGTTATTAACCATACTGCAATCCACGTGTGCAATATGTGGTGTCTTGCCTGTGTCTTCTCATTCTTGTTATCAGTTCCTCCCGGTTCAGTTTCTTTGAAAACCACAGAAGGGAAAACTCAATGGAGAACTTGCGAACAACTGGGTCAGGAACAACTGTGGCTGCTTTTCAGGGCTCTGATCTGGGAACCCCAGATGCAAAGACATGCTGACGTCCTCTCGCTCAGCCATCACCAGGCAACAGGTCAACCAGCTCGCTTCATCAACCTCAGTGTGCAATGTAGCTCAACAAATGACTGATTGACAATCCTTTATAAATATTAACATGGTGCAAAAGTAATGGCAAAAACCACAATTACTTTTGTACCAACCTAATGCTATTGACTGTGTTGTCACATGCGTGCATTTGGATTTACTGAGGCACTGATTCAGAGGGTATTATCTGGACTTGTTAAACATTTTGACTCAGTAAGAGTAATATTCCTAATGTACTTCTTTTTTTGGCATAGAAACACTATGTTGAGTCTTATTTTAACGTTTCAAGGTTTCAAATTTTTCAGTTTGCTAAGCAGGTATGTGTATAGAACTTCTCCTAGGGGGATGAGGAGGACATGAATGATTGAGTTGAAGACAAGAGTTGAGCAATTACGTGTGTTGTGCCTTTGCAATATGGATAGAATCTATTACATTTTTTTAACAAAACCCTAAAACTTATTCAGACGATAAGTACTATTCTTCAAATACCTTCCTTAATATTACGAATTTGTTTAATGATTGATGTTACTCAAATGTGCTTACAACTCTTCTCTTGGAATTACTCTTGGAGTCAGTTTAGGAACCAAAAACATAATCCATCTATTTCTTCTGGGCACAGCACTTATTTTGACCAAATAACATTATGCAGGTGGATTATTCACCCTTATTCACCAAACTTGGCTCTGAATAGCCATTGCCTTTTCCCCCCTATCCAGAAATGAAGGCCACATACAAAGTCTGAAGATTGTTTACCAATGACAAAATTCCAAAGAAAAGCTTAGAAAATGATTCACAAAAGGAATTTCAAACATGGAAGTGTTTGAGTGATGGCAGCGTCACAGGAATGATATTGTCACGAAGCCATAGTGTGAAGGAGCAAGCAGCCACATGCCGGGCATTCTGGATTATGTGTGTATGTGCGGGTGAATTCTCCAAATAGGGAGAGTGGAAAAGCAGAGTTCAGGGGCTTGTTGCACACTACTCTCTAGGCCAGTGTCTGGATACCTAGTGTGGCCAGATGTCGGACTCCAGCCCTGAGATTCTGCAGCCGGGATCCCCGCACTGGACAGCGTCACTTGAGCTGCCCCAGTCCCTCTACTGGTGTGATCAGGATACTGGAGCCAAGGACTTGTGGCAGAAACTGGTTTCAGCTGCAAGCTCACACCTTGACCCATATTGAATGCCTAAGCACTAGTCCATAATGACTTCCATGGGCCTCTTGAAGAGGCCAGTCTGAAAGGAGTTGGCCTTCAGCAGTTTACCTCCCTATGAGCTGTGTCCTAAATATCCCTTGGAACGGAACGGTACGGACCCGTCTCTATCAAATCTACCACCTACTAAGAATGGGTACTAGATTGAGGGGCAATGTCCTAAATCCAACTATATGTGGTTTTGTGACTTTGAATAAATCACTAGACCTGTCTGAGTCACAGTCCCTTAATTTTTAACGTGCAAAATAATTCTAGACTTGTTTTACTTTTGCAATGTTATTATATTCTCTCTGTAAGATTAAGTGCCTAATGAGTCTTCATACTGTTGCCCATTATTTTGGAAATTTATGTGAGGTTAAAAACAGAGACTTTTAACTTTAATACTGCATCTAACACGTCATTTGCCTACACAATAACTATCCAGAATGTGTAAAATCAGCCTAGATAAAAATTAGGACACTGTTGTTCATCGTGGTAGCAATTTAAATGTTATGAGGTTTTTTTGGTTTGGTTTGGTTTGGTTTGGTTTTTATATAAATTCCTATCTCCTAATCCCTTTAGATTATCAAATAGTTGAAGAAATATTTCATTCATAAAAGCTCATAGTGGGCTTAAATGAGTCACAGGCCCATCTCATATATGTATACTCTGGCCAGATAAGCTTTGTTTTTTCAGAGATTCAATTTTAATAAGGCTTTTATGGAACTTGCTATTTCTGCAGTGACTTTCTCCACACGTCATGTGGATTGGCATTTCTTTTCTTCAAGTATGCCTGGATCGTACACCCTGACATGCTCATAAACTAAATGCAGAAATGGCACTGTAGAAATAATTATTTCATGCACAACATCCGTTAACTTCTTTCCATTGTTTAACCTCAGACACATTGTTCTCATTTCCACTCTTCACAAGACATTTGTTCTTTCCACTGTTCTCTACTTTAAGTGGATGAGGTTCATCTGGTTTGTTGATGTTATGAAATATGGAATTCTCATATTAATGGTTCCAAAATCATATGGGAATACTTTACACCATGTCGTTGCCGTGACGCAGCATTACCTGGTATCATATAGAATGAGTTAACATGATATTAAATTACTCCTTTTTATGTCATTCACATTTTTTATTTTCTGAGGACCTTTGTCTTACTTCCTCTCTATGAAGTGTGCAACTATGACACTGAGACAAGAAATCTCATTGTGTTTAATTGGAGTTTGATCTTTATATAAAATTATGTATATCCGTGTATTTACTCCAGGGTTTGAGAGAAGGGATGCTAGAAAGTGGCACTGGAGGAAGTTCAATTATTTCATGTTTGTTTGGTCTATCTAGTCAGATAAAACAGGTCAATGGATTTAAAATAAACCTATCAGAAAGTGATCTGAGCCTTTGCAAATAATGTCAGTTGACTTTTCCAGAATATTAATTTTGCAGCCCGAGATCATGTGGGTCAGGAATTCTTTAGCTAAGTGAAAACAAGCAGATGATTTCAGTTAAACTCTAATTTTAACCAACTATGACCTAGTATACATAAAGATGGCCACGCCTTCACCTAAGAGCCAAAGAATTATTGTAACTGCTCTCGTTTGATTTTTCTTTATTCTTTTAAAGTCCTGATATTTACTAAAGTATTCAAAGCTAGAATGGTGGTTCTCAGACTGAGTGTGCATTGAAGTCACGCATTGAATCAGAGTAGAGAGCAGCTCTATGTGATTAAAACAAGACTACTGGTCCCGCCCCAGCCTTTCCAATTTTGTGTGCATGGGGTGGGGCCAAGGCTTTGCATTTCTAAGCAGTTCCCAGTTGATGCTGAGGCTGCTGGTCCAGGGAACACCCTACAAGAAGCGCTGGGGTGGACTACAGCAAGGAGAAAGAGGGAAAGTCATGGGCAGCATCATCACCGTCCGGTGCGCGTGCCGTTTCCAATTTTCATGAAATTTAAAATAAGATTCACACCAAGAGCTAGATTTAAATCTAAATCAGAATTGAAGGGTGCAGATTTTTAAAACTATAGGCTCTTGAGAATAGTTCCTCTTCTTTTAATCTCTTCCTCATAATCATTCATACTTAAGGCTGCTGCTCAGTGAATACTGCAGAACTATAGACCAGAGACTCAGAGCTGGAAAGGACAACTGAGCAAAACATTTGAGCGAGCCTGCTCCGGAGAGAGCAGATGAGGGACTCGAGTTTTGGAAAGAACCAGGGACTAGGATCCAGCACACCAGGCTTTCAGCCTGGACTCCTGCACTTTACAATTTTGCAAAGTTAAGAGACACAGCAAGACATCCCCACATTCTCTTAGGAAGGAAATAAGCTTGCCTATTGCAGGTTCAGCTGCAACATCAACACCTAAAGCAGCAAGTACAGATGTGCAAAACGACCCTCTAACAGACCCACAGGGCTTGTGAGACTGCAGTGCAGCTTACATTCATTTCCATATCTGGAGAAAAACAAAATGTTTCCATTAGGCACCCAGTGTCTGCAATGGACATGAAGAAGAGTCTCACAGGCATGTGTTGCTACCATCCCTCTAGAGAAGAGAGGCACACTGGCCGAGGGACTCCTGAGCACCTGGCTCCCTTGGTAAGAACCTCTCAAGTGCAATGGCAATGGGCGGAGCTTCGCCAAATAATCTCCTAGTAGCAGAAGCTGTCCCTTCCGTGAGATGCGCAGCTCAGCACACCTTTGCCTGATGCCATTTAAATACCCAGTACTCTCACCCCTTGGTGATTAGTCTGTGCTCACAAGAAGATTCTGATTGTGGATCGGCTTCCCCTGGGAAGGTCTGTGAATTTAAAGTGTTTTGGTTCCTGCCACAGTAAATTCTCATAGTTAATGAATAAGTTGGCTTGGTATACAGGGAGAAAGAGCTGCACACACTACTTTGAATATCAGGTCCTTATGCAGTCAATCTTTGGGGTATCTCAACAAAGAGGCTCCTGACGGTGATTCGATTTGTCCAATGGCTTAACCTTCGGGACAGAATGTCTTGGTCTTGCTAATTGAGGCTGTGTGACAGCTTTATTTCTCTGAACTTATTACACTGGCATTCTTGCTTTACACTTTAGTCTAATGAGCTCAGAAAATGTGCCTCTGCCCCTGAGTAGCAGCTTGTAAAGTGGGGCCAGCCCTGGGACCCTGGCAAATCCTTCAGCTCTGTAATGCTGCACGGGGCCTTGGGGAGCTGGGCTGCTGGCCTGAGTCTTCGCGGCAATAACCACGCATCACTGTGAGGTGGTGGCCCAGCATTTAGTTTTCACTTTTACTAGCTATTGTTATAGCACAAATTGCTTACCCTCCCTGGGAGGCTCAGATAATGGGTCTGATGTTCGTTTTGACATGGAATTTAATAAACTTCCTAATCTAATGCAGGGTTTTGTTAAAAATAATCTCAAGGGAGAAAATGCCCATATTTAATAGACTAAACTTTTCTTCCAGCATGTGACTTGTATTTGCAGACTCTTGTTTGCCTGTGAGTTCACTGCAATCGTTTCTTCGGCATCCACCAGAGCATTGCCTTTGCCCTCCGTGTTCCCCAAATCTCCATTTCTCTGTCTCCCTCGCTTCTCCCCATCAGGGCAGGCTTCGTGAGAAGGTGACTCCTCCAGGCACGTGGGGCCCCTACTCCCAGAATGACCTGGTGCTTCCCTAACCCTCTATTGTCACTGTCTAGGGCTGCTAATAAATGGCCAATTTATTAGCTGACGACTCCAAAATCTATATTCTGATTCCAAAAGTCACTGCTAAACTCCGGGTGGAGTCGAGATAATTGTCTCCAAGCCATCGCTATCTTGATGGTAGCATTTCTCAGCTGAAAGATATTTTCCAAGTCAGTTAAAGGAGCCCTCACTTATTCAGCATTCAAACCAGAAACCTTGGGTGCTCTCTTGCTCCTTCCTTTCTGGCAAGGCATTTAGTCCCTTATTCAAACCATTCAGCCTCCTAAGGCACCATTTCTTCTGTGAATATGTAGCACTTCCACCTGGCCTGTTCTCTGTTGTCACTTACTCCTGCTGTTTCCATCCATCCGTGTTCCCAACCTCACTACTACATCCCTCTCCTGTTTAAAATGCACCAGGAAGAAGTCCATGCTTTCTATGGCATACAGATGTCCATGTGGGCCCCTCGCTTGGAATTCTGGCCTAATCCCTTCACATGGGTCTCCCAGCTCAAGCATTACCAAACTAATGGTAAATGTTCTAAAAGGTTCATGCTACCAGGGCCTTGAGGCTTTTCAAACGTTGCTCCTAAAGTCTGGGATCTCTAACTTCCTATCAACTGCATGGCACTGTTCTATGTTACTCTAGACCTGGGAGCCCAATCTTTTGGCTCCCCTGGGCCATATTGTAAGAAGAAAAATTGTCTTGGGACACACATAAAATCCACTGACACTAACAATAGTAAGTGAACTAAAAGAAAAAAAAAATCTCATAATGTTTTAAGGAAGTTTACAGATTTGTGTTGGGCCACATTCAAAGCCACCCTGGGCCGCATGTGACCTGCAGGACACGGGTTGGGCACACTTGCCCTAGACAGAGTCTAAATGTGGCTCCCTGCAAAGACTTCTCTGACCTTTGCAGGTGGTGTGCTTCCACCTCTGTGCTCATAGCTATGAACATAGGTTCATAATTTTATTAGAGAACTTCTGTCATTATACTGAAATTTTGCTCATGTGTCTTCTCCCCTAGGAAGAGATATCTTTGAAGGTGGAGAGTTAGCTTGATTTATTCCTCTTCTCAAGTGCCAACCCACTGAAGGTGCTTGAGAAATGTTTATGGGCTGAAGGGAGAACCGGTGTTATGAACTGAATGTTTGTGCTCACCCTCTACAAAAGAATGTATATGCTGAAGCCCTAATCACCAATGTGACTGGATTTGAGGTTAGGACCTCAGGAGGTGATTAAGGTAAGATGAAGTCATAGGGTGATGTGCTAATGTGTTAGGATTAGTGCTCTTATAAAGAGAAATAACAGAGTGCTCTCTCTCTCTCTCTCTCTCTCTCTCTGTCTCTCTCTTTCTCTGTCTTTGCCAAGTGGCTATCCACCAGCCAGGAAGAGGGCCCTCATCAGGATGTGAATAAGGTTGCCCAAGACCTTGATCTTGGACTTCTCATCCTCCAGAACTGTGAGAAATATATTTCTGTTTTCTAAGCCACCCATACA
Organism: Homo sapiens; assembly: GCF_000001405.40. NCBI lineage: Eukaryota > Metazoa > Chordata > Mammalia > Primates > Hominidae > Homo > Homo sapiens. Next base: position 106,105,152 of record NC_000013.11, on the reverse strand, counting down.
TGGTATTTTGTTATGATACACCAAGGTAATTAAGACAAGGTGGTTATGAATATACATGCCATTATACTGGGAACAGCTTGTATTGTGGGTGAACCAATTGCATTTTAATCTTAGACTAGGTGAATTGCTCACTGTGCCTCAGTGTTCTCTTCTTTACAATGGGTATAATAACAAAACCCACATCAAAGGATTGTAGTGAGGATGAAGTAAAATAGTATGGGTAAAATTGCTTAGAACAATGGCTGGTACTTAGTAAGCATGCCATAAATATCAGCTATCATTATTATGACCTATAGATATTCCTACAGAAAACTAGAATACAATCATTTAATGCAAGAAAAGCCATTTAAGAATGGCAATGCATTTATTCTTCCTTCCCTGACTTATTCAACAGATATCTGTTGACACACACTACATGCTGTGCACTGTTTTCGCTGCTGGATACAGAGCAGAGAACAAGCCCAACAGAGCCGTGTCCCATGGGCAGAGGCTTATACTTTAGTGGAGCAACAAGCAATATGAAAACCTAAGTACAATAAGAAAAAGGGGTAAAAAGTGTCAGCTGGAGGGTCACATTCTTTTCTGGTCCTGGTAGGACAGGTCTGTTGTGAGGAGGGAGCCCATGGGAATGGCAGCTGCTCCACAGGGGAGGTTGGCACACTGCTCCAAGGATACTGATGAATTCTAAAGTATTAAAAGTGAGTCAGAAAGAAAGGGGAACAAGACAAACAAAAGCCCCAAACAGTCATGGGCTTGGTATGTGTTTCTGTCCCAGTGAGGGCCTGACTGAGTAGATAAAGCTCCATAAAACGGGGAAGGATCTTTGTCCTTTTTCCTCTCTGAATCCCCAGTACCTAAAAGTGTATGTGCAACACAGTGGCTGCTCAATTAAAACTTGTTGCCTGAATGAATGGAAGATGGAGCTTTGAAAGTTTCCAAAGAATTTGGAATTTTTCCTTAGAGCAATTAGTGCCACTACAATCTTTTGAATAGTAGAGGGACAGAACAGACAGGGTTTTAATTAGACTAACGCCAAGAGGTGTGAAGAATGGACTCACCAGGGGCAGAGAGACCAAGGGTATGGAAGCTGTTACAGTCATTCTTGTGCAAGGAGATAGGACGTGGATTGGGGTGGAGGCAGGAGAATGAAGGGGAAGGGCTGGGCGGAAGGTACGTCGTAAAAGGGTTCGTGCCTGTGGTCTGATTGCACCAGGCTGACCAGGAAAGCCAAGTTTAAAATAGCAGCAAAGCTGAAGACAGGCAAAGTCAACACATGGGCTGAGGGAGAGGCCATGGAGGTATTCTGGTGAAAGGTGGGAAGCAGATCCGTACCCGTGATAACACCGCACCTCTTGGTTGTTCCGTTGGAGGTGATGAGTTGGGTTGATGACGGGTACCTGGCGGGATGCTCAGGTGGTGCACACCAGTGAGGCTGTGCTGGTAGTTTAAGGGGAGGCTGTGCTTTTTGCTGTGGTCGCTGCTCTGATTGGGGATGCCCCTGCCCTTGCAGGGAGTACAAAGTTTTGATGCTATCCCTGACTATACCCACGTCTTCCCTTTCCTTCAGCCATGCTCAAAGTACACATATCACTGTCTCCAGTCTGACAGGTGTTAATTATGATTTGTGCTGAGAAGAAAGCAACAGAATATGCCTCTACTGATACGTACCAAATATATCTATCTCACCGGGTACTGACATGCACTGGATGAGAAAAAGTTTCTCAGATTGGGAATGGTTGGAAAGTAAAAGTATAAAGAATAGGCATCTTGAAGATACACTACTGTAAAGCCATTTGGACACAGAATGGCTGGAAAGAACCTAAAGAAGAAAACAACATATAAAAGGCAGAGAGCTAATATTTGTTTTATTCAGAGTCTGGCTCCAAGAGAGAATGCAAACGAATGTGAGAGGGTGTTTAATCTGCTCATATCATCAGACCCATAGGATCATTCGTAGTTACACCTGCTAATGATACACATCTGCCTAAGAAAACCATGTTTTTAAAAATAGACAGTGGTATAGTGCCTGGTGTGTACATATATTTTGCATCATCTTGAGAATATCTGAAAATTTTCTATTGAATGCATGCAGAGGAGGTCATGCATTCATTTATTATTTCAACAAATATTTGGTACCTCCTCTGAGTGAGGTGATGTGTCAGGCCCTGGGAAGACATTACAGGCAAAACACAGTTTCTGCTTCATCGAACCGATAGTTGAGTGAGACAGAAGTCACAGCCCAAGGGAGCATGATGTTTCTTTGAAGTATGAATTTGCTTTTATAAATTCATATGAATACGAAGTATATCTGTGTTTGCTCTAAAATGCATTGCTTTAAAATAATGTATACTCCGTGCAAATCTCCATTCAAAAACTCACGTTGTACCAGAAGAAAGAGCAATATATTTTCTATGAGCTAATTTAAATGGTATTTTGGGACCCCTTCCTGCATAGCTGGCTGATATGGTCTGGTTCTGTGTCCTCACCCAAATCTCATCTTGAATTGTAATCCAAATTGTAATCCCCATGTGTTGGGGGAGGAACCTTGTGAGAGGCGATGAGATTGTGGGGGCAGTCACCTCATGCTTTTCTTGTGATAGTGAGCGTGTTCTCGTGAGATCTGATGGTTTTATAAGACGGTTTCCCTTTTTTGCGTGGCACTTGTCATTCCTGCCACCGTGTGAAGAAGAACGTGTTTGCTTCCCCTTCTGCCATGATTGTAAGTTTCCTGAGGCCTCCCCAGCCATGCTGAACTGCGAATCAATTAAACCTCTTTCCTTTATAAATTACCCAGTCTCGATAAATTCTTTACAGCAGTATAAGAACAGACTAATACCCTTGCAGGACCATTTGACCTCAGTGTATCTTGACTTTCCCCTTCCCTCCTCTGAGACCTGTGTTCAGGGGGTCTGAGGAAGGTCAAGACCTTGGAAGTGTGAAGCCCTGTTCAAATGTTTCTTCCAAGACAGCTGTCTCAAGCTCACTGTGCCCACAGGACAGGCGCTCCTGACTCTGGGGCTCCCCTACCACACTTGGTGCATAAGGGTCTTCTCTAGGCTGCTCATGGTTCCTCCAACTGTAACCATCCCCAATCTGAGCTCTTGCCAGCCCCAAAGATCTGCTTCTGACAAATATTCATTGCTCCAAGATCCACAGAACTCCATTCTTACCAGCGTGCCTCCAACCAGCCTTGACCATCTCTTTCTTGGCTTGAGAAAATCTTTCTCTCTTCGTGATTATTGCAAGGATATTTTGTCTGCAACAAAGGTTAGGTAATTTTAGAAACACCATACTAGGCTTTTTGCTGGGATATGACTTTATGGAGCCCTTGAGGAAACAGGCTCAGCCCATGCTACTGGCTTCAACAGAGAGAAGAAAAGGGATCTAATATGCAGGGAAAGAAAATACAAGTTAACATCTTATCTAAAAAAAGTTCCCAGCATAAATGTTTTATTTTCCTCAAATCATCTAGGATATTATTATGGTTAACTTTTGGCTTTAATCCCTCAGATATCACAATAATTAAATTTCTCTTACTTAACAAATATTTCCTGAGCACCTCTTACGTGCCAGGGACACTGTGAATAGAGTGGGCAAAAATCCCTGGTGTTCAGGGCCTGCCTTCTAGAGCCGAGCTGAGGGACTGAAGGAAAGAAGGTTGTCGAGGCATCCCCAGTTCTACTGTCATTATGTGGTCGCTTATGGGACTTCAAAGGTTTTATGAGGTTGAGCAGAAACCAGACATGGCCCACTTTACTGGCTGATTTTTCAGGCAGTTAATGAGATTTTTCAGTAGTATAATAATTGCTTGGTCACCCAACATTAGTCATAAAAGTAAATTTGAAGAGGGGTCAGACCACAGACCACTTTTTAAAAGACCCTCCTTTACAACATTTTTTTATTAGGAAACTTTTACTGTGAAATCATAGTTAGGGAAATATTTCTTCGGTCTCAGAGAATTATCTTTCTATTCTTTCTTCCCCCACCCTAGAGGCCACCTACTTCAGATTCCCTTCGCAGTGTTTGTTAAGTGGTTATCGTTATGCATTGTTAATGCCCCAAACACAGCTTTACATAAAACAGAAAATTTGAAAAGGCACTGAATACAAAAATAAAATATTCTCAGGGTACCCTTCATGTAGATTTGCTCGGCCGGCGGAGGGAAATGGACTTTAAAATTAGGTCATTTGCGTTAGAAACCCTAAGAAGCAAAGTTCCTCCATTCTGAATGCAGAAGTTAAAATCCAGGCCATTTTAAGACAGCTGGGGCGGCAGGGAGGAGAGAGCAGGACATGTAACTTTGTGTGACAGGCCGTCATGGCAACCGCAAAGGAATCCCCACCCCAGGGTGTGTGCCATTCACAAACAAAGGTGCTACCCTGCAGTCTTCAGGGGGAAATGTCTGGCCTTTTATCTCCTGCAAATTCCCCAGGCTCTAGGGAGGCCACACAAAGCAGGGGCTTTTTTTTTTTTCTGTGCTTACTCAGTCTCACTAGAAGGGGCCCTTTCTTCCAAACTCGGTTTCCCTTCCTGCCTCCCCACCCCCCAACCCAGCTAGTTTCTGCCCTTCCTGCCTTCTCCCCCTAAGCCAGGTGTGTCACTGCAGCACATCCCCTTCCTTATATCTCTGGGGACACCCTCAGCTTCTGGATCACAGCCACCCTGCCCTCTTTCCTAAGTCAGGCTGCTAAGCGTTAGGGAGGAATTTACTCTTAGTAAATTCTCAGTTCTTAGTAGGGCACCTCCCTCCTTGCACGCCCTGCCCTAGGGTGGGGACAGAGGGTGTGTGGCCTTTACTTTGTGAGAGGTTCCCAGTTTTGCTTTTTCAACGAAAGGGAACAAGTCATTTAAAAAGATAAGCACTGAGCCAGGGTTAAGGGAGAGCACAAAAATAAGATCATTAGAAATTGCAATTGAAGCCAAGTCTAACTTCGTGTCCAAAGATCAGGATTCTTGGCCTTTGTCACCACTGCTGAGTTCTCCTTCTTAAGGGCCCAGTTTGCTTTTTATAAGCTTCAAGTGCATTGTCCTATTTGAAAGATATCTTCTGCTTAGACAAAAAGAATTCTAACTTTTATTCCTTCGTTATCACACGTCCTCGGCCCCTGATTTGATCTCGGAGCAGGGCTCCAGGCAAACAGTGCCCCCTGAACTCTCGCCTCGGCTTCCCCGGCCTCCTCCCTGAACTCTCGCCTCGGCTTCCCCAGCCTCCTCTCCTCTTTGCAGTCTGGTTGCCTGACGCACGCAGCGCATGCTTGCTTGTCACAGACTGCTAGAATGCAAAACGATGAGAATTAATGCTGTTATTAAAGGATTTTTAAATTAAATGTGCAGTTTAGAGCCAGATGCTGCCTTCTTAAAGGAAGAGAAGTTTAAGTTAAAAAATCTGACAGATATTCGTTCCATCTAGCGTGGCAGAATTTATGGTAGATTACCGTCTTTGATTTCTGTGGCCTGGGGTTGTCAGGTCCACTTGCAAATGCGCTGTGGGAAAGAGTTGCACTTTTGTAATTTGAAAACATATGGGACATATGGTAAATATTACACCCATAACTGTTACGAAGTTCTGTTTCCTTAAAGGACCTTTCTTTTTTGCCTGTACCCTCCAGGGGATTACTTGCAAGAACCCCATTATCTTTCTACCTCTATTTTCCCCTAAAGTCGATTTGCTTTATTCTGATGCTTTAGAATCCCAGTGAAAAAATCTGGAAATCGAGTGTTTATTTTTCTCCAGGCATGACAATACAATATTCTACAACCTCTGGTCTCCTCTTGAGCTAATGTTTATTTTACTTTTCATCTTTGTGTTCAAAGATACAGGCTTTTAAAAAATGAGTTTGTATGTTTTCTCTTTGAAGCCATCCTCCCCCTATTATATCTGTAAGCGGGTCAATTAAATAGGTATTGACAAGTTATTACCCTAGGCAAAACCAAAAACCAACCAAGTCTCAGGATTTAAGAAATGAGATTATAATGTGCAAAATGATAAAGGTTATCATACAGTGCAAAGTCCTATGGGAATGCAAAGGAATGAGAAATCATGTCTGATTAGAATGATCAAGAACAACTTTATTGCAGAAGACACATTTGGAATAAGCCTATTACGGATGTTGTAAGAGGCAATATGGATAACTTAGGGCTCCTGCTGGGCATGGCTGTGAGAGGAATGTGTTTGTAGGCTGCTATGTGGCATCTCCCATTGTGAGACAGCCTCCTGGATTCCAAAGTTGGAATGGTCCAGAGTGGACAATGATGAGCTGGTGGTCCCCTCAAAGATATACTCACCAGTACGTAAGTCACCTATGAATGGTGCAAGGACATAGCACGGTGTGTGGTCATTTCTCCAGATTCTCTGAATTAGGTGAGGCAGGGGGATGGCAGGAATGTGCCTTTTTAAAAGCTCACTGGTTGGCTCTACTGATCAGGTTTGAGAACCACTAGAACTAAAGTACACCATAATTAGGAGAGCTAACTATGTCCCTAACTGTAAGTTCAGGGCTATACCCCAACAGAGTAGTTCAACCCAGCAGTGAGCTAACACATTTGCCTGTTTTATCCAATCCCCTTTTTACATTGAGTCAGGGTAATTTTTCTAAAATGCCAAACAGACTCATAAAATACTTCAGAGGCTCCCCACTGTCCCTAGGAAAATGCCTAATTGTTAACATGAACCACATGATGCTCTTTGATCAGATTCTTGCCCACTTTCTCATCTCATCTCTTCCCATTCCTCTTTTTACATTTCCTGCTCTAAACGTCCTTTTCCTCTCATCTCTAAGCCTTCTCCCATGGCTGACCTTTCAGGGGGCCTGCTCATTCCTATCTGCCACCCGGCAGTACTCTTCCCCCAGGTCTCCCTAGAAACCGCTTCCTGTACAAGGACCTCCCTAATACCTCCATCTACCCGGAAGCCTGCCTTTTATGATCTCAGAGCCATTTCTCTACTTTGAAATAATTGCTTATTAGTCTGTTACCTTCTAGAGAATAAACTTTGTGAAAACAAGAGTCAACTCACCTTCCTCAATCTTGCCCTTCTAGGAGCAAGAACATTCATCTCTCGGTATTCATGAAGTATTGGTTCAACTTCTCTCAGATACCGAAATTCAAGAATGCCCAAGTTCCTGATATAAGGTCTCAGAGTATTTGCATATAACCTATGTACATCCACCCATCTACTTTAAATTGCCTCTAGGTTACTTATAATGCCAACTACAATGTAAATGCATATTATACTCTATTTCTTAGGGGAAAATGACAAGAAAAAAAAAACTGTACATGTTCAGTGCAGACACATTTTTTCCCCAAATATTTTAGATCTGAAGTTGATTGAAGCCACAGATGTGGAACCCACAGATACTGAGGGCCGACTGTGCTGTGTCAACGGAGTGTGCTCACCATAAGCATTGTCGAAAGGATGATTAAATGAAAAAAATAAATGAATAAGGAAATTGAAAACATATTTTTCTCGAGGTCCTACAACAAACAAAAACTGAGGAACAAATTTATAAACAAACAACCAAAAAAGAGACTGACAGAATTCTTATGTTTTTGCTGAAATATAATCTAATTTCTAAGTAGAATTTTACTTTACAATTTGCTGGTGATAACTAAATTATATCACAGTACATTATCTTCAAACGGTTTTTATTGCTGTTGCTATAACTTCTTTTAAGTGTATCCCTCTGATTCAAAAGGCTAGCTCTGAAAAAGGTAAAATGCTTCAAGGACGATTCTAATTCTAATTTTTCAGATCTAGTATACTTTTTAATCTGCATTTGGAAATTATTTAGTTAACATACTAGCAGATAATTGAGAAAATGTGTTAAAAGCTGAAATAGCATACTAGTTCAAACATGTTATATGCCTTGTAACAAAAAGTATTTAAAATAAATTTGCTTCCTGAATTTTCTAGAATTCTGATGTAAGAGTGAGACATGCTCTCCCTGATATTTTAGGAACTTTCTAAGTGGCTCTAACTTCTTAAATTTTTGTAGTCATTCTACCAGTGTTAAGTGACGTTAGAAATTTTGTTTGCATTTACATTTCTAGTAACTGTAAAAATCCTCCCAGTTCCACGACTTTTAACCTAGGATCCAATGACCACACTCCTGTCCCCCGCCACCATCAATAGATTTTCAGGGAGGAGAGAGTGTTTACAAACCTTCTGCAGTTGCATGTAAACCTATGTGGATTTACTTATGTGCCTTTGACTGTGGTGAGGGGTAAGCTTTATGAGATTTTCAAGGGGCACTGTCTGAAAGTGTCCTGAGATGTTTCAGGAACCTGGATAGCTGAGTCCCAATTTGCACCTAATTTATCGTAAAACATCTGACCACAAAGTAAATATGTGTCACCAGGAAATAGGTACCATAAAAGTGACTAAGCCTGCAAAGAAAAGTACAGAGAGTACAGGTTTTATTGCTCCAAATCGCTTGAGGTCTCAGAAGGACAAGTGAATCTGGATTGGCACAGTAGACACAGACATTTAACAAGATTCTCCACCAAACTCTTAAGTACGGCATCTTGAGAAAAACCCTTTGGTGGTGCTGTACGTGATAAAAAACAAAGTTAAGACACAGATCTCTGCTCTCAAGGAGTCTAAGTATATATATATATGTGTGTGTGTATGTGTGTGATGTATACATATACATATACATATTCACACATATACACACATAAGCATGTGTGCCCTCTCACACACACATATCATTTTTAAAAAGATTGGTAGAGATTCACTTCAAATGGTCATGGGAGCATTCGGGAGAAAAGAAGGGAAGATTGATTACAACCGCGAGATTTGGAAGGGTTTCTGGAAAAGCTGGGGTTTAAGCTTATTCTTCAATAGACAAACTGAGAAAGAATGAAAAAGGGAGAGGCACTGCAGACAAAAGAGATTTGTTATAAGTGGAAGGAGAAGAGCACAGTCTTTGGGACAGGCAGTGGAGGATTACAGAGGACCTAAGTGTTTCTTTCCAGGGAGTGGAGTCTAATGGAGAACAATCGCGGAAGGATAGGTAGAAGCCAGATAAATATTTGAGTACTGGGCTGGGCATTTGTACTTTACTCCATATGTGGTCGGAAGTCACTGAAACTGAGTCTAACATAATATGATCAGAGTCTTGTTTGGAAACATGGTTTTGACAGCAGTATGTCAGATGCATCAGAGGAGGAAAAGACTAGAACAATCTATAATACAGAAGACTACATTGAAGTCCTCGAGTGGGGCAAGATGGCGAGCTTTATGAGAGTATATCCACGGAGCAGAAAGAGAGGGGGCAGACTTCCTTAGAGGGGTTTGCCAAGATTCCATGTATGATTGGATGTGCGTGTAAAATAAAAAGGTAAATTAAAGATCATTGCCAATTTTTAACTTTAGTTTCCTGGAGAGTTCATGATGCCATTAATTAAAGGGTGGAATAGAGTTAATGTGTAAATTTTTTTTTTTTTGAGAGGAGGCGCTGTGTTCTATTTTGAGCATGCTTTTAGGATTCCTGTGGAAAGGTGTCATCCACAGTTGGAAACGTGAGTGTGGGAAGATGAGGGCTTGCAATATGGCTTGCAACATGGGCAGGGAAGTTGTTTGCAAACTGGTGATAGTAGAGTCATAGAACGCACAAAATTTTAAAAGATGACTAAAAAAAGAAGGAGACTAGGCCAGAGGGTGTCAAATACTGCAGAGGTTCACCTGGGTGAGAAGGGAAGGCTGGCCAGTGTGTTAGATGATTCGGAAGGCATTGGTTTACTTTACTGGAAAAGTTCCAGTAGAATTGCAAGCCAAAATACAGACTTCATGGAATTTAGCGATGATGAAGAAGTCAGCAAGTAAAGAGAGTGAATAAGTCTTTTAAAATTTTAGTTGTAAAGGGAAGAACAGTAACACAGAGACCAGTGAGATTAGGTGTGTGTCGTTCAGGGCTAGGATAAAGGAGATTTTGAACTTGTCTTAGGTTGACAGGAAAAAGTCAGCAAGGCCGGGCGCAGTGGCTCATGCCTGTAATCCCAGCACATTGAGAGGCTGAGGCGGGCAAACCATTTGAGGTCAGGAGTTCAAGACCAGCCTGGCCAACATGGTGAAACCCCGTTTCTATTAAAAATACAAAAAAATTAGCTGGGTGTGGTGGTGTGCACCTGTAATCCCAACTACTCGGGAGGCTGAGGCAGGAGAATTGCTTGAACACAGGAGGCAGAGGTTGCAGTGAGCCGAGACGGGGCCACTGCACTCCAGCCTGGGTGACAGAGTGAGAATCTGTCTTAAAAAAAAAAAAAAAAAAGGCAGCGGAGGAGAAACTGGAGATAGGAGAAAAGAGATAGGAAAATTGATGAAGAAAGATCGTAGGGAAATATGTAAGCACTCTGAAAAAAATGGATACAAATAGATGAAGAACAAGAAAAACCTGTGAACTTTTCCAAGTTGTGGAGACTTATTTCAAAAAGTCAAGGGCCAAGACTCATTGTATATCTCTGTGCCTCTAGTAGAAGAAAATTGTGACTGAACTAACAATAAGCAACTTCGTGGCAAGACAATAGCTTGTTTAAATTGGACATATGTTACCACATCAAATTTTGTTGAGTGCAAAGAGAAATCATATCAAGTTGGTTTTCATTAACACAGGGCATCTACTTAGTACACTTCTTCATGTTTGTGTTTGATGACTAGGCCACAAAGCATCCTACAGATTAAAAAAAAAATTGAATATAAAGTATTTATTCAGTCTCAAAATAAAACTCTTATCATGGCATTGAACCAACATTGTATTGGTTCCATAAACAAATGTCATTGAATTTAACACAGTAGTTGCACAGATTAGATTTGTGTGCTCCACTGTGGGCACTGATGGTTTTTTTGAAAAAGGCAACAGGCCGGGCGCAGTGGCTCACGCCTGTAATCCCAGCACTTTGGGAGGCCAGGGCTGGCGGATCACGAGGTCAGGAGTTTCAGACCAGCCTGGCCAACATGGTGAAACCCTGTCTCTACTAAAAACACAAAAATCAGCCGGGCTTGGTGGAGGGTGCCTGTAATCCCAACTACTCAGGAGGCTGAGGCAGGAGAATCACTTGAACCCAGGAGGCAGAGGTTCCAGTGAGCTGAGATTGCACCACTGCACTCCATCCTGGGCAACAGAGCAAGACTGCGTGTCAAAAAATAAAATAAAATAAAATAAAATAAAATAAGATAAAAATAAATAAAAAAGAAGGCACCCTTCATGCCTAGTGACAATTATTTTCCTGCTATTATCATCCCTTAGGTACAGAGGAAGAGATGTCCAGAAATAAAATTTGTAATTTGTGCAACTTAATATACCCCGCAAATATATATATATATTCAATCCTTGTTGTAAACAAAATACAGGCTAAGGGCTGGGGGATCTACATAAAGGAGCTACTACTACAATGAGAATTACCATTTTTTTTAGATCCAACCATATCTGAGGAATTTTCTTAAATACTTTATCCTTTCCAAAGCTTTACAATGTATAACTATATTTCAGATGAGAAAACTAAAGCTTCAGCAGTAAAGTCACTCCTTCAAGATCACGCAGAAGCTGCTCAGGGTAGAAAAGGGGTTTCTGTAACTGGAGCTGCTCAGTACTAGCTCACAAGAACAGATTTTTAAATTTCCAAGAAGTTTTTTAGCTGGCTTATAAACACAGCTATTTTTATAATGTAAATGATATATATTTGTATAAACTATATTTTAAAAAGAATTTAGCCTCGTTGCAGTTGCTACTGACTATAATCCCAGCACTTTGAGAGACCGAGGAGAGTGAATAACTTGAGCCCAGGAGTTTGAGAGAAGCCTGCAGAACAAAGAGAGACCCCTGTCTCTACAAAAAAATCCATAAATTAAAAATAAAAAAGATTTTAAACTTTCTCAGAATTCATTACTTTCTAATTATTGTACTACATTTTATGATTATGTTTGCTTTTGAAGTTATTTACTGTTATTTTATCTGTATGATGAAAATGCTGCATAGTGGTGTGTTCTTACTTGCATTTTCTCATTCAGTGACATCAAGTTGGCTGCTTGGAATTGGCTATGACAGCAGTATTTACACTATAGAAATTGACAAACATTACATATCAGGCTGTTTTCTTCCCTGAAGAGCTGGTTGTTAAGCATTTACCAGCACGCCACCAAATTTCCATGTAGGTCTGCTAGCCACAAATCCCGGTCTGCTGGTGGAGGGCGGGTAAGAATACCTCTACTGGTGATCTCACTCTCCTGGCCTCACACATTTGTACACATAAAGTGCTACATAAAGTTTTATGTAACTTCGCAGCAGGCTAAGATATAGGCAGCAAAAAGAGGTTCAGAGGCAGTTCGATGGAGAAGACATAATTCGCTTTTGGTTTTGAAAGAAAAGTTGAATTCAGTCATGTGACAATGTCTGTGAAAGAATAAGGTAGAGGGAAGAACCAGAAATGAAAGAAGAAGGAGGATAAAACATGGGGTGTGGGCCGGGCGTGGTGGCTCACGCCTGTAATCCCAGCACTTTGGGAGACAGAGGTGGGCAGATCACCTGAAGTCATGAGTTCAAGACCAGTCTGGCTAACATGGTGAATCTCCGCCTCTAGTAAAAATACAAAAGTCAGCGGGTGTGGTGGCAGGTGCCTGTAATCCCAGCTACTCAGGAGGCTGAAGCAGGCGAATCACTTGAACCTGAGAGGCAGAGGTTGCAGTGAGCCGAGACGGTGCCGTTGCATTCCAGCCTGGGTGACGAGAGCGAAACTCCGTCTCAAAAAAACCCACCACAAAACAAAAGAAAACGAAAAGCATGTGGTGTGCAAAGGAGACAGTACAGTTTGGCAGGGGGATGCATGAAGCCTGCGGGGAAGGTAAGATCAGGCAGCACAGTGAAAGGCCCTGTGATGGGCTAAGGAGGGTCCTTCCTCAGGCCTTTGAAGAAACTTGATTAGAGAATGACAAAGTCAGAGCTTTGTGTGATCGCGGAGCAGAGGTGAATGAAAGCAGGGATACCCAGTTGGAGACTATTCTGGTATTAGGGAGTCAGTATAAGGAGGGGACAACATTTTTGGTTGTTGTGATCAGGAGACTGTAAGAGACTCCCTGAAGTGGATGTGGGGTGATTGCTGAGATGTGAAGAGTCAGAATAAGGCTGAAGATGACTCTGAAATTAGCATCTGGGAAACTTAAACCAGATCCTGCCAACCTCCCGTTGAACCTTCAGACAACTTAACGCCTGATTTTAGGAGTCCAGAGCTGTCCTTCGCAGCGGTCCCAGGCAATGAGGCCATCTTAGAGAACAGCTGCTCATCATTACGCAAAAGAAAAGACGATTTATTAGATGCCCTAGGAACATCTGACTCTGAATTGGTGGCTTTCAATCAGGGTAACTAATCAGGAACTGGCTACTGACATTCTTCCAGTTTGTTTTTGTTCGTTTGGTTGGTTTTCTTTGGCTTATTTTTCTTATTGGGGCATCATAACTTTTTTTCACTCTCTCATCTCACACTCACTTCTTTGTTTTATTAATAGTTGCATAAACGTGCTAAAAAGCAACATTCTGAGAAAGTTTCCACTCCAATTTAGTGACATGGTAGAAAAATAGGCCATGTCATACCGATTTTCATATACTACACATCAGATCATGTACCGGAAGTACAGTATAAGCGCTTTAGATTTAGTATAATTTGATATAATGTGTTAATTTATTCCTCCTCTTGAGCTTGGATTTGGAATCACAAAATCTGGATTTGTTACAACTCTGCACATTTCTTGTTTTGATATCTTGGAAAAATAATAGTTTCAGTACTCTGAAACTCAGTGAACTCATCTAAAAAATGGGAATATACCAAAATTCGTGTTTCCCAGTGTGTTTTTAAATATTAAAAGAAATTTTATATAGAAAGTCTTCGGTATATTTTAATGTGTTATATAAGAGCGTTGGATGCTATAAATAATTTCATAGTAAGAAAGCAATATTGTTGAAATGCAGTTTTGAACCTTGATAACATTTGAAGGAATGTGAGCCATCCGCGGAGGCAGCTTTTCAACATAACATTTTTTGAGACAGAGTCTGGGTCTGTCGCCCAGGCTGGTGTGCAGTGGCACGATCTCTGCTCACTGCAAGCTCCGCCTCCCGGGTTCACGCCATTCTCCTGCCTCAGCCTCCCGAGTAGCTGGGACTACAGGCGCCCGCTACCACGCCCGGCTAATTTTTTGTATTTTTAGTAGAGACGGGGTTTCACCGTGTTAGCCAGGATGGTCTCGATCTCCTGACCTCGTGATCCGCCCGCCTCGGCCTCCCAAAGTGCTGGGATTACAGACATGAGCCACCGCGCCCGGCTCAACATATTAACATTTTTTGAGCTTGCATTTTGGAATGTTCTTTTTAGGTTTCTCTGAGCTGGACTGACAGTTGCTGTATCACTGGCAATGGTACGGAAAGTTTGCTGCTTTGCCTTTACTGTTCTCATTTTAAATCCGACCTGGAGAAGGTCACGCTGCCCCTTCGACCTTGACGTCTGCAGCACCGTTCTGCACACACTGCGAGGAGGAAGGAGACCACTTCTAAAATGAGGGACATTGACTGCCCGTCCAACCGGGTGCCGTTCCCGGAAGTGCATGCCCAGCTCGCCCTCCGCCCAGCCACACCCCTCCCAGGAAGCTGGAGGAGCACAAGGTATTTTGACACAAGCTGGGATTAATTTAGGATCAAAGTTGTCCCTCCATCTGTCTCTTCCCAGTGATTCAGTACATTTTAGTAGGGCTTTGTTGGTTCATTGTTTTATATTTGGTTCAAAATTTCCCCCTATTTGGGAACATTTTGGTTCTCCTGAAAGTGCCACTGTTCTTGATGATAACATCACTCAAGAGAGGGATCCTGGTTGTCCTTCTGCCCTATAAAGTCAGGGAGGGCTTCACTCACTCTGTGCCCTTCCTAACAGAGATGCATTTGCTGAGACGCTCTGCAGATTTGACAGTAGCATCTGCTCCACAGACTTTAATGGATGCTGCTTCTGCCTGCCAGAGTAATATATGTTACTTTACTTGCTATGGCTAAATTATTTTTCAAAATCGAGTGATTCAGCTACTTGAAGATTTGAAATCCTTTTACATGATGAATTTTTCCTTTTCTTTCTGAAATTTCCTTTTTGAAATATGGCTGATGTCTTTGTTATTTCTCTTATTGTTAAGCTGCATTTTAACTGCTAATATGTTTTCTTGAGGCAAGCAATTGCCAAGCAACTGAAAGCATAAAGGGAAATTTGTACTATGTAAATGAGGGACTTAATGCATTAATTAGATGGATTGGAACATTGTATTTCCATGTGCTTCATGCCTTAATTCTGAAGCTGAAGGTTGGAACTTCCAGGAGGGGGAGGCTGTGATGAGTTCCAAGTGGATTTTGGAAACCAGAACCCTGGAGTTTTGAAATGCTGTGTGGTCATGGTAGGAGCCAAATGAAGTGGGAAAGAGTGACGGATTCTCTTTAAACCACGTTGTTAGGTTGTAATGAGACCATATCACAGAGTTTCTGAAGTGCTGTTTGGTAGATGTGGTCTCTAATAAATGAAAACTGTATTTATTTTCATGTTCCACAGTGGTAGGATGAACCAGCAAACCCCTTCCCTCCTTTCTCTATCCGAGGGAAGCCCAGAATCAAAAGAATTTAATCAGAGCTGGCATCCTGAAGCTGGCATGATTCCTCCTGGATAGCAAAGACAGCAACCAGTGACAGCTCCCCAGTGTCTCTTGTAACACAGCCAAGCTTCAGTCAGGGCAAGAGGAGCCGATGCTCCTTCGTCCATAAAGGCGGAGGGAAATTCGGCAATGGGAGAGCTTTTCCTAATGGTGAGGCCAAAATCATGTTCAAAGGAGGCGTGTCTTCTATGATATTTGTTTTTTTCACTAATTGACTCACTACTCAAAAGGTTGATTGAACACCTGCTCTATGCTATGTGCTAGAGATAAATTGAAAAACTAAACAGATACATCCCTAGACTCACAAGGTTTGGAGGCTAATGGCAAATAATATCACTGTTGAATGTACAGTTACAAACTGCAAACGTTGCTTTCAAGGAGAGAAATGCAGTTTCATGAAAATATATGACAAAGGAAACTGGGAATGGGGTTGAGAAAGAATTATCTGAGAAAATTATGAGAACAGGAGCTACAGGATGAGTTAATATTCACAGGTAACAAGGTTAAATGTTTTGGTAGGTAGTGTCTTATTCAATCTATTCTCTACTTAATAAGCAAAGTTTTTTTATATGTATTTTTACATATTACATTTTAATTTAATGCAGTCATCTTGACACTGATAATATGATGAAAAGATTCGTTGGATGCAGTTACTTTGATATGGAGAAGGTTAAGGTTATTTGATAAGGTTACAAATCAAAACCAACCCATCCTCCCTCCCTCCCTCCCTTCCTTCCTTCCGATTGCTTTTAGCAGACACCCTGATGTCAACCTGAGCTCTACCTGTCCTTGGTACTTATGACACCTCTGACCATCCCATCCCATCCTTTACCCATCTTGAGCCTCATCCTAACTCTCAGACCAACCCCTGCTTTATCTCAGGAAGCAGATCATATTCTCTTCATTTCCTGTGTAAAATTCATTGCTGTCCCTTCAAGAACGGCTTCCTATAGACTATGGTATAAATGCAAACTTCTAAATGCAGCTTTACGGATCTTTATTGCCTGCATCCACCAGTGGTTTCTCAGGTCCCTCTCCTCATCACTTAGATTCTTCCATCCTAACTCAGCCGATTGCCCCGTGTTGCGGGGCCTCTATGCCTTTTCTCCTCTTGTTTTCTTCGATTCCAAAGCCTTCATGCATCATCACCTGGCAAAATTGTTCTTTCCTTTCTGTGACTCATTCAAATGCAGTGGTCCCTGCTGCTGTAAGGCAGAATTAATTATTTCCAGAAATACTATCTCTGCTTCTACGCAAGCCCCTTCCACTGTCTGCCTGAGTCATTGTCTCTCTCTTCCCCAGACAGTGAGCACCTGGGGAAGGGGTGCAGCTACTCCATCTTTGTATCTCCCCAGTGTGCTATACTTGTCGAGTTTTTTGTATAATGTTTAAATTTTTATTCTTAAAATAAAACAAAAGATAGCCACCTATAAAATTTTTAGCAAAATAATAAATAGTTTATGTCTAGAAAGAAAGATCTCCTGCATTATGGTCAAGTTAATTTTGTGCAAATTGTTATCATAATATGCTTCGGAGAAAATGCTGTTCCCTCCCCGACGTGCAGAAAATACCAAATGGGCCTTTTGCACTACGCTAGGAAAACGCTTTGCTGTTTTACTGTTCATATGAAGCATGGCAGGCTACCTCCCTCTTAATTTGTTAATTTTCTTTCACTTCTTCGCTGTGTGTACAATTTCTTCCAGGCCATAGGATATGATAATGAGGGACGGTACTGTATGAAATTATCAAATTTTAAAAAGTCTTTTTATGATGTACCATTTATGCTAATTACAAAGGATTTTTGTAAAGACACGTCTTTCATGTTGGCCTGCAGTTTGTACCTGTAGGCATCATCCTTTTGTAAACTGATTTCATTTGTTCCAGACACATGAATTAAAGGCGTCATCTACGACTGCTTAATTTCGCTTTAGTTTTTGTTTAGCAAAAAAACTGCCTAGAATGATATCATGTTACTCTTTGTACAGTAACGCAATATAAACCTTTATAGCACGGGAATTATGGCATTAAAGTAATATCACAGTTGTTAAGTCGGTGATACTGAATAGCCCAACGCTAGCTGTTTCCAGAGCCAAGGTATGAGGGCATCCACAGCACCGTGTGGTTGGCCATTACAGGGACAATCGGTTGAACACCATGTTGGTTAGACAACACAGTTTTATTTCTCTTTCTTCCACAGACCTACATACCCCAAAGTCATACCTTTCTGCACCAGTAAGTGATTGTCCGTATCATGTTAACATATCACATATGATTTGTACTTTTAACTTCCAGTTATAACCTCAGAAAATTTTTAGTTTATTTAAATGAATGAGTTTATCTGAATGATTTAAATGTTCAGGAAGTTAGTAATAATCATAAGAAAATGAACAGATTATTATTTTCAGTATAAGCATTTAGAATGTCAGGCATCCCTTGTGTATTTTTATTTTTTATTTTTAGGCAGTCACAAAGTATGATTCTAGTGGAACTGGGAAATGCAGTTTTGGCTATAGGACGCAAGGTAGTATAATATGAATATTGAAATTATAGCCATGATTGACATAAAATGTCACTTAATTCATATCCTTTGTAATCATTATGATGACCTGGTAACCTACTGACATTTCAGTTGGGACCTTCTCCACTCTCTTTGAAGCTGCTCTACCATGTATCACACACTATTCCTTTCATCTAATTGCCCGTTTGATCAAGGATGTGGCTCATCCATACACTTTAAATAAATGAAAAATTCACCTGCTTCAAATAAATGAAGTTGAAAAAAATTTAAAAAGAATCACAGTATGCTCTTTTTGGAAGAACACAATTTGGAAACCTTGGGAAAAACTAGGTTTGGAAAACTAAAAAGCAGAATTGAGACTCAAGACCTCAGAAATGTGATATTGGGAATTTTTGTGACGCTTTCTTTTGGTGTGAGACCAATAAACTTTTATATAATATTAGTGCATTATGTTTTGTATTGCAAGTTCAGTAATGAACACGATGCTTTGTTACTCCAAATCTGCTCTTATTGTTTGGAAACAATGCCAGAACTGATCTATTCAGTAAGTGAGTGAATGAATGACTAGATAAATAAACTATTGTTTTGTTCTAGGTTTAAACAAACTAAAACATTGCTTGACTTTTTTCATTGGATTATGTTGCTGTCATGTAGACAGAATTTGATGATCAGATCTGTGGGTTTTTGGTGAAGAGAAAGGAATACAGAGTGGGAGCATAGGTTTACATCATCTTTCTCAGATTTCATTCTACCTGAATTAATATGCCCTTCAAAATGGTGAAGGATTTAGCTCATTATATTCATTATTAGCTAATCTGGCTGTAATGAATTTGTTGGTTTACTGATTACAAATGGAAATCATTTGTATTATATTGTTGATTAGATATGTGCTCATTCTTCCTGCTATGGTGTGACATTTCTCTTTGCAATATTTTTTTAAAAACATGTATTTTTAATTTTTGTGGGGACATAGTAGGTGTATGTATTTATGGGGTACATGAGATGTTTTGATACAGGCATGCAGTGTGTAATAATCACATCATGAAGAATGGGGTCTCCATTCCATCAAGCATTTATCCTTTCTGTCTCAAACAATCCAGTTATATTCTTTTAGTAATTTTAAATGTACAATTAAATTATTATTGACTGTAGTCACCCCGTTGTGCTATCAAATAGTAGATTTTATTCATTCTTTCTAATTTTTTGTACCTATTAACCATCCTTATCTCCTCCCCCCCCGCCCCCCCTCCCCACCCCCCACACACACAGTCCCACTACCCTTCCCACCCTCTGGTAACCGTCCTTCTACTCTCTATGTCCGTGAGTTCAATTGTTTTGATTTTAGATCCCACAAATAAGTGAGAACATCAATGTTTGTCTTTCTGGGCCTGGCTTATTTCACTTAACATAATGATCTCCAGTTCCATCCATGTTGTTGCAAATGACTAGATCTCATCCTTTTTTATAGCTGAATAGTTCTGCAAAATTCTGTCCTTAAAATCTGATTTACTCAATCTTGAAGAATATTCTTTAAGAAGATTCTTAAGAACTATTTGAGAAGAGTAATTGTAAAGTATATAAATTCTATAATTTTTTTTTCAGAATTAATGTATGAACCTGATTAGATCATGTGAAGGTAAATTTTTTTTTTTTTTTTTTTTTTTTTATCAATAGAAGCAACTGTTTTTGCTCAGAAATAAAAGCAAGGAATTACCCAGTTACATTTAAAGCTGTCTGCGTTAGAGGAGTGGTTGTTAAAAATGAAGCTTCTCAGATCCATCCAGCCCTGAGCATGATGAACTCGGGAGGAGGGCTTGGGACTCTGCATTTTAATTAAATTCCTCAACAGACAGTTACATACATTAAAGTTTGGGAACCCCCAGTTTCACAGTAACTTATCAAGTCAGAGCTAGATATCAAAATAGTTCCAATAAGGGATGTTTGAAGATGAAGGGTAACCCCAACGTCTGATGAATTCACAGACTCCCTCAAGCTTCGTTTTTTCTTAAAGTAAGTTTGGACTGTTTCTGGAAGCCCCCAAAGTACTTCCTAGCAGACACCCACCAACAGCCCACAGACGGGGTCCTCCTGAGATGGCCATTTGCCCACTGCCTCTCCTGCTTGCTCTCTCCCCTGCTTCTGTAACGTCTACTCCACCCAAACACGGATATTCCAATGTTCCAGGTAAGGGGACAGAGGCATGCAGGCTTCCCATTCTCAGGGTGCTGGTTTGGATAAAGGCCCGAGAAGAGTTTCCTTCAGCTCCCTGAACCAAACTCACAATCTGGGTCATTTATGCTTTGTCTGGTTGACAGCATGTGGCCCTCGTAACCAAGGGGTGATTCAACCCTGGCCACAGGGCTGAACGTGGACAAGGCCTTCCAGGCTCGCCATTTTATTTCCACTCTTTTTTTTTTTTTTTAAGTTCTACCTTCACTAAAATTCCTACTCGTCACCACTCACAGATCAAACAAAAAGAAAAGCTTTTTTTTTTGGGCAAATGATGGAGCCCAATGTGTGTGTGTGTGTGTGTGTGTGTGTGTGTTTGTGTTAGAATGTTAGTGCCTTATAAAGAAAGTGAGCAACAGGCAATTTAATATCTTGCAATTAAGAGTAAGTTTTCCAATCATGAAGTTCTCATAGGTGTGTGGTGCCTTCTGACATTGAAAAAATAAGGTGACATGTGCAGGAGTAAATCACTCTGCTACAAAAGGGGCAACTTGAAAATGGAAAACTGAGACTAAGAGGAAGTGGCCAAAGGTCCTTCACGTTGATGGACCTAGTGAAAGCCAAGCTGTGCTATTAAATATTTACCAGCTGGCTCCTCCCCCTGCAAATCAAGCCCTGATTTGTAGCACTTGCCAATTTCTGTTGTATTCATATTCCCATCATGGTCTATTTAAACTGCCAATATAATATCAATTGGCTTGCAGAATTTCTAAATATTTAATAAAGGGCTCTTGGTAGCTGATAGGACCACACCATTGTGTTTGGAAAAAAGGAAACACGAAAGTCATGCAGGTAAACGTTCACTTAACAAAATTCTAGACAGAGACAATTGGCTATTTTCCTAAGGCTATGTGGGTGTCAAAGTTGGGGACTTCCCCACCACAAAGCCTGTTTAGAGCAGCAGTCTCAATGGGGCAGTGCTGCCTCCTAGAGGATTTCTATTCCAGGGAAATTCCTGGGGGCAACTTTTGTTGTCACAATGGACTGGGGGTCAGAATGATCACTGGACAGGGGCCAAGGATATTAGACATCCTCCAAATGCCAGGTTTGTACTGAAAAGCAGAATGTTATCCTGAGTTCTGCACAAAATTCTAAAGTCTCAACAAATAATCTTCCAGGTTAAAAAAAAAAAGCATTAAATAACTCTGCTTTATGTATAGTATTTCTTTGGCATGAGTTTAATATAGGTAATGGATCTTATAGGAATACAGCTACTGTAAAAGTTGAGGTATATTTGCATTTTTTGGTTCAAAATCATACCAAGAACTGTTTACCATCCAAGTCCAGGATAGCAACAGGACTCACTGGATTTGAGTCTAATATAACACACCTGTCTCAGACAGCATTTGCAATTGGCAAATGTTGTGCCATGTTTCCACGTAGAGCAAAAACACCTGAATTTTTTTTTAGTCTTTTTTTTATATTTTAGGTCTTCTACTGTAGTTATGTCTGAGCATTTAAAATTGAAATACACATTATTTTGTTATAATTTATCACTTAGTTTCTCTTTCATATGTAAACAGTATATACTTTTATTTCTTTTTTTGAGACAGAGTTTCACTCTTGTCGCCCAGGCTGGAGTGCAATGGTGCGATCTCAGCTCACTGCAACCACCGCCTCCCGGATCCAAGCAATTCTCCTGCTTCAGCCTCCTAAGTAGCTGGGCTTACAGGCACCCGCCACCACACCCGGCTAATTTTTGTATATTTTAGTAGAGATGGGGTTTCATCACGTTGGCCAGGCTGGTCTCAAACTGTTGATCTCAGGTAATCCACCCGCCTCAGCCTCCTGAAGTGCTGGGATTGCAGGCATGAGCCACTGAGCCCAGCCACATTTTTAAGCGTAGTATATACGTAAGATATATAAGGAATTTTATTTTGGGATGGTAAAAAAAGTATTGTATACCACAGTAGAATTTATGCTAGGGCTATTACTGACCCCTCTCAAACTTTATCTGAATTAGTGCCTGAGCTGGTCATTCTAAAATCAACTCAAAGGTCAATTGGGTCTGGGGCAGCCCAGGAGATTTAGCTGAAAATTGTGCTCTCTGTTCCAAGCTTAAGGACAAAAGGTAACCAGAGCTCAGCTTATTGTCTGGGTTCTTAAATTTCGTGAAGGTAATGTGTGATGTGGCCCAGAAAATTGGTAAAAACGAAGTGAAACTGTTGTATCACTAGAAGGAGCCATGATCACTACCCATGATAGGGATACGTTAAGACAGAAGGTGAGAATAAAACGGGTATGTGCACATAATTATGTAAACAATGTGTAACATTACCATAACATTGGGAAAAGTATGAATGAAAAGATTCGCTTTGGTCATGTGTGTTACATACCTTGTGCAAGTTGTATGTATATGTTTGTGCATACATATAAGTATATACTCACAATTTTCCATATATACACACACACAAGTATATTTGTGTGTGTGTATATGTGTGTGTGTGTATGTTTGTGTGTGTGTGTGTGTGTGTGTGTGTGTATATATATATGCATCTGTGAGCTTTTTCAGACTAGGGCCCGAGAGTATTTTATTTGTATCCCTATCACTTAAGAAGGTGCTTGCCTGTACAAGGAACTCAGGGAGTGTTTAATGCATTCATGCACGTTTGAGCGAATAATGGTAGAATCTCTGAAAACAATATTTGAATGCAATAGAAGATCTAACTAGCTGATGCTGTACTGAATAATGAGTACAGTGACTCTAGGACAATACTTGTCCAGTTTTAATGTGTGTATAAATCTTGTTAAAAAGTAGATTCTGACCCAGTAGGTCTGGGATGGGGCTACAGGTTTTGCATTTTTAACAAGCTCCCAGGTGATCCAGTGCTGGTTCTGGGCCTACACTTTGATGAGCAAAGCCCGTGGGTTTCCTGCTGAGCCTCTCATTGCTCTGCATCTGCAGGTCAGGGCTAACACTTCCAGGAGGAGAAGAATTATAGTTCATAAAAAAGTCTTTTTTAAAAAACTTTTTAAAAATAATGTAATAGCTTATATTTCTTGAATATACTACAGGTTATCCATTTTGTTGTTAATAAACATGCAGTTGATTTCCACTTTTTTTCTTTGTTATCAGAAATAATTGTAAAGATTGTGTACCTATCTCCTCATATGTGGAAAGCATTTCTTCAGGTTATAGGTACACATGTAGGACAACTTGGTGGGTTGTTTCTACCCCACCAAGGCTGAGTTGTTGGATAAGCAAAATTTTTTTTTTTTTTTTTGTCTTGAGTTGGAGTCTCGCTCTGTCACCCAGGCTGGAGTGCAATGGCATGATCTTGGCTCACTGCAACTGCCGCCTCCCAGGTTCAAGCGATTCTCCTCCTGAGTAGCTGGGACCACAGACACACGCCACCGCACCTGGCTAATTTTTGTATTTTTAGTAGAGACAGGGTTTCGCCATGTTGGCCAGGATAAGCAGATATTAAAAGTCAATGTCAACATGGTTTTCCAAAGGTGGTGTACTAAATTTTACATCTAACAAAACTGTGCTAGTGTTTCAATGGGTCCAAACACTCCAAAATTTAATATTGTCAGAGTTCATAATTTTTGCAATCTAAGGGATATAAAATATTTTTATCTTGGTCTTAATTTACATTTGGATGATTACTAATGAGGTGGAGAATATTTTCACATGGTTTTGGGCCATTTGTATGAATGGCCATTTTTGTGCATTGCCAATATTTCTGTAAGATTGTTTTCTTCTTAATGATATGTATGATTCTGCTGGGATCTGAATATGTGCGTTCTCCAAAATTCATGTGTTGAAACCTAATTACCACTGCATTAATATTAACCGGTGTGTCATTTAGGGGGTGATAAGGTCAGGAGGATGGAGCCCTCATGAATAGGATTAGCGCCCTTACAAAACAGAACCAAGGGATTTTGCTTGTTCCCTGCATCATGTAAAAATGCATCAAAAAGGCACCATTTCTGAAGCAGAGATGGGGCCTTCACCAGACACTGAATCTTCTGGTGCTTTGATCTTGGACTTTCTGGCCTCCAGAAGTATGAGCAATACGTTTCTGTTGTTTATAAATTACCCAATTTAATAGATTTTGTTATAGTAGCCCAAATGGATTGAGAGAGATTCTACTATGTATTCTGGAAACTTTTGTTGTTGTTGTTACATGTGTAGCTAATACCATCTCTCAGTTTATTTCCTGTCTTTCGTATTATTTCTAGTATCTTGATATCAGAAGTCTTAATTTTACTATAGGGCAAGTTTAAATGGAATGCTTCAAAACGTTTGTCATGAGAAATCACATTTGCTCTCTCTCTTTTCTTATAAGTGTATTCATCTTGCTAAGGATCTTCTCTTTTAAGATTTTTGTTAGGAATGAATGTTATTTTATCAAGTATATTTTCTGGAACTATTGAGATGAGTCTGTGGTTTTTCTCCTGGATTTTTTAATGTGGTGAAGTATAAGTTTTTGCTATTTAAACTTTCCGCCTCTTTTGCTTTCCTGGGATTAACCCAACTTTGTCATTTATTATTTATTTATTTATTTTAACATGGCTTGGTTGAATAGGATCTGCTAATACATTATTTAGGAATTTTGCTTCTTATTCCTGAGTGAGGTTGTTCTGAACTTCTTTTATATCCTAGGCTGTCTGCCTGGGGATCAAAGTTATACAAGCCTCAGCCAGGTGTGCTGGCTCACACCTTGTAATCCCAGCACTTTGGGAGGCCGAGGAGGGTGGATTGTTTGAGGTCAGGAGTTCAAGACTAGCCTGACCAACATGGTAAAACCCTGTCTCTACTAAAAATACAAAAATTAGCTGAGCATGTTGGTGGGTGCCTATAATCCCAGCTACTTGGGAGGCTGAGGCAGGAGAATCGCTCCCACCTAGGAGGTAGAGGTTGCAGCGAGCCGAGATCGTGCCACTGCACGCCAGCCTGGATGACAGAGCAGGACTCCATCTCAAAAAAGAAAGAAAGAAAAAAAAAGTTATACAAGCCTCATGGTGTGAGCTTGGGAGTCATTCCTCTTTCTCTATTTTTTAGGAGTTTATATGAAAGTGGAAAAGTCCCATAAATCTACTTGGGCCAGATGTTTTTCTTGTGGGAAGATTTTAAACTACTTATGTACGTTTTAAAAAATAAGTTAGAACTCAGGCTTTCTCTTTTTTAAGATCATATTTCTCTAGAAACTTGTCCGTTGACTCTCTTTTCTAATCTCTTGGCATAGATTTATTCATAGTATTCTCTTATTACTCACTTAGGCTCCTCTTCATCAGTGGTTTCCTCTCCCTTTTCATTCATGGCCTGGGGTGTTTATCCATCCTTCATGTTGATGGTTGTCATTCTCACCAGCAGTTTACTTATTTCCTTGAGAAGCCAATTTTTGATTTTGTGAGTTATCTGTCTCGTATATTCATTTCAATTTTAATAATTTATGTATTGCCTCTTTTTTCTAATTTATTTAAATTGGTTCTGTTGTACTATTTCTAGCTTGTTAATTAAGATATCTATCCTATCATCTCTTTTCAGTTGTACAAATGCAAGAATCTAATATTCTTTGAAATACTGCTTTGCTGAACTCCACAAGTATTAATATGTAGTTTCCTTATTGTTGAGTTTTCAGTATTAAAAAAAATTCCATTGTGGTTTTTATTCAATTATTTAGAGGTATCTTAGATTTCCCAAACATATGAGAATTTTAAGTTTACTTTTTTATTAGTTATTTATCTTATTTTTACCTTATGATATAAATTCTTTGACTTTTTTGAGACTTTTTATAAGTATGTGACAATTTAAAAAATTTCTATATGTGCTTGAGAAAAATACATACTCTCTGTGATCAAGGTGCTAGGTATGTTCATTAAATCAAGGTTTTAGAATTTTTTTCTCTATTGACTAATATTTTTGTCCTCTATATGTCAATAATTGTGATATCCAACTGTTGTGAATTTGTCAATATCTCTCCACAGTTCTATCAGTTTTTCCTACTTTTTTTTTTTTTTTAAATCAACTTGGCTATAGGCATGATGTCTTTACTGGAGGCACAGGGTATAACTTTGTCACCCTGGTATTCCCCAGGGTGCCAGCTGTTGAATGAACAGATGAATACATGGATGTTCTGAGAAGGCTGAAGGAATTTATTAATCTGACTTTGTGTATGAAATGGGAATACCACAGTCACAGGAGATCATTGGAAACACTGTCCAGGAATGGATTATGCCTGACAAAGCTTTCCATTAGCTATCACTTCACAATAGTCCAAAGATCTTGTAACTTTAGTGAAGGACCTTCCATCCAATCGTGTTTGCTATCATCATGGGGTAGAGTTTCAGATGAAAGCAGTGTGAGTTCCAGAATTTGGAGTCATGCCTGTTAGTTAAGTGAAAGGCATTCCACACATTTGCTTTTATCAGTTTATTCATGCTGATAGGTGCTTTTAGAGGGAATTCACAGCTCATGAAAGGCTCTGAATGAAAAGATCCAGTGAACAAAGTCTTCTGTTATCTGTAGAATGTGCCTTAGGATGGGTATCAGCAGCCCTGCAAGTTTCTCCTGTGTGTTTAAACACATAAGTGAAGGAAGAATAGTGAAGGTTATTTTTTGTGTAATTTGACTTTATTAGATTAAATCAGTATTTGATCCCATACATTACTTCAAGACACATATTTAATACTTAGGCTCATTTTATGGAAGAAGCTAATAATTCCTTAAATCATTTGAGTATGTTTAGAATTTTCAGGGACACTTAACTGTTAACTCTGATGCAGTTTAAAATAATTGTCATTCTAAACATCCTCTATGTAAAAGCTTCAGATCAGTAGCATAACTGCTTAAGAATGAAAATTTGACCCCACATTTATCATCCCTTTCTTAGCATATGAGTATGAATAATCTTACAAAATATTCAATATACTGATGCTGTGTTCAGAATCCCTTTCACTTCACATTCTGCCTGTTGAGCAGTCACTACCCTATTGATTTGCCATTCGATACTCTCTTGCAATATTCCTGAGTCTACAAGGCTGTTCTTTATTCTTGCTTTGAGAAAAAAAAATGTTATTTAAAAGAGTGCTATAGGGAGGCCGAGGCGGGCGGATCACGAGGTCAGGAGGTTGAGACCCTCCTGGCTAACAAGGTGAAACCCCATCTCTACTAAAAATACAAAAAAAATTAGCTGGGCATGGTGGTGGGCGCTTGTAGTCCCAGGTACTCGGGAGGCTGAGGCAAGAGAATGGTGTGAACCCAGGAGGCGGAGCTTGCAGTGAGCTGAGATGGCACCACTGCACTCCAGCCTGGGTGACAGAGCAAGACTCTTAAAAAAAAAAAAAAAAAAAAGAAAAAGAGTACTGTAAAGCTACTCAAAATAGGTATTAGATTTAGGAAAATTCTTTTTTGAATGAACAGCGACAAGTAGTAAAATGAAATTGAGAACTATTTCTCTATTGACTGCTCTCTCTAATCCTGGAAAATATACATACCAGACTATCTATAATTTTCTTTTTCTTTTTTCTGTTTAATTTTCATAAGGTTCTCTAAAAGAATGGAAGGATTGCTGACATTGCATTTGTGAAGAATACTGGCTTATGTGCCTATTCTAACTCTACTGTTTTCAATCAAGAATGCTCAATATTTCCATGGATTATGTCTCTGGGGGGGAACATATGTCAATTTCATTGCTAGTTTATGAATTGTGAGAGTTTCTTGATAATCAGTGATGTAACTCCTGACAAATTCTTGTCTTTAACATATTTTAAATCTAGTAAATCTTTATCTGAAAAGCAGAATAAAGTTCAAAAGTCTACCACTTTATGAGGAAATAGAAACAATATATATTTTTATGTGGCTTGGTTTTATTCTTGGATAGGTAGTAATCAAATATTTTAAAATAATAAAAATATTTTAAAGAGTATCTACATTTTTAAATGTGATTACTTATTTATATTTTTGAGATGGGGTCTCACTCTGTCTCCCAGGCTGGAGTGCAGTGGCGTGATCTCGGCTCACTGCAACCTCCTCCTCCCGCGTTCAAGTGATTCTTCTACCTCAGCCTCCTGAGTAGCTGGGATTACAGGCACCTGCCACCATGCCTGGCTAATTTTTGTATTTTTAGTAGAGACAGGGTTTCACCATGTTGGCCAGGCTGGTCTCAAACTCTTGACCTCAAGTGATCCGCCCACCTCAGCCTCCCGAAGTGCTGGGATGAGCCACCGCACCCGGCCAGATTACTTAGTTATTTAAAAGGTGATATGTTATCTTAAAATACTGTAGAATTATAAGAAAAAGAACATTTTCTTAGAAGTTTTAGACTAATTTGAAATAAATTCCACAGTAAATGTATATAACAATAATATTCTGATTACTGTATGTTCCTTTTTTTCTTGAAAATGTCAAGCATTTTTTCATGTGTCATCCTTTCTAAGCAAAATTTTTAGAAGATTTTGGAGGAATTTCACATAATTATAAAATGATTTAAACAAAATGAGCACAGAATATGTATTATTTCACTTAACCCTATCTCATTTTAATCACTGTATACGTTATAGCTTTATTTTATGACCAGGACATTTACAAACTAACATCCTAGGCAAAAACAAACCTATTTGAACTAGCAAAGAATTTGTCAAGTTTTAATGTATGAGACTCTTTCTTTCTTCTGCTCTAGTTTTTCTTGTACTTCCCATCTGTAGGAACCTTCGTCTTTTTAATTCCATGCCTCCACTTACCTGAGTGAAAATGTTTGCTGGTTCATTGGTGCGCTCTCATTCTTGATGTGTTTGCTATTGCAGCTGGGCCACGTAACGGGACCTCCCAGGGCTGTGTTTGACATCTCATCTTTCTGTTCCTTCCTACCCCATGTCGGCATCTTGCCCTCTCTCCATATGGAAGACCACCTTTGCATCCATACTATCATTGCACTTTTTCCCTCTTCGATCTTTGATCTCCCAATTTCCTCTCTTAATTGCTTTCAGGAGTCTTCTGCCACTAACTCTCTTTGATTAGGTGTTTTTGCTTCTCTTCCCTCACCCTGCATTTCACTTCTTAGAATTATGAGCAGATTTTTAAGTTTTGAGAATGTCCACTTTATGCATTTTTGTTATAAATATCAAGCATCGTATTATCAACTCCACCTTAATATTTCTTAATACATTTATTTCTTTTATATTGAGTTGTGTTTTAAAACATGCTTTTTCTACTGCTTGAAGACACATTTCCTTTAATAAATAAGCAGTCTTCTGCTTAAAGAGTGATGTAACTTTAACCGTGTTTTCATGTTTTAAAAATTCTTGCCTTAACTTCATTTTTCATTGTGTTGTTAATAACGCGATATTAAATCATCTCTCTAGAAACAGATTTGCAGTGATCATTCCTAATTCTCCATGAATGTGTTGGGGATAGATTGAAATGGAAAACATAGAAGATGACCCCAAAAGACTGTCTGATCATGATTTATATGTAGACAGCACAGTGTCCAGCTCATAGTAAGTACTCAAGAATGAAGTAAATAATCAAAACTATGAAAGCAGTATACAGCAATCCATCCCCACCTCTACATACAATATTTGACTTATCAATGCTGTGTAAAACTATAGATTTGAGTAATAACTTTTTAAATAAGATATCTAGTTGGAGTAAATAAAACCAACAGACAGACAGACAAGGAAAAGACATTACATTCCAAAGAAGGAGGGAAGAGGAATTTTAATTTCCACTTATACCAAATAAGAAAATGGAGGTGCAGATAATATCAGTGAGTCACATAGCCAGGAGCAGAGCAGGATACAACGGAGGGGATAATTTGTCAATAAGTTAATTGGCATTTTCTCTGTGTGGCACATCTTCTGCCTGCCCTTCTCGAAACCCTCAAGGCAACTAGATTCCTTTTGTGGCTTAGGTTTTCATCTTACCTCAGATTCTTATAGGCTTCAGAACAAACACTGGTTAAACACAACAACTCTCTCTAGCTATTTTATTTCATTTTATTTTGGACCTCATGATGCAACAGTAATATTTCTAGCTTTTGTGAGGCTAAAATTTATTAAAGTGAGGACGTTAGGGAGAAATGCTTTTGAGGAGAGGGTGGGGTGTTTCCTTCAGACTGGAGAGACATCAAAGGGAGTCCCCTGGGTACAGCCAGTGGGTAGCCATTCCCGTGTGAGATAAGTGGGTGCTGCTGCAAGCAGCTGGGTTCCTGGACACATGCCTCCCGGGTTCCCCAGGCTTCTTGTGCCCCAGCCACTGCGTGGAGGTGGCAGAGCTGCCAGAACTTAAGGGCCAGGCCCAGGCCCAGTGAGAGAGTCTGTGGATCGGTGATAAGGACGGTGGATTCATAACCCTTTTCAAGACTGGTCTTTAGATCTTTGGCCATGCATGGAAACCTGGGATCTTAGCAAATCCTTGAGAGGGGATTCCCAGGAATAACTAGGATGAAGTTTCCTGCCAGTGAAGTCAGACGGGAGTTTGGAATCGAGTATACGTCTGTTTCAGGGAAAAGAACAAAACCAAATGAAACAAGAAATAAATGGAATTTTTGTTGTTTTTAAAAGAAAAATTAGAGAAATAAAATACATTAAATTAGTTTGTATATTCTTCCTGTTATCTTCTGTGTGATGCACCTTCCACATAAGGTACAGTTCTATGAACAGCTACTAATTTTCTCATTCACCAAAGTTTCTTTTGATTCAGACAATGTCAGAACTCTTGGCATGTTTACAAAAATACTCAGCACTCAGATTTATCTTCCCCGTGAAACATTCAGGTTGTGACTGTGGTAAGTGTATTCTCTTGCGTGGTTCAAGTACACAGTGTAGCAAAGGCTGTGAGAGGAAAGAGCTTGGCCAAGTTGATATTCTCCAGGGAATGCAGCAGTCCTGTGCACCAATATCAGTTGGTTTCCTTAGGGGAGGTGTACCTGTTCCAAATAATTACATTTGATATACAAAAGACTTCTAAAATTTGGGACTTTGGGAAGGCAGCAGAACTATTAGCAGACAATGAACTCATCCTATGGGTCTACATATCTTGTGATCTATTCCCTTAAGCATAACTACACAGTCAAGTTAGCACAGCCACTCTGCACTGCAGTTGTGTGACTGCTCCCAGTCCATCCTCTCCAGGGACTGATGACCCCTTTCCCCAGATGTCACTCCAAAAACTAGCTCTCCCTCTCTCTTCCCAGAGTATCTTCTTGGTATTAGGGAATTTAGTGATCATTTCAAAGCGCGATCTGTCCCACATTTCATCAGAGTTCAACTCTTTGTTACAGAGTCATCATTAACTTTACTTTTAAATAATTTGTCTTTATTAAGCTGCTTGAGGTAATACTTCTCAGGAGGCTGCCCCTGGTCTCGGCTGACTCTCACCTGGTCTTCCTGTGACAGGAAAAGTAGCAAAGATGACAGCTTATTCTGAACTGAGTTTGACAGTATGAGGATTTCTTTCTAAAAATAAATTATGTGTCTGTAATATTTTCCATATATCCTCATCAAATAACCTATCTGGTATTTAGCCATTTTATTTTCCTTTTATTCTTTAGGATTAAACAGATAGGATGTTAAGAAATCAACCAGCTATAAAACAGAAAAAGTAAAAAATCAAATTGTGTATGGGATTACCATAAGAATATAGATTTATTAATATTTATCAGTAATATTCTACAATGAGCAAACTACATAGAAAAGTCAATCAAGGTTTCCATATCCTGTAATCGTCACTTGCTTTATTATTCTTTAAAGCAAGCAATACAGATTTTCCTCAATGAAGAGGGGCGACATTCTCGTAAACGTATTGTAAGTTTAAAAGATTATGTGTCAGAAATACATTGAGTACACCTGATCTACTCAACATCATAGCTCAGCCTCGCCTTCCTTGAACATGCTGAGAACGCTTACATTAGCCTCCAGTTGGTCAAAATCATCTCACACAAAGCCTATTTGATAATACAGTATTGAATGGCTCATGTAATTTATTGAGTACTGTAATGAAAGTGAAAAGCAGAATGGTTGTAAATGGTTTATGGGTATTTGTAACATAGTTCCTACTGAATTTGTCTCTCTTTTGCACCATCAAAAAGTTGAAAATTCACTAAGTTGAACCATTTAAGTCAGGGACTATGGGTACTCATATTCTCTCCCCTCCCCTCTTTCTCTCGCTTGAAACAGTTCACATCTGATTCCTGGACTAGATAGAATTACCTTTGTTGATACAACCATTTGCAACCGCTTATCTATGGGGAAGTAAGTAAGAACTTTATCCTATAACATGAGGTCCGTAATGGGTTTCAAACCTCAAGCACAACCTAATACTGGCCAGAAAAAAAACTACATATGTTCATTCAGATTTCTTGCCAGAGGAGAACACCCTAACTGATAAGAGTGTTCTAATTTACTCACACCCAGGAAATAAAAAGTTAGCCACCATCAGAAGTGGGGGAAAGAGGATGTAAGCTTTTAGACTTACTTGTCTACATGGCATTGCAATTTAGCAGAACCAGAGAGCAGACAGAATTATAAATTCCTTGACTTATGGTTTCTATGCACCAGATGGTTACCGCTGCTCTCTCTTAGGTGGATCAGGACCTTGGTCAGTGGAAATTTCATTAGATTTTGGAGGTTTTTTTGTTTGTTTGTTTTGGTTTTTGCAACTTCTAATCTTCATTGTATAAAGTGTTTATGGGTTTGTAACCCATTTCAATCACTACTCACTTTATAGAGAAAGTTGAGAAGTTCTCCCTCACTTTCTATTACTGCAAACTATACCTGGTAGTTCTTGTTTCCTGGGACAATGTTTGCTGGCAGTTGTAGAATAGATACAGTACTTAAAGAAGCTTTTCAGGTTCATGCCTTAGAAAAGGAAATCAAATGATATTTCCTTTCGTTTCATTTTTTTTTTTCAGCATGTTCCACTGAGCATTAGTAAGTAAACATTGAAAATGTCATACACACCCGGTGCGGTGGCTCACACCTGTAATATCGGCACTTTGGGAGGCCGAGGTGGGTGGATCACCTGAGGTCGGGAGTTCGAGACCAGCCTGACCAACATGGAGAAACCCCGTCTCTACTACTAAAAGTATGAAATTAGACAGGCGTGGTGGCTCATGCCTGTAATCCCAGCTACTTGGGAGGCTGAGACAGGAGAATTGCTTGAAACCGGGAGGCGGAGGTTGTGGTGAGCCAAGATTGCGCCATTGCACTGCAGCCTGGGCGACAAGAGTGAAACTCTGTTTCAAAAACAAACAAAAAAAAAACAAAAAAAAAAAAAGGAAAAGAAGGTGTGAAAGTGTCATACACATTTTTCCTTTTGGTAGCTGGATTTTGTTGCATGATTGCCACTTACTTTTTTTTTTTCCGTAGAGTGGGATGTTTGTACGATGAGTGACTATGTTCATTCAAAACCTTAGGAAAATCTTTGCAAAAAGTCGCCAGATTAATCAACCTGTAAATGTCTTCGCCTGATGTATAAAGATAATCATTCACCAGCAAATGGCTATATTTTAAAACCTTTCAGAAAAGTTGCTTAGAAAACATCTTCCTTTAGAAGTGATTGCTTGTGGTTGTGTTCATTCCTCCAACCTGAAAACTCTGCCGCAGTTGCACCAGTGCTCATGAGTTCAAGTGTTCTCCCTCCTCGTCCCTTCTCTGAGTGGTGATGGAAAAGCTGACTAAAATCCCAGAAATCACTTGTGCTGTTTTAAAGCAGGGACTTCAGCATGAAGGGGTTGGAGAGGTGGGGTAGGCCATGAAAAAGGAGGAGAAAGACCGAGTTTGTAAACCCTCAGAGAAAGCCACTCACTTCTTGGTTTTCTCTGCAGGACTTTAATGACCACTTATTTTTTCTTTTCCTTTTTATCTTGTTCAGTAAAGCCAAGGTGGTTTGCTTTAGTTTTGGCTGCTGACAGGTATTGTGTCCGTGCAGATTCACGAGAAGATCAGGCATTCTTCAGGGTGCCTGCTCCTCCTCCCTTTCCGTCCCTAAGGGCAGTCAGTGGTCCCTGGGAAATTACAGAGGGCTTTGTTTTGATTCATTTCTTTATTTGCTTTCAATCAGATTCCCATGAAGCTCTCCTAGGCGGCAAAGGCATTCTTGCCAGGGTTGACTTGTTTTCTCACTAGTGGCAATGGCACAGTGATGTGCTGGGAGATCATCCTCCCTGGGCTTCTTGGTTTCTGCTCATCTTCTGAGAAAAGCCCTGACTGCCCATTGTTGACTGTCTTTTCAATGGTCTGTACAGGGAACAGTCTTGGAAAATAGAGATGGTGTCTCCCTCGGAGCAAAAACAGGCATGCTTACTGTTCTGTATAATAAAGATAATGCTCCCCTCTGGTATACCTCCAATTCTGAAGGTTTTATAAAAGATTTGGGTTCCCTCAGCTCAGAATTTCTATGCTATTAACATAGCTCACTGGCTGGGCAGGCATCACCTGGCCGTATTTACACTCCCTTTGGAGTACTGAGGCGTATGCATACAAATGCTGATCCTCTGGCTACAGCTGTTAGTGTGAATACTAGACTGTCCTTCCTGGTCCCACAAATCTTGTCTGTTTTGCCAGCATTCCTGACTGTCGCCGACTAATGTGCTAGTTTAAATGTAGAGCAAATGCTCAGAGGCTTCCTGATTCTTGATACTGTTTCCCATGAGCATTGTGCTGGGTTGTTGAAATGGCCCTGGAGGAGATGTGGGGGCAGGAGGGAGAGAAGGAAGAAAAAGGTCTTTTATCTCCACCGTGTGTCCTTCCCACTGCAGCCCTTCCTCTAAAGCAACATTAAGTAATGTGAGAAATGGGACAAGGATGGAGGGGCGAGATCGAGGGCCCAACGGAACGTGATGTGGAGGCAGCTGGAAAAGACAAGTGTCAGAGCAAAGGAGGTCCAAAGTGGCTTTGGAGGGGATGGAAGGACAGTCAGCCAACCTGACCCTGATAGGACCTCATGGCTGGACTAGTCTTTCTTTTCTCACATGGTTTCTAATTTGTAAGGGATGCTCACAGGCTGTTCATCAATTGTCTTCAACTATATATAATGTGTAGAGCTTGAATTGTGAAAACTTTCAGATGTGGAGGAACATAGGGTAGGAGAGTATTTGGGAAATGGCTTTACCTGGAGCATTTTTTCCAAAAGCATTCATTGGCCTTGGGCTTTGTGGCATCATGATTACAACAAAAGTGGAATTTTAAATACAGCTTTTTTTTTTTTTCTTAAAACTGGTAATGATTTATGTACCTAGGGTGAGAGCAAGCCTTTGGCCAAGGCATATGTTCAGACAACAACGAATTCCTGGGAGTCTAGTCTTGCAGATTTTCTCAAGTTCAGAAGCGTTAGCTACATTTTTCCAAATATTACAATATATTCATTGTCCCCCTTGGCTCTGGAAGCGAGGGAGAAGGATTTTCTTTTTGTTTATATCCAAGAAGGAAACTCTAAACTTTTCCTTTCTTCTTCCCTATGTATAAATATATTTCTTAATTCTAATATTTGTGTAAAGAAAGCAAAGGAAGCTGATTCGGAAATAGACATAATCCAGGCATTTAAAATATTCAGAATGTTTTCCCCCCTCATTTTAAACAGGAAAATGTCACAGTTTTTACTAGATGCCTAAATTAAGAGTAAAATACTTGGAAAAGTAGTAGCAAGACCACTTACGGATGGCTAAAATGTGCATAGCTTTGGGGCAAATTGTCTGCTTTTTATTCTCTATTAAGTTCAGGTTAAGTGATCGGCTTCACTTATACTTATTTTCTGCTTTGTTCTTGAATTCTCTCAAGTTGTAAGTTTTTGCATCCATGCTTGTCTTCAAGTGTGATGATAAATAGAAGTTCTATTTAATTCTGTGGTTTTGCATTAGGGTGGCAGTTCCTGAAGCACGCTGTCACCTCTGTCAGCATGGAATTTTTGTTTCCAATTATAATGATTCTCTAAATAATTTGAAAGAACAATAATTAGATGTAGGTTTATTTTTTACTTGCTGTGTGTGGTCTTCTTA
This sequence comes from Homo sapiens, assembly GCF_000001405.40. Classification (NCBI taxonomy): domain Eukaryota; kingdom Metazoa; phylum Chordata; class Mammalia; order Primates; family Hominidae; genus Homo; species Homo sapiens. Next base: position 106,068,797 of record NC_000013.11, on the reverse strand, counting down.
TCCTGTAGCCTTCTAATTTAATCAAGTTAAGTTATTTCTAAGCTCCTAATTTGTACTTTTTCTGCACTGAAATGCTGACACTTTATTGACCTGATTCTGTAACTTTTGCCGTCACAGGCTTATCTACCTTGGACTTTGTGTCTTTTTGTCCTGTCATTTTCTCTGCACAGCTGGTCTTGTCTCCAGACCACCCATCTGAATTTAAAGTTTTAGTTTCTTTTCATAACACAGACTAGGAAACTTGAATGGACATTTAATTGATAAGTCACATGATATTAAGTTTGCCTCCTTAATTGATCAGTTCAAATATACTTAAATGAACCCTAGAACGACCTCCCATTCCCTCCAAGGATCATTCAATATTTGATTATTTTACACTTGTCAGCAGGAGTTGGTTTGGCAAAAATTTCTGAGTCCATCAGCTGGTCAGTTCCTATTTGTGAAAAAGCTTATCTCACGGCAGTGTGCATGGGAGCCGTGGTGGAACCACATATGAAACTGCACATGTATGTATGCGTGGGTGGGGTTATTGATGATCCTGCATAGGTGGAAGTATATCAGTTTAGGTTTTCAAATGCTTCTACTCTTGACTCATTTGCTGTTAGATATGGAAAGAAGTAATGCATTATTGAGGAAAATATCCATTTTCCTCAATGAGTGGCTATTAAAAAAATACAAATAAATAATATACACAGAAGTTTCCAAATAGAATGTGAATTTCAGTGAGTATTTATGAAACAGCATTTTTAACAACCTTATTCAGATTACAATCCACACAATACACCATTTGCCATTTAAAGCGTATGATTCAATGGTTTTTAGTTCATCTATAGATATATGCAATCATCACCGCAACCCGATTATAGACCATTTTTATCACTCTAAAAACAAACTTCAAATTTATTTGCAGTTATGCCAATCCCCTTTGAGCACGTGGCCATCACTGATCTAATTTTTGTCTCTATGGATTTGCCTATTCTGGACATTGCATATGAATTGAATCATACAATATGTGGCCATTTGTGACTGGCTTCTTTTCACTTAGTATAATGTTTTCAAGGTTCATCCATGTTGTAGCAGGTAGCAGTACTTTATTTATTTTTATTTTTTATTTTTTTTTGAGACAGAGTTTTGCTCTGTCTCCCAGGCTGGAGTGCAGTGGCATGATCTTGGCCCACTGCAACCTCTGCCTCCGAGGTTCAAGCGATTCTTATGCCTCAGCCTCCTGAGTAGCCGGAACTATAGGCATATGCCACCACACCCAGCTAAGTTTTGTATTTTTAGTAGACACGGGGTTTTACCATGTTGGCCAGGCTGGTCTCAAACTCCTGACCTCAGGTAATTTACCCACCATGGCCTCCCAAAGTGCTGGGATTACAGGCATGAGCCACTGCACCCGGCATCTTTTTATTTTTGAATGATCACTCATTGAATGGTTATATTACCTTTTATTTATCCAATCATCAGTTGATAGATATTTGAGTTGTAGCAATATTTTGATTATACTGTTTTGAAATAGCATATTTACATGGTAAAAATTAAAATGAAACAAGAAGTCACACACTGAAAATTCTCACTCCCATTTCTGTCCCCACTCACTCTGCATCAATAATCCTTTCATTACTTTTTGCTTGTCCTTTATGCAAAATCAAGAAATACAAACAAACATTCTTATTTTCCTTTCTTTTTTATGCCAAATATAGCACCCTATATATACTCCTGTATGAAACTTTTCATTTAACATATCTTAGCATGCCCTCCAAGTCAGTACATACACATATTCTTTACTTTGTGTTTTCAAACAGCATTATTTAGGTGTACTTGATATAAAATAAACTGTACATATTTGCTATATATACAGATTGATGTTTAGGCACATGTATACCACCATGAAAACTTCACCACAATCAAGAAAATGAATATATCCACCACCCACAAAACTTTCTTCCTGAACTTTGATAATTCCTATTTCTCCTTCCTGTCCTCAGGCAACCACTGATCTCCTTTCTGTCACTATACATTGGTTTACATTCCCTATAATTTTATATAAATGCAATCATGCAATGTGTACTTTGTTTTGATCTGGCTTCTTTCAGTAAGTGTAATTATTTTTGAGAATATTCATGTTGTAGCATGTGTCAATATATTTTTTTTTATTGCTATATGGTATAGCGTTGTATGGATATAGCAAATTTGTTTATTCATTCACCTGTGATGGCCATTTGGACTGTTTCCTGTTTCTGACTATTACAAATAAAGCTGCTGTGAACATTAGTGCACACTTTGCATATGGACAAATTCATCATTTCTTTTTAGTAAATAGGAGTTAAATGGCTAGATTGTATGGCTGGTGCACATTTACCTATTTAAGAAATCGCTAAACTGTTTTCCACAGTAGTTGTATCATTTTACACCTCTAGTGCAGTGCACAAGAGTTGTGGGTCCTCCCCAATTTTATTCACATGTTTATTGTCAGTCACTCATTTTAGGCATTCTAATATACATGTCGTGCCTTTTCATTATGGTGTTGATTTGCATTTCCATAATGACTTACGATGCTAAGCATCTTTTCTTTTCTTTTCTGTTTTTCTTTTTTATTTTTTTGAGACAGAGTCTCGCTCTGTCTCCCAGGCTGGAGTGCAGTGGCGCGATCTCGGCTCACTGCAAGCTCCGCCTCCCGGGTTCACGCCATTCTCCTGCCTCAGCCTCCCGAGTAGCTGGAACTGCAGACGCCCGCCACCACGCCCGGATAATTTTTTTGTATTTTGAGTAGAGACGGGGTTTCACCGTGTTAGCCAGGACGGTCTCGATCTCTTGACCTCGTGATCCGCCCGCCTCGGCCTCCCAAAGTGCTGGGATTCCAGGCGTGAGCCACGCGCCCGGCCAAGCATCTTTTCTTGTGCTTAACTGATATGCATGTATCTTTTTCAATGTAGTGTCTTTTAAAATCTCTTCATATTTATTTACTCAGTGATTTTATTATTAAATTTTGAGAATTTTTTTATGTTCTTTTTTCAGAGGCATCATGTACAAATTTTTTTTTCAGCCTGTAGCTTGTCTTTTCATGCTCTTAACAGTGTCTTTTGAAGACCATAAGTAATTTAAATGCTACCCAATTTATCAATTTGTTCTGAGAGTTTAGTGTCATATTGGAGAAATCTTCTCCTAGTCCAGGATCACAGAGATTCTCACTGTTATTTTTTCTGTGTTATATAGCTTTAGGTTGTATATGTTGGTCTGTGAGCCATTGAGTTAAGTGAGGACTTACTGTGTATATATAAAAAAGCTCATCAGAAAAAAAAAAAAAGATGAGCTGTAAAGTTGATAAGGCTTGAGAAAGAATTTTTCTCCAAATATACTACTTACATAATCAAATTCAAATCTCTATTTACTGTATCACCCATACCCCCATATTTGAAACTCCTTTCTCTTTCCTCATAGTTCTACCCAGTGAACTCAAACCCTATTAAGGGCAGTGGCCGCCCATAGGAGATAACAAGAGGTGGCTATTGGAGCTCAGGTTCAGATGTTCATAAAAACAGTGGAGCATGTTACATTCACTTCTTCCTCGGGATCCAAGTAGCTGCTCTTTACATAGGTTGTTTAGGTTTTTTATGGTTTTGTTGATCATGACAAAGTTGCACTTGACACAGATTGTTTAGGTTTTTTATGGTTTTGTTGATCATGACCCATCTCATCTGTATCCCAGGATATCTACTGGAAGATTCCCTCTACCTCAGTGATAAAAATGACATCACTGTGAATGGAAAGGAAAAGAGCTGATTACGAGCAGATTTAAAATTATTCCTTATCCATATCTATGCAGTCTGGAATGAAAACATCCAGAAGCAGAGACAGTTAAGATTTCAAATCAATATAGCTAAATTTTACACTTCACAGGGAAAGGAATTACATTTTTCTTTATTTCAACTGCCTTTTCAAGTTATAATGTCAACATGAAGTAAGGATTTAAATTAAATTTAAATAATATGCACAATAATTACTTTTCTGCATAACACAACCTAGGGAAATATCTTAAAGACAAATTACTAGGAAATCAGCAAAGCTTTTTTTTTTATGATAATAAAGATTAGAATTCTCCAAGTACTTCAGCAAGAATAAGAATCTGGCTCAATGATGACATAAAAATAACAGCAACATTATAAGAAATTGCTTGGAGGTGATTATAAAATGCCTGTAGCTCATAGGAACATCTCATGATTTATTTGTCACTGCTTGGAGGCTAAAAGAACTTATCTAAAGCCATTTAAAATTGTATTTATAAAACTGAGATGGATGAGTGTTTAGGGGAGTCATTGTGTGTAAACATATAGGAATAATTGATCTAATTACCCATGATCCGATCACTATATTGGAAAAATATTTATCTTGATAAGATCAAGTTCATTTTCATGTCACCCCTAATGATTCTATCAGAAATTATATCTCTCAATTTCTCATCATTATTATCTTAGCCTCAAAACATATTTGTATTTTTAGTCTGACTTTAACAGTCTTCTCATTTAGAAGATGCCAGTCAAATATCATCATCGATAGCAACCACTGAAAATGATAATGATTAGATTCTAATTCTATGCACAGTGACCACAATGGAGAGACTGAGGATTATCATCCAGCACCACATACCAACAGAATAACGTGTGTCACTGACATGTGAGTAGAACTGAAACGAAGCAGCCAGTTCGTTGGTCACTGAGAGGTGAGTCATAATACCAGGCAGAGTTGTGAAGACAAAGAAATAGAAGACAAGTCCATGATCTCCTAGAGCTTCTCTCTTGGTTTAAGAGACAAGAAAAAGTTACTTGAACACATATGATGAATGCAAATCATGTAAATGAATCCTAAAACATGGTGGGAGCAGTCCCACCAGGAAGTGCAGGAGTGGAGAGGCCCTGACATCACAGGGGAGCCATGGTGGGGGCTTCATGAAGGAGCAATCTGAGAGGCCTGAAGGCCAGCAAGCAGCCTGAGAAGGGCATCGCAGCTGTTGGAAGAGAAAGGGCTGGCTGGACAGAGCTCAGCTCGTGCTTGAGGAGGGAGCAAGGAGTCAAGTGTGCTGATGTCCTGATTTGGAAAATACTGAGATGGTGAGAAACAAAGCTGGCCAGCTGGTGGGGCCACAGCATGGAGGTCCTCAAATACTCGGATGCAGAGTTTGAACCGATATTCTTATCTGTGCTGAATTACGACTGGTCAAAGTGTACACTACAAAATTCTTAATGCTTCAGCAATCTTTACTAACCACTTTTTTTCTTCTACTTGTAAAGCCAAAGAGGGACAAGAAAGGGCTAGAGGAATGTCTCTAGAATCAAAGTCAAGACCTCCAGATTCTAGTACTACCTGTGTTGCTACTTAATTATATGAACTTGTGCAAATCTTGTTATTCATCTGTAGTTTAACTTTGCATTTGCAACACGAGATGGTAAAACCGATACATAACTCAGTATTTCTTTAAAAAAAAATGGAAACAATAAATGCACAAAACCCAAAAGTTAGCATTTAGGGATATCAAGACTACTGTTGTCATCACTGTGATTCTGCAAGTTCTCCAGAAAAATTCACGTTAGGACATATAGATGCAGGGCTACCTTCAGCCATCCATCCATTCAACTCTGCCCCAGGCGCCCAAACTGCACGCTTTGTGGAGCTTATATTCTAACGGGGAAGTATAATTGGTTGCTAGGGCTGCCATAGCACTGCAGACTGGGTGGTTTAAATAACAGAATTTTATTTTTTACAATTCTGGAGGCCAGAAGTTTGAGATCAAGGTGTCAGCAGGGTTGCTTCATCTGAGGCCTCTCTCTTGGACTTGTAGATGGCTGTCTTCCCCTTGTGTCTTCACATGGTCCTCCCTCTATGAGTGTATGTCCATGTGCTTATGTGTGTGCTAATCTCTTCATAGAAGGACACCAGTCGTATTGGAAGAGGGGCTACACATATGACCTCATTTTACCCCAATTCCCTCTCCAAAGGACCTATCTCCAAACACAGTCACAGTCTGAGGTACTGGGTGTGAGATCATATGAATTTTTCAGGGACACAAATTTGGCCCATAACAGAGAGATAAATAATAAACAAGTAAACAAATAAGGAATAAATGGAATAACATGAAGCAGACTTGTGTGAGTGGAATTGCTATAGAGCGAAGAATGCAAACACCACCTGGCTTTGAAAGACAGAGTGGACTGTCCCTGCAGGAGAGCAGCAATGGAGGTGTCGCAAGATGAGACAAGCTCTGTGTGTTTGAGACTGAGCATGCACCAGTTGGAAGGCTTGGTTTGGGTCCCTGCAGCTTAGGGGCACAGTGCAAAAGTGTCTGAACCACTTCTATCAAAAGGGCCCCTGGCTAGAGCTGCTGAGGGTGTCCATGCCTCCAGGAGAGTCTGCCTCTGGGAAGTGGCCGGCTTAGATGGTGTCCTCAGACAGACTGGGGGTGCCTCCCATCCATTCCCAAGAGGAGCTCAGCACGGCAGGGCTGAAAGAAGGAAGGGCATGGCTGCAGGTAGGTGAAAACATAGTGATGTGATTTAAGGGGACTTCAGGAGAGAGATTCCTGGAAATAGGGGTTAGCCTTGGACAAACCCCTCAAACACACCAAAGAGTTACTTACCATTTGTTGCTGCCTCTGGAAGCTGCTTGATTGCACCAGCGACTGCTAAATAACGACTTTTCCCTTTTTTCCTTTTCTTCCCCAACCCCACCTCCACCTTGGAGGGCAGGGAGGCACAGGGTGGGCGGGCAGAGAGGCAGGGAGCACAGCCTGAGGCAGGCAGGGGTTCTGGGAGTTCTGACTGTTGCGGGGGACTGAGGTTTTTACTGATGGGAATGAGAGAGTTACTGTGTGGGGGAGAGTAGAGCAATTATCTGAGTGTCAGGACGCAGATGAGACCTGCCTGCCAGCCTGCTTTAGACGCCAGGAGGGAGGAAGCGGGGGCAGAGTGGGATTTTAGGGGGCGGCGGGCAGGGGCATCAGCATCGTTTTCCACGTGTATTTTGGGGAGTCCTGGTCTTTTGAAATACTGGTTTTACCTTCCAAGAAAATACTGGTTATCTAAATCACAGCTCCGCAAACTCTGTCAAGGGCCAGAGAGGAAATAGTTTAGGCTTTGTTGGCCAAGGGCAGCATCAGGGATGTTTTGCAGGTCCTTACAGAACAAGCAAGGAAACATATCTGCATGCAGTTTTCATTGATGAAATTCAGAATATAATGATAGAGCACACATTTTTGTAATGCAGGTCTTATGGAAGAATGGGATTCTTTTCTTAAGGGGAATATCGTTTTCTTCACTGGAGTTAAAGTTAGTGTTCCCATCACAAATCAACTGTAAATGTTCATCTGTATCAGCCATTCTTAGCTTGAGGGCAGAACAGAAGGATGGGCCACTGGTTCCTTTGGGCCCACAGGCTATAGTTTGCCTAGTTTGATGAGCTTGGCCTAAAAAAATATGTTTTATTTAACTTTATTAATCCATTTGCAAAAATGAAATGAATAGAAAGAGATGGAACTGCTGGTAGAAAGTGAATTATATTTGCTGAAGCCCTCTGGGGTAATGGATAATCCCTATCCTCTCAGAGAAAGAGCAAAGGAGACTTGGTTTTCTTTCTTCAATATGATTTCATGAGAAGCATGGAACAATTAGACATATCTCATGATACCAAAGTAAGTTTTTATTTTGTCTTCATCAATCATTTAATAATTGATCTGCATTTTTCTGTGCACCCTTTCATAATTATTAATGCCCAAGAAAGTACAAATATTAGTCAACCTCTTCCCAGTTTGTGGCAGGACATGAATGGAGTTGTCTAAATGCCACAGTTCTGAACGTGACAAATATTATCGACTTCTAGGTTACAAATCGTGTGTGTGTGTGTGTGTGTGTGTGTGTGTGTGTTGGGGTGGAATGAAGGGCACAGAAAAAAGAAGAAAGAAGAGGGGCAGAATGACAGATTATGTGTAGTAAAATGGGATGGGGCATGCTGGGACGGGATAGCTGGAGAAGTTTAGACACAGGATTCGCTGCATTTGTAAATTATGGCTAAAATATTTCACAGATCCAATAGGATTCCTTGACATTTCTGTACCTCACATACAGCAGCTTTATAAATATATACATAAGTGAGGCTCTTAATGTGGGAGGAATATAAGTGCATTTCTCATGAGCAATTGCACCTTGAATTGGCAAGACTTGTGGATTGTTAATAATTCAAATCACCCAGCTCTTTAATACAGTCACCATTGCACCTCTTCATTATTGATACTATTGACTGCAGGTACCTTGCAATTTTTGTTGTATTCACATCGCCCATTATTCTTTTCTAACTTTTTAGAAAGTCAGTTGTGTCAGTGTACAGTTCTCTTTGTTAAGAACAAAAGCTACAAATGAATGAGCCTTCAAAAAAGGCAGTAGAAATAAACTCTCTCTAGGTTAGGAAACACTTGCTATTTTATTGAAATTTCCTACACTATATAGTCAGGAACAGAAAAAAAAAAAAAAAAACTATTGTTATGTGTACTCATTTCATTCCTGTTAGTGGTTAGCACTGGTATATCTCAAGTCACCCTGTTATAATTCTTAAATCTTCAGCAAATATTTATTGGGCACTTACTGAGTTTGTAGTCACACTATGAATTCTGAGTTTTCCATAGCTTTTGGAGAAGTAATTCTCCTTTCTACAATATTTCAGTCTTGATAGCAATTGTTATTATTTATTTTTAGATGATACATCAATAGGATATAAATTGTATTTTCATAAACATACCAAGTATTGAAGTAATTGCATTTATTATTTTTCTTCAAAGATGAGAACTTTGCTATTTTTACCTGTATTTCATTCAACTCAATGAATTAATCTTTTCCAACTGTACTGTTTATTTTAGTGTAGCGTAACACATTTAAACTTATTTATTTATTTATTTATTTTTTCACCATGCATAGTATTCTATTTTCTCGTTTGTCAGTTTTGATTTTTTACTTTAAACTTTAGGTGTCATTAAGAAAAAAATACCTATCATAGAATTTGAGCATTTTTAGAAATGCAAAAAGTCAAGTTCAACTTTCCAACCAGCGGAGAAATTTTCTGCACTAGAACGTTAGCTAAACACATTGAATGACAGGAAACCTATAAGAAAGCATATTCAATTTATGTGAATTTCCTTTTGTTACAAAGGCAGATAGGACAGAGAAGGAAATTGATTGACTTAGCGATGCATCAATTAACTCTTCAAGGTCTGGAATAAACTTAGAATTTGAAGGTGCACACTCTTGAGCTATACATTTGAATATTGACTGCAATTGCACGTCCTATATCAATACTCACCTGTGTTTTTTAAACTGTGAAACCAGTAAAGCATGATGATGATTGGCATCCCTCTGCAGTTAAAAAGAAGCCTAATAGTGTTAAAAATTCAATTCATCCAACACAAAGTTCTAAAATTTTTATGCCTTATAGAATTACTTGAGCACTCTCCAAAATCCCATATCCATGTCACAACCAATATTAAGTCCAAATATAACCAGTCCTTTTCTTTTTAATAGTCTTCATTTTTTTAAGAGCAGTTTGAAATCCACAGCAAAGCTGGGCAGAAAGTACACAGAATTTCCATATCTGACCCCGCTCTCAAACATGTGCAGCCTCTCTATCAACATCTTACACCAGAGCGGTATATTTGTTACGATCAATGAACATACATTGGCACATCATTATCATCTAAAGTTCCCAGATGATTCTAACGTGCAGCAGAGTTTAAAACCGCTAATCCAGGAATTGGATATAAACACAGCTGATCGTGCACTGATTTACATCTTGTAGCTATAGTTGGTGTTTACAGCTCAAGTTTATGCTGGTGGATCGTGAGTCTGTGAGTGGTCAGTAGCTATGTCACACTTACTGTTAAGTATTGTGAATACCACACAGGATATGACTATGAAATCCACCTTGCAAAGTACTCCCAGAACCATAGTCATATTACGTGAACACCCTCATGTAACACGGGCCTTTGCGTGTTTTCGATGTGAATGGTCTCTGTGAGTGGGTTCGGACGTTCTACTTTAACCAGCAGTGTTTATATGCAGAATCGAAAGTCCAGGACGGATTTTGCAACCAAAGTCTAGATTTATAAATTACTTCTGTAATTTACTCCTCTTCTCCAAAGTTATTTTTAGGTTCAAAGTGGAGGTAGGAAAGGCAGGGTAATGAGGCAGCAGTGAAAACTCCATGACTGTAGCCACTCCCAATATGATGTTCGTCAGCCTTGCAAGAACTGACGACTGGTAAAAACTGCAGGAGGTAAAATTCAGCCATATGCAGGAGGATGCCTCCTGCAGCCCTCAGTGTGCCTTCTGTGGCCAGGTCTGCTCAGGGAGAGCTTGATGTGATTTCACCACACTAGAGAAATTGAGCCAGTGGAACTGTATTTTACTTTTTCCATAATTTCAGCCTCCCCAGGATGAGTCAAGATGTCCTAAACTTCTTGAAATGAAGTCCTAAACTTCCTGAAATGAATAATCTGGAAATATCAATAAAATATCTTAAGATAGCTTTACAGGGAAATGGACAAAGAAAAAAAACACAATAGCACAGAACTGGCTGAATCATTTCTGAATTGATAACACAAAGAAAACTTTCATTTCTTTTTAATTATATTCTTTACACATATTGAAAGACAGGCTTATAAAACAGTGTAATACTATTCACTCAGGAAAATTAGAGGCTTCACATTAGGCCAGAATTAAACCTGATTTTCCTAATAATAAGAATATTTTAGCTCATTTACCCTTGGATCTATCTATGTATCCATCTGAGTACTTAATCGATCCTGTTTTCTGAACAGTGAAACAGACAAGATAATTTCTTTATTTTATTTTATCTGACCACAATATATACTCCGTATGCTTTCTATGTAGTCAATTATGTTTCTGCTAATGTTATTTCTTATATATGACATTTCTGGTAATTAATAGCATTAAAATATGAGCAATAGTTTACATTAAACTATATTTTTGTTTTTGTTGTTAAAGACAGCGTCTCGCTTTGTCATTCAGGCCAGAGTGCAGTACACAATCATACCTCACTGCAGCCTTGAATTCCCTGGGCTCAAGCAATCCTCATGCTTTAGCCTCCAGAGTAGTTGGGACTATAGGCATTCATCATGTAATTTTTTGTACTTTTTATAAAGACAGGGTCTTGCTATGTTGCCCAGGTTGGTCTTGAACTCCTGGGCTCAAGAGATCCTCCCTCCTCAGCCTCCCCAAATGCTGGAATTACAGGCATTCACCATGATGCCTGGCCACATTAAACTGTATTATGACTCCACCATCCTCCATGACCCCCTCTATCCATTGATACCTCCATTCCTCCAGCAAGCCAGCATGTGAATCTTCTTTTCTTCCATTCATTCAAGAATTTACGGAACACCTCTGTACACAAGACACTGTTCAGTCACTGAGACTTTAGAGATGAAAGAGATGCAACCACTCTCTTCAAGATGCAAATGATCTAATGCTGAGGCCGACAAGGAAGACAACAATGGTGACCCTGTGTGATTAGTCACATGTGGTTACAGGTCACCCTGGCTTTATAAAGGATGGGGCTCTAACTGCAGGCAGCTGGGAGATGTGGATGTATTTTAGTCAAAGAAGGAATCTGATGGGTGTTTTATTTTGAGTGTTATTTGCTCTTAAGAGGGATTCTCTGCTGGCAATCTGAGGGAAAGATTGCAAGCAGATGGGGTGGACATAGATAGATCAGAACAGAAGCCACCATTTCAATTAAAGAAGAAAACGTAAGTCCTGAAATATCTCTGTGGCAAGAGAAAGGAGGGGAAGATGCATACAGAAAAATTAGGGAGATGAGCTCAAAGGAATTATTGAGTGAATAAAGAAAGTAAAAAAAAGGAACGGATAGGCAATGGCTTTTGTAAATTGTGGTAGCATTAGTCTAAGGAGGTGATAACTACTGCCCTGACAATATCTTGGGCCTTTCACTTTCTTACTTTTAACAATGGCTCTGATCTATTTCCACCACATCTGTTTACAGTTGATTGTTTGCTCCATGCCAGTGCTGTTCCACATGAATCAGTTCTTTTGATCATCAGCATAACCCTAGGAGTAGGTTTTATTATTTCCATTTCAAAGGGGAGGAAACTGAGGCACAAGAGTTTAAGTCAGTTCCCCTTTGTCCTGCACTGTTCAAACACAGCAGAACAGGGCAGAGCCCCCATGCTTCAGATTATCTCAGCGCAGCCAGCACCAGAGGTGCCATCCACAGAGATGGTGACGTGAACGTTGTCTCTGGAGCTGAGGAGTGAGGCAGCTCTGTCCAGAGCCTGAACTCACCAACGGTGCCCCAGACAGCCTCTGGGGAGGGAGCATATTGCAGGGAGACATGTTTAGTTTTGAATGTGTTCAACCTGACGTATCTGCAATACATGCTGGTAGAAGCATTCTCATAAAGACCCTACAATGTGGGGAAGATTTATAGACCAGGGAATCATTATTGTATGAATAAGAATGGAGATAAAGTATAGGTGAAATTTCACAGGGAAATAATAGTAAGGACAGACACACCAGTTAGGTAGCAAATCCTGATGATGTTGTACAGCAGTAGCTTTTAAATATGGATGCACAGAAGAATCACCTGGGGACTTCAAAAATTCCTTATGTTCAGGCTCCACTCTTGGCTAATTAAATCAGAATGTCTGCGCATGAGACCCAGGTATGGGCATTTTAAAATCTCCCCAAGGTGATTCTAAGATGCGGTTAAATTTATGTGTCATTGATTTGGAACTGTTATTCTTATATTCTCATGTGCATCAGAATCACCTGGAGGGCTTATTAAAACACAGATTGCTGGGCCTGCCCCTAAGTCAGGTTCTTCAGATGTGTCAAAATGCCTAAGGACTGGAAAGCACTGTTGTAATTCCAATATTATATGACTCTTCCTTATAGAGATGACTCAATTAAAAATTGAAAAGTGAATTTTAACAACTTGTCCTTAATTCTAAGAAATCTTCCATCACTATCTTTTGGGAATAAGCATTCTCCCCCCATACCACAGGGATGAGAAATACCAGTATATTAATTCTTCTACTAGAATATAAATTCCACATGATCAAGGATTGCCTGTTTTAGTCACTGTTCTACCTTAGGTTTAGAACTGCACCTGGTATATGGTATATGCTTAATCAGTATTTGTTAGGTAAATAAATATTGCAAAACTCTATATTCAGTTTTTAATTAATCCATTCTATACATCTGATGCTGTGTGGTAAGAACTGTGCTCCTGCTGTAAAAACAGGTAAATAAAACTGCTGTGCTTTCTGTTTTCATGAATGGAACTTACAAACTAGAGTTGAGAATGCAATGCAAACATATTAATAAATGTGTGATAATTTTTATTTGGCATATTTTTGCTTCTGTTGGTAAACAATTATTTTATTTTCTTTTTAATCTTTAGTTTGATAAAATTGTTCCATAAAATGCTTTCTTTATATGTAGTAGTTACTATGTGTTTTAGAATTAAATACAATTCAGTTATATACATATAGATGACTAGTGTGAAGTGGCTATTATAATGGGGCAGATAATGTATATAAAGATAGAAAACTTGGTGGTCTCACAGTACTCCTGAAAACATTAAGAATGTTAATAAAGTCTATAGATTGTTTAAAAGATGTATAAATTATTGTCAAAGTCTCAAGTTTATGTACTGATTTCACCAATATCTCTGGGACAATGCATTGAACAAAGTCTTATGTAGGTTTTATATTCCTAAAGGCTAGTTTTGAAAGCCATGTAAGTCTGAATGACTATTTAAAAGTTAGAAAGACTGTAGTCTGTTGACCCAGGACGTTAACAAATTCTGTTTCAGGAGTATAATCTGAGATCATAATAATACAAAATTGATGAGGACCCTAAAATTGTCCTTAATTATCTTTATAACACATCCACCAACTGATAATCTGGCTTTGGAACAAACTCCTCTAATTTTACAAAAGTCTCCTCCAGCCACATTATTCCCTTTTTCACACCAGTGACTTCTTTATACTGGATTGTCATCTCACTCTCTGTTTTTCGTCACCATTCTCAATAATCATGGAGAAAAGATAAGAAATGCAATCTCTTGTTCATATTTATTATTTTCTGTTCTCTCTTCGATGCCTTTTTTTTAAAGAGAAAAATCTTCCTCAATCTTCCTCCAACAATATAGTTTACGGTTTCTTTTTGTATTCATACTTCCTCATATAACAAATATTTGAGATTTCCTCCAATTCTTCTCCTTTTGAATCAGATACATACGTATGTATTGATAGACAGGTAGAATATAAATGCAGATATAGATACCTGTTTGTACATACACATATTCACATGCATTTCTGTTAATTTTGCTCACTCAGAATTGATGTCCAGTTTCAGATGTCTTAACAACTTTTCTCCTTTGTTTCCCAACTGCTAATGAATGCCCTCCTTTCCCATGCTTGCTTAGGGTAGCAGAGTTCCAGAACGGTTACTGTATTTCCACAATTACAAGATATGCCATTAGTGACATTTCTGTTTATCAGTTTCTCTTTTCTTTCTTGATAAGACTCCAAAAGAGTTTAGAGCCAAGAGTGATCACGGACTCTTAGGATGAGCATGGTATCTGTTAGACTTTTGAGTATTTATGAAAGGTTATGATATGTTCATTTTTCTAAAGATAAGATTCATAATTCCATCAGAATCTCCAAGTGTTCATGACCCACAAAATATTAAGAATCATTGATTTAGTTCTGGATGGTGACATCTTAAAATATTGCAAATCGTTTCCTCCTCTTCAACTATTTGTGATTGTTTGTCATTTTTATCAGCCTCCCCAAGTCCATTCGGGAGTAACATGGAATATAAATGGACAAGTACCTTGGTGAATATTTCGATTAGTAGGCTGGGAGTTGTTTTTCTGGGCATTCGTCAAGCATTATTTAACAAGGGCTGCAGACAACGTGCTCTCTACTACAGACAGCTGTGGGCCAGTTAAAGGGCTTATGCCTGGCAATTCGGTTAGCCTCTTGAGCCTCAGATTTTTTTTTTTTTTTTTTTTTAGATGGAGTTTCGCTCTTGTCGCCTAGGCAGGAGCCCAGTGGCACGATCTCGGCTCACTGCAACCTCCGCCTCAGCCTCCTGAGTAGCTGGAATTACAGAAGCCCGCCAACACGCCTGGCTAATTTTCGTATTTTTAGTAAAGACAGGGTTTCACCACATTGGCCAAGCTGGTCTCGAACTCCTGACCTCAGGTGATCCGCCTGCCTCAGCCTCCCAAAGTGCTGGGATTACATGCGTGAGCCACCACGCAGATTCCTAACATGCAAAATGGGAGTAATAATGTCAATTTCATGTGTTTGTCAGAAAATTAAGTTACAGAACATACCTGAAAGACTCAATGAAGACTCCTCTTTGTTTCTTATTTGGCCTTAATAAAGTCTCGGTGCCACACACTTTTCCAAATCCCTTACACATTGTAATGCTTAAATGCTCATAACAGCACTATGGGGCGTGAGAATGTCACCATCATGCCTAATTTATAAGAGGGAAAAGTGGGCCGGGCGCAGTGGCTCACGCCTGTAATCCCAGCACTTTGGGAGGCCGAGGCGGGCGGATCACGAGGTCAGGAGATCGAGACCATCCTGGCTAACACGGTGAAACCCCGTCTCTACTAAAAATACAAAAAATTAGCCGGGCGTGGTGGCGGGCGCCTGTAGTCCCAGCTACTCGGGAGGCTGAGGCAGGAGAATGGCGTGAACCCGGGAGGCGGAGCTTGCAGTGAGCCGAGATCGCGCCACTGCACTCCAGCCCGGGCGACAGAGCCAGACTCCGTCTAAAAAAAAAAAAAAAAGTGGAGAACCGGCAAGCTAAGTGACTTGCTCAAGGCCCCCCCGCCGGTGTGGAGAGCTTGGATCTGAACCCCTCTGTTGAGCTCTTGGATTTTGTTTGTTGTCTGTTTCTTTTCCTCACGATGCTCTAATATGTTACCTCCCAACAGCTTGAAAAACGTGTTTGAAAGAGAACCCCGCCCTGCTCCTAGAATCTCTAGTCTCCAGGACTCACTCTGGAATTGATAGGAGATTCATTATTCTAGAGCCAGTGGCCTCACAGCTGTTGGCAATTCAGCTTTCCTGTACCCTCCTGGAAGCGTCACAAAGCAGCTGTGGGAAAGGCTGAGCTGCTGAGTGAGCACAGAACACCTCACTGCATGCGACCCGGTGCCCTGCTGTCCGCAGGACCAGGAAGGCTGATCCTGAGCACAGCCCAAGGCTGGTGCACAGGGAGCAGGGAGGGCCGCGGGCCCCTGGGGCTTTCTTTCCAGGGGAGAGTTTTGAAAGGAATAACTGATTCCAAAACATGGGAGGGAGTTAAGGCATCTTGGTGTTTATAAAAATCACTACCAGAAACACATGTGCTCTCTCCAAATGGGTATTCAGTTCAAAGCTGGTGATTAATGAATTTCTTAAAATCTGTGTGTGAGTAACAGTCATGTAAACTCTATATGGGGTGAACAAAACAGTCATTAATTTGAAGATAAATTATCTTTCTTAGTCAAACTTTCCAATGTTCCTTAAACATGTGTTTATGTAACATTTATTTATAGTGAATTTGTACCCTCCCTTAGTAATCACTGAAGATGTGTGTGTATGTGTATGTGTGTGTATAAATAGGAAATGTCTCCCGTTAATTCCAGCTAACACCTTTGTTATTTATACCAGGGTACATAAGTCTCTCTTTAGGACAGAACATCTGTTGCTGGAAGAATGGTTTTGTTGGCAGAAAAGAGTGATATATTTTTGAACCAAGCAAAAGAAGAGATCAATCATAGAAGAGAAAAATAATCTTGTTCCATACGTTAAATATGCTTCAGGACGAAGTTAAACACTTGCCCACAAATGGACACAGTGATTGAAAGCTCTTCCTAACTCATTCCTAGACGGCAGCTAAAGCTGAGAATTTAGTCTGTATGTTCACTCTTCTACATGACCTTATAAGCTTTTAGAGGCCCTATGATTTATCCCATTTTTCATGAAGTCATCCCTATTTGTGAGCAGTTTGTGTTTATGACATTTTAGTATTTGCCCTTAACTATTATATTTCTTAAAACTTCCAACATTTGCTGTGAAATTAAGATTTAATCCTTATTAACTAAACATCTGAAAGTAATATCTTCCAAGTTACTTTAGTGTATAAATTCAGTTTATTCATAGAATTTATTTTATTTTTATTATTATTTACTTATTTTTACTTTTAATGGTTTATTAAAACAACAGTTTATTATTAATGAATATTTTTTCTTAGCTGTATTTTTGTTAAAATGAAGCAAATTGATATAAAGATGACTCAAGATGAAAATCTCACCTGATAAAAAATGTTAATTTCTTTTTTTGGAATTAGGTATAATTAAGAAATTACCAATCTAAATGTGCACTGTAGAAAACTTGGAAAACATTAAAACACGGAGTGAGAGAAATAAAATTTGCTTTCAATCCACCTCTTGGGTCTCCCTCTGACATCAACAACTCAGAATGAGGGTGTTAGATTTCAGAGAAATAAGAAGGGCAGAAATTACTTGGAGTGAATTTAATTATAAAAATATTTAATATGTGATATTTTAAAATAAATGATGATAATTAGATAATAGTTATTACCTTCTATTGGCCTAAGATTGACTGCTTCAGGTGATAAATTACACGCTTCTAGAGAAAAGGAAAGCTGCACGTGCCTTCTAAGTCCCCATCTGAAAGACTGTTCGTGTTTCACATCTGTCACTTGTGTCAGATTTTTCTTAAGACTTACAAATCCTATGAAGATTGTATGAGCGCCTATAATTCTAGAAGGTGAGGCCAACTTACTTGGACAACGTGGCAGTGGAGAGTAGTTTCAGTAGTTCCAGCACAGCATATTGGGAAGAACTACTTGTGTTCATTACCTACTCTTTTCCTCCAACAGTCCTGTTTTGAAAAGAAAACAGCTAGTTTATTAGTAATGCTAAATGAACTAGGGATATGCCAAGGAAGATAAAGGAAAAACAAACATGTCTGATTTGTTTTCGGATTGCTAATATTTCAGAAAAATTAGAATAGATTCTAAAATTTATGAAAGATAATCATACTTGATGATGTGTTGATATAAACAAATGTGTCCTGCAGGCTAAAATTATAATAATGCTTTAAATCCCCATTTTATTTGAAGATTCTTTTTGATTCAGGAAAACAAAGTTCTGCATTGGGGTGCATCATGAACTAAGACACAGAGTGGCTCCCAGGGCAAAGAGAAACCCAGTTTCTGGCGTCCAGTGCCTTCCTGCGCTCTGCTGTTGCTTTTTGAGCACCAGCGGCGTTTCATTGGTTCTCCCTGAATCATGGATCTTTTTTTCTTCCTCCTTTTTTAAAGCCTCCTCATGTGCTGTTGTCTCTCTCCTTAAAAGCAGGTGTCCCACAAGATTCAGTTCTTAGGTTTTTGATCTTCCCTTTGTACATACTATCCATTTTAAGTCTTGTCCAGTCTGAGAACTGTGTTGATATCAACAGATTGATGATGGTTTCCAAATTTGCTCTGTAGCTCTGTGGCTTTTATCTCTTCCTTAAGCTTCACTGCTTTATCACTACCTGTAAGATGAATATCTTCTCACTGTTGTGCTGAGACCGCTGCAAATGTTTCGTGTATTGGCAGGATTCTTTTCTTTCTCTTCCCCCCAAACCTGTAGATGACACTATTTGCATTATCTGCCGCTGACACTATTTGAATCGTCAAAAGCTCAAAGTCTTGGAGGATGAGGAGAAGTATTCTCCATTTTGTGCTGGTAAATGTTTAACAACCATTTTTTTTTTCAACAAAAAAGACAATCCTTGATATGTACCAGTTGCGGATGTCCATGGGGTAAATATTCCCAGCAGACTGATTTAACCTGCCAGTCAGAGTCACTGCCAGGAGCATAGGGAGGAGATGTGCACAGTTGGCCCTGGCAAGCTGGTACAAGATGGCTACGGCACACTACAGGTGATTCTGAAAGTCATTCTGGTAGACTGAAAAGAACTGATGTGTGCATGTGATAAATGTTGGTTGAATTAAAGGATAAATAAATGGCTCTATAAGACAACTTTGAAATATTCAATGTAACTTTTGCTTGTATCCAGAGAATACGGCCATGTGCAGAACATAATCTCCGATATTTATTGGGTGGGAGTGAGGTGTGAGTTTTGACTTCGTCACTGTAGTTCAGCCAAAACCTCACGAACTTGTGTAGAAGGTAGAGAAATACAGACTGGGTAACCAAAGAGTTATGTAAATGAATAGCTCATCAAGTCAACATTTAAGCATGTTGATTGAGGAACACTATTCCATCTGGCTGAAAAGCTCTGACGGTGTGCCGTTGCCCCCATCTTTTGATCCTCTCAAAAATGCGTGGTAGAATGATGAATTTTGTCATTACTCAATGCATGGAGGAGTAGCTGTTACAGAGGATGACAAAGTCAGGATGAAAAAAAAATTGACAGATTAAAATAATGAATCACAATAACAAAACCAAAATTTAACAGTAGCCTCTGGTTCTGCATCTGGGTTAGAAATCATTTTTAAAAATGAAAGTGTAATCAAGCTTGACAATATTTGCTGAAAGACAGACGTGCAGGCTTTAGCTGACTGCAAATTCAATATAAAGCAATAGAGAATACGACTGCTTAACCAGTTAATGCATTTATAGAGTGATTTTAATAGAAACGCAGTGTAGAGCAAGATGTGGCAGCTCCGATATCGCCAATCTGGCAGGTTTGGAGGGTGGGTCTGCAAGCTGGAGGGAGTCCAGAGGGAGTGACATCTTGCCATGCCCCTTACATTGCATCTCAGGGGTTTGCTCCTTTACCTCAAGAGGTCCCACAACCTCGTATCGTGTCCACATGTTTGTCCATCCTGTTCCTTATACATATATTGGCTTCATTCTCTTCCAATTAAAGCTCTTTTATGTTTTACTACTCAACTGTTACTTTTTCTTGTGTCAAAATAAAAATATTCAACTCTTTCTTTGTACTTCCTCAAAGTTGCTTGTACCTTTATTCTGCACTTTTTTTTTTCAGCCTTTCCTTGTAGTTAATTACCCGTCTTTCCTGTCTTGTGAACATTTATCATGTGCTGAATTGATGTCAGGCACCTCACTCTGTCCTGTCACATATGTGATTTCTTCAGTAGAAGTTAGTGCTTTGAGGACAGAGATCACGTCTTGTCATCTTCATTCGTGCTTTAGTGATTAGCAGACTCTTGAGGATAGAAAATTGACTCGAATGATCATGAAATGAGTTGATAAAATCTGAACATAAAGTCATGATAGAATCACCACCAAGATTCAGGCTTCTCCCAGCTTTCTGGACTTTTTCAGTGTCAGCGAGGGCTGTCTCATACACACTGCATTTTTGATCGTGGATTCCCACAAGTGTGCATTTATTCATTCACAAATGGGCCAGGCACTATGCTAGACTGTGAAGATGAACAACTTTATATTCAAAATTTTGTACTCCAGAGATTCATCTTTGAATTGTCAGGCCTTGACATAGTGCTGATTGATTGTTGCCTATGAATTGTTTTTAGAGTACAAAAATCTATGATAAATTCTGTACTGGCAGTGCAGTTTGTTCTTTAGAGTTCCCAAGGATTCAAAAAAGTACCAGATAATGAATCATAAGTATATTTTTTATGACTAATGGTGGAAAAGTTGGTAGAGAATCCTCAGTCCTGTCTGGAGTTTTCCCATGTCTATGTCTGCTTTTCTAGTTATGTCAAAAAAAAAAAAATCTTTGTTCTGGTAAAGCAAGCATCTTCTCAAGGATCTCTGAAGATTTAACACCAGGCAACCTGTAAATGATGGAAATTTATTTCTCACAGTTTTGGAGACCGGGAAGTCCAAGATCAAGACAACAGCAGATTGGATGCCTGGTGAGGGCCCCTTCCTGATTTATAGACGGCACCTTCTCTCTGTGTCCTCACATGATGGAAGGGGCAAGGCAGGCCTTTTGGGCCTCTTTTGCAAGGGCGCTGCTCCCACTCATGAGGGACCACTCTCATGGCCTTATCATCTCCAGATGCCATCTCATTGGTGATTGGGTTTTAACATGTGCATGTGGGGGGCTTCAAACATTGAGGCCAGAGCACCTACTCAGCAGTATTCCAGTACCAGCAAGCATATTATCATCAGCTGAGTGCATGAGTTTTACACATTTTCTCATTCTATTTGTATTAGTCCATTCTCACACTGCTACAAAGATACTACCTGAGACTGGGTAATTTATAAGAGAAGGAGATTTAATTGACTCAGAGTTCTGCATGGCTGGGGAGGCCTCAGGAAACTTACAACCATGGCGGAAGGTGAAGGGGAAGCAAGGCACGTCTTACATGCTGGCAGGTGAGAGAGAGAGTGCAGGGGTAACTGCCACTTTTAAACCATCAGATCTTGTGAGAACTCCCTCACTATCATGAGGACAGCATGGAGGAAACCACCCCCCATGAACCAATTACCTCCCACCAGGCCCCTCCTTTGAAAAGTGGGGATTACAATTCAAGATGAAACTTGGGTGAGGACACTGAGCCAAATCATATCATATTCTATTGGAGTGAATGTGCACAACAAAATAGGGAGAAAAAACTAAAATTCTGAATTTTTTTTTGTTAATTGGGAGATCTTCATACAAGAAATTTACAAAATGGTAACTTTAATACTGTATCATTCACAAAGTAATGGTTTGTTTACTTGTGAACTGATGACTATTAATTTTGAGATTGGTGGATTAAATATTTTAACATACGTTTGTGGTCAAGGGGAGCAGACAGTTCTCACTAAATATAAATACTGCACAGAAAGACTTGAATTACTAAAAATGCTAGTTTCTTTTAGCCTGTGAAGTAAAATGTTCCCTATTTCTTAAGTCATGATAGATAGACTGGCGTCCATCCACTTCACGACACAAAGTGTATGTGAACATTGGATGAGTGTATCATTCTTTTGACTCTGAAATCCAAAATGTCTTTACTCACATTATTTCTGTAATATTCGTTGTGTTCCTGATAGGAAAATGTCAGATGGCATTTCTGCCAATGTAGCATTTGAGAAGTTGAGTCAAAGCAGTTTCATGACTTTTCTAAGGTTGTAATCCAAATCAGTGGAAGAGCAGTGACTATACTCAAGTTGGTGTTAACTATTCTTCACAGGAAGCTATCCTATTACTTTGTAATGTATGTTCACTATAAAAATATGACTAAGAGGCCAGGCACGGTGGCTCATGCCTGTAATTCCGACACTTGGGGAGGCTGAGGCAGGTGGATCACAAGGTCAAGGAGTTCGAGACCAGCCTGGCCAACATAGTGAAACCCCGTCTCTACTAAAAATACAAAAAATTAGCTGGGTGTGGTGGTGTGCGCCTGTAATCCCAGCTATCCTGGAGGCTGAGGCAGGAGAATCGCTTGAACCCGGGAGGCAGAGGTGGAGTGAGCCGAGATCGTGCCATTGCACTCCAGCCTGGGCGACAGTGCGAGACTCTGTCTCAATAATAATAATAGTAATAGTAATAATAATAATAATAATATGACTAGGGTACATTTCCTCTCGTGCACTGTCTCCATATCTTTTGCTGATGGCAGCTGTAACTCTTCATACTTATCTCAGAAAAAATTTTGCTCACAGTATCTATAGAATTTGCCATTGCCGGGTAATTCCAAACCTCCATCACTTACGCATGTACTTTGACTAATAATTTTAGTCAAAAGGGGGGGAAATTATGCTGGAAAAGAATGAGGAAGATTGAGGGACTGTATCATTCTTAGTGCACAAAAAGGCAAGCTGAAATGAGGAAGGAGAAGAATGGAACTTTGATTGTTAATAGAAGCTTAAAGACTCAGATCATTGTTCAATGGAATTTTAGTTGCACGTGCAATGTCCTCTTTAAGATTCATTCAAAAGAAATGTATATGTGTGTGTGGATGTGTGTCTCTGTGTGCACACGCACACAAGATGTTTGTGTACATTGGTTTATGTTCCCACCTCTGTGGCTTTTCTTGCTGTTTGGAATATCTTAATAAATCAAGCTGCTCTGCCACTTTATTATATAAACCAGACCATAAATGTTAACACACTCAACATCAGATTGTTTATTTTTTATATTTAGGTGAAACCAAAAATAATTAACCTGAAGTTAATTTGAAGGGCATAATTACAATTTTAGTCAACAAATGGGTGTTTATAAATGCCATAAGCACTGTTTCACAAAAAGGAGATGAAACATTTGAGAAACAGCTTCTCTTTAACTGGAATACAGAATTTATGAGTTGCCACTAAGAGCCAGTCTTCTACCACTTAAAATGGTGAATAGATTCTAGCAAACTAAAAGTTTAAATTTTGAGAGAATAGTGAAAAAATCAGTCCTGGTAGAAACACCCATATGCACACACACATACCATATGATTTCAGTTTTTAAACAGTGAGTTGTATGGAAGTACTGGTGGTCATTTAGTTTTGTAAATATCTGTGAAATAAATCCAACATCTTCAATATTATTAATTACTAAATCCTCATTTCAAAAAGCAAGTAATATTCTTGACTTTTGATAATGGTTACTTAAATATATTTATCCATGCTTGGTTTTTAGTATAGGTTTTTGTTTTATATTGTGGGTGCGTGTGGGTGTAGTGTCACTATATTTGTCATTTAAATGTAAAGTTACCCAGCCATCTATCTTGTTTACATTTTCCACTGTCACACTGAAGGGATATACATTACTCAGTTTTGAACTCTTTAAGTGTAACTCTTTAAGCGTAAACAATGACTTTTGGTCTTTGAGTTTGTTAGTATTGAATGTGGGTTGCTTTGTTGTAATGGTAACTCTAATAGTGTAATTTTTCATAAGTGAAGTCCTCGTAGCAAGTATAAGTAGGTTGCAGTATATTACCATTATGAGGTTCCTTAATAAAGTGCTAATTGTAACTTGGCTTTAAATGTTACGTTTTGTATGCAAATTGGCCTGAGGGGAGTTATTATTTGGTGAACCACACTAACATTAGTTTGTAATTTGTATCAAGAGTCACACCATTATTACTAATATGTTAGATGTAGTTTATAGAAAAATACTGCTTTCTCATGAAAGAGAAATAAATTTTGAGTTAGAAGCTTTGGATATTGTTATTACACTTTAAAGGAAAACAAACAGACTCTAGTCAGATTGAGAACCGGACTGTTTAACACAGGTAGACGACAATGGGAATCTGTGACACATTAAGTGATTAAAATCTTTTTTCATTCCTAATTAAGTGTTTAATATCCTCATAGCAAAGGCTGTTTCTATTATATTATCTGTATTTACAAAATATAGTTTTTCTGTTGCTGGCTTATATTAGCATATTAAATCTTTTATTTTCTGTCTTATATAGAATTATTGTGAAAGAATGCAAACAGGTAAAATGGCCTTCTCACTGGCTTAGGTGGGAGCAGAGCTGAAATCTGTTTGAACAGCAGTGGTTTTCTTTAGGTCTGCCTTATGGGTGGTTGTCCGGGTAACTGACTTGAAGGGTGCGTATGAGCTCTAAGGCTGGACATGTGACAGCGAATACTCACCATGACTTGATTCAGTAACACTAAGATTAGTGCGGTAGTGTGTGAACAGGAGTGAAGAAAAAGTAGTAGTGACTCGCATCTGTCTCCATGTTCTACCCATGTTAAGTTTCTGAATTTAAGTTAAAGAATTACTTTATTCCTTGATGACGACTACATGTCATGACTGGAAAAATGCAAGAAACAAAATAAAACAAAACTCTGATAAATGCCTGACGGACCTGAGCACGAGGTTTCCTGCTCCCCACCTGGGAGTCCAGTGAGTGAGACTGAACTGGGTCAAGGCTGTTGGGCTTCAGAATGAAAACCCAGTGCTTGTCTTGGCTGAACTTAGAGCATGACCAGTGACAAGATGTCCACTTTGCTGAAATGAAGTTTCTGCTGGACATCTCGAAGTGTTCATGAAGCACTAGGTTGTGAACGGATCCAGATATTAAGTAAATCACAAAAAAACCTCAAAAATACTAGCCAGCGAGCGATTCACCCATTTCATGTGGTTTCATTGACTTGCTTATATTTTATTTTTATATAAAACATAGTATTCATTCACTATTGTTTGAGTCATTGATTCATGGAATTTCAAAACTATATTTTGATATTATCATTATTTCTAAACAATTACTTTCAGATAATTGTAAAACAAAATAAAACGAAATCTTTCTAAGTATGCTTATATTTTACTCTGCTAACATATTTCTGTGCAGTGTGGAACCACACAGCCAGGAATACATGGCCCCTCTTATGGATGTCAAAGCTCACTTTGGGAAGCAGAGGGTGTGGGATGCTCTTAGCCAACAGTCATGAGTCCAGGGAGTTCAGGAGGGTAATTGATTTGAAGAATAAATCAGCAAGTTCACACTGGGGCTGGAAAACAAAGCCTCCCTCAGCATTTTAATAGATAGACAATCATTAATTTTACCCCAAATTACAAGCATGCTTATAATGTTTCAACAGCTGTTGATTAATTGTTGAACAGCAATAATGGGAGGATGAGAAAATCTTGTTGATAGAAAGTGCATGAGGGTCAGCAGATTTATGTGAGCACAGCTGTCCCTTCTAACCTCCAGTGAAACTGTCAGGCCAGAATGCTGCCTTAAACCTGCTCTTATGGCTTACAGGATGCACTATTTATTTTATTTTTTTGAATACATTAGGCTGACTTGTTAAAGCTGTTGCAAGTTTTCATGTGAATGAACTTTGCAATTTTAATATTTCAAGAGGGTTCAAAGTATAGAGAATTATGGTAAATTATGTTCCCTAATAAAAACATCTGAGCTGATGGAGATTGGTCTATGTGTTGCTGCCTTTGGACAACATATTTAAAGAGGGTGCTTGGGTGTGCTACTTTTTAGGCAGACATCCTCTAGACCTTTACCCTCTTTGAGACTTAGTTTAACTATCTCTAAAATGTAAATGTAAATAATTCTTTTTTTTTTTTTTTTTTTTTGAGATGGAGTCTGGCTCTGTCCCCCAGGCTGGAGTGCAGTGGCGCCATCTCGGCTCACTGCAAGCTCCGCCTCCCGGGTTCAAGCCATTCTCCTGCCTCAGCCTCCCGAGTAGCTGGGACTACAGGCGCCCGCCACCACGCCCGGCTAATTTTTTGTATTTTTAGTAGAGATGGGGTTTCACCGTGTTAGCCAGGATGGTCTGGATCTCCTGACCTCGTGATCCACCCGTCTCTGCCTCCCAAAGTGCAGGGATTACAGGCGTGAGCCACCGCGCCTGGCCAAATGTAAATAATTCTTACTTTCTCATGATATTGTAATAATTGAAGAAGAAAACACATATGATATCTAAATATAAAGATTGGTCCATTAAAGATATGAAATAAATCTTTCTCTTCCCTTCCCTTTCTCTGCCATTCCAAATGAATGTAAGAGTAAATAGATTTATTGCCATTGAAAAACAAATAAGTTAAACCGTTATGTTTTACTTATCAGTTGTATTTTTTGAAAATTTTTATGCCATTCTGATTTTAAAGCAAATTGAACTAATTTGTAAGTGTATAGCAGATTCTAGAAGTACTTGTTTCATTAGTTTTTACAAGAATATGTGTGTTTATTTGTTTAGGGAATAGAAATTATTTTTATGCAATAAGATTAGACCTGCATCCAACATTTCTGGATTATTATAAAATAAATATAAAAAAATACCTGGGAAGAAATTTTTTTAAAAAAATTATTGTATCTTTATTAACAAGAGCACCAGAAATTACCTTTCAGGATTATTTCATGTGGATGACACCTATGGATTAGAAGAACATGTGGCACATTTGAACCTCAAGGCCCTGGGATAATGGATGCTTCTTTATCATATTTACAGCTACGGTCATGTAGGTAAAGAGAAACTGCCTCTACCTACCCATCAGAAGAGAGTGCGTTCTGAAATAATCAGTTGTTCAGAAATTTTTACCAGTAAATAAAACAGTTATGCTGTAAATGGAAAGATGCAAATGTAGGTTCTCAATTTATTCAGAACGTGGGAGCAGTGAAAGGAACCAATTTTCAAATCTCCTGTCTTAGAAGACATGGCATGTCAGCACCTACTACGGCAGACCAGCTGTTTCTGAAGCACAGACTTTGTCTTTAAGCAAATGTTGTCTAACTTACCTACCCAGAGAGAGAGATGACTAAATGCTGCATGGTTTCAATGAAAAGACATGTCTAATTGCAGGAGCATTTTCCTCTTTAGGGTCTGACCAGAACCTTGTAGAGTAGTTTGGACACTGCCCTTACTCACCATTTTTAAAAATTCTGTTTTTTTAACTTAAACATGAGGTATTCTGTATAATATGTATCAACAGTGATTTGTTTATGCTACTCTTATAGCACTGAACACATTTTCCTTGAATGAAAGCACTATGTAGACTCTGAAGTGCAACCCCAAAGCAGCTAGCATTAATTGATGATATCAGTATTAAGTTCCTGCTTCATTTCTTTTTTTTTTTTTTGAGACGGAGTCTCTGTTGCCCAGGCTGGAGTGCAGTGGCACGATCTCAGCTCACTGCAAGCTCCGCCTCCCGGGTTCATGCCATTCTCCTGCCTCAGCCTCCCGAGTAGCTGGGACTACAGGCATCTGCCACCACGCCCGGCTAATTTTTTGCATTTTTAGTAGAGACGGGGTTTCATCGTGTTAGCCAGGATGGTCTCGATCTCCTGACCTCGTGATCCACCTGCCTCGGCCTCCCAAAGTGCTGGGATTACAGGCGTGAGCCACCGCGCCCAGCCTTCCTGCTTCATTTCTAAATGGGCTTTACATTCCTAAGGGCAAGAGTTGGGATTTTTGCCGTGGACACCATAGGGACTCACACACTCACAGAAGACGCTGGGTGGAGACCCTCCTCCGCTCTGCAAGAATTAGGCACCAGGGAAGCTGCCCTTGGTAGGAGGGAGAACACAGGAGAGGAGACCCTTACGCACTGTTGGCACTGGGGATTTTCATCCTGCCATTTCTCTTCTTTTACCCTCTTTTCAAAGCAGTAGGAAGCTGCCTGTTGTCCCAATCCTCCTTACATGGGACATCATCCTCCCTTTACTGCCAGTTTTTCAGAATGAGTTTGGAAGTTGATGTTTTCAGGTACTAACTTGACCAGATCTACTCAACAAAAAAAATTATACTTCCACAATCAGTTCTTATCTGGTCTCCTAGGGGCAGGGAGAGTCTATTATTTGTACCTGTCTCCTGAGCGTGGGATCTTGTTTGCCTTGATTGGTTGCTTAGGTTATCTTTGTGCTCAACCAAATGCCGACTCTCAGGCAGGCAACTGGAAAGGCCCCAGGTTTTCTGTGGTGGAGAAATCAGGGGTACCCTCCAACTTCACGTGGCTAAGTGGGAGGAGTCAAATGGTCACATGTAATCTCACAGACAAATGTACAATCAGAAATCATCATAAATGGCAGGAAAGAAGACGATGTCAAAAAAAGAGAAAAGTGGGTAAGCTAACTTACATCAGAGCATCAGGGAGGCTTCTCTGAGAAATGATATTGAAGTGGAGACCTATATCTTTGTTTGGAGTTGGCTAGAGAAGCGGAAGGGAGGGAATAACACTCCAGGCAGAGGTGGCAATGTGTGTGAAAAGTCTGGACCAAGAGACAGACTGACCTCTGCAATAACAGAAAATAGTCCTGAGGCAGAGTGTAATAAACTAGGAGGAGGATGAGGATACACTGAGTTTCTAAGATCAAATTCTGCGGGTCCTGACTTTATTCAAGACACCTTATAATTTAGTAATCTTTTAAAAAGGAAGCCATGGGTAGGACCGACATATTCCAAAAGGAAGCCATAGGTAGGACCGACACCTGTTTTAAAGATTACTCTATTAGTAATTTAGTAACTACTGAGTTGCTAAAGAACTTAGTAATTTCTAAATTACTGAGAAATAGATTAGAGGCAGGCAAGAGGACAGGCTGGTATTCCAGGGCAGAGGTTTTAGTACTTACTCACAACAGAGGGATAAGAAAGAGAGTGGAAGGAAATGGGCAGATCTGAGACACACTTTTCAGTTGAAATGGCCAGTTGTGTGTGTTAGGCTGGATGCAGGATGGAGGAAGAAAGAAGGAACCCAGCCACTCAGGTTCCCAGTGTGAACGATCAAATGTAAAGAGGTTTGCTAAAAAGTGAAAGATGCAGCCAAGAAGAGGTGGCAAGGGCTGAGGATCCAGAGATTTGTTTCAATTATGAAGTAGGAGATATCAAATAAGCTCAGAGAATAATCCTGAAATACAGATAGAGGTATGAAAGTTTGAGGCACGTAGATGACACGGTCTTGGGGCAGAGATAGCTGTCATCTTTTTTTTTTTTTTTTGAGTGTCCAACATTCAAATTCCTGACTGATATGGCTTGACTCTGTGCCCCCCACCGAAATCTCACCTTGAATTGTAATAATCCCATGTGTTGTGGGATGAACCCAGTGGGAGGTAATTGAATATCGGGGGCAGGTCTTATCCCGTGCCATTCTTGTGATAGTGAATAAGTTTCATGTGATCTGATGGTTTTATAAAGAGCCATTCTCCTGCAGAAGCTCTCTTATCTGTCACTGTGTAAGACGTAACTTTGCTGTTCCTTCGTCTTCCACCATGATTGTGATGCCTCCCCAGTCATGTGGAACTGTGAGTCCATTAAATCTCTTCCCTTTATGAATCACCCAGTTTTGGGTATGTCTTTATTAGCAGTATGAGAATGCAATAATACACTGACCATGTTCCAGTAATTCTCCACTTTATGAGTCATAGTGTGGGTAAAAAATACCTCCCCCAGAGGAATTGATCCTACTACATCCCCAGCCTTCCTTGCTGCCACAGCTCTGGACTCTGTGAATCAGATTCACCAACTCTAGACATTTACTCAGGAGCTGGAGGTCCAAGAGGGGAGAGTTGGGGAGCTCTTGCTCTGGGTGGGGATCAGAGGTTGTATTAGTTCATTCACACACTGCTGTAAAGAACTGTCTGAGACTGGGTGATTTATAAACAAGAGAAGTTTAATTGAATCACAGTTCTGCATGGCTCTGGAGGCCTCAGGAAACTTACAATGTGGCGGAAGGTGAAGGAAAAGCAAGGCGGGTCTTACATGGTGGCAGGGGAGAGAGAGTGTGGGGAAACTGCCACTTTTAAAACCATCACATCTCATGAGAACTCACTCATTATCATGAGAACAGCATGGGGGAAACTGCCTGCATGATCTAATCACCTCCCACCAGGTCCCACCCTCAACATGTGGGGATTACAATTTGAGATGAGATTTGGGTGGGGACACAGAGCAAAATCATATCAGCCATCATTGTGGCTACAGGGTTACTTTGTGGGTACAGAAGGTACAGTGGTGTTGGTGGTGGTTGCAGTAAACTTTGAGCCCTGAGGCAGCAGGGACAATGGAGAAAGGGTGTGATATTCCACCAACCCAGCTGTATGGCTGGTTTGGGGTATTGCTCCTGGCAGCTTAGCTTTAAGTCTGGTTCCCCAGCCATCTTGATAATTTGGTGAGCTTCCCCAAAACTTTTTTCTTTTTGGAATTGTATTGTTATTTTATTTTAAGTTCTGGGGCACATGTACAGGATGTCCAGGTTTGTTAAATAGGTAAACGTGTGCCATGGCGTTTGTTACACCTATCCACCCTTCACCTAAGTATCAAGCCCAGCATGCATTAGCTATCTTTGCTGATGCTTTCCCCATCCCACCCTCCCCCCACAGGCCCCAGTGTGTGTCGTTCCCCTCCCTGTGTTCATGTGTTCTCATTCTTCAGCTCCCACTTATAAGCGAGAACATTCAGTGTTTGGTTTTCTGTTCCTGCGTTAGTTTACTGAAGATAATGGCTTCAAGCTCCCTTCACATCCCTGCAAAGGACATGATCTCATTCATTTTTATGGCTTCATAGTATTCCATGGTGTATACGTGCCACATTTTCTTTATCCATTCTATCACTGATGGGCATTTGGGTTAATTCCATATCTTTGGTATTGTGAATAGTGCTGCGATGAACATATGTGTGCATGTATCTTTGTAATAGAATGATTTATATTCCTTCCCCAAATTGTTTTTTAAAAAAATTTTTTAGCTTAATCAATCAAAGTCTGCTTCTGCTCTTTGCTACTAAGAACTTTGTCTATCATAGATGGGGCTGGGCGTGGTGACTCACACCTGTAATCCTAGCAATTTGGGACACTGACATGGGAGGAACACTTGAGCTTGGGAGTTTGA
Source organism: Homo sapiens (assembly GCF_000001405.40). Classification (NCBI taxonomy): domain Eukaryota; kingdom Metazoa; phylum Chordata; class Mammalia; order Primates; family Hominidae; genus Homo; species Homo sapiens. Next base: position 106,037,478 of record NC_000013.11, on the reverse strand, counting down.
GACCAGCCTAGGCAACATGGAGGGAAGGATCCGAGCCCATTGCTGGGCGCTTGCTGATGCAGGTGTGGTCTGCAGGCTGCCAGGCCTGCTCTGAAATCAGGGCTGGGGAAGGGTGGACCAGTGGAACAGTAGGAGCTGTAGAAGGGCAGCTGTCCTTAGAGAAAGGGAGAAGGTAGCAGAGTCTGGTTGGGGTAGGGGAAGCAAGCAGGGGATGAAGTTTTCCAGAAGAGTTTGAGGGCATAGGAAAGCTTGCTGATTATAGAGCAAGGGCCAGAAATGACACAGTAAAAGAGAGGGCGATATGGGGCAGTGCACGGTGCTGGAGCCCTGTCCTTAGGAAACTGTCCTGAGTGAGATGGGAGAGCCACCAGCAGCTGGGTGGCCCTTGCCAGGCTTCTCCACTGGAGGGTGCCCCTGATTCCTGAGTCCCTCCACTGACCGAGGCCTAGGGGACAGTGATTCCTCTTTGCAGGCCCCGCTTGCTGCAGCCTGAAGCCTGCGGAATGGAGCCAGCACTGCCAGCATGGCCAGCACGTTCATCTTTGCCTTCCCAATGGACTGTTGCTCTGTCCCTGCTGGGAGAGCCTGGGAAGGGGTTCATCTTGCAGCTCTAGCTTGTCTCTTCCTGCCCTTGCCTTCCTTGGGTGTTCTGGTTTATTCCAGAGAGGAGGACCGTCCCAACGAGGGACAGTGAGCGCTTGGCTGCTTTTCCCATCATGGTTGCTGCTCCACCACGAGGGGCCCTCTTCCGTGGGCACATCTCTCCACCATCCTTGAACTCAGACTTCCTCCATTTCGGAGGGAAACTCAGCCTGAAAAACCTAATACGTGAACATTTTTTCCCGCTCCGTGAATTGTATTCTAGCTGCAGACAACTCACTGACTTGTGGAACACCCAGGCCCATGTGAGGAAGTGTAATTTTTGTTTCAAAACAAAACTAGCTACAACTTTGTTTATTTTAAAATAGTACAACATTCATAGCAATATGTAAACAGTATGGAATATTTGTTTAGTTTAGTTTATACCTGTATGACAGTCAGGCTTTTACCTTATTTTTGCTTTTTGTTTTGTTTTGTTTTGAGACAGAGTCTTGCTCTGTTGCCCAGTCTGGAGTGCAGTGGTGCAATCTCGGCTCACTGCAACCTCTGCCTGCCAGGTTCAAGCAAAGTGATTCTCCTGTCTCACCCTCCCAAGTAGCTGATATTACAGGCACGTGCCACCACACCCGGCTAATATATTTTTCTTTCTTTCTTTCTTTTTTTTAGTAGAGATGGGGTTTCACCATGTTGGCCAGGCTGGTCTCAAACTCCTGACCTCAAGTGATCCATCCATGTCAGCCTGCCAAAGTGCAGGGATTACAGGCACGAGCCACCACCCTTGGCCCTGGGACATTATTTTAAAAGTTAATTAAATATCATTTGAACTACCACCTTAATTGGGTGTGGATTCCACCATGTCTTTGACAGTCATTATTCTAAATGTTAGTCTAGCTGTAAATAATTTTACAGAAACAGCAGCATTAAATTCTTGATTATTTTGTAATTTTATTTTCTATTAACAATTGATACTTTACATTTAAATAAATATATATTACACAATGAATTTTAACACGTATAAATATATTTTTTGACCAATTACCCAATGGTAGAACTCTATTGTCTTCATTTTTTAGCGTTTAACGTAACACTCTGATGCATACCCTTGTATATATATCCTTAAGAAGTTTCCTAATTTTTAAGTTAGAGATTGTGCGTCTAAAACATTTGTCTATATGTGACTTTCAGGGAGGTTGAGCAATTTATACTTCAACTTACATAGATGTTGCTTTTCTCACACATTAATACTGGTCAATATTTTACCTATTTTTTACTAAGTAAATAAATCATACTCCATTTTTACTATCTTGACCCACTGAATATTGGGGCTGAACTTTTTTGTGGTATATTTCTTAGCCATTTGCATTCTCTTTCTTTAGCAGAATATCTTTTCAAAGATATTTTGTGACCCCTTTTCCCTTATGGGATATTTTTTCTTCTGGTTTATAAGAGCTTTTTGTATATTAAAAAAATAAAACTATCCTTTTCTGGGTTATTTGTCAATTAAACTTGATTATGTTTTTTTGTGGTACAAAATTTTTAATTTTTTTTTTTTTGATAGAGCCTGGCTCTGTTGCCCAGGCTGGAGTGCAGTGGTGCAATCTTATCTCACTGCAACCTCCACCTCCCAGGTTCAAGTGATTCTCATGCCTCAGCTTCCCAAGGAGCTGAGACCACAGGCACACTCCTGACATCTGGCTAATTTTTGTTAGCCAGGCTCGTCTCGAACTCCTGACCTCAAGTAACCCACCTGACTTGGCCTCCCGAAGTGCTGGGATTACAGGCGTGAGTCACCATGCATGGCCTAAAAATATGTTTTCTATTCTAGCAATACTTTATCGATGGCTTGGTGTGTTTTGTCTTGAGTATTAGTATTTGCGCACAGCCGGCATTTCAGTTGAGGTACTTTCCTTCTGCACTCCCTGTGCACTTCTCAGATTGTAACTGATCTGTTGCACAATTAAATGCCTTGTGGAGAAGTTCTCTAACTGGAACTCATTCTGTACCGTGGCACCCCAAGTGCGACAATGGCTGGGAGAAAGAACAAATATAAATAGATGTTGGAAGTTTGCCATAGTTAGCATGGAAAGGCTCTCCTCTAACCTGCGGTGGTTGGGGTAAGAATTTGTAGATTTTTAGAAGGATGGTTTACTCACAAAGCTTTAGTGATAACATTTAGCTGGGCACTGCTAGATGTATATAGAATTTTATCAGAGAACTAGGAAATGTTTAGTTTATTGCCATATCTTCAAAGTGCCTTAACATTGTCTAGGGACATAGAGTGGCTGTGTTGGTACACATGCTTGGTATTGCCATCCCTTGCCGCTTCACTGCTGGGTTATTCTATGGGTGTGTGGGAGAGAACTCAGTCAGACACCACCACAAACCCTGGCACTACCTGCATGCTAATTGTGGTTTATAAGAAAGTTAGGCAAGTCATAGCTGCAGGAGATCCTTGGTGACGTGATTTATGGCCAATTGACATGAATGTTGTTGTTACTAAGAAACATTTAGTGAGCCAGCCGTTGTGCTCGGCGCTTTACATGAATTATCTCATTTAATCACGATTTCTCAGATAAGGATACTGAGGCTGGAGAAGTGGTGTTTCTAGCTTCAGATCTTCTAGCTAAGCAAGTGGCAGAATGAAGATCCCAAAAGATTTTTTTCTGATACTCAATTCTACATTCTTGAGCACTTTTCAAAGAGCCCCGAAACAGGGACATCTATGAAACCATAACTATCTTTGAAAAACCTAAGAGAAATGGTTAAAAGAGTGAAATGTACTGCGTTATCTGTATTCCTTTGGGATTTATAGCAGCTGCAGTATGAAATAAAAGCTCATCTCAGAATCAGAATATACACCAGAAACTTGACACTGTTTTCTGAATGTTAAAATTTTTGGCTACAGGAAAATAGGAAATACTTTTCTAAAGCATAGCACTTTAGAAAATGTGACATGCTATGAGAAAATTGGCAAAATAAGTCACCCAGATTACCCAACATGAGGTAAGAATTGCTAATGTTGACATACAAAGCCGGTGGACGTGGAGTTGATGATATCTGCAGAACTGAACTGCTATGTGGTGACTTGGGGAATTGCATACAAATTTATACTTTCTGAGCAAATTCCTTTTTGTGAAAATAATGTATTTCCCTTGCCCTGGGTGGAAAGAGAAAATGGATGTCCTGAAAGTGTGCTGGGCAACAGAGAAAGACAGGCCTCACTCGCAATATTTCTTAGTTAATCCACTTGTTGAGTTCACTGTGTGGTGCTTTGAGGGTTTGGAAACTTTTGGAGGAGTTACTGTTTACTTGATTTAGCCAGATCAGTGACAACTACATGGGGGTAATGTCACTGGTTCTTTATCTTACCAAAGCACATTTTAAGAATTTATTTCTATGCCCATAATTGTAGAATACAATTGTTTGTTTAATGTTCAACGCTGTCTGACCTATGTTTACTCAATATGGTATATAGAAAGTAGTAAAGTTAGCCATTTATAAAATTACTCTTCCCTATCTTTTCTGTTCTACATATTTCTTAGCTTTGCAATAACATATAGACATCTGTATATACTTCCAATCCAGAATCATTGCTCATTATAGAAGATGGATAACTATGTTTCAGTAGGAATCGTGTGAGATTTCCGGGACTTGTGGTAATCATTATTTTCTTAGGACTATATCTGGTGATCAAACATTGAGCCTATATTGAACTTGTTTTTTTTTAATGGTAAAATTTCAAACATAGGCAAATATTAATGTTCAGATTTAGCTCTTTAAAAACAATTTCCACATAAACACTGATTGCTTTGTATCATGCTTGAGTATGTGTGTCTGTGCATTTCTGTTATAAAAACATTAGACAAGACAAGAAGCTACAGAACAAAAAATGAACTATAGAGTTTTGCATTATAAAAATGTAAATATGTTAAAATAAGTTACACTATCTTTTAGCAATTATGTTGATGCCAAATTGAATACTTCAGAAAATGTCCAATTAGAGGGTTTGCATTTGTCAGTTTTGATGAGAGGTTTTCACCTCAGTTTAGATAAAGCTTGTGCTTATATAGAGCCAACTACTGGCCAAAAGAGGAGAAATGGACTCAGTCCTTGAATGGGGTTTAAAAAAAAATACCCATACAAATGTGTCCAAAATCCTGTGCATTAACTGGCATCACTGTAAACGCAAGCCGCTGAGCAGCAAAAAGACTTTCTGGTGCACTTGTCCCAGAGATAACCCCTCAGGTCTGAATCTCATTTGCTAGGGTTTGAGAAGCAACTCCACTGCCCATTTTGTGATAATAAAAGGCTTGTAAACCCATGGCTGTCAATTAATTCCTTTAACTCTGACTTCTCTCCTTAATTCCATTTTAAGTCCATGTTCATGCTATGGGTTTGATCTGGATTTGATTAGGAAGATGAATGGTAGGAAAGAAATGTCTTTTTTATACTTTCTTTTATCCAGGATTTAAATTTCTTTAAAGGAAAAATAAAATGTATTTACCTCCCTGACTTAATCTTCTTCTGAATGTTAATTACTATTTTCCTTTTTAAATAACAGCACATATGGTCCCTACTATGATTCCAATCTTTTAAAACTTGGTTTGTTGAGCCTGGAATTTTTTCCTAAACTTTAAAAGCTTGCAATAAAAAGAAAATTGTGATGACACAGAGAAAAACCCCTGCTTTTTCTGATGTAATTCAAAATGGGTTAAAAAATGTAGCTGAGTGAATTTTTTTTGATTCTGGTCAGTTCCACAACCTGCTTTCCTTCCTAGTAATGACTTGCAAACTGGGGCAAGAGGTGAGGCAACGCCCATCATTTCTCATCCTTTCTTTTGCTTAGGGTTCAGTTTCCAAAGTTAGACAACCCACAGGTGAGAGACTCCTGTGTGAATAGCTTTGGGAGATTCTAACCTAAACAACAACTGGGAATTCGATTAGGGGAGAGTCTAAGAGCCTCCTCTCCCATGGGGAGAGGCAAAACACTATATTTATTGATTCTTTGATCTGTCTGAGTTTGAAGTTAGAACGGAACAACAAGTACATTTATAAATCAATTCAGTGTGTTTTCTGTAGGAAGCATGAGGCATTTCATGTCTAGCACATGGGACATATTCATCCAGGAATTTTTTATTTGTCTTTTTAAAAAATTCCTATCCAAATATTTCAAATAAAAATTTCCAAGACTTTAAAAAGTCTTATGAATGATCGATGTCAATGCTGCTTTCCAAGAAACCCTCTCTTATTTAATGTTTAATCCCTATTTCAGTTTTTTCTCCCCATCTGGCAGTTGTCACTTAGGCAGATGGCTACCAGCTGGGAGGGCAGCCTGTGCGTCCCCCCACCCGGATCTATGGGGCTCAGCAAGCCCCAGGTGAAAGGGCATCACGGCACACCACTGGCCTTCCGGCAAGCTTGGATACTGACTTGTCACCACCCGAAGGCTTCTAGAGGGACCTCTTTTATGAATTTGAGATCTTATTATGTTGCGTTTTTCTGATGTCATGATAGCCCAACGGGGTTTGATATAAGGCAATGTAGCTAGTATCCCCACACAATCCAGTGCTCCCAATTAAAAGGACACACAGGAAAGCAAAGAGTTACATTAATGAATAGATGGATGCAGAGGAGGTTGGGGGAAGAGATAGTGAGTCTTTAAAGAAATACACCCTGGCTAAAGCCTAGACATAGTTCGACGTTTAAGGAATAGGCTTATTCTTCTCTCATATATATGTGCACATTTTAATGACCATTTGACCTAATTTTTTAAAATAAGATTTTATAGCCATTTGACATAGTCTTAATGATCTATGAGTGTCTTGTTTGTAATATATGCACTATGCTAGCAGGCTTCTGAAAGAAACTGCCTTTTTCAGGGACTGTTTTGTGGCTCTAAGGTCTTACTGACCAGTTTGCATGTAAAAATTACTCTTGATTAATTTCATAGTTGCAGCTGCTTTTTTGAGAAGCCTGTTGTTGTATTTGTCTTAGCCCCTGAGCCTCTGGGTCAGCCAGAGGAGAAGTGGTGCATCAGGAAAATTATGTTCTTTTTACAAACACCTGCCACTGTTTTTTTTTTAATTTCTTCTTTTTATTTCAAATGAATGTTCATGGGTGAGGAGCAGAAGAGAGAATACAATTAAAAGGCAGAGTTAATAAATATTTGTATATTTTCAGGTTTCTTTGCATATACCTGTACACACCTGCAACAGGCAGAAGCACACACACGCACACACACACAGACACAGATGTTGTGCTTGCATTTGTCCAAAGCCAGATCAAACTATCCATATTTACATAGTTTTAATTTATTCTTATATGATAAGTATGTTATTATGCTTTAAAAACTCTATAATATTTATAGTTGCATACTTTCAAGTTTATGGGGAGTACGAGTTTATTTAAATATTCTTTCAGTGTTAGACATTTGTTTCTGATTTTTAAAAATTATAAATAACGTTTCAAAATCAAACCCATTTACCTAAAATGTTTTCAGCATATGTTAAAAAATTTCATTCCTAAAAGTATAGTTTCTGGGTCTACAAATATGTACAACTTTCAGTCCATACAATGTTATCCTGCTGAATTTCTTAAGAAGGGCAAATCTGGCAACAATGAATGAGAGTATCTGAGAGGAGTCTATTTCTGGTTGCTCTGTGTGATTCTGGCCTGTTTGTCCTTCTGTTTACCTCCAGACCTTGGCCCTGCCACAGCTTTGAAATAGTGTTTCAGCACATCCGTGGGATTTTTTTCCTTTTTTCTTTTGGCACTCCTAGACTGCAGCAATTCGAGGTCGGCTCATCACATGTGAGCTCTATGGGAACCTTATTGCTCTCTGTTGTCTGTGCACAGGCCAGAATTTGATAAGAATAGTTGCACAGATGGTGGAATGCTCATCGTAAAACAAATCCAGTTTTTCACTATTTTTGGTCATGGCTGATGAGGCTGATTTAAGGTGTAGCTGGCCTTTGTGAACCACAATTTCCTTGCCAATGCATCCAGGATGAATATTTCATAGTGACATGTGTCTCTCTCCTTCCTCACACATGGCACGGCGTCATTTTAGATTTATTCGAGTTAGTCTTTGAGTAAGGCTTGCCACAGAAATTATCTATTCCATTACTAAGGAATGTTTAGTCTTTTTTTCCATTTTACTCCTCAACACCTAGCACAGTGTCTGATGCTCAATTATCCCTGGGCTAATGAATGAATCAATGTCTGCCTTGGAAGAATTGGATGAAATGAGCATGTTCGAAAGCCACTTTAAAGAATAAAAATAGCGGTAAAGTAGACATATCTGACCTTGTCTAAGGCAGTGGTCCCTATACATTTAGTTTTTGTGCATCAGGTGAACCCCAAGAGCTTGGTAACAATGTAGGTGCTTGATCCACTCCCAGAGATTCTGATTCTGATGCAGGTGAGCTTTGCCAGCAGGTGTAAAAGTCTTCTGTGTTAAGGTGTCTCCTAGTCTAAAATCTACATCTTTCCTCCATTGCTGTGTGTTGTATTTGGTGTGGCAGTTTCCATATACTCCTCTGAAATTTTCTGAGATGAGATCAGAACATGCAAGAAGAGAATAATTAAACCTGCTTACAAATGGAGAAACTTAGGCTGGAGAAGGTAAACCGCTACCAAAGGTTGTGTGGACATCATTGTCCGAAACAGGACATGTGTCCAATTCTGACATATTCCAAAGCCCATGCTATTCTGACTACAATAGGCTCTTTTGTCCTTTGCATTGTTTAGCTGTGACTAATTAATTAACAAATATCAGAGAGCCTGAAAATGTTAGCCATTCAATTACTGGGTTAAAGCGTAAAATGTAGCTTCTTGAAAAGTGAGTAAATTCGTGAAGTCATCGCAGAAATATTCACAGAGTGTCTGCTGCTAACAGGCCTAAGGGGCAATCCCTATAAGATTAATGTCACATAGGCACAAGTTTTTATTTTCCGGTTTCTCAAAACAAAACAAAGCAAAACAAATTGGCTCTTTTTTGTCTCCATGTTCCACATTTGTTTCTTCTTGTTTCATTTTAAAATGTTGTCTATGCCTCAATGTTTTTCATTATAAAATTCACTTGTTATTCATTCAAAAAACCATTATTGATCATCAACTCTTTCCCATGTAATGATGGGGATTCAAATATAAATGAAAAATGAATCCTTTTTTTTTTTCATTAACTTCAAACTCTTCAGTCACTGAATATACCTCATTGGCCAAGACAAGGTTTCCATTAACCAGAACAAGAAATCTAAGAGCTTAAGAAGATGTGGAGGGCCAGGGGAAGGCAAGGAAGTTAATGACATTAGTTTCCAAACCACTGAGATTGAAGTTCTCAGATGGATATTTCCAGCAGCAATTGGCTATGAAGAATTTGAGACTAGGAAATAGATCTCAGTTGGCAATAAAGATTTAGGTGTGACCTGTACATAAGGGGTGTAAATGAGATTCCTCTGTGAAGCCTGTCTATGTAACCTAAGGGAAAAAGAGAACCAAGGACAGAGGACTAAGGAATCATTTACCTGGAAAGACCGAGCAGAGGAAAAGAGAGAGAGGACTGCAGAGAAGTCACGTGAAGGGAAAGGGAAGAAATCTCTATAGAGTGACATCCCAGAAATCCTGAAAGGAAGGGTTCCAAGAAAGCAGATGTTGAGAGGTGAATGGAAGTGAGGATGGACGAAGGGTGAGCTAATCATCTCTTCTCTCAGGAAACTTGACTGTGAAAACATTTAGTGAGGTGGGTTGGTGTCTAGATGGTGACCTTCCGCAGGCTTGAAATAGAGCAGGATGATATGTGAGCTCCGTCCAAAGTCAATAAATATATTGCTCATCCAGAAAAGTGACTGTTTGTTATTTGTATTGTTGTTCTTTCTGAAGCAAAGTCACCAGAAAGCAGTAAATTTGGATTTCTCTTTCCAGAACTTCTGATGGTGTTCTTAGCTACAAAACTTGGTGAGGTTTTCCAGATGTCCAAAAGCATACTTCCTAACCTGTTTGTATCTTGTGGTACATTTGCCTATACACTTGTTTTACTGCGAGAATGAATTGTTCAAAATAGACATTAGTTGATAAATACACAAATTCCAGCGACAGTAGATATGGTATTTTAGCATGAAGGTAAATGTGATAGAATGACTTTGTTTACCTGCTTTTTAGATGTAATTGGCATAGAAACCATAAAGTTATCTTACATTTCTTGTATATGCTAGGGAGCAAGTACCCAGTGCCATACTGTCAGTGAAAATTGCATTGCAAATATTTGCACACGTTTAGAGAGTCTAAGAGGATTTTTTGCCATTATTTTGCCAGTGATCAAAAGCTAAAGGTGTGTGACTTTCATGCTAGTAATGGCTCACTCCAGGTTGAAATGAATATTATGTTGTGTAGGTCTTTGTTAATTGTCTCTATGCTCTTGTATTTCGAAGTGGGATGCATACATGAAGTATTGAGCATTACTTGATATTAAAAATAAAATTGGTTCACATATTTTGCTTAATAAAGAGGTAATAAATAAATGACATTCTCATACTCACAGAGCATCATTTGAAAGGGCAAGATGATCTAAATATTTTTGAGTTTGTCTTGGTGGAAAAAGAAATGACTAACCAATATGGTGACTCTCTTAGTTTCTGGGATACCAAAACTATGTAGGAAATGTTACTGTATCATTTAGTAAAGAACCATTCCTCCTTTGATAACTGTGGTTTGATTAGCTACTTTAGGTTAAGTGAATGTGTAGATGTCATCAAGACATCAAAGTTGAGTCCCACATGGGCATCGTCTATATGCATTCTATCTTGGACACTTGGATGTCTAGTTCTCCTCTCCATCCGTGGTTAATAAGCTTCTTTTGATATTTAAACATGAAGATATTTGTCTTAATTTATGCTTTCACAACGCTTAGAACTGTTGCTTTGGTTCATTCGGACTATACTTGGGAAACTGCTAACCTTTTTTCTCTTTTTTACCGATTTTGCTTAGATTTTAATTTTCATAACAGCATTATAGTTTTACCAGTAAGCATTTGATATGCAGATTTATTTATTATTGCCATCTGTTTCTGTGAAAGCTATTTAAGTGCTAAGCAGTTGCCTGAATGATGTTCAGGTCTGCATGGGGGGTAATTTTGGAAATCCGAATCCTTCAAAGACAAATATTCAATTACTCTATCAAAGATCATACCCAAATTGGCTTATTTAGCATTTTATTGTGATCCCACCATAAGTGTGCCATCTGTATATACGAGTTTTGAGGAGGTTCTATCTTTTCAAGATTGATTGTTAATAAGCATTTTCTTCTGTCACTAAATTATCTTTTCAATATATTTAGAATGTTACTAGACTGAGATTATAGCTCAGCGTAATGTATTTAGAAATGCTAGTGAAAGTCTCTATTACCTTCTCTGGATTATTTTAGTCCTCTCTAGCTGCATATACAAAACTTCACCAAATTAGATATAACTAAACATTTTAATGTGCTAAATTCCAAGAGTGGAAGTCGGGTGGGGAATGGTGTCTCTTCGCCTCGCTCAGTGTTTGCCACCTGGACAGAGTGATTGGGAAGTCACCGAGCTTTCCACCCCACCACGTTGTGCCTTACTCAGCTATTCCCAGCCTTTGTCTTCAGCTTCCCTGGGGCTAGAATGCCCTTGGAAGGGTATGACAAAATTCACTCATTCTACCCAAATCCTTTCCAGTTCAGTTTTAACCACGACTCAACTTCCCATGACACTTCTAATGTGCTTTGGTGATAGAGTGAAGGTCTCCTATTGAGTGCTTTCCCTTTTAACTTCTCTTAGAGTTGTTTATGAGTTTGCACTACCTATTGTATTTTAAGCTATTTGAACGCAAACTCTTAGTCATCTGTATTCCTTCTATGCCATTATTATTCAAAATTATTATTATTATTATTTGAGATGGAGTCTCCCTCTGTCGCCCAGGCTGGAGGGCAATGACTTGATCTCGGCTCACTGCAACCTCCGCTTCCCGAGTTCAAGTGATTCTACTGCCTCAGTCTCCTGAGTAGCTGGGATTACAGGCCCATGCCACCACACCTGGCTAAGATTTGTATTTTTAGTAGAGACGGTGTTTCACCATGTTGGTCATCTTGGTCTCGAACTCCTGACCACGTGATCCACCTGCCTCGGCCTCCCAAAGTGGTGGGATTACAGGCATGAGCCACCGTGTCCAGCCTCAAAATTTTTTTATCCAATTAAAATATTAAAATAAGGAGCTGTTGTTTATGTACCATGAAGTTTTATAAAGTAAAAAAGTTAATAATTAGATGTTAAACAGAACTCAATGTCTTCTACTTTTCTCCTTTTTTTAAACATTTTAATATTTATTCTCTTAAGACCTAAGAAAAAATATTCCTCATCCCACTAATTTACATCTTTTTGTAGGTTTTAAAATGATATTTACTAATTGTACATATTTTGTGGGTACATATGATATTCTGATATAGGTATACAGTGTGTAATGATCAAAATAGAGTGATTGGGTTGTCCGTTGCCTCAAACATTTATCTTTTCTTTGTATTGTGAACACTACATGTCTTCTCCTCCAGCTACTTTGAAACATACAATAAAATAATGTTAATTATAATTTCTCTACTCTACCATCAAATCCTAGAACTTACTGTTTCCCTCTAACCGTATTTTTGTTCCCATTGACCAACTTTTCTTCATCTTCCCCACCCCATTTTCCTTCCCAGCCTCTTGTAACCACCATTCAACTCTGTAGTTCCATGAGGTCCATTTTTGTAGCTTCTGTATATAAGTGAAAACATGCAGTTATCTGTCTTTTTGGGTCTGGCTTATTTTACTGGAATGACCTCCAGTTCCATCTATGTTGCTGCAAATGACAGGATTTTATTGGGTTTTGTGTGTGTGTGTGTGTGTGTGTGAGACTCGATAGTATTTTATTGTGTATGTATACTGTGTTTTCTTTGACCATTCATCTACTGATGGACACATTAATTCCATATCTTGGCTATTGTGGGTTGTGATGTAATAAACATAGGAGTGCAGATATCTCTTTAATATACTGATTTCCTTTCTTTCAGGTATACTCAGCAGTGGGATTACTGGATCATATGGTAGTTGTATTTTTAATTTTTTGAGGAACCTTCATACTCTTTTCCATAATAACTATACTACTTTACATCCACAAACAATGTATGTAAGAGTTTCCGTTTATCCACATTTTCCCCAGCATTTATTTTTTGGGTCTTTTGATGATAGCCATTCTAATTGGGGTGAGATGATAGCTCACTGTGGTTTTGATTTGCAATTCTCTGATGATTAGTGATGTTGAGCTTTTTTTTTCATAAATCTGTATGTTTTCTTTTGAGAAATGTCTATTCAAGTCTTTTGCACATTTAAAAATCAGATTATTGGTTATTTTGTGCATTAGTCTGTTCTCACACTGCTAATAAGGACATACCCAAGCCTGGTAATTTACAGAGAAAACAGGTTCAATGGACTCACAGTTCTACATTGCTGGGGAGGCCTCACAATCATGGTGGAAGGCAAAGGAGAAGCAAAGGCACGTCTAACATGGTGGCAGGTAAGAGAGGTTGTGCAGGGGAACTCCCATTTATAAAACCATCAGATCTCATGAGACTTATTCACCACCGAAACAATGGTATGGGGGAAACCACGCCTATGATTCAATTATCTCCACCTGGTCCCACCTTGACCTGTGGGGATTATTACAATTCAAGGTGAGATTTGGGTGGGGACACAGAGCCAAACCACATCATTTCGCTATTGAGTTGTTTGAGTTCCTTATATATTCTGATTATTAATCCCTGTTGGATGGATTATCTCATTTTGTAGGTTATCTCTTGACTTTGTTGATTGCTTTCTTTGTTGTGAAGAAGCTTATTTGCTAGATGTAACACGTTTTGTCCATGTTTACTTTGGCTGCCTGTGCTTTTGAGGCATTACTTAAAACATCTTTACCCAGACCAGTGCCCTATGGTGTTTTCCCAATATTTTTTTTCTGTTAATTTTATAGTTTCAGATCTTACATTTAAGTCTTTAATTCATTTTGGGTAGACTTTTGTATCCACTTCCTTTTTTATTTAATAATATATCATGGAGTTCTTTCCAGGTCAGAATATATAGACCTAACTAAATATGTTTAAAGTAAAAACTCTTAATATATTCCCCTCATGATTAATATCTTTTTTCAGATTTGCTAAAATTATTACTGTTGTTATTTTGCAACTATAAACAATATTACAGTAAATATCCTTATGCATATATGCTTATTCACATATCTTTCATCTCTTCAGGCTAGATTTCAAACACGGGACAGGTCAAAGTTTGTATGTTTTATTAATTTTAGAAGATATTTCCAGAATATTTTCCAAAGAAGATGTAGTAATTTGCCTATTTACTGGAAATATGTGAGAGGGCAATTTCTCTTTATCCTTGCCAGAACTGGATGTTATTTCTTATCTATACTTTGATCCTACTGTACTTAAAACAGACTCGTATATAAATCTTTGTTGACTAAGTAAATCACTTTGGTATTTTGAAGGCACATTTTTCTTTACATCTTTTACTTAATACTAGTTTTCCTTTATTTATATAGATATTCATAGTCTTTATTCATAATGTAAATTCATAACTATGAACTTGAATCTAAGTTTAATTCATACGATGTTACTATTTGTTTGTAGGTTTGAATATGAACATTTTTGAAATTTTTCTAACCCCTTGTCTCATGTATATCTCCATTACTACTGCTTTTATTATGATAATTACTAATAACAGCATTTTGTAAGGACAGTGTTTTTGCCATCATTATTTCACATGGATTGCCACAAAACGCGAACACAGATGGGTGAGGTCAGTAATTTGCTTATTGTGTTTCTGGATTCTTAAGGGTAGGTCTTTGCTGACTTTTTTATTATGATGCTGTTTGTGTGCTTCTATACTGTCCCTGTACTACATGATATGTTATTCTTTTGCAAGGACCTTTGCTGAAAAAACTGCAAAATCCCTTTCACCATTAATTTGAATAATCTAATCATTTGCAGTTTATTTCTATAAGCCAAAAATATTAATCAAAGTGCTTCAAAGTATAATACTAATATGTGTCTGTTGTTTATATACGTCGTAAAACATATACAACATTCTTTAAAGAAATTTTTTTTACAATAGCCCTGTGATACTGGTGCGATGGTGTCTTTAGTTTTACTGACACAGAGACTGAAGTTCCTGAAGAGGGTCTGAATAGTTTCTTTAAGAAATTACAACCAGTAAATTTGAGAACTAAGATTTATAGCAGGATCTCTTGATTCTAAATCAAATGGCGTTTGACACTGGTTTTCAGAATCCTACATACACACTACTCCTTTAAATATTCCAGTGTAAACAGCACTTAACTAAACAAGCATTTTTAACATTTATTGGCTATGTTCTGTGTTTACTGTAGTTTTAGTTAAATTTGTCTTTGATATAATGGAAAATGCATTAATTCTAAATATATTCAGTTTTTCTCAGAAGGAAGATGGAAAACCTTTTAAACCACGAAGTTCAGAGGAGAATAGAGGAAATCCTTAATTATTAAACTGTTAGGAATTACTATACTAAGTTTGACCAAATTTTAATTTTGCAAATTAATATCACTTTTTGATCAACCATAGACAATGTTGCTGACCTTAAGAAAATCATCTCTCTTGTTCTTTGTGTGCACACACACATGCATCCACACGCATGTTATAGTTCTAGTCCTATTTCCTGCTTGTTTTCTTGACTGTATTTGTACACAATAATACAGTCTATATTTTTAGTGAAGTGTGCGTCTAGAATCAGATATCACTACAGTTATACATGTTTAGAGTGAAAGAAGCATACCTTAAGTGTATTCTGGTGTTTACTGGGTTCCTTCAGACTAAGCGTATATTAAGATACATTTTTAAATAGGTTATCAATTTTCTTTATCAGGTGATTGGTGAACTTCCTGGTTCTGCTGGGGAACATGTCTTGACTACTGGAGGGATTGTGGATTCTTGGAGTTTCCCCAAAAAAGCTCACTCAGTGGGCTGTTTTGTTGAACTCATTTGATGAGATGTCTTAGAAAGTGATGTTCTTTAAGAAAAAAAGGGGAACATCTATCATTTAACTATTTACCTCTTACATTATATCTACTTTAATAATACTTCCCCATGTCTGATTTTACAGGTCCTTAAATTACACTTGTTTTTACTATCTGAACAAAAACAACAACAACAAATTTTGAGTGTTTTTTCTTTGTTTTTGCACTGCTTTAATTTATTTTATCTAGTGTGTAGTTTGGCTTTAGTTTTGACTAAGTGTTCTCTACATTTTTGCTGTTGATACTAACACCCATTTATTAAAGGGTAAGATACCATATGTTCATTTCAGAAGTATCAGTTCCATTTTGTTCATTTTCAATTTTAGTATTTGCAAAGCAGTTTATGATTTACTATTAACTTGCAACAATTTGTATCCTTGCCATTTTTCATTTTTACTTATTTTTGTATTTCAAAGAGTTTTATTTTCTATACTTTTGATTTTGCTAAAGATATATATATATATATATATATATATATATATATATATGCTCATTGCAAAGAAAAAGCAGGCAGCAGAAATTTTTGTATTTAAGCATAACTGAAGAAATTTGGCATGAATTGTTGAGTCCTAACACACCAATGGATTAAGAATTGCTATCCAACAGTTTAATTAAAGGAGAATGAAAATGTAATATAATGGAAAGAATTATAAACCAAGGTACACCTGGATAGGTACTAAATAGCAGATGTAAAATATGTGTCAATATGGAAATCAAATCAAAGTTATGAAACAATCATTTTTGAGAATTGGTCTACATGATACAAAATATCTGAATAAGTCATTTTTAAAAAACATGGACTTCCAGTTGTTATGTAGAATTGAAATCCCTCATAAAACTGGTTTTTCAAGCACACTCACTTATGATGATAGCAGTATCATTTTGGGGATAATCCTTGAAGTTGGATGCTAAAAGGGCATGTCGATTAACGGCCATTCACTAGTGTGACTGCTTATCTTTATAGATTTGTTTGACTTTTACTGACTTACATTTTAGACTCAGGAGTGAGTTTTATCCAGGCAATACTTTCAAATGGAATTTGCTACAGAAAAAATAAATTTAATTGACCCCACTCACATTTAAATTTAGAGGTACAAGTATAAGTATGGTGCCATTGAAGTTTAAAAGATGTGTAGTAATGAGATTGCCAACATTGTCTCCTGTTACTGTGACTTTATCCATTATACTTAGAGTGGTCATTTATACCCTTAGAATTGCTCATCAGAAATGTCACTAATAATGTTCCCAGAATAATACAATCCATAGAAAATGTTTATGCTAAAACAGTCTTTGAAAAAATAATTTCCTTTAAAATGTGAATGTAACTTTAAAAAAATCTCTGTATCTCTTCATTTTACATTTTCTTACTCCAATTTCTCAATTAGACTTAAGCTTCTCAAGGGGAGGCAAAGACCTGGGTTCTGCTCTGCTTCTTAAATGCTCTTTGGAGCAGAAAAAATTGGTGCATATAAGTGGAGGCCAAACCAATGTGTTTATGGTGACCTGTAAAGCCAATCCCATAAAGATTTAAGAAAACACGAGCTAAATGTTCATTATCTCTGAAAATTAGTTTGGTAGACAGATAAATCTTTGAGGAATTTGGATTTATCCTACTGGTAGGTAAATCAAAATATTTGAAGTCTAACCATTGTTTCCATGTTTTACTACCATTTTATTAGTGTCAACATCCTTGTCATTTATAAAACTATAATATTATTGATAAAAACTGAAGATGGAAATCACAGAATGGACATAATTAAATGGTTAAACTTAATGATATCTGTGGAAATTATTGGTCTAATTTTCTAGGATCTATGATGACATGATGATCTATGATGATCCCTAAGCTACTCAACTAGGGTAAATGAGAATATTTCTTTTGCAAAGATTATACAATCGAAGCATATTTTGTTTTTGTAATTAACAAATATCAAGTTGGTATTGCATCTCTAAGAAATGTACTTGAAGAAAATAAAGCATATGGCTTCATATGAAGCTCTAGGATCTGATTCTGCCTTGAGTCCCTAGCCAAGAGAGCTGGGCTGAAGAGGGAGGGAGTCCATTGCTGATATTATTTGTTATTATTTATTCTGGAAAGCTTATTAGTGACATTCCTGATGAGCAATTCTACAGGCATAAATGACCACTCAACATATGTTATTTATTATTTGGTATATACCCTTATATTGTGATCTGAGGGTATATCACAATACGAGGGTATATACCAAAGAGTTTAAGTGTAAGAGACATTTACAATTTTAAAAAAACAAAACAATAATAATTTACAAAGTAGGAGAGTCAACGTTATAGGCTGAACTCTGAATACTTACGTATTCTGAGAGCATTGGTGGAAATTTCGAGGCTGAATCTTCCTAAACTCTCAATTTTCTTGGAAATACACAAGTGTCAGACAGATATGAGGAATGCAGCTTTATATGGCAAGTATAGATGCAGTTTTAAACTGATAAGTATAGATGGCTGAGAAGGAGAAGCTACAACCATTTCAAGTCAAATCACTCAGTGATTAGAAACAAACTTAAAAGACATTCTGAATTAGTCATTATAATTTACAGTCCATGGTTTTATTACAGCAAACCCCAGTAAATGTTCCTTTTTCACATGGCATTTAATATTTCTAGAAGGACACTAGATTGACTGCTTTTTTTGAGAATTGTTTTCCCTTTTTTTCCAGTGATGTCATTTGGTCCACATTTAACACTGACTTTCATAATAAAAGTACTTAGTTTGAGAATTTATTTTTTGAAAGCATGTTTGTGAATACTCTTTTTTCCTCCTTCCTACTCATTTCCCGGACCTTGCCACAGTTATTTTTAATTGTCATACTTTGTAAAAAAAAAAATACTAACATAGTTCTCACATTAAAGCCTTTTGCTTGGAGCATTTGAAAGAGCGTTGGTTAGCTGAGCCAGGATAAATTCATAGAGCAAGAAGCCACACGGAGCATAAAGGGGAAAATATATGAACTCCAGTTAATCAGCTGCACACAGTGACTGGGCCAGCTTGAACACTGAAAGGACTGAGAGGCTCTTACAAAACAGCATTCGATCACTGAGTCAGGACCCAGCATTACTGAACTGTTACCATAAGTTGCAAAAATAAATATCAGATTGTGTGCTGTGGAATGATAGCAAAATAATTCCAAGGATTATAAAGAGAGATCAGGTTATAATAAATACTCAGTTTCTTATTAAATATTTTTAGATAGGAATAACTATTTTGCTAATGAAAGAAGAAGCTGTGCATATCTCATTTTAGGCATATGGTGAATGGATATTTGTTAATATATGCATGTATACAAATGTGTGTGTATATGCACACTCATATATTCCCTATATTCATTTGGAAAAGTTAAGCGATGGAAAATAAAGGTAGAAGGCAGAGTATGAAATGGGGAAAGTAAGGAGTCACAAGCTGAGAAGAGCAGTTACCAAAAGGCAGAAACATTGATCCCTATCCAGGTGAGGTATAGACACACACACACACACACACACACACACACACTCAATGGACTAATGTATTATCTTCCCAAAGGCAAACAATTACATGAGTTTTGTTGTTGTTGTTGTTTGTCCCTCTCTCGTATCTGATCTGACACTTGGTAACTTACTTGGAACTGAGTGTGCAGATGCCAATGGATAACTTTTCATAAAGAAGACTGATGCCAATTCATTATCATATGGCAGTTGAATCTTACTGAAACAACCTCAATTCATCTTTCGCCAATTCAGTTCAACCAATATTGTGCAATATATCAGTTTCTACGCAAGATAACTCAGGGTATGCAAAAATGAAAACCTTTAAGGAGCTTGGAGTCTCGTCAGGACGATAGAATCTGTTTATAATTCACTATAATACACCACAGAATACGTTAAGTGTTATAATAGAGGTACAAATGCAAATACAGATGGTCTCAGGAAGCAGGGAAATGCTAATTTCTATTTGGGAGAGTAGATTATAAAAGCCATCACTCAAAAACTGGCATGTGCACTGGATCTGACCTGTGGAGAGGGAGAAAGGGCAGATGGGGCAGGGGCAGCATGGTTACAGGTATGGAGGCAGAGGCTTTGGAGGGAAGGATGGGGACTCTGGGAATGTCGACTACAGTATGCATGGAAAAGTCAGGGCCAGGCGTGATGGCTCACGCCTGTAATCCCAGCACTTTTGGAGGCCGAGAAAGGTGGATCCCTTGAGTTCAGGAGTTTAAGACCAGCCTGGCCAACATTGTGAAACCCTGTCTCTACTAAAACTGCAAAACAACTAGCCAAGCATAGTGGTGTGTGTCTGTAATCCCAGCTACTTGGGAGGCTGAGGCAGGAGAATCGCTTGAACCTGGGAGGTGGAGGTTGAAGTGAGCCGAGATTTTGTCACTGCACTGCAGCCTAGGTGACAGAGCGGGACTCTGTCAAAAAAAAAAAAAAAAAAAAAAAAAAGAAGGAAAGAAAGGAAAAAAGAAAGAGAAAGAAAGAAAGCAAAGAAAGAAAGAAAAAGAAAGGAAGAAAAAGTCTGAGGTAGGAGATGCACTTGGAAGTGAAGGTCGGTCCTTGGAGACCCTTGCTCAGAATTTTTACTCTGTTCTTAAATGCAGGGGAGAATCCACAAGGATTTTGAGCAAGAGAACGACAATGAAAGTCAAAGCTTTCCCGTAAGAAAATTAATCTAATTTTAATATCAGAGATGGAGAGGAGGTGGATAGGATCAGCCTCAGAGCCATCCAATCATTAGTTGTTTTTATAACAAGCAATTACTGAGCACTGATTTGTTCTGAGGGCTAAATAGGAACAGCAATGTTGGGAATTGTATTAGTTTCTCAGGATGTCATGAAAAAGTAGTAGACACTGGGTGGCTTAAAATAACAAAAGTGGATTCTCTCCTAGTCCTGATGGCCAGAAGGCTGATATCAAGGTGTCGGCAGGACCACACTCCCCCTAGAACCTCTAGGGAAAGATCGTTCCTTGCATCTGCCAGCTCTGTGGCTCCAAGCACTCCTTGGTTTGCAGCAGCATAACTTCCATGTCTACCTCTGTTTTCATGATTGTCTTTCCCCTGGGTCTCTTCTGCTCTTCGTATAAGAGCTATCAAGTGGGCTTCATCCCTGGGATGCAAGGCTGGTCCAACATACGCAAATCAATAAACGTAATCCAGCATATAAACAGAACCAAAGACAAAAACCACATGATTATCTCAATAGATGCAGAAAAGGCCTTTGACAAAATTCAACAGCCTTCATGCTAAAAGCTCTCAATAAATTAGGTATTGATGGGACCTATCTCAAAATAATAAGAGCTATTTATGACAAACCCACAGCCAATATCATACTGAATGGGCAAAATCTGGAAGCATTCCCTTGGAAAACTGGAACAAGACAGGGATACCCTCTCTCACCACTCCTATTCAACATAGTGTTGGAAGTTCTGGCCAGGGCAATCAGGCAGGAGAAAGAAATAAAGGGTATTCAGTTAGGAAAAGAGGAAGTCAAATTGTTCCTGTTTGCAGATGACACGATTGTATATCTAGAAAACCCCATAGTCTCAGCCCAAAATCTCCTTAAGCTGATAAGCAACTTCAGCAAAGTCTTAGGATACAAAATCAATGTGCAAAAATCACAAGCATTCTTATACACCAATAACAGACAGAGAGCCAAATCATGAGTGAACTCCCATTCAGAATTGCTTCAAAGAGAATAAAATACCTAGGAATCTAACTTACAAGAGATGTGAAGGACCTCTTTAAGGAGAACTACAAACCACTGCTCAATGAAATAAAAGAGGATACAAACAAATGGAAGAACATTCCATGCTCATGGATAGGAAGAATCAATATTGTGAAAATGGCCATACTGCCCAAGGTAATTTATAGATTCAATGCCATCTCCATCAAGCTACCAATGACTTTTTTTCACAGAATTGGAAAAAACTACTTTAAAGTTCATGTGGAACCAAGAAAGAGCCCACATTGCCAAGTCAATCCTAAGCCAAAAGAACAAAGCTGGAGACATCACGCTACCTGACTTCAAACTATACTACAAGGCTACAGTAACCAAAACAGCATGGTACTGGTACCAAAACAGAGATACAGACCAATGGAACAGAACGGAGCCCTCAGAAATAATACCACACATCTACAACCATCTGATCTTTGACAAACCTGACAAAAACAAGAAATGGGGAAAGGATTCCCTATTTAATAAATGGTGCTGGGAAAACTGGCTAGCTGTATGTAAAAAGCTGAAACTGGATCCCTTTCTTACACCTTACACAAAAATTAATTCAAGATGGATTAAAGACTTAAATGTTAGACTTAAAACCATAAAAACACTAGAAGAAAACCTAGGCAATACCATTCAGGACATAGGCATGGGCAAGGACTTCATGTCTAAAACACCAAAAGCAATGGCAACAAAAGCCAAAATTGACAAATGGGATCTAATTAAACTAAAGAACTTCTGCACAGCAAAATAAACTACCATCAGAGTGAACAGGCAACCTACAGAATGGGAGAAAATTTTTGCAACCTACTCATCTGACAAAGGGCTAATATCCAGAATCTACAAAGAACTCAAACAAATTTACAAGAAAAAAACAACCCCATCAAAAAGTGGGCAAAGGATATGAACAGACACCTCTCAAAAGAAGATATTTATGCAGCCAACAGACACATGAAAAAATGCTCATCATCACTGGCCATCAGAGAAATGCAAATCAAAACCACAATGAGATATCATCTCACACCAGTTAGAATGGTGATCATTAAAAAGTTAGGAAACAACAGGTGCTGGAGAGGATGTGGAGAAATAGGAACACTTTTACACTATTGGTGGGACTGTAAACTAGTTCAACCATTGTGGAAGTCAGTGTGGCGATTCCTCAGGGATCTAGAACGAGAAATACCATTTGACCCAGCCATCCCATTACTGGGTATAAATCCAAAGGATTATAAATCATGCTGCTATAAAGACACATGCACATGTATGTTTATTGTGGCACTATTCACAATAGCAAAGACTTGGAACCAAGCCAAATGTCCAACAATAATAGACTGGATTAAGAAAATGTGGCACATATACACCATGGAATACTATGCAGCCATAAAAAGGGATGAGTTCATATCCTTTGTAGGGACATGGATGAAGCTGGAAACCATCATTTTCAGCAAACTATCGCAAGGACAAAAAAACAAACACCTCATGTTCTCACTCATAGGTGGGAATTGAACAATGAGAACACTTGGACACAGGAAGGGGAACATCACACACTGGAGCCTGTTGTGGGGTGGGGGGAGGGGGGGGATAGTATTAGGAGATATATCTAATGTAAATGACAAGTTAATGGGTGCAGCACACCAACATGGCACATGTATACATATGTAACAAACCTGCACGTTGTGCTCATGTACCCTAGAACTTAAAGTATGAAAAACAAAAAAAAGAACTTCTGTGATACTGGATTAGGGCCCATCTTAATGACCTAATCTTAACTTGATGACATCTGCAATGACCTCATTTGCAAATAAGGTCACATTCACAAGCACAAGAGGTTAGGACTTCAATATTTCACTTTGGGGAAGATGGTTCAACCCATAACAAATGGAAGGCAGAGCCCAATGGCAAAGGTAGTGCCAAGGCAGATGTGTTCCCCACAGCCTAGAAGTTGGGGAGAGAGGAGGCCTAAAATGCTTCCAGACTGGGTCTACCATAGAGGAAGGTAAGAAGGTAAGATACCTTAAGATTCGGGCATGGGGAAGGGGCAGAGAAGGAAAATTGCATGATCTCATACTAGGTGACCTCAGTACCAGTGAAGTTTTGATTGGATTTGCGAGCTGATCTAAGCCAACTCCAACATTCAACAATGGTAAGGGAACCCTTAGGAATTCACTTGTAGGTAAGGGCTACATATATTCTTCATTACAACCTGACTGTCTCTACCTCATTATGCATTTATATCCTTATTATAGCAGAGGTAGTTATGATTAAAGTAACTATCAGACTGAAATCCTCCCAAAGGGTAAACATTATTAGCAAGCAGGAAGGAAACAAGATATGTCTAGGAGAGATTTTTAAGTGCAGAAATATCTCCACTCCGTCTTTTAAATGCTGAGAAGCATTTTGCATGAAAGGTTAATTCTCAGATTGATGCAATGGTAGTTTGACTTTAGGATTGGCCGAGTCAGGAGAGTTCTCCCTTTGTAGCTGGAGTTGAGGGGTAGGGTGAGGGAAGTGGGAAGTACAGAAGATGAGAGGGCTTTAGGGGCACAAAAAAGGCTAAAGGTAACCGTAGGCATGCTGCCTAAAGCTATCATGCTGCTAGGATCGCTGTATTCCAATATTTTCTATCTCATCATGTAAGGACAGGAGGCTCTATAAAATGTTTCACAAATACTATGCATTTCACCAATGCAAATTTATTTCTGGCATAGTTTATATAAATAAACCTGTGTAATTTAGATAAGGCATTTAAAGCATTTGCTGTAGCTACTATATAGATTATGGATTACTGGTTAATATATTTCAAGGACTAACAAAGCAACACAAATAGATAAATTAAAATTAATGTATACACACAAGGACTCAACACTGTTTATCCTGAAAGATTTTAAAGAAATTACCCAATAGACAATATACAGGAGAATGTCCTTTTGAAAGCAATCTGACACACAGGGGTATGTGGCTCTTCAATGAAAAAGAAAAGACTGGAAGAATGGTAAGTCACTGAGACAGCTGGTGTAAGGAAATAGGGCTGAAGCCAGAAGCTGGAGGGAAGGCAACTATAGATCCGAAGTCTCAGGAAGAGAAACTCAGCAAGGAGCCTGTGCCAGGTGGATGGAGTCTGGAGATAGAAAAGATGGGAGTCAGGAAGTGTGAGTTTCAGGGATGAGGGGTTGGGAACACCAAGCATCACAGAGAAGTGAGAAGCATGAGGACTAGGAGGTGGTCCTTGGAGTTGATGAGGAGGCAAACTCTTAAGACTTTCAAAAGATTGTGCTGTAAGGATGAGAATGAGAGTCCCACAGTGTAAGGAACTTTGATGGGTAGATGGCAGTGAAGGCGGGGCTGTGGGGAGGCAGGTGATGTTGGTGATGGAGGAGTTTTTACTTGTTACACCTGCCCTTTTTAATGAGTGCAATTTTGTTGGGCGTGAGAGTTAATGGGACTGATATGGTGCAGTGGGCTTAGAATAAAATAGGAGACCGGTATTAAAGCAAAGTCTGATGCTGAGGCTGAGGCCACACAAGCAAGATTTTAAGGACAAGAGTGTTTGGGGATTATGAATGACCATGGATAACTCAATGATTATTATACTCAGTGGTTCCTCTGAGTGAGTGACCATTGACTATAATAAACGACCTTGACTATAATAAAAACAGACCATGTAATAGATGATGTTGACTATAATAAAAACTAATATATGTCGATATGTAATTTTCCCTTTCACTTGTATGAACCACGATTAAAAAAAATCTTATGTATTTCTCAACAAATACTAATTGAATTAAATTTCCTCTTGAGGGATATTGAGTTCCTGTTTCCATTGGCAATCTAGTTCTTACAGTTTTTGATGGAATAGTAAATTGATTTAACATGATAAGTTTTAACATATATGAGATTTGTGATTAGTCTTCAGGAAACATATTCTTTGCTTTTTTGGAGGAAGGGCTACTGTGGATTATCTTGGAATACTAAATCTCAGTACTTAATCATACTTATAAATGTAGTCAAAAGTATTTCTTGGGCAGCTAAAATATATGAAACAAGGGGCTGAATGCTATTGATGGGCAAAAGAATGTGTAGAACATTTTAATCTGGATGTGAACCTTATATTTTCTTTACAAGGACTGTGGAGATTCCTGTTATTTCCTGGCTTTTGGAGAATACCTCAAGCAAAGATACATATAATGTGTGTACAATACTTTCATAGCATTGTGTGCACTTATAGCTACGTTTTGCATACTCTGCATTTATTCACAATTTTAACATATCATTCCCCGTCTAATCTTAGTGCATGTTTTTGCTCCATCCTGTAGCTTTATTTGTGAAACATATTGTTGTTTATAGAAGTAAATTGACTTTTAATTTTAAAGGTTTTCTCTTTTGTTGTTTGCTGGTATCTATTTGCACCTACTTTTCTCACTCATTATGATTTTGATTCAGGCTGAACATTTTATTACAGAAGAGTTGAAGACCTATCATTTCCAATCATCTCTGAATTATCATCCTCAAAGTGTCAATGCTATTAAGAAACAAAAAACAACCTTAAGCTTATTAATAAAAGCAATTAATATCTGCACAGATACAATTTACTGACCACTTCCCCAAAACATTTTCTCATTTGATGTTAAAATATCTATATGAAAACAAAAGTATGTGAAATAAATACAACAAGAAGTTTTGTTGATCTTATTTTGGCAATGAGAAAACACAGCCCTGGAAAGCTCATTGTTGGGATGAATAGTCCACCCAAACTTCTGCTAGTCATCCTATGTACTTGGCAAGTCTACATACACGTTGCTTCCTGCCAAGACATACACCATCCATTTTGTGGGATATTCTTCTTTTTGTCTTAAAGATAAGGCATTTTTCTTTGATACATGATCAATATTACTATTGCTCTAATTGAAACTATTATTTCAGTAGTTCGTCCAGAGTACAGTTGTTCACATCTTGATTTGGGTGATTTTCAGGGTTAATTATTATATTAGCTTCCTATGACTACCATAACAAAGCATTCCAAACTAGGTGGCTTAACAAAGCAGAAGCTTATTGTCCCAGAGTTCTGGAGGCTAGAAGCCTAAAGTCACAGTATCAGCAGGATTATGCACTCTCTGAAGATTTTAGGGGAAAATCCTTTCTTGCTTCTATCCAGCTTCTGGTGATGGTCGGCAATAGGTGTATCCTTGTCTTGTCGGTGCATCTCTTCAGTAACATGGTGATCTCTGTGCCTGTCTTCACATCACCTTCCCTCTTCATATAACTCCCTGTTCAAATCTCTCTTCCTAAAAGGACAGTCATTTTCTTAGGGCCCACCCTAATCTAGTATGACCTCATTTTAATTAGACGACATCTTCAAAACTCTATTCCCAAATAAGGTCACATTTTGTGGTTCTGGGTAGACAATCATTTTTGAGTGACACTATTAATCTAGTACATTTCTTAACATTGAAATTACTTTGGAATGTCATAATTCAGCTTTCTTCAAGACAGAAAGCTCAATTATGGGGTTTAATAGTGAGCAGCAGCAAATGAACTTTATGGGATACTGTGAAAAAAATTATTAGTAATGCACTTACAGTGCTCTGAGGACCATGCCCTTCCTCTACCATGCCATCCCCTTTATTCAGCACATCTGCGGGGCATTTGGAAATTGTGTTTGTTTTATGTATGATCTTAAATCATCTGCTCAGCTTTCACGTCTTCTTGTCCCATGTTCCTCTAGCCACTCTGGATTCCTCCATGGGTCATCTCTTACTTTACTTCCAGTTGTACCTGGTTTTTGCCCAAAACAACTGTATAGTCCAGCCCAGGAACATTCTGCTTTCTCTTCCTGGGGTCGGTGGAGGGTGAATGTGGGTCAGACAACACTTTCCGTCAGTCACCATTTCTTAGGCTCACTTATTTGTCTGCAGTGTTCATACTCTGGACTGAGTGTTCCACTATGAGATCCTCTATTCCCTTTTGGGAAAACTGCATTCTTCTCACAGGACTTATCTTGCCTAAGAAACCAAGGATCCAAAGACCCATTCCCTAACAGTTCACTTCCCAACGCTGGTGGAACTCACACCATGAGCAGGAGGGTGAGCTAGGCTGGGGTTTCTCCAGGTCAGTCCAAAGGGAGCTGAGTACTCCACTCTCTTACCTTCTCTAGGGGCTGATTTGGAGAAGCAGGATTATTTTTTATTGTCAAGCAGAAAAATTTTGATTGGCTCACACACACACACGGACACACCAACACACACATCTAAAGACTAAAAATAGTTTGCAGAGGCAATTTAGCCTAGAAGCATATCAGGAGAAAATTATTTTTTAAAGACAAAATTATCAAACCTGATGCCTTGCTTTTAAAATGTTTCCTCTGGTTTCCATAATGTTCTTCTGGACTGATGTAAATGTAATGGATCTGTTACTATGCTTGTCACTTCATGATGTCAGTAGGTAGAACTTATAGAAACTTTGAAATTATGATGGTTTACTTTGTCCGGATTGTATGCCTTGGCAGGTGGTTTTCATGCCACTATTTCTCTAAAAATAAAAATAAAAATAAAAAAAGAAAAGCAACAGAAAGCTTCACGGCTAACTTAGCAGGCAGTGGTCTATGGGTTGACGGTGTCAGTGGCGAGTTTTCTTCAACTTGCCTACACGTTTGTCTTGGACTAAGGTATTAGCTTACCACAGCCTGAGCTGGCTGCCTTTCTATGGTAAGTGAATTCATTGCACTCTGCTGAAAGCTGGCTCTAGTGCATGGCCAATTGATGGCATGTCAGTGGCATTATTTTTATGAATGCAGGAATAATATCATGTAATTGGAGAACATCAAAACAAATGACCATCTACGGTGGGCTCCACTCACTGAGTTAGGAAATTAATGATGACTTATTGAAGGAACATTGCATGAAGCTCTGTGGCATATGCCTTGGTGGTGCTACGTAATTTCATAGTCCACAAACCAGAATGATTGAATTTTCTCAGAGGTGCATTCATCTGTGTCTAGTATTGATTCCTATTTATTGTTAACTAATTTGGGGGTTATGTCATTGTTTACATGAGCCAGAAAATGACCAAAAGAGGGAAAATAATACAAAATGAAGGATTTAAGGAATCTTCTAAAGAGATTAACAATGAAATTTACTCTTTGAATGTCTGGGTGCAGATTTGGTTTTTAAAGCAGAATTTCTGTCTGCATCTTTAATCAATGGATTTATTCACTCATAGACATATGACACATATTGGTAAACATTCACCCTTCACCAGGCACTGTACTATGCTCTGAGCTGGGTACAAAGGTGAATTTTAAGAAATCTTGCCATTAAGGACTTTCTGGTCTAATTGAACTGGTGACTCATGCAACATCTCCCATCTTCTATGCCTTATAGTAAGTGCCAATGTCAGAATGCTGACATTAAATAAAACTCTATCATTCAGTTGAGAGTTGCTAAGAACCACAATTAAGATGGGAAAAATGCCATAGGCATTTAGAAAAAAGAGAGAAATATAACTCTTGGAAGACTGTCCTCCATTGGGCAGTCCTACTTTCTTACTTTCACTTCATTCTTAAAACGCCTGATGCATTTGTTTGTTTGTCATAACCATAGTATGACAATGTTGATTCTCCTGTCCCCTCCCCCCCTCCCTCCCCTTCCCTTCCCTTCCCTCCCCTCTCTCTTTTTGTCCTTTCTCTTCCCTGTTCTTCCTTTCACTCTGCCTCCTCTCCTCTCTTCTCTTTTCTCCTCTCCTAGTTTTTTTCTCTCTCTTTCGTCCATTTCTCTCTCTCTCTCTAATTCTGTCTCTCTTGTGAAGTCTCTGTCTTTGTCTATCACAATCTCTATCCCTATCACTATTTCTCCTTTTCCTCTCGAAGTGTTTGCATCTCTTTATTTAAACGTAAGACAACCTCTCTGTATACCGTCTACCTCTCTGGCCACACTTTTTAGTCTCCTATTTAAGGTGTACTTTCTTTGACAATCGTGGCTCCCAGAGTTCTAGCAAAAGTTCCCAGGTCTTTGAATACCACTCAATCTTAAAAGGCTAAAAACTGTATAATTTCATTTATAAGATATTCGGGAAAAGGCAAGACTGTAGGGATAGGATATGAATCAGAGACTGCCAATGGCTGAGGCTGGGGATAGGAACTAACTACAAATGGATATGAGAGAACTTTTTGGGGTGATGGAAATGTTCCATGTTAATTGTTGTGATGGTTACACTACTGTATATTTGTCAAAATTTGGCTGTATGTGCATTTTACCTCAATAAGTCTGACATTAACAAAAAAAGAAAAAGGAAACAGGAAACCTGTAGAGAGGAGGGTATTCACATAATTCTTTCCACTCCTTGCTTTTTTTTTTTTTTTTTGCATGGGAAGACTTGGAAAATCTTCCCTTTTCCCCTCACGCTCTTTATGTTTTACATTTAGTACTCTTGACTAACATTAGAACATTGTTGTGAGATTATAGACCAAGGAATCATAATTACCCAAGGATATTCTATGTATATGGGGTTCTCATTGGTAATCCCAAAAGGAGATGGCTAAAGCAAAAAGCACCTCTCAAATACTTCTAACTCAGTTATTTACATAACAGGGATGACAGCAGAATCTACAAAATCTCATTCTATACTCTCTGGCATTTTAGAGAAACTAAAGCAATAAAAATTTAACTGGCTTTTTAAAGCCCTGAAACGTTAGTAAATTTCCATGCCAGGTTAACTCATAGCTAAAGGGTTAGAGACATATTTTTTATGACTAGCAGTACTGAGGGAGAAGGGCTCCAGCTTACAATGGGAATTCAGTGTTTATAAACAAGGCTCGATGTTTTGATCCATTTCAGAAAACCATTAAAAAAGAAAGACAGTACTTCTCTTTTTTTTTGGATGTGATTTGAGTATATGCTTGGAGAAAGTGGGATTTTCAAAATAGAAATGTATATATTCCCAATTCCATATTATACATCTTGTATTTTAAATGAGCCATGGAAATCTCCTTTCTCACTTCTGACAGACAGCACAAAACTGTTGAATGAACTTTGGGTTAGCATTCCAGAGACGCATATTTCCATCCAGCTCTGCCATGAAACTGGCTCTGTGACACTGCGGAGTGGGTGAGGAGGGCATCTCTGCCTCAGTTTATTTTTTCCATCTGGTTGGTCTGTAAATGAATGGGAAGTTGGATTACATGATCGCTGGGGGTATCTTCTTACATTCAAATACATTTTTCACAGCAGTTCAATACCCTGTCGTATTGTGGATTTTCATTACCACAGCCTTCCTCCTTGAATTCTCATACTTTTGAGTGTTCATACTTTCCCACCAAGATGGCCTGTGTTTATCCCTAATGCATTCCTGGGCACTATGGTGACCTGACCTTTTATGGCTCTTGCAACCTGGGTAGCTGCCATTTGTAGCAATCAATAAAAGGTGAATATACTGTCAAGCACGAAGACTTTCCAAAACTCATGTTCTGCTTTCTCAAGTAGTATTCTTCAGCATCTTGACCAATGGCATACTGACTTTCATAGTTAATTGAGATTTCAGAATTTAGAATACACGTTTTAAAAGGAAAAATGCTTTTTAGTTTAAAAGCATTTACATTAAGTTGTATACATTTTATGTATTTTCTGAATCAGGATGTCATTTGTCTGTGTTAGCTTTAGCTATCAGGATGCATTTTAGGTAAGAACAATTGGTTTATTGATGAGTCTATGGTAAATGTGAAAGAACTAGTAAGAAATTAGGAAACTCAAGTGTATTGCTCTGAAATAATTACTTCATAAAATATTTGTAATGATGGAAACATCAAGATTGAGGAAACATGAGGTTATTTATCTCCCATTCAATTTCTGGTCAGACCAAATTATTTAAGAGTGTATTAGATACTTGCACTATCAGAGAGTGTTGTGTGTATTACCAGGCATTGCTGTGCAATGAGAATGCCTTGTGCTGTGGGATTCTGTTCTGGAAAGACATAAGAACAGAGATGACTTCCCAAAGATTTTTGATGCTCTACTGTAATTCTCCTAAATTATTTGAAATATTTTCATTTCTTTCCCAACTGTAAGATCCTTAGTGAAAGAGATTCTACACTCTTGCCAGTTGAAGAGCCAATTTCTCTTATCAGGAAGTTCCTGATAAACTGGATATCTCCTGCTTCTACTTACTTCAGCTTCTTCTTGCTCAGCCTTGAGAGGGAGTACAGAACCGAAGGGAAAGTTTATTGTTCTTTTGGTAGTAATCCCTCACAAAATAAAGCAATCTTGGGAAAATGCACACTTCAGCATCAACCTGGGTAATCTGAGCTTAGAGGCAGGGCAATTAAAAAAAAAGAGAGAAAGTGAGAAAAAAATATAAGATAGTTTTAGAATTAATGACTGCATTATTATTTAACACATTAAGAAAGGGTTCTAAGTTGTAAGAGTTTGTCTAATGGATATGGGTTGAGGGTATGTACCTTACTAGGGAGCTGGCAAGACACATGGGAAATGTAAAATAGTGGAACTATGATAAATAGAAAGTTGGCTGGGTATTATTTTGGAAGAAATAAAGTGTTGGGAAGAAACAAAGTCATTTGTAAATTCAAGAACCATAAATGCAAGGAGATGGTTGAAGTATCTTAAAAAAAAGAAATCCATGGCAGGAAGAAAAAGGCCAGGGGTTGTGCAGGAGTTACCACACATGAACTTGCTGAACAAGATTCTTTCATGTCAATTGGTATTACATTTTTATCATCTTGAAGGAATTTGGATCTGATGGTGATGAATGTCACATTCTCTTTCCTAAAACCATAAAATGGAAACAACACAATGCAAAGGCTCTGGATTAATTATTTTGTGCGTCATTAACTTCTCCACAATTAGAAGTCCCCCCCTTTCACATCTCTCAAGCCAATTATGCATTACACAGTAGGTGATGGCTGTGCAACAGTGGAAAAATTGGCACAACTACAAGGCCTTTCTTATCTTTTCTTTTTACTATAGCCAACTATTCATTTACAAGGTAGGTCTAGGTCTCTGGTGCAACTCTCTTGGGATAACTTATGTTGTATGAATAATCCTTTTCACATATTTCCATTTATCTTTTCATTCACTCAGTAAGCGTTTACTTGATGTCTAATAGGTTTTAGGGTCTCCTCTAGCCAGAGATAAATCTTAAGTGCTTTTGTCTTATATTTTCAGACTATCAGTCCTTTTAAACATTTATTTAAAAAGTCATGGTAGGAAGCACCTTGAATCCCATGACATAAAACACATTTATTCGTAGGTTAATCCACTACTAATTCAGTCATTTAGCAAATATTTATGGAAAACCTCTTGGAAGCCAGGAACTGGCCTTGGTGGTGAAAACCCAGCAAAGAGCAGAGCAGAGATGTTTCCTGCACTCATGGTAGTTCTTATTCTTGTATACATGATAGAGGTTTAAGCTAGAGAAAGGACTGACAGTGTTGGTTTGGAATGCGTGTGTGAACAGGAGAGAAGGAGAGGATGCCATTGAAAGGTTATGGTGGAGATTTTCTTGAGTGTGTAAACTTTGAATTGGTTGACGCTTCTTAACAAACCTGTGCCCAGGTAAAAATTCACAACACTCCACGAAGGAGCTTAGGCTCTAGAATGGGATATTTGTTTAAAAAATAGTCCAGATTAAGTCTGTTGATTGATTCATGCTTCTCAGTCTCATTATGGAAAGACACCTTTCATAATCATGTCATGGTCCAGTCTTTGTGCCTCTCTCCAAGTTGTCATTGTCTTCCACCATTTCAAGATATTTAAAATTAGTCATTTAATATTGTAATCTACAGTAAGTATAGTAATATTTGATGCCTTCTGACTCAGAGTCGGAAGGGGCCATAAGTGTGTGATTGTCCAGAGGTTATCATTCAAAGTCTTAATAAGCTGTATGTCAGATTGAATAAGTGGTAAGAACATGAGTTTGATGATCAGATGTGTTTTCAAATATTTCCTCTTATTAATGGCACATTCATGGAGAAGCCTCAATATATATATTGGTAAGTGGGAATAATTAGATCTACTTTTCAAGGTTCTCATGAGAGATAAATGAGAAAAACGATGCAAAGCAACCAATCCAGGCTATTCACTTTTCACCATCAAGCTATGATGACTTTGCAAATAAAACATAACAAAAAGGTTATTTGCTTTGTTAAGAAGCAAAATGCTTACCTTGACACAGAATCAGCCCAAACCTGTTTCTGTTTCTGTTTGATTTTTTTTGCAAGCATAAGGT
Organism: Homo sapiens; assembly: GCF_000001405.40. NCBI lineage: Eukaryota > Metazoa > Chordata > Mammalia > Primates > Hominidae > Homo > Homo sapiens. The sequence continues at coordinate 106,003,809 of NC_000013.11, read as the reverse complement.
TAAATGTTTGCTCTTAAATTTAATGGAAAGTGTAGCAAACAAACAAAAACAAAAACAAACAAACAAACAAACTCAGCTTGTTTCAATGCAAGTTCTCCAAGAGTAGATGGGGCCATAATCTGGTAACTTCCCTAAGCAAATACAAATAGCTGGGCAACTCCAAAGCTCAAAGTGAATAGAATGACTAATTTGTGACATCCTCGCAATGAATATTGCTTTTACTTTATTGTTGAGTGTGTGAGATTAACTTCTAACCTGGGGGAGTTTGTCCTTATAAACTGATGCAGAGCACGTATTTGTGTTTGGCACAGAGCATAAAGATACATACATCACTTTCATTTTGTCTTAAGGCAGGATGAAAAGGGCCACACAGAGAGGATTAAGATTCAGGATAAAAAAAAAAATCCTTCAACATCTTGGTTGCTCCTTCTCTCACCAGTTAGATCCATTTCTCTTTAAACATTTGGAAGAGGATAGAAGTTGTCATCACTCATCTGTTTTTGGGAAGTAGCCTCATATTAACATCCAGGTGGGTTGGGTTGGAGAAAACAAAGAAATCTTCCTTCAGAAATGAACCTAGAATATTTATCTTGCCTGGGTCTATGCAGACCTCTTAAAGCTACATTTGCAAAACGAACACTTTACTGGACCAGAAATTTTGACATCCTGTACACTTCACAATACCGCATTCAGCATCTGGTTCTCAGCTGACCACACTGTAAATCAGACAGAAGATGCAGCCCACTTAAGAATCCAGTGAAGAAGGTTTTCTGTTTTTTATTTGTTTGTTTGTTTGCTTTTGTTTTAATGGGCAAAGGAGAATGCCAAAGAGAAATTCCCATATCCTACCATGATGCTTAGTGGGTCAAAATTCCAAATTGGATATTTTCTCTTGCCTTGCTTAAAGCAACTAAATAAATAAGCATGTTCCAGTTATAAACAATGTTTTATTAGCCTTTTGGAGTCTTGATTTTCTATTCCTGGCACCAGAATTTTGTACTTAACATACCATTAAATAACTCTCTACTTAAAAAAAAAAGTATATGAGCTGCTTATAAGTTACTATATAGTTGTGCATGACCAAGAAAATACCAGAATTACGCAGGCACAGCAGGAAATTAACAATGCAGAAGATAACCGTGCCTGGTTATAGATAATGCATTCAGTGCTTTAAATAGCAGTTTGCCATCCATGTGTCACTTCACACCAGATGGTTGGAAGAGCACAGGACATGTTTTTTTTTTTTGTATTAAAAGGGTACATATAAAAATCTGCTAATAGCAATGCAGTGAAAAAAGAAAAAAGTTCTATAATTTAGGATAAGTGAGTCTTTGTCAAATTGCCTTCATCTATATCAAAGCTTTTTTAAAATGTATTCAGTAAGTAAAAATATTCCGTTTAATGAAATATCAAATAAAATAGTGACATTAAGCTTTTTTAGAGTTTTTAGTAGGGACCTGCTTTTGAGCCCAGTGCTCAGCTTGAACAGGTTAATTGAGCCTTCTGGGACAAATCTCAGCATTGGTTATATTATTATTTCATTTTTAATTCCAAATCTCAGGAGAAAAGTTACTGTCACTCTGGCAAGAGAGTACAAGATGTACGTGAAGGTGGAACTTATTGTTTACTGCTCTCCACATGTTGACGTCCTGCCCGCTGCAGACTTATAGGAATATTTATTATGTTCCTTACCCTTCGATGTGTTAAAATAGCATCTAAGTGAAAATATAAGTTTCTGCAAAGCACAAGCATTACTAGTTGGGTTCTGTACTTTTAAACGGTGGCTAACGCAGAGCAGACTGGGATGATACATAATGGCCTAGAAAAGTGGTTCTCAACTGGGATGATTTTGCCCCTCATCTCCAGGGGACTTTTGGTAGTACCTAGAGGCATTTTTATTTGTCACAAGTGGAGGGACTGCTGACTGGCAAGAATGCTGCTAAACCTCCTACAATGGTGTGGGACAGCCTCCCTCAACAAAGAATCATCAGGTAGGGCCCTGTGATGATTAATTGTATGTGTCAATTTGGCTAGGCTATAGAACCCAGTTACTTAATCAAACAGGAATATAGATGTTGCTATGAAGATATTTTGTAGATGTGGTTGATACCTACCATTAGCTGACTTTAAGTAAAGCAGATGACCCTCCATGATGTGGTGGGCCTCAACTAATCAGCTGAAGGCCTTAAAAGCAAAACCTGAGGTCCCAGGATGGGAAATTAGTCAGATGTATAGAATACAGAATAAGATTTTGTCATTTGCAACAACATCGATGGAACTGGAGAACATTATGTTAAGTGAAATAAGCCAGGCACAGAAGACAAACTTCGCAGGTTCTCACACATTTGTGGGAACTAAAAATTAAAACAATTGAACTCATGGAGTTAGGGAACACATTGATAGTTATGAGAGGCTGGGATGGGTAGGGGGGAGTTGGGGGAAGTGGGGATGGCTAGTGGGTATAAGCATGTACTTAGATGGAATGAATAAGATCTAGTACTTGATATACAATAGGATGACTATAGTCAACAATAATTCACAGCACATTTAAAAAATAGCTAAGAGTATACCTGTAGTCTCAGTAACTTGGGAGGCTGAGGCATGAGAATCATTTCAGCCCAGGAGGCAGAGGTGGCAGTGAGCCAAGATCACACCACTGCACTCCAGGCTGGGTGGCAGAGTGAAAAAAAAAACACAAACAAAAAAATAAATAAACAAAAAAACTAAGTATAATTGGATTATTCCAAACACAAAGAAGTATACCCCATTCACTGTGATGTGATTATTACACATTGTACACCTGCATCAAAATATCTCATGTACCCCATAAATATAAGCACTATGTACCCATAAAAATTAAAAATGAAAAAAATTATATATCTATAATTATATATATGTGTATATACATATTTCCTCTTTCTCTGGAGAACCCTGCTATGGACCATTGGTGGCCCCTCAAAATAATTGATATATTGAAGCCTAAATCCTCAATGTGATGGTATTTGGAGATGGGGGTTTTTGGGAAGTGATTAGGTCACGAGGATGGAACTCTCACAAATGGGGTTAGTGCCCTTATGAAAAGAGACAGGAGAGCTCATGCTCTGTTTCTGCCCTTTGCTATGTGATTACACGGCAAGAAAATGGCCATTTTCTTTTTTTTCTTTTTTTTATTATTATTATACTTTAATAATATTATTATATTTTTAGGGTACATGTGCACAATGTGCAGGTTAGTTACATATGTATACATGTGCCATGCTGGTGTGCTGCACCCATTAACTCGTCATTTAGCATTAGGTATATCTCCTAATGCTATCCCTCCCCCCTCCTCCCACCCCACAACAGTCCCCAGAGTGTGATGTTCCCCTTCCTGTGTCCATGTGTTCTCATTGTTCAATTCCCATCTATGAGTGAGAACATGCGGTGTTTGGCTTTTTGTCCTTGCGATAGTTTACTGAGAATGATGATTTCCAATTTCATCCATGTCCCTACAAAGGACATGAACTCATCATTTTTTATGGCTGCATAGTATTCCATGGTGTATATGTGCCACATTTTCTTAATCCAGTCTATCATTGTTGGACATTTGGCTTGGTTCCAAGTCTTTGCTATTGTGAATAGTGCTGCAATAAACATACGTGTGCATGTGTCTTCATAGCAGCATGATTTATAGTCCTTTGGGTATATACCCAGTAATGGGATGGCTGGGTCAAATGGTATTTCTAGTTCTAGATCCCCGAGGAATTGCCACACTGACTTCCACAATGGCTGAACTAGTTTACAGTCCCACCAATAGTGTAAAAGTGTTCCTATTTCTCCACATCCTCTCCAGCACCTGTTGTTTCCTGACTTTTTAATGATCGCCATTCTAACTGGTGTGAGATGGTATCTCACTGTGGTTTTGATTTGCATTTCTCTGATGGCCAGTGATGATGAGCATTTTTTCATGTGTTTTTTGGCTGCATAAATGTCTTCTTTTGAGAAGTGTCTGTTCATATCCTTTGCCCACTTTTTGATGGGGTTGTTGGTTTTTTCTTGTAAATTTGTTTGAGTTCATTGTAGATTCTGGATATTAGCCCTTTGTCAGATGAGTAGGTTGAGAAAAGAAAATGGCCATTTTCAAACCAGGAAGCAGACCCTCTCTAGACACCAGATCTGCTGGCACCTTGATCTTGGACTTTGCAGCCTCCAGGAATAGGAGAAATAAACGTTTGCTATTAAAGGCACTCAGTCTATGGTAATTTGCTATAGCAGCCTGAATGGCCTAAGGCAGATCTTGACTGATGAAGTCCCAAATGTCAATACAGCCAAGGTCAGAAATGCTGGTCTAGGGACAAAAACAGACCTTCAGGCAGTTGGAAGACTGTGCAGTTTTGATCTGTCTTTGTGTTCCTGCAGCTGGCCACATACTCCACATAGAGCCTTCTCTAGACCACACAGGTGCTGTCTTCTAAACTGTTGCAGCAGTTTTCTACGTAGGGCCTAATGACCTAAGAACCCCTAAGATCTGAGTCTCCATGGTTAAAGCCCTTCACTCAATGAGACTTGGTGAGGTGCAAATATCATTCCTCACCTTCCTGTTCTTTGGGAAGGATACATTAGAAGAAGCAGCTCAAATCAAATCTCCCCCTTTTATTTTTCTCCCTTTTATATGATGACTCCATTTCTCTGATCCATGTGGCACTTTTCTAAATTGCCCTCTAAACAACATATTAATGTTATTTCCAGATGTTGCCTTATATATAATTCCAGACTTAAGGTGATACAGCCTTTCATCAAGAAAGACTAGTCTTCACCATCCTCCACAGGTTTTTAAAAAAATAATAACCCATATTACACACACACACGTACATACAAATACACACATATGTATGCACACCACACACACGTACTCTACACACACACATTCACACATACATACACACACATGTACATACACATACACACATATGTATGCACACCACACACAATACTCTACACACACATTCACACATACACACACATGTACATACACATACACACATATGTATGCACACCACACACATACTCTACACACACATATTCACACATACATACACACATGTACATACACATAAACATATGTATGCACAACACACACACATACTCTACACACACACATATTCACACATACATACACACACGTACGCACACCACACATACATATATATAGATACACACATACATACACATAAACACATACATATATGTACTAACACCACACACACACACATACCTTGCACATGAGATGTGCAAATGTAGGGACTCTGTCTTTAAGTTTTGAACTTGAAGTTGCTGGTCTAGGATGTTACATGAAAAGCTTAAAACTTCTGGGATAGTTTTTCAGCCTTTGGGACTGGGTTTGAGAAGTGGTTCAGCAGAGGAGCGGAGCCTGCAGGGCTTAGTGTGCATAAATGCGTCTTTGTCTGCGGAATCCTCTAAGTTCAACCACTGTGCGAGAGAAATCTGAGAGTGGGAAGGACAGGGCTAAGAGGATCAAACATGTGTGGTGTCGCCTTCATGGTGATCTGTGTTCCCCTCCGTCTTTCTGCCCGAGGCCCTGTCTTGACAGCTGCCCGTCGCAGTGCACACCAAACCCTCCGTGAATCAAAGCGGAACTTGTCAAAGGGGCCTTTTTGTGGGGTTAAAGGCGATTGGCCTTTCCTAGCTTGGTGGCCCTCATGGAAACAGAAATGAAGTTCCCCCTCAGGCTACCTCCAGCTGCCAAAGTGAGCAGAAAGCATTGCTGTGGCCAGGGCAGGGTGAGGCCTGGGGCCGTGAGACCCCGATCCAGCTGGAGCCTGCCCCTCACTGGCACTAGGCGTGGAGCAAGAGTGGCTGCGGCAGCAGAAATGGGGCATGCAGCCTGCGTGGGCCGGGGCCAGTGAGCACAGGGGGCTCAGTCCTCCTGGGCCGCGGGCTCATCTCCCGCACAACACCGCGTTGTCCTCTCGGAACAGCTGTTTTCATTTCCCCCTCCTTCCTGGAGTGTCATCCAATTATCACTCCCACACACTTCTTGCAGCTGTACTTTATGGATGACAAACGTTTTTGCTTTATTGTTCAGGGAGAGCTCCAAACATGAAAAACAGCCGATCATTTATCAAGAGGTTTGAATACTAAATATGCAGCGAGAACCCAGACTGGCTTCGGAGGCGGCAGTCAGCAGCACTGAGGCCTGTCTTCTGGAGGTGTGACCTGTTCAAGTTCAGTCACAGCTTACTGGGGGACAGAGTGTTTTGTGAAAGAGCTAAAATATTGGGTTTTTTTCTTTTTTTTTTTTTAATGCTTTTCTAAAAAGGCTTTGTGCAAGTAACAGAAAGGTGAAAATTATTCACTGTGGTTGGAGCCCGTGAAAAATACGGGGCAGCAGGTTGGTGCAGATGCAGGAAGGGTATGGCTCCACTCCTGGGGTGTCTAACTGTCCTGTTCGCTCGGTACTCAGGAGTTTCCGGGGACGTGAGACCTTCAGTGTTAACAGTGGGACAGTTGGCTGGTTACCCTCTAGCCACTTCTCTCAACTGGCAGAAGGGAGGCTTGTATCCTGGTTTAGATTAAGTCAAAGACAGTTTCTAAACAAAGTAGCTTTAGGGTAAGCCGATTTTTCAGTGTGCTTTAGCGAGGTCCTGGGGATATCACTAATAATTTTGAAAAAGCTCAATCACTTGAACAGTCACAGCTTGCTCCTATGTTCAGACTATCTGCACCACATAGCTACATGTTGCATAGGGCTTAGAAAAATTCGGAGAAGAAAAACTGTGCCCTTTGAGTTCTGGCAGAGAGAGAGAGGAAAAAGATCGCTAGCAAGAGATGTAAGCATGTGTTCATTGGTGGTGATGCTTGCATTTGGTTTCCATTCCTTGTGTGCTGTAGAAAAACACAACAGGCAAGCACAGAGCAACAAGTGCAGTAGGGGCAGGGGAGTGGGCAGGACGCATTGTTTTGCTTTTATAAGATAAATCATCAGCATGCATGGGAAAGGAGCAGCGGTCAGCGGGAGGGTAACCTCGTGAAAGGTGGAATGATATCAGCCTGGCTACCCAACTATGCATCCTTTCTGCGAAGAGAACATGACACAGCTGTTCCAAGGCCTGAGTAGGAGATTAACACGGCAGAAATCACAGTGGCATGTGTGCATTACTTTACCGTTTGCAAAGTACTTTCACCCACTTTATCCTTGTTCGTCCTCACTGCACACCCTGAGATGTGGGGCGGGCAGGGCAAAGATTAGTAACTTCATTCTTAGAAATGGGGATGCCAGCTGGGCGAGGAGCTTGCTTCGGATCACATGGCTAATTAAATCAGAGAGCCAGTACTGAGTCCTGGTCTTCCGGACCCTATTCCACTAGAAAGTTTAACATTTTAAAGGTTGTCAGTGTGAATACAAAACCATGGAAATACATACTAGTAGAACCTTCTGGACATAGGGCTCTATCTTCCCAAGTTAAGGTGTAAGAACAAAATCTAGAATAACAAAAGGCGCAGCTTCACATAGCAGGAAGAGCCATAGTTTAAAATTGAAGGCCAACTCTGCAAAAGCCCTAGAATGGCGACCTTGAGCCATTATTCAATCTCTTTGACCTTCGGTTTCCTTGTTTGAAAAATAAGCAATATGATGGCTTCCGGAAGGGTTGCTGTGAGAATTAAAGAAGATATTGTAGGTAAAATGCCAATTTAACACTGAAAAAATTGTTATTTTTTACTCTTATTACTATGTTTACCAATGCAAATATGACAAGCAAAAATGAATTTGGATAAGTTAGTTGAAAACAACTGCTGTGTTAACAAGAGGATGCTTGAATGTCCTAATGCAGGGTGTGGCTTTTTCCAAACACTTCTCCCATTAGCAGGCAACATTCCTGTCCAGCCCGAGCCACCACCGCTAAGAAGAAAGAGTCCCACTCTCCTGTATGGCCTCTAAAATACCCAAAAAGGAAGCATCAGAGACTTTGAGAGCAAAACGTCAGGACAGCAGGCCACATAGAAATATGGACAAGTGACAGTGACACTGATATTCCTGAATGTCATTGTGACATTCAGTTTAGCCCTGCAATGCAAATGGTTCTGTCATATAAGACAATGAGTTAGAAGTTAGCCAGAGAATAAAATTAAATTCAGAGTCACTCATCAGCTATGAACAATGTTACCTGTTCACTTGATTCTGTGTTGAAGCTGAATGTGGCTGCAATAGCCTTAGTAGGTTCTTCAGAAAGAATCTACTTTAAACAAATTAACACACTAAAGACTTCCTTTGGCTTTGAACTTTGTTCATCCCTAATACCACTCTAATGGAAAATCAGGATTACTTTTAAGAAAGTAGTCATCGAATATATGTATTTAACTTAGCTATTTTCTTTCCTTCAAAGGCATGTAACATCCTGAAACAGAAGGTGCCTCAGGTCAACTGCCTAGTCTAGTTCATTCAAGAAAGATGGTTGGCTCTGCTATTATAAAAATTCCCCAGATTTCCAAAGGGGTTTATAATTTGCAAAGTGCATTTTTGTTAGTGAATGTCAAGAAGGTCCATTGTATAGCATTTTGTTCTCTAAAATCTATTTACCTGATGAACATTTTCAAGACTTCTCCTAACCTAATGCGAAATAAAATCTAGACACAACAAATTAATAACATTTGAAATATAAATGCTGTAAACTCAGATTTTTGCCCTTATCTCATTCCTCTTTTTATTACTTTCATAAAATGATTTACTCTCCTGCCAGATCGCTTTTGTTCTTTTGCAAAATTAGAAGCCTGTGCTTCACAAGCTGTGCTATCATGATGACTTTATCTCTAAGGTCTTACATTTGGTTTTAATTTCTTCTACTTTTCTTTTTTAATTGGACTTTCTGCTCCACCTCTTTAAAATCACATTGTTCCCACACGTTCTTTGACACTTTGCTTACCAACCGACTTGCAGGCTTTCATAGTATGATACATTAAGAGCTCTCCTGTGGGCTGTAACCTCTCCTGGTTCCTGGAGCTGTGGATTGGGAGGGGCTGGATCAGAAAGATTAAGTTTGAATCCAGGCTCTGCCTCTGAGAAGTTGATGACCTTCTGTAAGTGACCCAACTGATCTCATCTACAGCATGATAGGCTGCAACAGGGGCCATTCTTTGTCCCACCCTCTGTCACACCCTCAGGAACGTAATGTTGTCATGCCCACCCACTCTGACTCTGGGCCTGGTCCTGGTCCTATGACTTGCTATAAACAATGGGATGCTAGCGGAGGCTTGAAAACGCACCTGCACATTACTACTTGCAATCTTTCTCAATGCCATTGCCACAGAAGGACATGTCTGAACTAGGCTGTTGAGGGATAAGACATGTGGACCCCACCTGAGTTGCTCCAGATGGGGCCCGCCGTATAGTACAGGCCTGGTAAATATTAGTTCTCACCATTCAGAGACCAGGGCCTGCCATGACTCCTTCCAGTCTCAACTTTGTTGCATCTTTCTTTTGGATAGATTCCTTCCTCTGAACGTATATTTCTTTTCGTTGGAAAGCGAGTTATTTTGTTAAGCATGCCATATATATCAACTATGACTTAATTGTAATTATTCATTTTTTTCAATTGTTTTCAAGATGATGAAGTTACATTTTTACTTCATCCTTGATAGTTACAACAGGTATAGACTTCCTTTTGTATTCCATTATTCATAACTCCAAGATTTGCCTTTGTAGATTCTTGGTCATCTCTAATCTGTTAACTTCTGTTCATGCTATTTTGAAAGTTTTGTTTTGTTTTGCTTTTTACAACATCTTTGCTATTATTTCAGTTCCAACCTCTTTTCAACCAGGCATATCGAATTGAAGGTTTGTCCTTCACCTGTTTTTCCACTCCAACTCTTTAGGATTAGGCCACAAAATGTAAATGTAAAACAACTTCCATTGACCATGCTGAATTCCCTCTCTCCAATGGCAGGTGAACCCTAAATGGTCAGGCTTCTGGCAGCATTAAGAACTAGGATCAGAGCTTAAACCAGAAATACACATACCAGCCATTGCAACACAAACAAATCAGTTCCTATACAGCTCACACATATTTTTTCAGAAGACAGAAATATCCTCATCTCAGGACAGTACCTACTCATAAATGTCTGACTAGGTACGTGCTATAGACTGAATGATTTGTTCCCCACAAGCTCACATATTGAAGCCAAGTTCTCTAATGTGATGGTATTTGAAGGTGGGGCCTTTAAAAAGTGATTAGGTTATGAGGGCAGATCCCTTATGAATGAGACTAGTGCCCACACAAAAGAGACCCCAGAGAGACCCCTCACTCCTTCCACCATGTGAGGACACAACGAGAAGATGGATGCTTATGAGCTAGGAAGGGGGTTCTCTGCAGGTGCCTTGGTCACGATCACAGCCTCCAGAGCTAAGAATAATCAAATCTCGTTATTTATAAGCTACCCAGTTTACAGCATTTTGTTACATCAGTGCAAGTAGGCTGAGACAGTATGTGATTTAACACCTTTGATTTTCTGGTTTCCCTAACAGCTCCCTTGAGTCATAAGATTAATGCAGGACAGAGGTAAAGTGTCAAGAAGTAGTTCAAGGGCAAAGTGGAGAGAAGCTTTAAGTAGATATCCTAACAGGAATGAAGAAGAAGACCTGCTTGTGACTGGGCATGGTGGCTCGGGCCTCTATTCCCAGCACTTTGGGAGGCCAAGGCAGGCAGATAGCTTGAGCCCAGGAGTTTGAGACCAGCCTGGGCAATATGGCAAAACCCTGTCTCTCCAAAATTACAAAAATTAGGTGGGCATGGTGGCACATGCCTGTAGTTCCAGCTACTTCAGAGGCTGAGGTGGGAGGATACCTTGAGCCAGGGAGGCGGAGGTTGAAGTGAGCTGAGATTGTGCCAGTGTGCTCTGGCTTGGGCAACAGAGCAAAACTTTGTGGGAAAGGAAAGAAAGGAAGAAAGAGAGAAGAAAAAAGAAAGAAAGAAAGAAAGAAAGGAAGGAAGGAAGGAAGAAAGAAAAGAAAGAAAGAAAGAGAAAGAAAGAAAGGGAGAAAGAGAGAAAGAGAAAGAGAAAAAGAGAAAGGGGAGGGGAGGGAAGGGGAGGGGAGGGGAGGGGAAGGGAAGGGAAGGGAAGGGAAACGAAAAAGGAAAAGAAAAGAAAGGAAAGGAAAGGAAAGGAAAAGAAAACAAAACTTACTGGAAGCAGAGAGGAAGACAGATAAACTGGCAACAGATAAACAGATAAACAGAGAAAGACAGATAAACAGCAGTGAGTGATTTCTTTATGGTACCTGTAGGCATAAATTAATTAAAACTCATATAGAAATGTATTCTCATAATGATAACTCCATTATAGGAGGAGAGTAACATTATTTCCGGAATATCCTGTTGACCAAGTCAGGGAAATATCTAATGTGGTTTTAAAAGTTTTTAAATATAAAACTGAAAATGGCAATACACTGGCTAATAGACTCGCTCAGCTGATCTCTCCTCTTAATGATGTCAGACATTCAGGTCTCACAAAATAAACAGAGTTTGTTGGTGGCATTTTAAACACTGACATACATAATCTATGAAACAAACTCTTCTAGTTGGTGACTAGAATAGACTGGTTTTCTGCTTTGGATTCATCCATTCATCAGTCATTGGGCAAGATAGTTTTCATTAGCTTCCTCCATTGTCAGCACTATCTAGGCATCTGAAAGGCAAAGGACTATAAAACACAGTTCATTTTGCTCTATGTGCTCATTGTGAGCAGCTGGATTCAGGCATGAAAAGTCAACACAGCAAAATATTACAGGAGCTGTGGCAGGAGTACGTGCAGAGCCCAGTGGATGCCCCTGGAAGGAGGCTCATGGTGTGGAAGGCCAGGGCCCTCCTTGCATAGTAGTGAGAAGTAAACAGCTGTTGTAGGTGGCATTCTTGGCAGAAGGCATTCCTGGCAGAAGGAGCAGTACAAACAAAGGTATGGGAGATGTGGGGAAAGGAGCAGCGTGACAGCTGGAACTGGAAACTTAGCATGTCGCAAGAATGCAGTTGGAGGGAGGACTGCTGAGACAAACCACAGTAGCCAGAATACAGAGGGCTTTGTGTGTCATACCAAGGAGTTTGCACCCATCCTCTAGGCAACGGGAGCCATTCCAAGTTCTCAGTCAGGGTCAGCATGATCAGACTTGTGTTTGGAAAGTGACTTTTGTACCAGGCAGAGAATGGGTTGGAAAGACATGAGTCAAAAGACCAGCTGAGAAACCAATTATTTAAGAAAAGAATGGTGAGGAACTGTGTTAAGATAGTAAGCAGGTAAGTTCACTGTTATTACTCATTTAGACAAATAATTAAGAACATCTAAAATGCATATAGCTGTGCTAAATACTAGAGTGTATGAAGAAGAATATGACCATAGTTCTGCCATCATTAAGATTACAATCTGGCAAAGCAGATACTATTAACACTACACGGGCTATACCAGGGGATGATGTGTAACCTGACAGAAGAGGCAGTATGAACAGCTGCAGAGATTCAGATGGGAAAGTGAATACATTCTGTTGGGTCAACCAGAAAAAAATGATTTGTGAATATTGTGGAATATCAGACTGGCTTTGAAAGAAGAGTGAGCTTTTTTAGGGGAACATTGTGGAGGAGAACTCACCAAGTGAGGTAACAGCATGAGAAAAAGGCATCAGGGCATATGCATAGCCCACTTTTGATGAGCAGTGAGCCACCCTGTTGGTACTTGTAGAGGAGATGTGTGAACTGAGACTGGAAAGGGAGTTGGTGCCATATGGTGGAGGCTCTGAAATGCAAGAGTGAGCAATTTGTACTTAATTTGGTCTATCATTGGGAAACACTGAAGGTTCTAATGAAAGAAGGAACATACTACAAGCTACCTTTGAGAAAACCTTATCTATCATCACTGGATAGGATGAATTAATGATAGGGAAACCAGAAAAAAGCTATTGGCGTTAATGTGAGATCACAGAGGCCAGAATCTAAAAGATAAACAGGAAAGGGAAGGAGGGGCTTGGGAGTAGAAGTCAATGCTATGAGTCTTAGTGATGGGTTGGGTGTGGAGGATGGGGGGTGGGGGCTGAGTCAGACATAGCACAGACATGTTGAGCTTGAACGACTGAGGAAAAATTAGACCCACAAAGAGAAATAAGGAAGTGAGAAAAATGGGATATTTGGGGGAAGAATTTAATTTAGGTCAAATGGCTGGCAGGACATGCAGTTAGAATTCAGTAGTTCTCAAGCAGGGCAATTTTACCACTCCCCTACCCCACCCCACAAGGGACATTTGGGAATGTCTGCAAACACTTTGGTTGTCCCATCTGGAGCCAGGGAGTGCTACTGATATCTAGTGGGAAAACATCCTGTGAGGCACAGGGCAACCCCAACCACAAAGACTCATCTGACCCAAAATGTCAATAGGGTTAAGGTGGAGAATCCCTGAGCCGGATGTTTCTAGTAGAATAACAGAAATGATACTTAAGGCAGTCGAGATTTTGGAAATCACCAATTAAACAATATAAATTATAGATATAAATTATTGTGAAGGTAGGCCCAGGAGTTATCTATCTAGAATCTACTGTTCTTTACTACTGTTGGTCCTGGGCTACAAACCTGTACAGCAAGCAACTGTACGGAATACTGTAGAAAACAGTAGTAAAGAAGATAGATAAATTTGACTTCAGAATTCTACCCTTGAAAACCCCACCTCTGAGGGAAGGAGACAAAAAAATGGAGCCACATAGCAGACAGAGATAGAGGCACCAAAGAAACCTGAGAGCAGTGGGCGGTGGTGGTGCCGAGGAGCTGGTGCTGACAGTCTTGGGAAAGGCAGCAGGGGACCTAGGAAGAACACAAGGGGACGCAGAAGTCAGACTGTCCCTCAGGGGATCCACGGTAACCCCCTGCTAGCTGCACCATCTTGGACAAGTTACTGGCTTCTATGTTTTAGCTTCCCCATCTCGAAAATGCAAGAACAATGCTCACCTTGAGGGATTGTGAGGATTAGGGTTGCTTTACATGGTCATGCATCATATAATGATAATGACATACATAACAGAGGTGCCGTAAGATTCTAATGGACCTGAAAATTCCTATTACTGAGTGATGCTGCCGCCATTGCACCATTGTAGCACAACTCACATGCTTGTGGTGACGTCGGTGTAAACAAGCCCACTGTGCTGTCAGTCATGGAAAAGTCTAGCACATACAGCTATTAATATATACAGCGCCTAATACTTGATAATAATAAATGACTGTGTTAGTTGCTGGTTTATGTATTTACCACACTACATGGTTTATTGTTATTTTAGAGTGTATTCCCACTATTTATTAAAAAGAAAGTCACTGTAAAGCAGCCTCAGGCAGGTCCTTCAGGAGGTATCCAGAGGAAAGCATTGTTATCCCAGGAGATGACAGCTCCATACACGATACTGCCCCTGAAGACCTTCCAGTGGGACAAGACGTGGAGGTGGAGGATGGTGATATTGATGACCCTGACCCCGTGTAGGTCTAGGCTAATGTGTGTGTTTGTGTTTTCATTTTTAACAAATCAGTTTAAAAACTAAAAAATAAAAATCTTAAAAGTGAAAAAAGGTCATAGAATAAGGATATAAAAAAAGAAAATACTTTTTGTACAGCTGTACAATGTGTATTTTAAGCTGTTATTACAAAAGAGTTAAAAGTTTTAAAAATTTAAGAATTTATAAAGCAAAAATGTTATCATAAGCTAAGGTTAATTTATTATTAAATAAAGAAATTTTAAAAATGAATTGAGTGTCGCCTAAGCGTATGGAGTTTATAAAGCCTGCAGTAGGGTACAGTCATGTCCTAGTCCTTCACATTCACCCACCTCTCACTCACTGCCTCTCCCAGAGCAACTTCCAGTCCAACAAGCTCCATCTGTTGTAAGTGCCATGTACAGATATACCTTCTCTTTTTGTCTTTCATACTGTGTTTTTAACTGCATCATTTCTGTTTAGATATGTTTATTTTAGAATCACAAATACTTTTCATGATGCTGCAGTTAACTACAGTATTCCATACAGTCGCACGCTGTACAGGTTTGTAGCCCAGAAACAACAGGCCATACTGTATCTCCTAGGCTATGCCAAATCTCACGTCTAATTTTAATCCTCAGTGTTAGAGGTGGGGCCTGGTGGGAGGGGATGGGATCATGGGGGCAGATTTTCTCCTTTGGTGCTGTTCTCATGATAGAGTTCTCACACAATCTGAATGTTTAAAAGCGTTCAGCACCTGCCCGCTCTGTCTCTCTTCTTCCTTCTCCAGCCGTATAAGGCCTACCTGCTTCCCCTTCAACTTCCACCATGATTAAAGCTGAGCAGATGCTAACATGCTTCCTGTATAGCCTGCAGTACTGTAAGCCAATTAAACCTCTTTTCTTTATAAATTACCCAGTCTCAGATATTTCGTTATAGCACCGTGAGAATGAACTAATAGGCTATCTTCTAACTATATATGTATATGTAGCTATCTTTTATCTATCTCTCTCTGTATCTCTTTTGCATACCTATCTATATAGTTATCTACCTATCTATCTGCGATGATTAATTTTATGTATCAATTTGGCTAGCCTATGCTAGCTAGTTAACTGGTCAAATATCAGTCTACATGCTTCTATGAGGGTATTTTATAGATGTGATTAATGTTTAAATCAATAGACTTTGAGCAAAGCAGATGACCTTCCATAAGGTGGGTGAACCTTATCTAATCAGTTGAAGGTCTTCAGAAAAAAGACCGAAGTCCCCAGAAGAAGAAGGAATTCAACTTCCAGACTGCCTTTGGACTCAAGACTGCAACATGAACAACTGCCAGCATTTCCAACCTACTGGCCTGCGCTGCAAATTTTGAACTTGCCAGCCTCCATAACTGTATGAGCCCATTATTTAAACTCTCTCTCTTTCCCTCTCATCTCAATTTCTTTCTATATATATCTGTATCCTATTGTATCTTTTTGGTTCTCTTTCTCTGGAGCACTCTGACTAATATACTCTCACTTGTTGTCTATCTCATCTTTTTTTTTTTTTTTAAAGTAAACTCCACAGGAGCATACTATGTTCATTGCTTTTTATTTTATTCATTTACTGTCTGTAAGTATGGTCTACCTTAGTCTCATCTGTATAAGCATGCTTCATATGGATACACAATGCTGTGCATCTCCTGACTGATGTTCATTTAGGGAGATTGAACACTTTGGCTGCATTGAGCATCCTTGTTTATACTCTTCGTGCATGTCTAAGAATACATCTGCGGTATACACTTCTAACAGCAGAATTGCCAGACAGTGGGGATGAGCATATTACATTTTGATAGAAATTACTGAGTTGCTCTCTAAAATGTTTGCACCAATTTACAAAACTGGCACCAGTCAACGAGAGGGGTTGTTTTCTGTATTTCTGCCACCATTTATCATTGTTAGGTGAAAAATAGAATCCCATTGGTTTTGAAACTTACATTTCTTTAACTGCATGTGAAAATTAGAATTCAAAATTACCAGCTTATTTTGTTTGTGTTAACTACAAACTGGTGCCCATTTATTTGGTCTGCAAAAACATATGCAGTATTTTGATCATACAATGAGCCCCAGTGCTAATGCAAGCCTGTATATAGCATCATATGCATCTGGCTTTGACCTGTAGAGCTGCTGGCTCCATCAACTCCCTCAGTCATTTGGTAAACCTCATAGTACCATGGTTTTGCATTTGATGTGATTGCACTTTCAAGACCCAATGACAGCATTATGGTAGGCATTTATTGTTTAAAATTAAGGCTAGAAATTAAGTATTGAATTTTATTAAAATATTTATAAAATTTTAATAAATATTACTGATTTTTTAAAAAACAGACACCATTTACTGTAATATCACAAGTCTATCTCATATACTATTATATATTCCTATATAATGTAGGAATAAATCCAACAAAAGTATTAAAATTTGTTAGGATAATTTTTTAATGAAAGAAATCATAAAGCTTCATTGATCACCATTAAAAATGGCTTAATTAAATGGACAGATATCTCCTATCTATGTAAGTTGGCTAGTTTCAATGTTTTAAAGATATCAGATCTCCCAAATAGATTCAATGTAATCCAATAAGAATCCTAATAGGTTTTTGGTAGAACTTAAAATGCTAAATCCAAAGTTTATATACAACTGGCCATTTATATGTTTTGTATAAAAGGGCCAAGAATAGCTAAGACATTCATGAAATGGAAGAATCAAGTGGGAAGACTTGGTCTAACAAATATCAAGAATTATTATGAAACTGAAGTAACAAAGGCAATGTAGTAAAGGAAAGGACAGATGTGAGCAGCTCAATGAAAAAACATATGTGTACATACTCAGAAGCAGCACTATGGAAGTAAGGAGATGACTAGATTCCCAACAAATGGTGATAAGAAAATCGAATACCTGTATAAGAAAAATGAAATTGACACTTATCTTACAACATAGCCAAAATTAGTTCCAGTTGTATTAAGAGAAAAAGTGTAATAAAGCCATAAAACTTTCAGAATATAAGATAGAAGCATATCTTCATGGTCTCAAGGCAAGGAAGAATTTCCTAATCTCCTTAACAATTAAGGAAGAGATGATAAACATAATTACATCAAATTTAAGATATATTTTCATCAACATAAACCTTACAAGAATGAAAAGACAGCTATGTAAAGAGAGATTATTACCAATTTATATCAACATCAATATTCAAACCTATATTCCTTATTTATATAACCAAGAAAGGTTATTTATAGAATTTCCAAATCAATAAGAGAAAATCAATAAGATACAAATCAATAAAAGAAAGATAAGTCAATAGAATAATGGGTAAAAACATAAATAAGCACCTTATAAAAGAGGATATACATTTGGATATTAAACATGTAAACATTGCTAAATTCCATCTTTAAACAGAGAAAAGCACGTTAAGACTACAATGAAAGGTATACTCACAAGAATGGTTAAATGAAAACACCGAGACTACCAAGTGTTGGCAAGTGTTCAACAGGAACTTTCAAGAACCCCTCTGAAAACAGGAATGTGCATTAGTTTCCTATTGCTGATGTAACAAATTACCACAAATGTAGTGGCTTAAAACAATACAAATTTATTCTCTTACAGTTGTGGAGGCTAGAAGTGAAGAATCATTTTCACTTGGGCTAAAGTAAAGGTGTCAGCAGGCTTGTTCTGGAAATTCTGAGATTGACTTGTTTTTCTTGTAGCTTCCCCTTACATTTTTAGCTAAATACTTTTATTCCCATTAATGAAAATAGTAATTAGACTCAAGAGAGGAGCTAAAGAAACTATGTGAACTATTGAGAGCTGATTGTCCAATTTGGTATTCATTGAAGTATAAAATGCCATTTTGATATAGTTAGGTAGAAATACAAATGAGATATTTTGTGGTTTGTTGGTTACAAGAATAAAACAGATCTTTATCATTATTTCCCTTTAAGAAGAAATCTGCAAGATAATTCAGGAGAAATTTTTAACTGTGGAGTGCCCAGGTAGCCAGTTTTTCATTTGTTTTAACAAGAAGATACCAACAGCTCACTCAAATGCTCTTGCTAAGCATACATCAGTAGTTGAAACATGACATGCTATTGCAGTGTTTTCTGCAATAACTGCTTCAAAGGTTATAGTAAAAGTTATTCCAAGAGGGGTAAGAAGGAAGCCACAATTTATGGACATTGCAACAAGCCAGCATCGGTAATTTCAACCAACGTAATTGGTGAGCTACATGCTGAGAATGGGTGATACTCCCCAAATGAAGAGATGTCACTAGAAAGAAAGAGATTAGCTTTTCAGAGTGCGGCCTGGATGAGTTAAGATAGCCGGGGTCCTGGTGGTTGGCCAGGCAATGAAATCATAAATCGCGGTGCAATGGTTCCAAATGGTTTTGGCTAGAGAAGACGATGCTGCCTGACCTTCTGGCCCTGACACTTAATTACTCTGCGAGTGAGCTTCCGGATTCTCCTTAGCCAGCCAACTTCAGAATGACAGGCCCGGACCCGGAGAAATGGTTGCCCCAAACCTCTGCTGCTGATCCATTCTGAGGGGAGACACACACTGACAAGGAGCCTTCAGGCCACTACTGTTTCTTGAATAAAGAAGGCATGTGATTGGGAGGTGGCACGGTTAAAGGACATGTTACACGCCTCCAGAATCAGTGTGACGCCTCACTAATGCTAGAGCAGAGTGAAATCAAATACATACATAGAGGAAATAACAAAAGATGCCGCTTTTGCTCAGGCTTGTTTCAGGGTTTAAGGATCTGGTGCGGAAACTGCCTGCAGAAAAGTTTGGGACCTTTGGCTCAAACATTCTGAAATTTCCATTCAGGTAGAAATGGTGATCTACACTGTTATCAAAAATGTGTTTATTTTGGCTCTGAAGCCTCTTATGTCAAAGCTAAGGAATTTAGAATGAGAGAACTACTTTCATAAGAAAAGACTAGGAAACTCACCTATTTCAAAATCTACCTAAGCCCTGGCTCAGATTTCATCTGGCCAATTATCCACAGGGCACTAAAAATGCAGACAGAGGATTTTATTTTCTTTGCTAAGATTGATATATTCTTGATAAAACTGATATATTGTTGAATGTATTTGATAATCAATTCATATAAGGAAACCTCATTTCTTTTAGTCCTGTAGGAGGTATTGAAAATATTTGAAGCTTTAAGGGACAGCAAAGAATAAACATACAGAAATTTCAACAGCCATAGTTGTAGAAATACCGGCAAACTGAAATTCTACAAATTGGAGAATTGTACTCATCCACAGATTAAAAATGAGTTGGCAAGTATAGTTCAGTTGTCAAAAGAGGATAATATCCCAATACTCAATATGAATAAAACATGTAGGGTGCATGTAGCCAGAGGCAAGCATGAATGCCAGGGTATTATTGACAACTGATGGTTGGCTGTTAATTGAATCTCCCATCTTTGGCACTTGGAACTTCTGTCTTGCTGTTTGCCTTGAATTTCCATATTGGACTTATTTACTTTAATTTTTTTCCAACTGAGGACTCAAAATTAATTTGTGCTTATATTAAAAAAGCTTCTAGTATTAAACTTAAAGTTAACTGCAAATGTGCAAAGACTCTGTTAATCATTGTGTGTTTTCATATGTCATATCCCATACAAAGTGTGTTTGGACAGAGACGGTTCTTAGCTTTCAACTTGATATGCATGCTGTGTCTTTTTTTAATTTAATGAATTTTAGACTTATGACCATTCTTTGTGTGGCAGTTTCTATTGGTCTGTAGATTGCTATCTGTCTGGATATTTATCCTTTACAGCAAGTTTCATCTACTAAATAAAAATAGGCAAATTCCTACCCAACATGACTTGAGAGGTCAACAGGCAACAGCCCCTGCTCGGAACTAGGCCAGCCATCCACAACCATCTCCAGCCACAACCTCTATGGAGCATATTCCATGTACCCATCACTATATGTGCCCCTGTAGGACACACATGTGCATTCCAATACAAACCCCCAGGCCTCCTTCCTTCCTAAGAGTCACTTGACTAAGAGATGGTGTCCCATCTTCCTATTTTATCTATGTCCTCATTTGTGAAACATTTGAGCTGATTTTCCTCTTTTCTTTATTTTTATTGAAATGAGGTCTCATTATGTTGCCCAGGCTTGTCTCAAACTTCTGACCTGAAATGATTTTCCCACCCCGGCCTCTGGAAGCACTAGAATTACAGGCATGAGCCACTGTGTCTGGCTTGATTTTCCTCTTTGTGGGTTGACCAAAAGGAAAAGCAACTGCCTCAACCAGCATTTACTCAAACGAGAGGAGATTTACGGCTTGCTATAAGAGGGGCAAGGTGTATCTTGGACATGGGTGTGATCACCCCAACTCAGCTTAAGCCCTTTCTCTCTGGCTCTGCAGCAGTCCTCAGTTCGGCACCCAGCTGAGAGTCGAATCCAGGGAAGGCCTGACCTGCTGGTGAAGCGATGTGCAGAAGGAGTCCCTGTCTTTGGCCACACGCACTCATTTGTTTACTCAGAGGCGAAGGCAGTTTTCTGTTTCTATAGTAATGGCACCTGCAGTCCCCACAGCTCCTGCACTGTGGAGCCAAACTACATCCCTAAATATTTAACTTCAGAGCCCCGGCTGCCTCATCACTCTTCCTTCCGCTGTTCCTCTGAGGCCGTAAAAGGATTTTTGGTATTTAAATGTTTTTCACTGTAGAGCCTTGGTCCAAAGGAAATACCTGGCAGAGAAGAGATAAAATCAGGCCGTTTTGGTTGCATCTTGAATACTTGAGGCCTGGCCCTCTAGGCATCTCTATTTGTTTTTCCCCAGGAAGGTTTCTGGGCAGGGACCTGAGTGTGGCTGTAGGGTGTGTGCTGCACATCTGTAGGGGGCGCTACTGGCGTCATAAACATGAGAACTGCCACTTGGAAGTACCCCAGTCAGCTGCAGCAGGGGGCCTGTGTGGACTGTAGCTCTCAAACCACTCTTCTAACTATGCAAGGGTCACAGATGGAGCTTTATCATAAATATGTTAACTCCAGTTTACACTTTCTCAGTGTTTAGCAGAAGGGAGCTAGGTCTTAGGAGGTCAAGGGTGTGGGACAGATAGCTGGAGGAGGGGCTGGGGAAGAGATGTGAGTCTGTCTGGTGTTAGAGAAAGGAGCCATCAGAGAGACATGGCAAAGCAGCTCTCTCTCCTTCAACGTTTTCCCCATGCAATCCTTCTCTAGGTGCTTGGGCTGGCAAGGGGTAGCCTGCCATTCTTTTGATTCTTTGATAATCACAATTCCAGATTTAGACGCGAGCCCAGAGAAAGAGCTAGGAAAGCTTCAGCTCTCTAAGGCCCAAAGGTGGTCAAGAAGGAATTATGAAGAGGTTTAATTTTTAAAAATAATGATATGATCTTGCTGCTTTAATAAACAGAATTTTGTGAAGTTCTAAAACAAAAAGAAACAACAAATAATTTTTTTCTCTCCTTCACCCCACCTCAAATGAAAAAGAAATTCTTTAAAAATAAGCCAATTTCCCCATCAGTTTTGTTCCTGGGTCCCTGTAATGTCAATCTTCCCATACACCCATGAGTGGTATAGAATGGCAGTAGTCTTAGGATCTGAAATTCTCTGGTTTCTAATGTATTCACATGATATCAATCTGTTAAACAGATGATATTTAACTTATTTAAATGTTTGATTCTTTATTTTTGAAAGTCATTTAAAGCTAGTCTTGAATAGCTAGAATTCATTCCGGATTTTCTTAAAATCTTTCCGGATTTTCTTAAAATCTTTCCGGATTTAATAGCACAATTTGTATTTCATGCCAGCCCACCCAAGGTGTTAGCAGAGATGGAATCTCTGATACAGTGTAGTTTTTAATGGCCTGTTATATTATCCTTTTCTATTAGACTCTATAAATATTGCAATGCATTTGCAAATAGAACACCAGTTGAACAAAACCATGAGTTTGACTGAATGTAATATTATTTCTTAAGAAATAATAATGTGAAAAATAAAAAATAAATTCAATTAATACTTCAAATACCTTTTATATGACAGCCAAGCAAAACTTAATTAAAGTTAATCATAAAAGCTTAAAATACCATCTATTTTATTCGATCATTTTGGTACAGTATGTGTCAGGGACCTATCTATATGGAAACTGTTCTATAAGCCAATTGTATTTTACTGCTTAATTATATAGCTTGAAAAGCAATAGTGTGAGAATAAAATATTTAAAAAGATGTGGAACAGGCATAAGTGTTCTTATTTGACTTGCAGGCTTGGATGCTGCTTTCACAAAGATTTGCTTTTTATATGGTATTAATCAGTTACTTTAAAGGCAGAATCGTTAATAAATCCATCCTGCCAAAATCGAGAGCTTGGTTTTTGCAAAAATACCAGTGACATTTTGGTTGGACTGGGATATAAGGTGTCTGGAGGATTAACTGTTCATACCGTTGAGAAAGGCATCGTCTATGCCCTTTAATGTATGTTAACAGGAGTTTTAGTGCCTTTTTATGAACCGCTTTCCAGGTATTTCATTGTCAATCTTTAGGTTAACACCGTCTTCTAAGGCTACAAATACTTGGGATGCGAATTAAGCATTTAGTTGTGTATTAATTAATTTTGCTCTAATGTAAGTCCATTTAATTTGATCCTTTGTTCTTGCTCTCGTCACAGAATGAGAAACGCTCTGGGGAGGAAGAGAAACAAGTACCCCCCTTCTGCCCCAGACTTCAGTTAGGGAGCTCCAAACCTGAGCACACGCTGTCAGAGTAGCTGGAGAGGGGAATAAAGATGCGACCACCTTACAGGAAGCCTGATTCTAAGAACTGAACATAAATTTGAAAATAACTCTCCTGATTTTATATTATTTTTAAAAGAACTGTCCCTGAAACTGTGATCACATATTCCCAAAACATCTGAGCATATTGTGATACCTAAAAGCAAAAGCATTTGTTATCTTGTATGCCAGATTTTAGACTTAAAAATCTGATATTCAAAAGAGAGTTTTCTGAAAAAACTTCGCAACACAACGAAAACAATAACTCAATAGCACATACACACAAAAACAAAAGAAAGAAATTGCAGACTATAAAAGGCATTTGCTTTTACTAGCAATAGAAGTGAGAAAAATAGGGAGTAGAAAAAATTTTTTGCTCTACCTAATTTAGTTCTTATAAATAATTTCTTTCCACCAAAAAAGAATGCAATGAAGGTTTTCCAACTCATTCTTTTGTTCCAGAGATTTATTGCTGTGAAAATGTTAGCTCTCATCTGATTTAGTGTCTGGGTGGTGGTGTCCTCTGGTAGAAAGAGGAATCCCTTGACAAGCTCAGGCAGTCTTGGCCCCTGGAGGTCTTCCAATAATTAGAGTCAAGCAAATCCTTGGAGGAAACCAGTAAGTCTGAGAAGCATTCCTCTTGTCTCTCTGTCGTCCTCTGCGCACTTGGAGTTATTCTGATAAAGCCACTCTGTGTCTCAAGGACTCAGCTTGCTAAGCTGTTGAAACTAAGGTAGAGATAATTGACGGGAGATGAAAAGGCCTGGATGCTGGGCTGGAAGTACTGGGGGTGTGAGCAGTTCTGAGCTGTGAGCTGCAGTATCATGTAAGTACAGACAGGCAGTGTAAACACGATGATTATGGGCCGGCGCTTTCAGGTGAGTAGACTATGTGGGAGTAAATTCCAGGCTGCTTTTCAGTTGAACAAACAACATTTTCAGGTTCCTGCTGTTTCGTTTGATTCATTTCTACTGCAAGGCTCTAGCGATATAAAATCGTATGAAAGTGCCCATTTTGCAATGTTCTGGGATTATGTCCTGCAGCATAACAGCCCAGCCAGTCTGCCCAGCCTCCGCGTATGATCACACAAAATTCAGCTGTGCTATAGAATAACTGCTCTTCAATTAGGAATGCTGTCAATACAATTGATTCTTCCAGAAACCCTGAGGCAGATTGGTCATATGTTGAACACACTTGCAGAGTCACTGCCTACTCATCCCAAAAGGGATGGTCAGAAGTTAATGATCCCAGTAACTTCAAGACCTGCATAATGGCTGGATCTGCCTCTCCTAATCTGTCTTTCTACTCCGTTCCAAAGGTAACCTCCACCCTTGTGAGGCCAGCCTTGGGCCTGCTGGAATTATCCCTGACTTTAGGTCATTGCTCATATATGATATTTATTCCCCATCAAGGGTTTTATTTATTTTACTATTTAGCTATTTCCTGGGATTAAGGTGGTGATTTACCTTATATTAAGCTGTGAAAGTTCTTATTATTTTAGTCAACACATTAAACCTAGGGAGGCATCTAAATTTTATGATTCTCTAATTAGAAATGAATTCCTAGAATTTTTCTCTAAATCATCTGAGGTGGTGGTATCCCACTAACCCTAACACGATGGGACACATACACAGAGAACTGAGCATAGTAGATTGGACGTTACCTTGAATTTTCTTTAAAGTCTTGGATCTCTTTGGGGAGGACTGATAGATGTCCCTATGAGTTCATGCATGTAATGCTCTCAGAACAGTGTCTGTGGCCTAGTAAACACCCAGCGTTAGCCCTTATTTTTTCTTCACTTTTCACTGTTCCGCAGTAAAGACAGAAGTGGACATCTTTTGAGTCTTGCCAATAACCAACATGAACGGAGAGGTGAGAAGACTCCACCCCACTGCTAACTGAGGTGCTAAATGAGAAGATAATGCTACCTCACCTGACTGTACGTCACTGCCCTCTAAATTCTGTTGATTCACGGATTACAGAGAAAGGAGATGAACACACTCCTCCCCACTTTCTGGGAGCCCAGTCTGGCCACATTTCCAGCTGTGAGCAAGTGGTAGATGTCCTCAGCCTGTGCGTGTTGATGTTTCACACATGCTGAGATTCAGAGACAGGAGGGCGCCCCTCCTACAGCCAATTTCCAGAGAAGGGCAGGATTCAGATTTCCTTTTCAGCCAATGATGAGACTAAGGTTAACTTGAAAAATGATCCAGGACGCAAAAAGAATTGAAAACACTTTGGCAGGACGAAGTGGCTAACGCCTGTAATCCCAGCACTTTAGGAGGTCGAGGCAGGCAGATCACCTGAGGTCAGGAGTTCGAGACCAGCCTGAATAACATGGTGAAACCTTGTTTCTACTAAGAATACAAAAATTAGCCCAGCGTAGTGGCGGGTGCCTGTAATCCCAGCTACTCAGGAGGCTGAGGCAGGAAAATCGCTTGAACCCAGGAAGCGGAGATTGCAGTGAGCCGAGATAGCACCATTGCACTCCAGCCTGGGCGACAGAGCAAGGCTCCATCTTAAAAAAAAAAAAAAAAAAGAAAAGAAAATACACCAAAAAAATATGGCAAGCAATGTTTTCATGTAAACCCTGATTTACTTCAGGCACTCATCTGAAGTGTTGGGTGTACACGATTTGTGGAACTTTTTAATGGCAAGATGATCATTGGCCAAAACACCAATGTACCAAATTTCTTTGGGCCCGTGAAATATGAATGGGCCTTGTCTACACGTCCTCTTGTGACTCTTTTTGTCCATGCTCTCCTTGAGGTCAAAGGTGAACAGGTTTCAAGCCTCCACTCAAAGGAAGGCTCCTTCAGGGTTCCCCACAGGCTCCCTCATAATTGGATACAATAACTCTGACTTGGCACAGTCTGGTTCCTTGTCCATGTTGGCATCCCAGCTCAATGTCTGTTAGAACCACACATAAAATCCACACAACATCTCTAGTGTGCTCTGTCCACTGCCTCTGCGAGTCTTCCTGAATGAGATTGCCCACATCATGTGTTCTGATGCTTGGAAAGCCTGACAACTGCTTTACAAAGAGGCAAAAGCAAACATCAACACCCAATACCATGCGTATTAGTCCATCCTCACACTGCTGTAAAGAAATACCTAAGACTGGGTAATTTATTTAAAAAACAGAATGAATTGGCTCACAGTTCTGCAGGCTGTACAGGAAGCATAGCAGCGTCTGCTTCTGGGGAGGCCTCAGGAAGCATCTAGTCATGGCAGAAGTCAAAGGGGGAGTGAGCCCTTTCCATGGCCAGGGCCGGAGGAAGAAGAGATCTCATGAGAACTCGCTCACCATAAACAACCAGATCTCACGGGCATTCACTCACTACACAGCAGCTAGGGGGATGATGATGAACCATCCGTGAGGAATGCACCTCCATGATCCAATCACCTCCCACCAGGTCCCACCTTCAACACTGGGAATTACATTTCAACATGAGATTTGGGTGGCAACACAGATCCAAACCATATCACCATGGGCCCAGAATGTTCATTTGTGGCTTTGGGAAAGAAAGAACCATAGATAGGTCATTTGTAACTTTCCTGCATGGAGTTACAAATACTTGGGTTGCTTGTATTCCAAAGCTTCTCGATCACTTCTCATATGGTTTGGCTGTGTCCCCATCCAAATGTCATCTTGAATTGTAATTCCTACGTGTTGTGGGAGGGACCTGGTGGGAGATAATTGAATCATGGGGTGCTGACTCCCCTGTATTGTTCTCATGGTAGTGAATAAGTCTCAAAAGATCTGATGGTTTAATAAGTGGTTTCCCCTTTCACTTGACTCTCATTCTTTCTTGCCTTGTAAGATGTGCTTTTATCCTTTTGCCATGATTGTGAGGCCTCCTCAGCCACGTGTAACTGTGAGTCGATTAAACGACCTTTTCTTTATAAATTACCAAGTTTCAGGTATGGGGTCGAAGCCCCCACACAGAGCCCGCATTGGGGCACTGCCTACTGGAGCTGTCAGAAGAGGGCCACTGTCCTCCAGACCCCAGAATTGTAGATCCACCAACAGTTTGCACCGTGCACCTGGAAAAGCTGCAAGTACTCAGTGCTATCCTGTGAAAGCAGCCAGGAGAGGGGCTATACCCTGCAAAGCCACAGTGGCAGAGCTGCCCAAGACCATGGGAACCTAGCTCTTGCATCAGTGTGACCTGGATGTGAGACATGGAGTCAAAGGAGACCATTTTGGAACTTTAAGGCTTAATGACTGCCCTATTGGATTTTGGACTTGCATGGGGCCTGCAGCCCTTTTGTTTTGGACAATTTCTTCTATTTGGAATGGGCGTATTTACCCAATGCCTCTACCCCCGTTGTATCTAGGAAGAAACTAACTTGCTTTTGATTTTATAGGCTCATAGGTGGAAGGGACTTGCCTTGTCTCAGATGAGACTTTGGACTGTGGAATTTTGAGTTAATGTTGAAATGAATAAAGACTTTGGGGGATTGTTGGGAAGGCATGATTGTTTTGAAATGTGAGGACATAAGATTTGAGAGGGGCTGAGGTGAAACGATATGGTTTGGCTGTGTCCCCACCCAAATCTCATCTTGAATTGTAGCTCCCATAATTCCCAAGTGTTGTGGGAAGGACCTTGTGGGAGATAATTGAATCATGGGGGTGGATTCTCCCATATTGTTCTCATGGTGGTGATAAGTGTCATGAAATCTGACGGCTGTATAAGGGGTTTCCCTTTTTAATTGGGTCTCATTCTGTCTTGCCTGCAGCCATGTAAGACATGCCTTAGCACCTCCTATGCCTTCTGCCATGATTGTGAGGCCTCTCCAGCCATGGGTAACTGTGAGTCCATCAAACCACTTTTTCCTTATAAATTACCCAGTCTCAGTATGTCTTTAATAGCAGTGTGAGAACAGACTAATACAACTTCTTTCTGTTTGATAGGGATGATGATATATTTCTCTTTTCCTAAGAATTTAAGTCATGCCCAGTGGGAGGATGGAAGTACTATCCTTCTTTAGCAAATTTTAATGGTTCTATACGTAGAGTGGGCTTGAGTAAGTACTGAGAAGCACTGTTTTTCTGTGCTAGGAAGAGTAACCCTGAAAGAGGGAGAGAAGTACCTGCTGGGTTCAACTCTTCTTCCCCAGGGCTTCCACCCAGACAGGTGGCAGTCAATGGGCTGGGTGCTGCACCCACGTTCTGTTTTGGACCCATTATTTAATGAACATTTTCCTTGCAATTGCAGGGTGAGTGTTGTTAACAGGGAGTCTGTTAACATGGCAAGGGGGTCTTGCCATGGAATCCAGGGCTTCTCTCTCCTCCCACTTCTCTCTCCCGTCCCTGCTTTCTTTTCATCCTCAGCCTCCTGTAGTTCTCCCCTTCTCATTTCCAACTTATATGGAACTCAGTTTGCATAGAGAACGTCTCTGCTCCCAGATTCCCTGACACATTTCTTTTTTCCCATGGAAGAGAAAAAAGGCCTCATGCATTTATTTAATCCTAAATGTTCTTAGGCTCAGTCTCAACCTATTTGTCAAAATTAATATATTGATATATGTCTGACGATTACTAGTCTATGCTCTTTGCACATGGTGCTTTCGGGACAGTATAGAGATTAAGAACTGGAGCATAGAGTCTGCTCTTCTCACCACTTTTTGGCTGTGTGGCTCCAGACAAGTTACTTAACCTCTGTGTGCCTCAGTTCCCACCGCTATAGAACGGGAATAATTGTGTTACCTATTTCATATGTGTGTTGTGAAGTTTCAATGAGGTTCAGGAGAAGCATTTTTATTTGTGCCTAGTACAGAGGAAACTCTCAGTGTATGACAGCTAATTATTTTTCTTTGATTTTAATTATTAACTCTCCAAATTCTTTGAGCTGTCATCAAAATGCAAATGCAATGACAAATATATTACAATTTCTTAATTTTGAGAAAATAGAAGTAATGATTCCCATTACAGTTAGCTAGAATATCAGGCTATGCTTTATTTATTTATTTATTTATTTATTTATTTAAGATGGAGTCTTGTTCTCTCACCCAGGCTGGAGTGCAGTGGCATGATACCGACTCTCTGCAACCTTCCTTTCCCAGGTTCAAGTGATTCTCCCTTCTCAGCCTCCCAAGTAGCTGAGGTTACAGGTGCATACCACCACACCCAGCTAATTTTTTGTATTTAGTAGAGACAGGGTTTGATCACGTTGGTCAGGCTGGTCTCGAACTTCTGACCTCAGGTGATCCACCCACCTTGGCCTCCCACAGTGCTGGGATTACAGGCATGTGCCACCGTGCCTGGCCCAGGCTGTGCTTTAAGTGGTGGAGTTCCAGGAGGAAGCTCTCCTCTCTGAGAAGGTGCCACCTTCGCTTCACTTGCTTTTGTTCAAGAAGAATGGTCAGAAAAGAGGTGGGTAGGCAGGACCAGAAATGAGGGACCAGGAATGTCTACAATCAAATTTGCCATATTAAAAAGAACATTAAGAGTTTGAGGACCTGCCTGTATATGCAATTTTGGTAAAAATAACTTTTCTTCAGTTTTGCATATCTAAAAAATGAAGATGATACATTAATCAGCTAATTTTCCAGGGTTATTTTGAAGATAAAATGCATTGGTCTATTTGAGTAATCTTTAGACATTATTTATACGCAAGACATAATTTTTCTTTCTGTTTCTGGTTAAGCCCCCAGGGAGTGCTTGTGGGATTCCGGAAGGTGGAAAGAAATACTTTCCCCCTTCAAATCCAGTAAGTTGCTAAATTGTCAGTGTGCTTAAAAAAAAAAATAGAGACACATTCAGGTTTCCACACTTTTTAAAATCTGAAATATAAAGCTTCCTTAGGGAAAGTTACTGTCCCAATTAAGAAATTTATTCATACATGTATTTATGTAAAACAGATGTATTAGACAAAAGCTTTGATGCTTTTCTCAGGATTTTAGAAAATTCTCACAATTCATAAGTTAGAATAAGAAAAAACTCATTTCTAATTTCTCTTTTTTCACTTAGTAACAATTTACTGTGACTACTTAGCAAGCACTTTTGACATCTCTGATTCTGGTATCAAATGTCGAGAATATGAGACACCGCCTTTGTCCAGTACTCCCAGAGTGTCTGAATCAGCATCAGGTTCCAGTCCTCACCTGGGACACTCCTAAGTTTTTTTAAGTTCCTTGAGAGTTGGGCTTGCATCACTCATCCACATCTAGCAAAGCCCTTGGCTCTTTACAGGCAGATAGGAAAAGTGTGTTTGCGGAACTGCACTGAACTGCTGAACTGTGTCAGTCAATCCATCCACAATGTGAAGCTACAGAGTGACGGCCCACGAGGCCATCGTGGAAATGGGCAGTGATAGATGCATCGTGAGACCATTCAGCCACCGTGAGCATATGTCCACCTCAGCGAGCCTTTAATTAACGAATGTCCCCATTTGCTCTTAGCCAAGACCACGCGCCTTTGAGCTGAGACGAATTCAGACACTCAGTCCCTCAGAAGGATGATCAAAAACAAGATCAGAAAGATGTCACAATTTACAATCTGCTGAGGCACTGCTGGGCTTCCTGCCTAATTTCCCCTAGCTCTCCCTGTAGATTCTAGGAATGTAGAAGAAAAAGATATTTGCAAGGCAGGCTTAGCTAGCATTCCACAAATACGTAGTAGAATGAGTGTTCATGTTGACACCTGTAAAAATCTTACTTGAATTTTTCCACATTTATATTTCATATGGTAAAGCATTTTAGCTGTAGGGAGACAGTCAGACCTCATCTGTCCTGAGGCATTGATACGACTACTTTCACTGCATTAAAAAACTTTCTTAGTGTGATTTCTAGGGACATCTAAAATCAGCAGCTGAGGATGACATGGATATTTGTTTTGCTTATGGACACAGGATGTAGATTAAATAATTCCATGGCAACAGGTATTGCAAAGGTACTTTTCCTCGGGAGTTTTCCTTTTGGCTGTTTTGCTCTTGGAAATATCGAACATCTGCCCAGGGCAAATAGCTAAATAGCTGCAATTTTCTAGCTCCTATTTTTGGCTTTCGGTGCCAGAGGCATTTGAACACCCATGTTGGAGGCGGGGTTCTCATGGAGACTTGGGAACCGAAGAGAGCCAAGCTGTTTTAGATCAATTGCTCCCCGTGCTTAAAGGGCTAGTAAAAACAGGTTATAATGTTGACATGACTTTTTATGGGTCAGAGTTTATTACAGTTCTATTCTATGGCCTACAGCAGAGGAACATTTTACAAGATTTTGCTACGTTTGACAGTTCTGTTTCAGTGCATCTGGTAGGGGAAGTATTTTTTTTTTCCTTCCTTTTATTCTGTCTTTTTCTTTCTGTTTTATTCTTGTTTTATTCTTTCCCTTCTGAAAACAAAGTGGGCTCTTCAGCCTCCCTGATTGCAAGCAAACTTTCTTTTCCTTGGAAAGCTATAAACCAGTTTAGACCCAAGATTCTACAGAAGGTTCTGAGAAACCCTACAATTTCAAATAGCTTTCAGTCTTCCTTTGGAGGTTCATATACATAATAAACAGAAGGATCTTTTACCGATATGTTTGCATTTGCATAAATGTCTTGTGATTTTTCTTTTCTCTGTGTTAGTCAGCAGAGTGTGGTGAACCAGGCTCTGGACTCTGGGGACTGGCAAGCTGACATTTTTATTATTGTTCCACTATTTGTTTATTACTTCCGGCAAATTTCTTAACCTTTCTGAGTTTGGGGTTAACGACACCTACTCACAAAATCATTGTAAGGGTTAAAAATGAAATTATGCATCAGTCAGGCATAAGATCATGGTCATTTTATTCATTGTTTTATTAATAACTATTGTGGAACACCAACTATGTGTTGGACATTGTTATGTGCCTTAAAGATAAAGCAAGTGAACAAGAGTCATGGTTCCTGCTCTCAAATTCTTCTGGGAGAGAAATAGAAGATACACAACCGATGTTTGCCAGACTTAAGTGCTAAGAAGAAAAATAAATCAGAGTGAGAAGCAGGGAGTGCTGTTTCAACTAGACTGGTCAAGAAAAGCCCTGTGATGACGTCACATTTGAATAGAAGACTAAATCTAATGGCTGATTAGATTAAGCCTTAAAGCTGAGGAAGAATAAACAGGAAATGCAAGGGCCCTGAGGCAAGAGAAAGAGTGATTTGTTCCGGAGCAGCATGGAAGTCCAGGTGCCGGGCCCCTACACTCTAGGGAGAGAGGCAGGAGATGAAACTAAAGAGATAGCTGGGCCAGATCAAGTAGGGCCTTCCAGGACGTTGTGAAGGCTCAATATTTAGTCTAAGAACAATAAGGAGCCATTGGAAGCTTTGAGCAAAATTAAGCCATAATCTAGTTCCATATTAGAAGTATCTATTGCAAGAACAAAAAACCAAACACCGCATATTCTCACTCATAGGTGGGAATTGAACAATGAGAACACATGGACACAGGAAGGGGAACATCACACTCTGGGGACTGTTGTGGGGTGGCGGGGATGGTGGAGGGATAGCTTTAGGAGATATACCTAATGCTAAATGATGAGTTAGTGGGTGCAGCACACCCGCATGGCACATGTATACATATGTAACTAACCTGCACATTGTGCACATGTACCCTAAAATTTAAAGTATAATAATAATAAAATTAAAAAAAAAAGAAGTATCATTTTGGCTTCCATTTGGAGAACAGACTGTAAGGGAGAAGGGGAAGGAACTGGGAAGAAAGCCTCCTCTTACATAGCCAGGGGCAACACAAACCCTGGCAGCCTTGCTCTCCAGAAGTTAATATTTTATGTGTTGAATGGGTATCTTGCTTGTGCTAATATGTGACTTAGTTTATGTATTGAGATCATATTAATTTCATTTGTTTCTGTTATCTTTTTCCTGTTATCAGCTTTATTTTAAATGTTTAAAATGATAGCACATCCTCTTAAGTGACGTTTACTCTTAGCTGCTTGTGTCAGAAGACCAGCTATCGGTGTCTCTCTTCCATAAGTACTGTGGTTTTTAAAAGTCAGAATGATTCAGCCCAGGTTGGTTATAATAATGATGGCCAGGACACTGTCCGGTGAGTCCGTCAGGGATTGCTTTCTGCTCATGGAGTTATGAGTTCAACCAGGGTATTTGGCTCTTGGAGAACCTCATTCACAGATCAAATTCAGCCACCCAAAGTCTACCAAGAACTGTAACAGGAGGAAAATGTGAACTCCCCAGCAGGGTGGTTCTCAGTCTTTCTGTGCATCAAGTTTATCTGTGGAGTCCTTAAAAAATACGGAGGCAACTGCGCTGACGATCCGGCTGTTTAGAAACTTTCACTGTCAGCAAAGAATGCCCCGCACTTTTGTGGGAGGAAGGAGAGGGAGGAGATGGGGCGTTTTAGTGATACAGACACTATGGAGCAATTGAACGTATTTATCTGTTCTCCCATCCTTATAACCCAAGCACCTAAAATAACTGTTTTCATCTTATGAATCACACAGAACAATAATGTTCAGAGCTGTCCTTACTTGCAGGCAAACTAGAGAGCTGTCTATGGGGCAAGACTTGAAGGGGCTGAGACTACAGTCCTCAGGTCCATGCTGCCAATCATGCCTGAAATTCCACCACCACCACAAGAGATGAACGTTTTAAACATTTGACCCCTATAAAAATGCAAACGCTGCTGGGAGGGATCGTAAATCATTAATACCACTCTGTGAGTTTATCAGATCACTCCTTGCTATGTTGTAGGAGGGAGAAGGGCTGGGAATGAGTAAAGAATGCTTACCTGGTGTCGAGTGTGGCAGGGAAATTGAGAACAGCATTCAGATTGGATCTTTTGAGGACAGGGCAATCAGGCCAGTGAAAGTTTAAAGTGCAAAACCTTACTTGTTACATACTTTGCGTGGGGGAAGCTGGTAGTAGCAGCGAACACTGTGATAACATGCAAATAATTATTCTATAGTTTCCATTTACTCAGGGGTAATTAAAACCATTTATGCGATTGGCCACAGAGAGGTGGTCAGAGAGGTGGGTTTACACTCCAAGTTGCTCTAATTCAGCTGTTTGAAATAGCAGGCTCCCCCATCTGTTAAGAAATATATATATATATATGTTCTCCTGAATTTTTATGAGTTGGACTCATCACATCTCTGCTTTGGCTTAAGAAAATAGTAAAAGCCAGAATATATAACTGGTTTCCATCCCCAAGAGTGGGTACACATATCATATTATGTGATCCTTGGAAAACGTCCCTTCCTCTGCAAAACCTAGCCACACTTGGATGTTTTCTTATGCTCAAATGGACTCTTTTTGCCAACTGTTGGACTCACTCTCACAGTACAGGTGGTCAAATCAAAATCAGGAAGGAACACATGGCACATTTCTTTTGACCTTATCATATGTGATATTAAAAGATAGCCTCTGTGTATTTACTTTCCGTCCAGGCCACACACACATACCAAGCAATGTATTCTTTGTTTAAATATATAGGACATGCTTAAAATGTTCACTGGGATTTTATATGGAATATTAGTTTTTCTTGGAACTTTTGGCCAATGGCACATTTTTGGAGAAATTCTCAAACCTGCATAATTCAAAATTGGCTGTCATACCTGCAATTGTCCAGACAAAAACAAACGATCCAAGATTCCCAGTGCAAATATCATGGAATCGTGACACAGAAATAAAGAAGATTACTTTGCAAGTAAATTACCTTGTCCATCTTTGTCTCCCCTTCAGGTTAGAGCTCAATGCTTGCATATTTAAACCCCTCAGAAATGTGTGCTAAATGAATGAACAAAATCGAGTGTATGTTAGGGAGCCATGACTAGGATGCTGGTGGGCGTCATCTAATAACACTGGAGAAGGGAGGGCGTGTCTTGGCTAAGCAATAATTTGGATAAATATAATCACTGTCTTGATTGTTGTGAAGGTATTTTAGTGGAAGTGCACTTTTCTCTAAAGATATGGGACCAGAGACAAAAGTTTGATCAGTTTTCAAGTATGTAATTATGACATTTACAACTGTTTGAATTATAGAAGTATCAAAAAGTGCTGCTCTAAAGGTTGCTAGCTCTTTATCATAAAAAATATTCCATAAGGGGTTAGATGATGACTCCTCAGGTTTTTGGGAAACAGTCTCTAAACTGAGAGAATGATTGATATTGATTGTTAGAATCTACTTCAATTCTATTATTACATGATGTGTCTGAACTCATATATTGATATATTAGTATCTCATTTCCTTCACATATGGCTGTTTCTAGCCAATGTATTTTAATTCTTCACATAATGCCCTTAGTCACGTGGTTGTGTTTTGCTATCTTTTGATATATCGTTTATCCGTTGCATAAGATTTCAGTTTTCTCATTTGACTTGTGAGATCAATCTCATAATTTTAAGGTCATGCTCTGTAAAATACTTAGTATTCTTGCATGATAAGTACAAGTGAAGACCAAATGCCCTGAGTTTTACGTGAAATTATCAGTGGGTTTCCTAGTTATCACAGCTGAACTGGAACAGTTAAGGCACTACAGGTGTCTTTATTTCAGTTGACTATTTCTGACAAGACAAACTTTGAAGAATCAACTTCCTCTATATAAAACAATATTTAATTTATAATTCTTTATTATAGCTAAAAGTAAAAAAAATGCAGTATCCATAATATGCAAAATGCAAACAATCTGCAATTTATTAAGCACTTTATTTTAGTTCTCAAGATAAATGGGAATAATACATGATAAGATGCTGTCTTTCGAGAAGTTTAGTTTCTGGTTGGGGAGAACTAAAGGAGATGATATCATATGATATGATTGATATGATATGATATGATAAATGCAGAAATGACTACTGCACATGATGGGAAGTGTTAACTGACAGAGGTGGCACCATTTAGTTGATATTTCAGTTCTGAAAAGGGAGTTGCGAAGACTGGAAGGTTAGCGGAAAAGCTGGCTTCAAGAGGGGCTTGGAGGGAGCACAGACTGTGAATATACAGGTGAGGAGGAAGGGCTTTGAACCAGCCGTGGAAGGAAAACAATGTAAGAAATTGTGTCTTCCACTCCATGAAGGGAAGTCATGGGAAACAGTCCACAGTCTACACAGCCTGAAGGGCTGTGGTAATGAACTTGGGCCATGTGTCAGCACATGGGTGAGCCAGTGAATGCTGATGCAGGTAAATGGACAGAGACTCCATTATTTGAAGATGACCTGGAAGAGATGGGTAGGATTGATTACAGTAGGAAAAGAATGATGTTAGTGAGAGTCTAGGGAACACTCTCATCATTGAGCCAAAAGATAGCATGCACCAAGGGCCTGAAACAAGAAAGTGGTATGCAGACAAGGAGAAGATGAATAAGAGATACCAGGAAATCACAATCCAAGTTGACTAGATGTTCAGCCTGAGTTTAGGAAAAAAGATGTGATAGGAACTTCAAAGAGAAAAGCAGGTTTGGAGAAGATGTTGAGTTTCCCTGTGACCATGCTGAGACGGGGTGTGGGCATGGCAGGTGGGCTTACATGTCACCAGGTGGCTGGGAAGGTGGACCAAATTTTAGAAAGTGGTTTGGGCATCTGTATATCCAAATTTGGGAGTGATCTACAAACAAGCCTCAGTAAAAGAATGAGATAACTAAGGGAGGAACACATAATGTATATTTTATGAATTATTTAAGCTTTTAAAATACGAACACATGGTATTTTTCAAAGCATATTTGTTTTCTTGAAAGAATGAGATGGATTTTGTGATTGGGACATGATTTTTGGGCATATTCCTGTAACAGAGAACTGGTTTTAAGAGAAAGAAAAGATTTCCTATATTAACTTGTCTTTATTTCATGTTTGTTTTTGCAAGAAGATGAACATGAAGCAAGGTCTTTAACAAAATATTTATGCTGTTTAATATCATTTTAATAAACTAATATTTTTCAACCAAAAACTGATAAATTTTTAAATGAATCACAATATAATATAACATTTTATTGGGATTCAAGAAGCTGCCTTTTTAACTGCATGTAAGAAATGATGATTTCATCAGCCTCCTCAGAGGAACAATTAGCATGAAAGGAGATACTGATTTGTGCTCAGCCCTCTATAACTGCAATAAGCCAAGAATTCCATGGTCTTTCCTATAATGATAATAACCATTGTCTACATTTAATTTCTCTGCAGTTATTAATCTGTTTTCTCACTGTTCTTGATATAATGTCCTGGAAAACAGGAAAATAAGTGTTTTTATAATCTATGTGGCATAAGTCCCCCAAACCAGAACGATTTCATGAGATCGTAAGTTCTTGAGCAATGAATCTCAAATACTGTATATCATGGAAGAAAAGTGAGCCACCGTATCCCTTTTTGGACAACTGTACATTTTCAGCACTTTTTCTGCACAGTATCACCTCAAAGGGATACTCTAATGAGTCAAAGAACCTTTCCTCCCGGGTGTGACATTTTTGCAGACATGATGTCACCTTCCAAAATTTCTTGGCTCACTGAAGGAAATATGAAACGTGTTGACGTTATGCTGGAGATTAATTGGGTTCTAATTTTTAATTTTGGAAATCTTCTTGGTCCTTTTGAGTGACAGCTGAGATCAAACTTGCGAATATATTGGAATAAATCACCTAAGGGGATACTATCCCTGGCGAGCTGAAGATCTTCATGGAGATGTCGTGCAAGTATGAGGTGTTTTGTGGGCCGCCTGTGGCAGACACACTGAGCTTTGTGTCAGGTTTCACTAGAAGAAGAGATTAAACAAAATGTAGATAGAACTAAACTAAATTAGTCCACTATTTTAGATTGTAGGCATTTGTTACTGAATTTTTCAGACTCTCTCAAATTTCTGGAAGGCTTTTGAAGATTACCTGGCTTTGTGATTTATCATTACTTTTTAAAATTTTAAGGATTTTTTTTTACTTTAATCCAAAGTAAGATAGTAGAAACTTTCTATTTTTAAATAAGTCATTAATTATGTATTAATCCAGTAATATTAGTGTATGTATTTTGAAATTAAGTCATACTATTTTAACTTAAATTGATTTCATCATTTTTTAATATACATCTAGGTAAAATTCACAAAATATGTATAAATCAATTTCTTAGCTTGGGATTGAAAACTAATGCTACCTTAATATCACTTACACTTAATACCACTTTAGCAACATAAATACAGGTTAAATTTATTTCATCCATAGGAAACAAAAGAGAGCATGCTTTAATCAAAGCTTTCACCTTCACATATGTTGTAAAACGTAATTTTATGTTAATATTGAGAATAATATCTCTTTACCTAATATAACAATAACTTTTAGGAGTTGAAATCAATTTGCTCTTATACATAGTAGTAGGTATATCTAAGAATATTTTAGAAACCATTAAGAAAAAAAGGCTGAATAGCTTTAAAAAGGTAGTGGCATCTTGAGATTAAGGAGAGTCGACTCCAGTGTTTAGAAGTTCTAGAGAAGATCAGATTTAGAAACTGAAGGTGAGTGCCAAGGAAATCTTACTAGTTAGGAGGCCAAAATCTCCAGGTGGGTTCTGTAATCAGGGCCATACACAGGCAGCCGCAGTCTGGAAGCAGGAAGGGGATTGAGGGGAAAGCCTGTGTGTCAGGGTGGGGGCATGCTCTAAACTGACTTAAGGGCGGCACACCCAGCAATGCAAGGTATGGGATCTTAAAATATCTTTGTCTAAGCTCTCAGAGCATAGGGGCAGGGTGGGGGAAGAACACACCAATGCCAAAAGGAAAGCTACCAATGCCGGAATCCAGGCAGATTTTTAAAACCACCTTGACCAGAGCTAGAAAATCTGATGCCTGAGAGGGTCATGAAGTGAACCACCGTGTGAAGCAGGCAGGTGTAAGATGAGCTGCTTCTGCTGCCAGTAGGAATAACACCGGCTTCTTACACCACAGCGCGGGCGTGCAGTGGACACTGCCAGAACATATAGAGGAGACAAGGTCCAGGGGCAGCAGAGCCTGACCTTGGATGACCTTGGACATGAAATAAGGAGTGTGGATTCAACATCGATGGAAAGCCTTTGGATGCTTAAACAGGTGGTGACACAATCTGGTTTGCAGTTTGAAAGAATGACTGTGACTTCCAGGTAGAGAATGGAAGGGAGGGTGTCCAGAGTGGAATTGTTTAGGCCAATTAGGAGGCCGGGACTGCTCCAGGTGCAACATGATGATAGTTGGGAGTAAGAGGTGGTGTTGGATGGGAGAATAGGAGATGCCAGATCCAAGTGGTATTCTGGAGGTGATGTCAGCAGGACCTGCTGAGCGAGGATGTGGTGGTTGAGGGACAGAAAGAAGTCCACCATGACTTCTGGTCTCTACCTTGAGTAAAGGAACAGATGCTGAAAGCAGACCTCATTTATAGGTGCTGCAATCTCGTTGTTTTAGGTCATCTGAACTTATCAAATAATCTTCTTGTTAGTGTATTCCTGTGAAAAACTCAAGCAACCATCACCAGCTAATACCATGCTTTCTCCTTACCACTGACAAATGTTGCCTCACTGAGAACCTAGAAACATCTTTAAATAAATCTTTGCTCAGGAATGAGTAGGCATTTTTGTCCCAGTGTCCTAAGTTTCTGTGGAATATTTTGACAGGTTTCATTCAAAGCATACTTTATTTTAATAATGAAGAAAGATGGCACAAGACACGAAATAGATAGAAAAAACAATGAGGTGATTTGAAGGTCTTGGTGCACATGTGCTGAGGGCAATGTGAAGACAGAGGTAACCATGCTATCTGTGCATGTGCCTGCATCCGAAAGCAAACCTGAAATGTCTTGAAGAAAAGTTGAGAGTTGGCAATGATGAAATCTCACTGTAGCATATAAGCTGTGTCCCATTACTGGGTATATACCCAAAGGATTATAAATCATTCTACTATAAAGACACACACACATGTATGTTTATTGCTGCACTATTTACAATAGCAAGACTTGGAACCAACCCAAACGCACATCAATGATAGACTGGATAAAGAAAATGTGGCACATATACACTATGGAATACTATGCAGCCATAAGAAAGAATGATCTCATGTCCTTTGCAGGAACGTGGATGAAGCTGGAAATCATCATCCTCAGCAAACTAATACAGGAACAGAAAACCAAACACTGCATGCTCTCACTCATAAGTGAACATGCAGTGTTCAAGCTGAACAATGAGAACACATGTACACAAGGAGGGGAATATCACACACTGGGGCCTGAAAGGGGAGGGAGAGCATCAGGACAAATACCTAATGCATGCGGGGCTT
The DNA here is from genome assembly GCF_000001405.40 of Homo sapiens. NCBI lineage: Eukaryota > Metazoa > Chordata > Mammalia > Primates > Hominidae > Homo > Homo sapiens. The sequence continues at coordinate 105,963,330 of NC_000013.11, read as the reverse complement.
AAAAGCTAGATGATGGGTTGATGGGTGCAGCAAACCACCATGGCACATGTATACCTATGTAACAAACCTGCGTGTTCAGCACATATGTCCCAGAACTTAAAGTGAAATAATAAACAAAGAATATAAGCTGTGTAATAAGCACAGTGATAGAAGTTTGCATGGATTGTAAAACCACTCTACCTGGACACATATGAAGATTCCTTTGCTGCCCTTGCAGTACACTTTGAATCAGGACCAGACCTGGCTTCCACTCCTAATTCTGCCACTTACTATCCCTGTGGCTGCAGGAAAATCATTCATCTTTCTGAGTCTCAGTTTCTTTATTTGTAAAAGGTGGATAATAAGACCTACTTCGCAAGATTGCCATGACATTTAAAAGTACTCAATTTGAAGTGCCTACCACACCTATTTGGCCAAAAGTAATTTCTTTTTATTAAAAATTTTAATAAGATTATCCATTCATTTATTGCCTTATTCACAGACCTATTTGAGGCTCATTAACAGTTACTACGGACCAGGCTAGCCACAGCAGATAGGAAGATGAATGAAAGCCCTGCCTTGGCCTAATATTACAAAATAAATTCTAAACTTAATGTGCACTAGTGCTATTGGAACTAAAATTAGAAAAAAAAAAGATTATCTGGGAAGGCATGAGAAGGGATTGGAAGTTCGTTAGAGCCTTATTCAAAGCACAGAAAGTTAGAGAGAGGTAAATTGTAAAATGAAGGCAGGAAATGAACAAAATGAATGCAGAGAGTTGCATTGCATATGCAGGAAACGGTGAGTGGTCTAGTGTAGGTGCCATGTGGAGCATATGAGGGGGGTCAGACAGGAGAGACGGTAAAATCGAAGAGAGCAGGGAGTTTGGACTTCACGTGACACGGAGAAACAGATAAGTGTCATTACATTTCTAAGCCAAGTCTTGAACACTCAGCATATACGTGCACACCTTCATACACAACATCTTGGCATTTGCCATTTGAAATGGCTGGAATGTGTTTCACCTGCCCTTTACACTGGTAAAGAGCCCTTTTATGAGGTTCTTTATGAGGTACACTTGGCATATGCTAGGCGCCCATATGTAAAGTGTACAGTACGGTAACTTTTGACATACGTATAAACCTGTGAAAATGTCATCATACTCAGGACAGAGGACACATCCAATGTCCCCAAGAGTTGCACAGGCCCCTTCGTCATGCTTCCTGCTACCTCCTTACCTCCCTTCTGTAGGCAACACTGATCTATTTTTTGTCACTGCTGATTAGTTTATAATTTCTGGAGGTGTATGTGAATAGAATATTACAGTCTGTCCTCTCTTTTTTGTGGACTTCTTTTCCTCAGAGTGACTATTTGAGATCCATCCAGATTGTTTTCTTTATCAAGCATAAATTCTCCCAGTGCTGAGCAGTGCTTCACAGAATGAGTATGTTAGGATGATCTATTCAGTCCCCTCTGGATGGATGTTTAGCTTGTTTCCAGTTTGGGGCAACCATTATTTCCTCTCACTCCCACTGAGCAGACCTTAGTCACATGGTCACTCTGAATCTCAGGAAAGACGGGAAGCTGTCTTTGACCCAATTTCCCCTGAAGCAGGATGAAAAGGATGTGGTGGGCAGCTATTGCGTGTGTCAACCTGAATGAGCTGAGTTTAGCTTGGTACATTTGACTATTTCACCAAGCTAACCTTGTGGGCAAGTGACAGGAGGTGTAATGTGACGGGAACCTGTGTGGCTAGAACCACATCAAAAACAGGCTTCGGAAGAGCGTTTGAAACACAGGGACACACATGAACATTCCTGCCTCCAAGGCTTTCCTGACAGACAGGTAAGGCACATTCAGAATTTGAAAATCATTTTATATATACTGTATTCTCTCAAGCCCTGTTCCATTTTTATGATTTATAAAAAGTAAATTTGGACTTAATGAACCCTGTAAAACTCCTTTTAGTTTAACATCCATCAGCAAGATTGTGAAAGACAACATTCACACACTCACAGAACATGCCCGTGCCCTGGAACGGCAGACCCCAGGCTCTGTGTGAACCTCATGTACATTATTCAGATGGGAGTGTCCTATCATCGTCAAAATAAAAATGTTCTTGAAGCCCTTTTTAAACTTTAAAACTTCAAGATAGTGATCAAAACCTACAATTTCCTATCAGAAATGTAATGTCAAAAACAAATAACCCAATATGATAAAATAGTTTATTTTTTAAATTAGCAAATCTCAGTTATGGTATAGTAAAATTATCACAAAGAGAAATATTATACTGATATTATTCATATTTTTGGTTTTTACAAGTTAAATATCCATTTTTTTGTTACCTCCACCTTCCCATCCTCTAATGAGAATCACTAGCATTCAGACATGCATTATCAATATCATTTAATTTCACAGTGAAAAACATGACACAAGAAGGTATTTAAATGGTAGGCTCAGACACAGAGCAGTATAATGAATGCACATTAAAAACAACAGAAATTCCTTTAAAATGTCTAAGTAACTCCTAATCCTTTCTTGAGAAATCGAGATATTAATTTTTGACTTGTTCATTTTGTACTATTCAATAAACTACTTCAAGTAAATGAATAAAATTAAAAATCATTTCTAGGATTACATTTAGTGGAATGAGAGCAATGATGAAGCTTTTCCATTAAGTTCCAGGGGTGCAGTGAATATATTAGCTTGCGGTTGCCACCACGGCGGATCAGCATGAGGCAGCACCAATAGGCATGGAGTTGTTTACCCATCCTGTCCTAATTGGCCCCCTTAGGCTGTTGCCAGCAGAACTGGCTTTCTGATTCTAATGAGTAATGAAGGCACTCGGTATCTCATGCCAGTATCTGAATGGTGGCCCAGTCCGGCCCTTGCCAGGGTAAGCAGTGGTGGTGTTAATAATCATGAAGCAGCCTTGTGGAGCACCACTCTGAAATTAACTCTGCAATCACAACTTATTCCTAACCACTTAGTGTCACGAGTCGTAACAAATGTTGAAAATTACATCAAGATATTCAAATAAGTGATTTTAAAATGTTACTCAAGGCTTCATAGTTAGCATATTTTATCTAGGGAATTTAAGACAACTTATTGCATCCAGACAGTATAAAAAGGGTCTTTCAACGTAGATTTTGGTTTTTGCTAGAGGTGTGGAGAAAGAGTAATTGTACATTAACCTCTGCAGTCTTGCCCCCAGTCTCCCACACACTTTATAAAGGGAGGCGCGTCTCTGAGACACGGTCTGTGACCAAAACTCCCTGCTGTGTCATGGCATTAGGGAGAGCCTGGGAACTTGAGAAGTACTCCTGAAATGGAATGGAATATCCAGCTCTCCACATTCTATTTTATCAGTGTCTTCACTGCTCGGCTCATGCATTTGTTACTCTGCTTATCCATTCTCATGATACAATACGGCCAATGCACTAAGCACACACATCTTTGGCTTCCTTTACTTCAGATTACTTTTCCCTCCACTCTTCTTGAGCGAATTGTTTCCAGGGCAAAATCTGTATGTTTACCTTGATCTTTCTAATCACAGCTGTTCATTTCCCTTCCTTTCTAACCCTACTCTTCAATGTCAAGATTTCCAATGTGCTGACCCACTCCACGTTTCTAGTCTACCATTCTCTGCCTGAGGCCTGTATGGTCCCCATTTTCCCTTGATGACTTAGAGAATAAATTCAGTTGCAGACTCAAGAGAACACTTAATTTTCTCATTCCATTTGTATTTAACTTTAAAAAAATCAATATGAAAATCGACCCAAATATTCTCTTCCCAGTCTTCTTCTGGTTGAAAAAAATTTTTTTTAGTGGAGACTATTGAGACCAGTACGAGTTTCTTACTTGAAAAGCAAATTGTAACCACAACAGGACACCTCTACACACCTACTGGAATGGCTAAAGTTTCAAAAAGAAAGACTGAGAAAGCCAAATGTTAGTAAGGATTTGGAGCATCCATTGCTTGGGGTGGTGGGAACTAACAAAACCAACTTTGAAAACCGTTGGATGGTTTCTTTAAAAGTTAAACATTTGGCCAGGCATGGTGACTCACGCCTGTAACCCCAGCACTTTGGTAGGCCAAGGAGGGCAGATCATTTGAGGTCAGGAGTTCTAGACCAGCCTGGTTGAAACCACATCTCTATTAAAAATACAATAATTAGCCTGGCCTGGTGGCGGGCTCCTGTAATCTCCACTACTTGGGAGGCTGAGGCAGGAGAATCACTTGAACTCAGGAGGCAGAGGCTGCAATGAGCCGAGATCACGCTGCCGCACTCCAGCCTGGGTGACAGGAGATCTGTCTCAAAAAAAAAAAAAAAAAAGTTATTATATGACCTTGCCATCTTCATAAGATACATTTTTATACATAGTCCTGCAAAATTTTTGAAATAGCAATATCAGTTTGCTTTACTTCAAATCCGATAGTCCAGTTAGAGCCTACTGCAATATTACACCAAGTCTGCTCTCAATAATGTTAATAATTTCCTAACTGGTCCATTTACCTCCTCTTTCTAATTCTCTTCCTTGTTGACTCTTAGGCTATTTGACACTGTTGACTACAAGCTTTCTTTTTAAAGTTCTCATCTTCCTTGGTTTTTGTGATGTTATTTTGTTCCAGTTTCTTTTCTATCTTGAATATATTTGTTTGGGATACTTTCTTTTAATAATTAAAGGCAAACGCTTATGACTTCCCCAGTTTCTGCCCTGTGTCTTCCTTCTCTTTGCCTGTTTTAAATATTCCCATAGAATTAAAAAAAATACTTTGATGCCAATTATTACTAAATATCTAGAATAACTGTTGACCTTTTGCCTGAGATACAGATTGCAATTTTTCAGTGCAATTATTCCTGGCTGTGATGGTTAATATTAAGTGTCAACTTGATTGGTCTGAAGGATGCAAAGTATTGTTCCTCTGTGTGCCTCTGAGGGTGTTGCCAAAGGAGATTAACATTTGAGTTAGTGGAATGGGAGAGGCAGACCCACCTTCAATCAGCTGCCAGCACCAACTAATCAGCTGCCAATCCGGCTAGGACAAAAGCAGGCAGAAGAACGTGGAAGGACTGGACTGGCTAACTCTTCTGGCCTCCATCTTTCTCCCATGCTAGATGCTTCCTGCCCTCAAACATTGGACTCCAAGTTCTTCAGCTTTTGGACTCCTGGACTTACACTAGTGGTTTGCCAGGGGCTCTCGGGCCTTGGCCACAGACTGAAGGCTGCACTGTCAGCTTCCCCACTTTTGAGATTTGGGACTTGGACTGGCTTCCTGGCTCCTCAGCTTGCAGACAGCCTATTGTGGGACTTCACCTTGTGATCGTGTGAGTCAATTCTCCTTAATAAACTCCCTTTTTGTTTACATCTACTTTATTAGTCCTGCCCCTCGAGAGAACCCTGACTAATACACTAACAGTTCCACATACACCTCAAAATCAAAACCTGAACTTCGTGTCACATCAGCTAGAGAATCTCTTCCATCTGTACCATTTCCTTTCTGGCCAACAGCCTCAGTAGTTACCGCTAATGTAAGAAACAAACAACACCACCAAAAGAAAAAAAAACCCTTTAGTTAACTTTATTTCTTCACCATCCTTAACTGTACTCCATCCTTAACTGTACTCCCTAACACTCAGCCAATCAGTTACTTTTACTATAATCAAGAAAATAACATTAAAACAACTTTACTGCCATCCATGTCCGATTCTGCTTCGTCCAGGCTCTCATCTTTTCTCACCTAAGCTACAGTAAGTGCCTCCTGGCTGCTCTATGTTTATTCTTTTTCCTGCCCCAGACTAAACTTTCCATTACCAACAGAATCATCTTCCTAAATTACGACTCTTGTTGCAGTGATTTCCTACCAAATCTTTCCATGGTTATTCATTAACACCATGCTAAAAGCCCATTTATTAATACAGCATATCAAATAAGGATTCCATATCTGGCCCCCAAATACACACAATAAACATTGCTTATTGCCTACTTTAAGCCACCTCCTCCTTCTTTTTCTGCAGAATCCAATTTGTGTGAAGTGTCTGGATGAGACCTCTTTATCAGGGAAGCTGGGGCTGAGCTACTTGTTTAGTTTTGGGCATGTGATCTTCTTCTGCTGTATATTTTGGAAAACCTCATGGGAGTTTCTGGCAGAGATGTTCCTCTCTGCCTGAAGCCACAGCTCCTTGCATTTCAGCTTTTGAATGCAATAGTTAAGTCCTAATGCCTGAAGCTCTTGCGGACGGACTGTAGCCATAAGGACAAGCCAAGGGAGCTGGAGAGATGCCAGCTCAAAGCTGAGATGTCGCTAAACAACACCAGCAACATGCCAAGCCTAAGAGAATTTAGATTTGAGAAAAAATAGTCGCTATTTTAAAAATTTCCATTCACCGAATGAATGCCTTCCTGAACGACCCCTGTCTTAAGAGAGATGAGCTCCTACCATTCCCTCCCTCACTTCCCAGGATCAAGTCCCAGTAGTTTTCACTCTGTCTAGGGCACAGTGTTGCTCATTTTGTGTTTTGAATTACTACTATTATTTTGAGACAGAGTCTTGCTCTGTCACCCAGGCTGGAATGCAGTGGTGCGATCTTGGCTCACTGCAACTTCTGCCTCCCACGTTCAAGCAATTCTCCTGCCTCAGCCTCCTGAGTAGCTGGGATTACAGGCGCCCGCCACCATGCCCTGCTAATTTTTGTATTTTTAGTAGAGACAAGGCTTCGCCATGTTGGCCAGGCTGGTCTCGAACTCCTGACCTCAAGTGATCCGTCTGCCTTGGCCTCCCAAAGTGCTGGGATTACAGATGTGAGCCAGCATGCCCGGCTGAATTATTTTAATCTCTTGGCCTGGAATATTTTTCTCTGCCGTGTGGCCTTCTACTCATTTTGAAGATATACTCAGCCAAGGTTTCCTCCATGAAGCCATTACCTAGAGCTAGTTCAGATTTTCTCCATGTTTCTATAACCCTTGATATCTATCTATCTTCATTTTTGCCCTTATCTTTTTTATTATTAATTACTTTTGTACTAATATACCCTCTAAAAATTGAGTATATTGTCCACAAGAACTGCAGCTTATTCCTTTCTATATATATTTAGATTAGTTCTCAGTAAGTATTTGTGGAAAGCAACAGAGGAAGAGTAGTGAGCTAAACCTCCCTGTACGTGCATGCATTTTTCTACCAATCTATTCATTTGTTCTTTAAAAATATGCCTGGGTGCTTTCTATCCAGGTAAGCAGTGAATATATTTAGTTATAATAATTGATGTGATGGTCTTATACAACTTTATACTTTAACATACTATTATAGAATTCTATTTGTAGTTTTATTGGAAACTATAAAAGCATTTATTTAATGTTTGTAAATTTTGCACATGTTGTCATTTACTTTGTGTTTGGTTTTCAGATGAAGAAACAATCAATGTTCTCAAAAACTTACATGCCAGAGACACTTCTAGGGCTAGGAGAATAAAATCAAATTCATTGCCTTCATAGATTTTATATTCCAATAAAGAATACGCCAGGTGCTGTGGCTTACGCCTATAATCCCAGCAGTTTGGGAGGCCAAGGCGGGTGGATCACCTGAGTTAACCCTGTCTCTATTAAAAATACAAAATATTAGCCAGACATGGTGGCTTGTGCCTGTAGACCCAGCTACTCAGGAGGCTGGGGAACAAGAATCGCTTCAACCTGGGAGGCAGAGGTTGCAGTGAGCCAGGATGGTGCCACTGCACTCCAGCCTGGGCGACAGAATGAGACTCCATCTCAAAAGAAAAAAATAAAAGCAATATATCTGAAACACATGTAGCTGCAATTAACCAGATGCTAATACATAAGGAAGGTGGTCATGTCACAAATGTTTTTGTAATCTTTTTTTTTTTGAGACAGAGTCTTACTCTGTCGCCAGGCTAGAGTGCAGTGGCGCAATCTTGGCTCACCGCGATCCCCGCCTCCCAGGTTCAAGCCATCCCCCTGCCTCAGCCTCCTGAGTAACTGGGACTACAGGTGTGTGCCACCATGCCTAGCTAAGTTTTTGCATTTTAGTAGAGACGGGGTTTCACGATGTTGGCCAGGATGGTCTTAATCTCCTGACCTCATGATCTGCCAGCCTCAGCCTCCCAAAGTGCTGGGATTACAGGCGTGAGCCACCGCACCTGCCCTATAATTTTTAAATAATATAGGTTATGAATGACATTTACCCTCAAGATACAAAACTATGAAATTTCTTCCTAGTACATGTGACACCAAAATAATTCTGAAAATAAAGACATTATTAAATTACACATGCCAATATTTTTTTAAAAATCCGAAGATTTCTTAAAAATCCCCTGTTATAAGAACTAGGACAATGGCTAAGAAAAGAACCACCCACACTCACATCTTCTCCAGAATAAAACAACACAGCTAGGCAGATGCCTGAAGGATTCCCTTTCTCCCATCACTGTTGAAAATTTACTGTAAATTTAAAAGGTAAATTATTCCTGGAAGTTATAACACATTTCTTGAGCATATTGTAGGAAAAATGCATGGTGCATGAGGCACAGTGGATTTTCAATAAGTCCATTGTTCTCTTTGCACATTCTTTCAACGCACAGTCTATTTTACTATCTTCCACCTTTGTTTATAAGGCGGTTTCTTATTCCAATTCGCTCCCTACCCACTGTGTCTACTTGAGAGTCAGAGCTACTTCCAAAGACTTACCCATTCTTCCAGGAAACAATTCCGGATTTGGAAATCCCAAATCTGTCTCCCAAAAGCACATATTTACAAAATCAGAAAGTGTTATTTTAATCTACCAAGCAACTCCAGCACTAACTTCTATATCATCACTTACTTACACCCATCTGTGCCCCTCTGGGCTAAGGTATGAACATGCCTTTGTATCACATAATGCTCTTGCTAACACCTTCTTCTGGATGAACTCACTTCGCTCAAACGTAAGTGAAAAGAACCAGCGCTTGACTAATGAAAAGATACTTCAAGAAAATGAATCACGTACTGCTATAAAGGAGATCTCAAAGTAGAACTCAAAGAAGTTACGGTAAGGCAATAGAAGAAGATAAGATGCAAGTTGGCAGTATTCACAAAATATTATTTGAACAAATATTTATGAATAATATTAAATAAAAAAGTAAGGATGGAGGCAATTAAGGCAAAAACCAGCATATACGCCGGGCACGGTGGCTCACGCCTGTAATCCCAGCACTTTGGGAGGCCGAGGTGGGCGGATCACAAGGTCAAGAGACCGAGACCATTCTGGCTAACACCGTGAAACCCCATCTCTACTAAAATACAAAAAAAAAAAATAAAAATAAAAACATAAATTAGCTGAGCATGGTGGCGGGCTCCTGTAGTCCCAGTCCCAGCTACTCGGAGGCTGAGGCAGGAGAATGGTGTAAACCCAGGAGGTGGAGCTTGCAGTGAGCTGAGATCGTGCCACTGCACTCCAGCCTGGGCAACAGCTAGACTCCATCTCAAAAAAAAAAAAAAAAAAAAAAAAAAAAAAAAAAAAAAACCCAGCATATACATAAATAATAGCTCTGAAGAAAAAATAGTGGATAAAACATTTATAGATATTATTCAAGAAAACTTTCCAAAAATAAGGGAGATGACTACATATTGAAAATATATCTTACGTATTAGAAACAGTTGAAATAATGTTCAAATATGAGTTTTATCCCAATAAATATATGGGCATTAAAAATCTTTAGAACATACAGACAGAAAATTAAGTCATCCATCAACAGGAAAACTCAGGCTGACTAAAGAGTTTCCCACTATAACATGCAGAGATAAAAAATGTGGAACTTTGTCTATCATGTCATGAGAAAAACAGAGCCTCAAGGATTTTCTAGGTCAAACTGTCTCTTAAGTAAAAATGTAGTAGAAAATTATTTTTGGATGTGGATATGAATACAGGGAATGTATTTCCCATGAGTAATATATTTTCCAAGAGTCAATACTAGAGGACCAATTTCAACTAATCAAGAAATATACAGAGAAACTGGCAAAAGATGCAAGCCAAGCCTTTTCCTTTGAGTCTGAACTGGTATCCTACATCATTTACTTCTGTATAAATTCATCCTTAAGGCTTGATCTGTAACGTCCAGATTATGTTTTAAGGGGCAGGGTCACTGAAATCTTGATGAGTAAACACTGTTATTGTGCACCAGATTCGGTTGCCATCTCCTTTTGGTCAGGTGGAAGGATTGTGTATTCAGGCTCTGATGAGATTAGCCAATAGGCCTGCTTTGTTTAATGTGTTGTTAGTGGAAACGAAATATGTTACCTCCAAGGGGACATCTTTAGCAGCCAACACTGACAATCTTCCTCCTATTTTCTCCACATGTTGAATAGCACTTGTTCCTGATGATGGATGCTCCAAAGATCCAGGACCCTGAGTGAGAACAATGTGGAACAGAGTCCCTCACCAATCCAGGTTGAGTATGTAATATGAGCAAGGCATAGGAGCCTGTGGTTTTAAGCCAGGGAAATCTCAGGGCTGTTGGCTGGGAACTGTTTTATTCAGTATGTGCATAACTAAACTTGTCCAGACAATAGAATACCCGTAAAGCAAAATGAATATAGACTCTTAGATTTACACATTTCTGCCCCAATCTTTTTCTCCCTCACAGTTGTCTCACTTCCCACTTCACTTGTATTTTCTTTTTAATTGTATAGTCATCTTAAGAGAATCTTCCCAATGCATTAAACTTAGCTTTTGTAGAAACATATCTTTGTCCTATCCTACTCATATTTAATTGGTTTATATCATGCTTAATTAAATTACATAATTACACTTACAAATGCAATTTGCTTTAAAGACAAGCAGAACTAAATCTTTGTAGACAGTGGGGAGGGAGGGTTGGAAAACCTATTATTAGCAAGTTGTAAGCAGGTAGTAGATGCTACTGTGTTTTGTAAGAGGAAGTGGAAGTGAGTGGGTGAGTTAAATGAAAGTTGCTTAAGACAGTTATTATAAATATTCACTCAAAATAATACTATGTAGCCATTTTAAAATTGTAGATATATTTTGTGTAGCCATTTAAAAATTATAGCTACCCATATATGTATACACATGTATGTATATTAACATTGCTTTGTGTGTGTGTACATGTTCACATAAGAATGTCTAATCTCTCAATAGTTGTTATCTTTTACACTGGCAGTAGAGAACCAAGAGGAAAGAAAAATATACATACATATATATATGTATCTTTTGCTTTTTTTTAAAAAAATCTTAAAACATTTTTATAAAGTAAAATTTTAAAAGTAAATATTTTCAACTGCAGTAACACAGTCATAGAAAATGTTATTCAATATCAGATTGCATAGCACTGTCGGTCTCCTGGAAATGCAAGTCATCATCAGAATGACGTGTTTTTTTTGGTTTTTGTTTTTGTTTTTGTTTTTTGTTAAAAATCCAAACTGAGCCTTCTTTGCTATGCTTTAAGAATGGGGGACATATTTTGATCATAGGAGATGATTGTTGAGTGCATATTGATTTCTCTTTGTTCAAAAAATAACCTCATTGATTAAACAAAGAGAGCCTTTGACAGAGTAGAAAGTAGAGGGACAAGAATTTTCACGACCACCCTTGGATTTAAAAATATTTAATGTTTACTGCTTTGTCTTATCATTCCTCAAACATGTTTTCTGCTTGTCTGGGCCACAGAATGAAGTGGAAATTGGAAGACCTGGAGCCCATTAGAGGACAATTCTTTTGCCTCCAAGGGTTGTAACTTTTCCCCAGCAGATACTGGACTCCATCGTGCAGACAACCTTCTTTAGTGAGAAAATGCACAACTGACTTCCAATCAGCTAACATTTCTTCCCTGCTTGAGTCATGACTGAGTTATTTGAGAGAAAACTTCTTTCTTTTCTATAGTTATTTTGCTTAAAATCATCATCAAAGACTATGTTTTGTTTTTTTTCTACTCTCTTTGAAAGTATGGACACTTACGTTGAGTGTTTGGTGCTAAGTTAGATAGCCACATTCCTATTTTTTTCAAATCTTCTTTCCTTATTTCTTTCTCTTTATTCCAAACCTTGTCAGAGTTGCTACAAAATTAATTGAACTCTCAGTTAAGTAGAGCTAATATTAATCTAGTTCTTACCATTTTAGGATATTCGTTAAAGGAATTAAGTACATTTGGGAAGGAGTTTTATTTAACCTGAAAATGGCTTGAAAATTACATCCTATTATTGTTGTGTTATTGTATGTTTTTCCAACCAGTATGGTTTCTGACTTTCAACACATTTTATGTGAAATGTTTTGCATGGAACTAATTATTCTCAACAACAAATTCCTAATCCAGTATCAGCCATTCACTGGGTACCTAAGCAAGAAGGTTTTATGCTCTCTAAAACTAAAATTGCATCGAATCTACCTTTTCTCATTAGGGCAGAGTTTAAAAAATGAACATAAAGATGTGTTCAAAGAAAAGCTCATTTAAAATAAATATTTTGTGCAAAATGCTTATTTTGTGTACATTTGATCAGATTGTTGGAGAAATTATATCCCTTCCTCAGGGCCTCTGTAGTAGCCAAGATGGTTTACTTCATTTATCAGTATTCAAATCTGACATTTGGAGGCTGAGCATTTAGAGAGAAATACCCATGGCCTGGATTTCACATCTCTCCCAGCCAATGAAGCCAGGTTTAAAAAAATGGAAAAAGAAAAACAAGAAAAATGTTTAGTAGCTAGCATTAAATCAAGTTTTACCTGATGGACTTGAAAGGATAGTTTTAATAAAGTAAAGGTCAGAGAATGCATATAATTCTCTTCCTCCTTCTTTTTGTTAATTGTTTGAACTTTTTACTCTGTAAAAACATTTCAGATGGGCCGGGCATGGTGGCTCACACCTGTAATCCCAGCACTTTGGGAGGCCAAAGCGGGCGGATCACGAGGTCAAGAGTTCGAGACCAGCCTGGCCAACATGGTGAAACCCTGTCTCTACTAAAAATACAAGAATTAGCTGGGCATGGTGGCGGGTGCCTGTAATCCCAGCTACCAGGGAGGCTGAGGCAGGACAATCACTTGAACCCAGGAGGCGGAGGTTGCAGTGAGCCGACATCGCACCACTGCACTCCAGCCTGGGCAGAAGAGCAAAACTCTATCTCAAAGAAAAGAAAAGAAAAAAAGAAAAAAAACTTCAGGAAGTATTATTTATTTTATTTGTTTACATTTTAACCAATCTTGGGGGAACGTGTAGTTTTTGTATGCCAATAAATATGGAGAGCTACATGGGGATGGATCTTACTTTTTCCCAATTCTATTATTTATAACTGTATTATATCATGGTTTCTATGAAGAACATTTTTGTGCAAGACGGTATGATATAGTAAACTCTGCAGAGGAGTTCAGAATGACTGAAGTCAGGGGCTATATTTCTAGCGTGTATTTACAATGTAAGCTTAGGGCAACGGTTTACCCTTTCTAAATCACAGTATATTGGAATATACTGGACTTGCAGCATATTGGATTTCCTTTTTTAAGAGAAGAAAGTAATGTACAGACACACAACCGCCCCCCCACCCCTACTCTGCACACACTAAAGTACACATATGCATAGTACAAGCACAAAAGCAAGACATTATGCCATTTTAAAGATAAAATATTTACATTTCTAAAAATACAATGAACTCTGACAGAAAAAGAATCTTTACTGTGAGATCATACTGCAAGATCTGCCATTCTTGTAGGACATCCAAAGGTGAATGTCCTTCAAGGTGCACTGGCTATGCATAGCAATTTATTACCTGGCCTTATTCTGAGACTTTAATAGGCAGGAAAATGCTCCCACCCTCCTACTCCTCAAAAAAAAAAAAAGAAAAAAAAATCCAGGACTTGATCCCTGAAGCCTGTGCATGTTACAGTACAGGACAAAAGAGGTTTTGCAGATATAATCAGGACTATGGACCTTAAATATGTGGAGTGCCTGGATTTTTCAGGTGGGTTCAATCTAATCACATGAGCCCTTAAAAGAAGGGAATTTTGCAGCCCAGGAGGAAGTCATGGGGATTTTGAGTGTGAGCAGGACCTGCAGTGCTGTTGCTGGCTGGGATGCAAGGACCACATGTGAAGCCCAGGGACAGACCTCTAAGAGCTAAGAGCAGGCCCTGGTTGACAGCTAGCAAGGAAACAGGAAACAGTTCCCACAACTGCACACAACGAAATTTTGCCAGGCTCTAGATTTTTCTCCAGAGCCTTCAGGTAGGAGCCCAGCTGGCCAACACCTTGATTTGGGGCTTGTGAGACTTGAAACAAAGATACCAGTCGAGCTAACCCAGATGTCTGACCTACAGATCTCTGAGATCACAAATTGATGTTGGTTTAAGCCCCTAAATTGTGGTAATTGATTATGGCAGCAATAGAAAACTAATACAGAGTCTGAGTCTAATGGCCCCAGGATTAACGAGAAGCTACATCCTATCCCCATATCTCAGGCTCCCAAACAATCAAGCAACTACCCCACCCACAACCAACAGACAGTGAAGTTGAAAAGGGAGTGTTTGTGGATCACATCCTTAATGTCATTTACACTTTTAGAGAAATATTGTTTTGTCTGCAGAGCTGAGTCCAGATGACTTACCTGAAAAACTTCAGATCATCGCTGAAGAGGAATTCCAGTCTGTTTTGGGGGGCCTTAGGACTATACTAAATAAAGCTGCAGCTTAAATTCCGGAGAGGTTTTAAAGCAGCCTCTCAGAGACTGAATCCATCTTCACGGTATCCCTGTGTGTTTGTCAATGATGTATTGAGCTTCTCCACAGGGCCAGATGTTGATGTGGAGTCTTATTTGCTAGACAGGGGAGTATAGGGAACTCTCAATATCCAAGTGTCCATTCTGGATTTCATTAGGGAACACATGAGCTATGGCCACTCTCGGGTTTAAACAAGGATTCAGGCTCAAAGCACAGCTGTTTCCTTCTCTTTTCCAGGTCAGAAAAACACAGTGCTGCTCGAAATTGACCAGGTCTCCTGTCTACCCCCTACTGGTCTCTCAGGCTGCCCTTTGATTTCAGCTGCTCCCCAGCTGTCCCCACATCCTGCCTCCCTGACTACCTGGGTACACCTCACTTAAGAGGCATGAAGACCCAGAGGGACAGCATAGCTCATCTACTTCTTTCCGTCACAGTTAATTTGTCTATTTTCCTTGGTAAGGACCCAGCATTTCCAGTAGTAGAGTGGATTAAATTTTGGGAAACCATTTTACCTGATCTGGCAACGTGTTTTCCTGTGCCCCACAGCGAATCCGTCAACTTTCATTGGAAGGGTTGTCGGGGCATTTCCTGTTTGCTTGTATACAGCTATGACTCACTGTGGGGAAGGAACTCTATTTTTTATTCCTACCTCAGCGTTCATCTGACTACCCCTGCTCTGAATAATATACAACGTGTACTATATGAAGAAGCACTTTAGTTGTACTGGTTCTAAATTTATTGCCTTTTTAATTTTATAGTATTTCTTTGCCCCATCTATAATGCCTAGTTTCATTTTTGGCAGTCTGAATGTCTACCAGCACACCCGTCCAAAAACCCAGTCCTGGTGCTAATCAATAAACAAGAAGAGCCTTTTGTCAGAGTCATTAGTCTCTGTATTTTATTCTTTCTCAGCAACATATATCCAAAAAAAAAAAAAAAAAAAGACAGGGAGAGTGAAAACTATTAACAAACACAAGACCTGCGGGGGTTGCTGTCAGCCCACTTTCTTCTCCGTTAAAAACTTTTATTTTTAATCAAACCTTTCAAAAACTTTTTTCATTCTACACAGATCAATACCTTCCTATAAGAAGTGGGTATATCTTTTCTGGTAGTTACATTAACAGTTTCTAAGGGGTCATTTAGGTATTGATGCTGCAGTGCCAGAACCGAATAGAGTGTATTTGACTGTAATCAGCTGAACTAAAGCGTGAATTTTGTTTTCCAAAGTTCTCCAAGAGTTTTGCTAGAATTTCACTTACTCTTATCTTCTTTCTTTTATCCACTTACCTCTTTTCTTGAAATTTAGTCCAGTATTTCTGAAGTCTTAGCTCACGTGTGAATTCCATGGGGCGCATGGAGTATAGACACAGGCCCATCTGGTTCTCTTCTGATTCTGCACTCAGGCGAGTTACTTAAATTGTCTCAGTCTTCATTTACTCATATGTAATATTACCTATCTAACAATTTTGCAGGAAGTGTAAGATGCAATAATGCATGCAAGGCACTTAATATTATGCCTAGCCCTTTGGAAACATTCAATAATGAACAATTATGAGTTTTACTTTTTTTCTATCTCCAACTTGTATACTCCTATTCAGGTTTTTTATCCATCTTCTCAAAACAGCTCCTAGGCAGGACATAGTTTTCGGGGTTTCTGTAGGAGGCATTCTTGTAACAGCAAGAGGAACATCAGAAGTGCCTGCTGGCAGGAGAATTCTGGGGAAATAGGAGTCTGCAGTGTATGTGTGCTATACACTGAATGTTTGTATCCCATCAGTGTTGAACTCCTAATCCCCAGTGTGATGGAATTTGAAGGTGGGGACTTTGGTAGTTAATTAGGTCACAGGTAGGACCTTCATGAATGAGAGAAGCACCCTTTTAAAAGAGGCCACAGAGAGCCTGCTCCCCTTCCTCCCACCACATGAGGTTACAGCAAAAATGAACCGGAAAGTAGGCCCTCACCAAACACTGAATCTGCTGGCATCTTGATCTTGGACTTCCCGGCCTCCAGAACTGTCAGAAACAGATTTCTGTTGTTTATAACCCGCCCAGTTTATGATATTCTCTGATGGTAGTCTGAATGGATTAGGCTGACTGGCACATTTCCCCATCTGCAGGAAGGTGACCAGAGCTGGTGAGGCCACTAGGAAAGGTGGTATGAATAAGAATGCCCAGTGCTGTTATGGTGATGACAGGTGCCTATGTCCAGAAACACCTGTTTTCTAGGTTGCTGTTTAGGAGCAGGTGTGTTGCAGAACAGAAATTACATTCGAGGTCGTGTAGAGCAGGCCAGGCTGCTCCCAATATTAACTTCATGGAACAACTGCCCTGACCCACAGATACATCAGCTAACCTGCTGCCTTTGTATGGTTCTCTACAATTTATAATACATTTACATGATTTTCCCTTGTTTATTCTGTACACCTCCCCTGTGAAAGAAAGGGTACCATTTTGACTTTCATGGTTAAGGACAATTATGTTCAGACAGGCCCAGAAACCTGCTCCAGAAGTGGTGGGGCTGGTCAAGCTCAGAGCCTCTGATTCCAGATCCAGGTGTTCCCACTGCTCCCCCATTAACTCCCATGAATGGATTAATGCCAGTTATCAAAGGGCTTGAGGCTGTGAGTTCCATTTCTTTCACCCTTTCTTGCCTTTTACCGTGGGATGACATGGCAAGAAGGCCCTCACCACATAACAGCACCTTAATATCAGACTTTCCAGCCTCCAGAAGTATAAGAAATAAATTTATTTTCTTTATGAATGACCACCTCTGTGGTATTGTGTTACAGCAACACAGAGTGAACTAAGGTGGAAAGGCAGTTGCAGTGGTGGAGTGGCGTGATAAACACATCCTCGAGAACTTGTCTCCTCATTTCCAATTCAGCTTTCTTTACACAAAGCTGCTTTCCCTCAGCTTCCTTGATTTCATTCTTAAGGGCAAGATTAATATCCAAACCTGGGCTGAGCACTGTGGCTCGTGCCTGTAACCCCAGCACTTTGAGAGGCAGAGGTGGGCGGATCACTTGAGTCAGGTGTTCGAGGCCAGACTGGCCAACATGGTGAAACCTTGTCTCTACTAAAAATACAAAAATTAGCCAGGCGTGGTGGCACACTCCTGTAGTCCCAGCTACTTAGGAGGCTGAGGCAGGAGAATCGCTTGAACCTAGGAGACAGAGGTTGCAGTGAGCCGAGATCACTCCACTGCACTCCAGCCTGGACAACAAAGCGAGACTCCTCTCAGAAACAAACAAACAAACAAAAAACACCACACCCAGCAGGAACCAGAAGGTATGTATTGAATGCCTTCAGTGGTGGAACGTGGCAGGTGGGTTTGGCTATCACAGTTGGTGGTTTTGTTTCTGCTGCAGCAGGTTTCTTCCCTCATTTCTCTTAATCAGGAATATTGGTTACAAAACTGGACACATCCCTGTGGCTGGACCAATTACAGAATTTCATATTGTTCTTACTGAGTTGCAGGTGAATTATGTGACCTAAATGAGCCAATTATTAGATTCATTCACGGAAGCTGAAACAAGCAAAATTAGAGACAAAAACACTTCAAAAGTGAAGAACGGCTGGGCGCGGTGGCCTCACGCCTGTAATCCCAGGTACCTGGGAGGCGGAGCTTGCAGTAAGCAGAGATCGCACCACTGCACTCCAGCCTGGGCTCAGAGCGAGACTCTGTCTCAAAAAAAAAAAAAAAAAAAAAAAAGTGAAGAAGGCAGACATGGGAGGAAGAGTGTGTGTTGGAGGCAGAGCATCCCTACCAAGGTACAATTTGTGTCCATGGGTCCAGGAATGCCCAAGGCCACCTCCTTGTCTTGGAAGAAGACCTTCTCATCACATTAGTTATTGAGTTGCATGGCACTGCCTGTATGTTGGTTAGGACTCTTAATTCTACTCTATTGCCCAGTGAGATTTAAGATGGCCACCAAAGTGCTTCATTTGCAAGAGTCTTGTCAAAGACTCCAGGGGCTTTTTATAGTCCAAGCATCATTCAAAATCACCATCTCTTTACCAAATATATACATCATTGCCTACATCATCTTCTATTGTACATGTAACCATCATGCTTCACTCCAGCAAATGTGTTTTCCTGCTGGGCCAGCACCATGGGTAGTAGCACACATTAAGTTATTGACAGAAGTACATTTTTAACGGGCAAAATGGAAGCCCAGGGGGAATAGAAAATTTGGTTGGACAAAAAATGTGGGGAAGGATTTCGAATATGGAGTACATTGAGAAAAACATCTTTTCCCAGGTAGTCACAGGTAAGAGATGTCCTGTGTAGAATAAAAACAATGGCACCTGGACATTATGGATGACGTTTGTTGAGGAAGGAGGGAGGAGTCACCAAAACCAAGAAAATCAGCAAAGGGCCCCCAAAGATTAACTTTGCTTTCTTCTTCATTTGCCCAGAATCCATTCCCTTTACATTATAGGCCAATAGACCCACTTTTATCTTCAGATTTATTTTGGATCTCAAATGATCTGAGCGTCATTTCACTTGGCCTGATCAGAGTCAGATAAGGAAGTTACCGTCATGTTCTTAGACTCTATGCTAGATATGGAGAACTCTTCATTCATATTTTCCGAGTGAGATTTGTCTATAGTAGACACTTCACATTTGCAAAACTGGACCCACTCGGGGTAATGAGCTATTTCATTACTGTACAGTCCTTTCTTATACACAATGCTTTGAAGGCTTGAACTTATGTAAATAACATTTTTTAAAAAACCCATATTTTACGTGGAAGATACAACTTTATGGTGCAAAATATGTTGTATCTGTTTTACATAAGCCTATGTTGTATGAAAGGGAAGGACTCACTCTTGCTAAATATGCGTAATTCACCACCATCTGGAGGCAGAGGCATTATGGGATTAGTCCTATAAAATGAGCATTATATATGATTTGAAATGTGCTAAATTCTTCAGTTTAGTTTAAAATATTAATTTGGTTGGCACTAAAAACATATCTTTCGATTGGGTCATTTTATATCTTTATGAGGTTAATTAAACTTGCATAGTGGATTTATCCATGTGAAATTTCTGTTTTTCATTAAGACTGAACTTTCAGGGAATAAAAGGACACATGGTCATGTAGAGCAAATTTATTAAAATAGAGCAAGTTTTCCCCTCTAATCCAAGAAAAATGGGCATTCACTGACAGGCCCCATAGATGCCCACACATACACTTACACACTCACATACACTCACATGCACCCATGCACTTGCACACCTCAGCCAAAGAAATGGAGTGATCTAATTCTTTTTTATTCATATTTCTACCCATCATATTTATTGACTCTCTTTCCCCCCTTAAACGTGTATTTTTCTACTAAAATGGACAGTAGCTAAGGAATGTGTGCAAAGAGGGGAAATTAAATGGTATACTCTTGTGAGGGCCATTTAAGCCTGCAGGTGAAGAAGATGTGGAGAGCTCAAATGTCTTCGCTAACTTGGCATTATTTCTCAAATGGGAGAGATTGTTATTTGAGTCCGGGTAATTTACAAGAGACTGGGTAATTTATAAAGAAAGAGGTTTAATTGGCTCACGGTTCTGCAGGCTTTACAGGAAGCACAGCTTTTGGGGAGGCCTCAGGAACTTTTCCTCCTAGCAGAAGGTGAAGCTGGAGCTTGCAGGTCACATGGCAAAAGCAGGAGCAAGAGGGAGAGAATGCGGGTGGGGAGAAGAAGGCGTCTCACATTTTTGAATGACTGGATCTTGTGAGGACTCGCTATCATGAAGACAGCACCAAACCATGAGGGATCCGCACCCATGTTCCAAACCCCTCCCACCAGTCCCCACCTCCAGTGTTGGGGATTACAATTCAGCATGCCATTTGGGCAGAGACAAATATCTAAACTAAATCACCAGCATTGGCTGACTCTTCCTTAAAGTTTAACAGTTCTCTCATTGTCTGTTTCTGAAGGGAAGGAAGGTTAAGGCTATCCTATCTAGTTCAACTGATTTGTGGCTGTGGCTTATAGGTTCCACCTCTCAATAGCCTTTGAATTTTCTATTTTATTACTTTTCACTTTAACCACCATACGAATTGAATCTATATCCTCTCTGCTATTCTTCCAAAACGCTGATGCTATGTACATCATCCTAAAATAGAACTTTGGTTAAATCACACTCACACTCAGCAACTTGGAACAAGGCTGACTCTTGTTCACTTAATTAACTTGCAATGCTTCATGCCTATCCATCACCCCGGTGAATGAATGAATGAATGAATGAATGAATGAGTAAATGTGTAAGTGAAGGAAATCTCCATGCTGACCTTTCATTCATGTTCATTTTTAAATGAGGAATTTCCTTTCTGTGTTCATTACCAATTTTGCTTTTTTTTTTTTTTTTAGCATATCCATATTTCCTTTCTTATTGCCATCTTAAGAGGAAACACTTTACTAGCAATTTTCAGGCCATGATAGATTTAGAGGTGGCATAGCATTAATTGTGATCAACTGTGGCAGTGACTGCAGAGATCCTGTTATAAAGTTTAATTTACATTCTTGCTTTTTGTTTATCAGACCCAAGGAAGAATTATGCTATTTTTTAATTACTTAAATATAAACCATAAGCTTAGACTTTTGAACAAAGTACCTCTCCAGGTCGATATAAGATCAGTAAATAATTTCTCAGAATTGTTTCTGCCTATGCTCAGTTGTTTATTAATTTTATCAGTCGAATTCCTGTCAGTGTTTCCATCCACTACACTATGCTTTTTTTCTATAAAAACTCTTGCTCTCAGCATCACATGAATCATTTTGTGGCTATAAAATTGGTAAATAGTTAATTACATCCTGTTGGCATACAATCGTTCACTGGGTGGAGGAATTCCAAACTTCAGTATGATCGAGCCCCTCATCTGTATTGTTCAAATTTGCAATTGGGCAGCCAGTTTTGAAAAGACCCCTGATTAGTCACAATACAGCATTTGAAACAGAACATTTCTTCCCTCTGCCTCAAGTATGTTCCTGCAAGAAATTAGAGATCATCTGACATGGCATGTTAAGGATATGTCATTCAGATGAAAAATACAGATTGGTCAATAAAGTCTGACTTATTGATCATTTCATTCTCAACAGGGGGGAAGGTTTTTACCTACTTCCTAAAGTTATCTGGGTTTTCTTGGATACAAGATTGAAACCATATGATGTTGCTAAATTAAAAATTAATAGAAAATTACAACTGTTTGATACCTGCAAACATAAATATCTACAAAAATAATACATAGTTTTACTTGACATATATGCATGTGTATATTCTTTTTCTAAATTATTAATTACTACATATTTCAAAAAATTTTTAAGTATCATAAAAAATCACCATATGCAACTTCAATTTTACAAAAATTCTACAAGAAGAAATAAGCACAGAAACTTATTTTTAGACTCTGCGGTTATTGCTATACCATCATTAAAAAATATAATTCCTCATCTTATGTAAGACCAAAAATATAGAACATCTTTAAGAAGAAGAATGAAGCTTTCCCACACACCATGAAACATTTTGTAGTAATTTTTCCCACTGGATTCACAGAGTGAGTTCTTTGGAGGAAAGAATTGATGACTCATCATTGGCTCAACATCAGTGATTGGCTGTTGTGAGATTTTCAGGTTGTTTAGGATTCAAGGCCTCCCAAGGTTCTATATTATTATTATTATTATTATTATTATTTTAAATCAGAGATGACCTCAGAAATTGCAAGGAAATACTGAGTACCTGGTCAGGTTGTGCCCCCAAACTCTCTATGACTCGAGGTTTGTCCTAGCTCAGCACTGCCTGCTACTGGGTGGCGGTGTCTGCCTAACTTGGGGATTAAGTGTTAGCAAAGCCCATTTTTCTCTTAAGAGTTATAGCTACTCCCTCAAACTCCATTTTTGCCTCTATATTTAATTTTTTTTTTCTTAACTTACTTCTCAGTTTCTTTGGGTATAGAGGAGAGAGTTCCTTTCTTTCTTTCTTTCTTTTAATTTAATAGGAACCTTCTCTGAAACCTCAACAATATTGGCTTTTATTTATTTTTATTTTTTTCAAATGATGGTTTCTCATAAAAGTTTATCAAAGAAATTGTTGCTTCTTTTTAAAAAGTTTAAAAGCTAGATTATAGCATTTCAAGGTTCATAGTATTTTAGAGACTGCAGAAATCCAGTAATTTCAATACCCTTAAAACAAATGAGGAAACTGAGGTCAGGTGTGTTAATGAAAGGACTGAGTTAACAAGAGCTGAGACAGCTGAATGGATAATTAGCTCAGGGATTATTTCATTCTACCATTTGCTCCTCATAACCATTCCTTAGTATTAGGTCGTTCTCACATTGCCATAAAGAAATATCTGAGACCAGGTAATTTATAAGGAAAAGAGGTCTAATTGGCTCACAGTTCCACAGGGTGTACAGGAAGCATGAGGCTAGCATCTGCTCAGCTTCTGGGGAGGTCTCAAGAAATTTACGATCATGGCAGAAGGCGAAGGTGAAGCAGGCTCATGTTACCAGGCCAGAGCAGGAGAGAGAGACAAGTGGGCAGCGCTACACACTTTTAAACAACCAGATCTTGTGAGGACTCCTTATCATGAGAACACACTAAGTGGATGCTGCTAAACCATTAGAAACCAGCCCCATGATCCATCCACCTCCCACTAGGCCCCACCTTCAGCACTGGGGATTACAATTTGATATGAGATTTGGGTGGGGACACAGATCCAAACCACATCAGTGAGAAATATTCTATACCATATCACAGCTTTGGCACCCTTTTATTATTTACTTACGTATTTTCTGAGACCTAGAATATGAGGAAATGCTCACCTGTATTTCACTTTCTCCAAGACACTGTGTATCGTCTTATTGCTTTTTCTCCATTCAACATTTAATCAACACTTTCTATGCCCTGAGCACTTTGGTAGGATTGGGAAGTACAAGATCATGACTGTAGTTGTTGCTTTTTGGAATCAGATGTATCTGGACCAAACAGTCATTTAGGGTGTGCCGTGATGATCCCGTCCTGTCCTGTGCTGGTCTGTATTTGGTGCTTCTTTCTCCGAGAAGAATACTCAGCTCAAGGATGTATGGTGTGTTGCTTCAGGTGGGGACGCAGGGCTGCGATGGGGGACTAACTGGATCCTGGATAGTTTCTTTCAACGTGAACAAGTTTCAGGATGCTCAGAGTAGTCTACTCACACCTATTGCATGCTACTCCTCTACTGAAGGCTGGACTGTGTCTGAGAACAAAGCAGCTACTCCACAGCAGGATGAACTAACACCACGTACACACTGCATGTTTATAAATCATCCAAAGAGGCTTAAATTATGAGATGTGGAAGGACTAAGGAGTCTGCTCTCTGAAAATTACTTCCTAAGACACTCATTATTTCCACCTCTGTCTGCTTGCTTCATAGAAATGAGGTGAGTAGGAGGAAAATGATGACAGAAACAGGTGGTAATGGCAGAAATTTGTGAGATGTTCATGGGGGGTCAAAATTGGCCACATGACTGAGGAGAGTCAGGGGTGTCTTTGTGGCTGATGCGTGGCATGTCTTTGTGCCAGACAAGTGGCAACTCTGTTCCTGGGGTCCCTCCTGGAAACACACCCAGTGCCCAGAGAGCCCCAGGCTGAGTCCAGGTCTGCTGCACTCAGCTCTCTAAGGTGAAACTGAGGAAAGTTTGTCACGGGAAGAAACATTTGACCTGGACCTTTGAAGAATGAGAAAGGTGAAGGACGAGGACTTTTTTCAAAAAAAAAAAAAAAAAATCAACTTGTGGCCAGGTGCGGTGGCTCACGCCTGTAATACCAGCACATTGGGAGGCCGAGGCAGGCAAATCACGAGGTCAGGAGTTTGAGATCAGCCTGGCCAACATGGTGAAACCCGGTCTGTACTAAAAACACTAAAGTTAGCCAGGTGTGGTGGTGAGGACCTGTAATTCCAGCTACTTGGGAGGCTGAGGCAGGAGAATTGCTTGAACCTGGGAGGTGGAGGTTGCAGTGAGCCAAGATGGCACCACTGCACTCCAGCCTGGGTGACAGAGCAAGACTCCGTCTCAGAAAAAAAAAAAAAAGAAAAAAAATCAACTTTATGTTATTTGATGACTATATTAATTATTTTTTTTTTTGAGATGGAGTTTTGCTCTTTCGCCTAGGCTGGAATGGAGTGGCACAATGCCGGCTCACTCAACCACTGCCTCCCAGGTTCAAGCAATTTTCCTGCCTCAACTATGTTAATTAACTTTTATTGACCTGTGAACTGGTGGTGATGAGAACCAGGTTGGAGGAGATTGAGGATAAAAAAAAATGGAAGCAGAAGTCTAGTCTACTCCCTGAAGACGTCACAGCGTTCGGTGTGCACTCAAGGTACTTTCTCCATAGGTCATAGTGGTGCTTGTGAGTTACAGTGGGCTTGTGGATGTGTCTTTCACTAGACTTGGGACTGGGAAAAGGTTTTTGGAGTCTGTCCTTTACTTTAGCAGGAGACTTGGTGCATAGTAGGTGCTCACTAAATTTAAAGCCGTTAGTGAAGAAATCAAAACTCTTGCTCACGTTTCCTGGCAGACCAGGCTAGGTAAATTTGTTTTCAGAAATAAATTAACTCCCATAATTTCTGTCTTCCTCTATGGGAGGCCCCTTGACTCCTTTCTCTCATCTTCTGCTTACTTCCAGGTGCCCAGGCCTCTGCATTATACAAAACCCTTTCATCTGATGTATTTAATACATTTTACTTAAATATAAACTTTATACAAAGTTACTCTTGATGTATGTTAGATCTTATTATTGTTGGGTAATTCCAGGCTGAATTACATTAGAGGAATTTTAGGCACTGGTCAATGGTGCTTGAGGGTATGAAGGTTGGGAAAGCTGTTTTACTGGAGGCGAGCACTTGGTTTCCTGAAATGACCTTTATCTGGGAGGCTGTTGTCCCAATCTGTCTGGCTTTCTCAGTGCGTGTGATCTTCCATATGGTGTCTCCCTTCCTGCCCAGGTCCCTAACGCCTGCCTGTGCTCAGCTGCCCTCAGGGCAGGCTTCCTGCTGCAGCATCCCAGTGCACTCTGTTTATGGGTCCTCTTTCCCTCTCTTCTTTGCTAACTCTGACTCATTCTGTCTTCACATGATCGGATACTTCTTATTGCCTTCCTACCTTTGATTTAAAATAAATCTATGAAGAAACTGCCTATTTGGGAGACCAAACCTGAGTTTATACCGGCTAAGCGTAGCCTGAATTTTTCTATCTTTCTCAAGTTGTTCACTTACCATTAAACTTCCTGAGACCAGCAATGTTTACATTATTTAAAATTTTCATAAAACCTCTGATATTGGTTAGGGTTTTCTTTTTTCTGCCCAAGATACATTTGATTTCACCCTAGTTTTTTGCTCTACTTCCCTCGTTTGATGTCATCTGCAGGAATCCCATGGGGTTTGGGGGCTGCCAGAGTTGCTCCCTGCCAAGGGGAAACTGCATATTCACTAGCTATGTTCTGGGAACTAATTGAAAATGTGGCTTTTCAGCAAAAATGAAAAACAGCATGACATCCCTCCCCTACACCTTCGCCTTCATGTCATTCCACACACATGCGACTGGCTCATCTCAGCGTCTCCACTTCAAGGCAGACACAGAGGCTGTGGCTACTCTCATGCTGAGTCAGTGAGACGTACATGTGGAAACTGAAGCTTTTACCTAGAAATGTGATGTAATAATAAACCACCATCTGCAAGAAGTCCGAAATATGTTTCTGATAGGCTTTTGTTGGAGCTATAAGCTAGTTTTTCCTCTGTTGGAGTGGCACAGAAAGAGATATTGTTGAATGTCAAAAATGGCACAAAATTAAGGTTTAGAAGAAGTAAAAATTGCGGCAGGAGCTTGAAAGATGGGATTTTACTGACCTGGGCCCTAGATTTGCACAGTTCCCTGCACAGCAGGCAGCAGGCTTGGTCTTACACCTGAACGCTGTGTAGTTTATGTTGTTCGATTGGGGTGTTTAAAGGAGTGTTGGCTGTGGAGTAGCCTGTGAAGTGTGCTTTTACATACTTCGTATTTATTTGAATTGGG
Source organism: Homo sapiens (assembly GCF_000001405.40). Lineage (NCBI taxonomy): Eukaryota > Metazoa > Chordata > Mammalia > Primates > Hominidae > Homo > Homo sapiens. The sequence goes on along the minus strand of NC_000013.11, from coordinate 105,936,594 downwards.
ACTCATGTTAGTTGAAATGCCTACCTGTGCACCAATGTGTGTGCAAGGCCTACTTCTTTGCAGGTCTACTGTGAGGGAATGTGAATATCAGAGGAAATAAAAATTTACTAAATGGCCGTCTAGGAACCATCCATGTAACTGAAAATATACATACAATTTCCTTTTTTAGCCGCCTTTGCAAAGCCTTCAATAAAGGAGAACAAATATTGAATAATCTAACAGCCAATAAATATGTCTTGTATGCAAAATGATTACCTGAAGAGACACAATTTGAAAACATCAACAATTAGTTTTGTTTATAAATCAATAAATTGACAAGTGTTTATAACCCATCCTATGTCCTTCCCACTAAGATACAATGGAAGTGTCATCCAGGGAGTTTACAGCCAAGTCTGAGATAAAACCTACATGATATAAAAGAGTGCACCATTACATGCTGCATTCTGTGGTTCATTTCATAAGTATTGAAATGTTAGAAAGAAAGAAAATAAGTGAATAATGTATTTCATTAAAGTGCAGCAAATCACTTTTATTTCAATATAGGTCATATCAATAGCTAGTATTTAAAAGGAGCTAGATTATGTTGCAAAAAATGAATAGATGTCAGTCTCTTCTCTATTTTCTCTAGGTGAGACATGCATCCCTCTTTTGGACAGCTTCCCTAGAGGTGTTCTTCTTAGTCAGGCAAGTCCTAGCCTTGAGGAAGAGAGGTAACCAAGCCTTTATTTTGACATAATCAGACACTCCTTATTGTGCCAAGTGTAGGGAGCTTTCAGGTGGGGCTGGGTGAAGAGAGAGTTAATTTTCACAAGGCGTCCTTAGACGAGGAAGACTTTCTGGTGTAGACTTGGTTAGCCCTAAGCAAAAATCTACTGGCAGGAAAGGATTCAGTTTCCAGAAATGGACTTCCTAGAAAGAAAGAGTGAGACCATGCTAAAGATTTGCTTTCAGCATAACTTAGCACCAATGTATTTGGGAGAAGGACTGGCTTTTACAGAGCAGGAAGTTAGGCTGGAGGCCACTTGAAGACCTTGTCATATTTTCTTTGCCGTGTTTTGGGAAGCAGAGGCTGGACACGGAGTGTGAACTAAGAGAACATTGACCTTGAAAATAATATATATATTTTTCTCTATTGAAGACTCATCAAGGAAGTTAAACGAATGGCTTATCTATATTTTCATTTGCTGGTAGGCTTCACTGATGAGTGTTGGTAAATGTCTCTTGACTCTCATTATTTCTTTACCCTCAGAACAGCCCTGTGATGAATTCAACTTTTATACACACATTTTTCTGCATGGTGTATCTCCAATAACATGAGCCCCAATTCAAATAAATACCAACTTAAAAAGAAAAAAGCACACTTCACAGCCTCCTCTAGAGTTCTGTCCATTAAATAACCTTAGCAGAGGAAGCTAAACTCCATGTATTCCATCATAACTGCAAAATATGCTGCCCACTTTTCCCAGTGCTCCAAGGTCACAAATTCTTATAATCTTTTAGGCCTTAATTGCATTTTAAAATTCTTGCTTTGTGCAGATCTTCACCATTCTAAGTGTGAGGCCTCACTCTGCCTTATGGTGCATTTTGGACTAGCAGAAGCATCTCGAATCCGGACATACAGAGTCACAGGACTGTGCAGCACTGGCTCAACAGCAGTGCCAAGTAGAAGCAGTCAAAGCCACAGTTTTAGTGTCTGGGTCTGACTTTCTGGTTTTTTGTCTTTGTCTTGTTTGGAAGTGGCACTGAACACTTAAAACAAGTAGAGTTCTTCAAATTACAGGGAAATATCAAGAAAGAGCTACTAGACTTCTTGTTAATAGGATCAAGTTCTTGAAGAACTGGGTTAAGAATTGACATACTAAGTAAATTGGGAGGAAAAAGAAAGAGAGAGAGAGAGAGAGAGAGCTGTAACCACATAGGTACACTAAGCTGCCAAAGAGGGTCATGCCCGCTGCAGATGATGGTGCAACCAAGAGCCTCACAGTGACATTTTTGACAATAGATGAGGAAGTTGAAGTCCAAAAATAGTCACATCATTTACTCAGGTTTACATGATCAGACAGCAACTAAGCAGAGGCTGGGAATATGGCCAGAATCCCTTCTTTGACTGCAGTTTAGTGCACTTTCCACTCCTATGGAAGGACTTTACTGAAGTGGTCCAGATATTGGTCTAGATATTGATCTTATTCATCAGAATACGAGAGATTTGAATAGATAGGTATGTGTATGTGCACATATATACAATCATTGCAATCAAAATTTAGTTTCTCAGACATATTAAGTCCAGAGAAGCAGAAATGTCCATGTTTGTTGGGCTGTATGGTTCCCAGTCCTAACTCTTCTTTAACTTTCTAGGTCAACCATACACAAGCAATGTAAATTCTCAAGTCTTTTAGTTTATAATTAAATAAGTGAATGCAGTTATACTACCTCTGTGTCCTAGTTCACTAAATGGCAGAATTGCTAATTTTCTACAATTTTTAAAACTCTACTTTTACTGTATTATTGGAATGAACTGAAATGAATTTGTTGAACTGGTGGATGGAGGCCTTGGAAATCCAGATATAAACTTTTGTTATGAGCAAAGTAAAGATAAAATGAAAGCAGCAATTTTACTAGATTAATCTGGTAAGAATACACTCTGATAAATGGCTACATCTGAATCATCACATATTGCATGAAGCAAAGCTATTTTAGGATCTGAACTTTAAAGTCAGTTATAAGGTTTGAAAATGTAGTTCTTCAGGAGTTTTATACCGATTTCAACTTCCACAGAAGCCTGGGATTTGGACAGGTGAAATTAATGACAAAGACCATCCTTATGGATGGACTGGACCAAGGCAAGGAGGAAAATGTACGGGAGGAAGTATTCTGGGCTGAACGGGAGAACCACTGAAATGGTCTTAAAGGGAAGAGTCAGAAATTTAGAGTAGTAGAAGGAGCAAGTGAATGCTCTTGAAGAGCTGGGTTAAGAGAAGAGAAACATGATTTTAATAGAAATTTGGATTTGCAGTGCGCCCAGTTGGACATGACCAGGGTGTCTTAAGGAATGTGGCTTTCAAGGAGGACATCAATGGCAAACTCAGGAAAGATGGTTGAATTGGTTTTCAGGTACTTACTACATGTGGATTCTGAAGGACAGCCTAGCGTCTCAGTCCTAAGAACTTGTAGTTCTAAAAATGAAGTGCTGACGCCATAATCATGATGACATCCTTCCTCTGTCACTCTTCACGAAGAATGGAAGTAGTATTCCCAAAGAACATTAAACATTTCATCTTCATCTTAGGGGGGAGGTGATTACAATAAGGTGCTTTCCCATTTCAGGAAATAACATAGGTCTAATGAAAACTTTTAATAATCAAAATAATGACTGGATTCTTCACTGCAGTCTCCCATCTCATAGATTTTCTCTGTTCCTTTTAAAAGGAGAATTAGGACTTCTGATTGTCTTTCTCCCATCCACTTTAAGGGTGGTCAGCTTCTATGAGTCCTTGTAATACACAAGATTCAAAGAAAGAGGAAGAACAAGCCAGACAGGTGTTTCCACTTGGTGAGACACAAACTCCAAGGGGTTCCCCTTATGAAAGATAGGAATAGTGTCAGTCTCCATGTCTGCTTTGTAAAAAAAAGGTGATAAAATAATAATTTTGAGCTTCCTTTTTTTAAATTTTAAGGTGGGCTATTTGAATAACTGTTTCATTTACAATATGTAGTGGCAACCAGATGAGTATCATAATGTGTCGATCCACAGCTGAATGTCACTAATACGTATTAGTTGATAGCCTTCATTTTGACCATATTATTGTTTAAAAACATTGATAGTGAAATGCATTAAGTATCAAAGTGTACAAAATTGATACTAATTCTGCAAATTTGCCTCAATATGAATTGATCAGCAGATTGATAATTTGCATTCATCTAATCCAAATTCTTACATGGCATCTTAGGATGTCTGTGGCTCTTTAAAAACACATGTTTAAGAGGAAAAATGTAGTGATTATTATGTCCAAATTGTCTTTTGTTTGTTCAGAATAAAGCCTTTCCATGTCCTCAATGCATTATTTTTAGAAAAGAGCTTGCAAAGAACAGCCTGAAAACTCCCATGCCCTAATTTAGAAATAGCATACAAAATCTATACAAATATACTCGTTTTTTTTTCAGAAAAAAGATTATAAGCATCAGTTTATGAAACACATTTGATGTTATAAGTATAGTTAAATTTCAATTACTCTTTAGAATGCAGGAATGCACATGCCTTCGATACACAAACCAAAAATGATACAATGTGCAATTTTGTATTTATTTGTTGGAAAAACCCAAATCATTTCTTACATAATTATTTAACAGTAATTGGAAGCACAAGGGCTGTTATTAGACACAAAAAGCTGAGATTGGTCTTTAAATGTTGTGAATAGTATTAGACGGTACTTAAATACATATTTTAATAGAATATTAAATAATGTATCGGCTATTTTTTAGACTAACAGTGTATATTTTGTCATGCTCCATCAAAGTTGTGAAATTATATAAAATAATTACTAAGAGAGTTGAAATGTCACTCCATTAGAAGTTCAAGAGTAAAAGATATTTGGGAATTCAGATCAATGCAGTAACTCTTGAGACATGTTAAAATAAATAAATATAAGAAGATGGAGGCTGCAATTAATAATAATGTTTGCCATGTACCTATTATTCCGTTAATGAAATAAAAAGCTGAGACAGATTGCAATTGTTACTATCGAGACTTCCAAGGAAACCAGAAGTAACTTATTTATAAAGCTGCATAGAGAAATAAGTCTAAATTTATTCCTCCTTAATTTGGGAGGGAATTGGCTCAGAAAATTTTTGCCACTCCTGAGAAATGTCCAGAAGTCTCGAGTCCATATACTGACACCACTATACAATTCTTTCAGGGAATTCCAACTAGTGTTGAGTGGGCTTTCACTAAATATGAGATGCTGGGCTAGTGGAGTGAAGAATAATGACATCAGAAACATCTGAAAACATTCCCTGTCCTCAGACAGCCTGAGAGCTAATGGGAATTGATGTCACTGAACTGTAGTTGAAGGCGGAATGATTTTTATTCATCCTTGGAACAATACTAAGTGTTATGGACTACATGTCTGTGCGCCCCCAAAATTCTTATGTCGAAGGAGGATGTGGGGCATTGGGAGGTGATCAAGCTGTGAGTGTAGAGACTTCATGATGACATAAGTGCTCTTGTAAGAAGACGAAGAGAGTAAATCTCTCTCTTTCTGCCCTGTGAGGATACAAGAGGGCAGACATCTGCCACTCGGAAGACAGCCCTCACCAGAATCTGACCATGCTGGCACCCTTGATCTCAAACTTTCAGCCTCCAGAGTGGCGAGATATTTTCTGCTGTTCGTAAGCCACCCAGTTTATAGTAACCTGTTATGGCAACCAGACTGACTAAGACTTTAGGGAACTATAATTTCCCAGATACTGTGTTCAGCACAGTTATAAAAGTGAATGAGAACAGTACTGATAATAATAGCCAAAAAATTGCAGTGACACCTGAAATTTGTCTAATTTTGACTGCATGCCAGGTGGGTTCTAAGTGGCTTACATGTGTTAATTACTTCCTGTAATCTTATGAGGCAGTGTTTGTAGTATCTCCACTTTAGAAACAATACAATGAAATAAGAAAGTTCCAGCTTTCACAAGATGTATAGTTTAGTGGGCAAGGCAGGGAATTTATCACAATTAATAACATGGTGTGAGCTCTGGAGTGTGATGAGAGCTATCCCGGGAGCATCTCACCCAGTCAACTTGAAGATGCTGTCAAAATACCTTAAATATGCTAAAGAATTGAGGGCTCATCTAAAGTCATTAGTTTATGGGTGACTTAAACACATATTTTTAGCACACTGAAAACTTAAAATATGTTTTTAATGACCAATTCTAAAGATTTTGTTTCATCACTTTAGGAGAAATTTATATTTTAATTTAGTGAAAAATTGTTGCCCAATAAAATGTGAGCGTTAGTCTAGGGTGCCAATGATTTGAGTTAGATAGTAGATACCAGAGCCTGCTATTTACGTAAATAAACAAATTGCAAGAAAAAGAGAATGAATTTAATAAAAGATTCCATGCAAGATTGTTTCAATGATTTATGTTGGTAGCACATCATTTAGAGTCACTCTGGATATTAAAATAAGATACAATATTACAGAGACTATCATCATGCATGCTACCTAGAAGGCACTCAGCAAGCACTTGCTCCCATATATATATGGGAGTTTTTATGGCCGGGCACGGTGGCTCACGCCTGTAATCCCAGCACTTTGGGAGGCCAAGGAGAGCGGATCACCTGAGGTCAGCAGTTCAAGAGCAGCCTAGCTAATGTGGGGAAACCCCATTTCTACTAAAAATGTAAAACTAGCCGGGCGTTGTGGCGGGAGCCTATAATCCCAGCTGCTCGAGAGGGTGAGGCAGGAGAATCACTTGAACCTGGGAGGTGGAGGTTGCAGTGAGCCGAGACCATGTCATTGCACTCCAGCCTGGGTGACAAAAGGGAAACTCCATCTCAAAAAAGGGGGGAGGGTTTATTAAGGAATATTGACTCACAAGATCACAAGGTCCCACAATAGGCCATCTGCAAGCTGAGGAGCAAGGAAACCAGTTCGAGTCCCAAAGCTGGAGAACTTGGAGTCTGATGTTCCCAGGAAGGAAGCATCTCCCAGCATGGGAGAAAGATGTAGGCTCATAGCTAAGCCAGTCTAGTCTCTCCACGTTCTTCTGCCTGCTTTTATTCTGGCCACACTGGCAGCTGTTGAGATGGTGCCCACCCGGATTGAGGGTGGGTCTGCCTCTCCCAGTCGACTGACTCACATGTTAATCTCCTTTGGCATCACCCTCACAGACACACCCAGGAACAATATTTGCATCCTTTAATCCAATCAAGTTGACGTTCAATATTCACCATCACAGGCTTCCACAATACCACAGTCTAGATTGCTTAAACAACAGAAATTCCTTCCACATAGCTCTGCAGACTGGACTTCCATGAATAAGTTGCTGGCAAGGTTGGTTTCTCTGTGGGCCTGTCTCCCTGGTTTGCAGAAGAACATTTTCTTGTTGTGTTCTCACATGGCCCTTCCTCCTGGTGTCTATTTCTCTTCTTTTAAAGCCCCCAACCCAAATGAATCAGGACCCCACCCTGATGCTTTTGTTTAACCTTAATGATCTTTGTAAAAGCTCTCTCTCCAAACACAGCCACATTGGGGATTAGAGCTTCAACACAAGAATTTCGGGGGGACACAATTCAGTCCATAGCATCATCTGTAGCTTTCCCTGTCAAATAGGTAGCTTTCTCCACTTGATTTTGTAATTTCTTTTTTAGATTGAGGTTTCAGCATGGGTCTGTTGATTCATCCCATCATTCTTTTATGAATTCAGTCTCCTGTGCACCAGGCAATGTGCCAGGCTTGGGGAGACACTCCTGTTAAGAGCCTGTCCCTGCCTCAGAAAGCCGTCTGGACAGGGGATAAACTCAAACAGACCACTTGTCACCCTGGAGTGTCAGGGAAAGTTGAGAAAGTCCAAGGCGAGGTTGAGTCCTGGAAATAGAATGATCCAGGCTGAGGACACGGGTGTCTGATCAGTGGGCACAGTGAGAGTTCCCCTTCTTACTGGGAGATCCTGGTGTGGTGTGATCCGGGGACTGCCAGTGGCCAGAGTTGGTGGAGCATATGGTGAAAATCAGGGAAATGAACAGAAGTGACCTGGAGGGGCCACAGTGGCTACATTATCATCCTTTGCTTGGGCCATTTTGAAATGTGCACCACAGAATTGATTTTCAGCGAGGAACCTTTGAAAATGTAGACATTTTTGAAGTGATTTTGACTGGCAAGCAAGGAGTCTAATGTAGGCAGCAAGGCTGAGGAAATCATTGCACAATGGGAAAGGAAAACCTGATAGAAGCTGGGAGAGTTACCCCTTCATGGGCTTAATGTGGCTTTCAGCTTCCGGGTGCATAGAGGAACCATACGGCTGTAACCGGCTGCAATGAACTTCCCAGAGAAAAAGTGGAGTTAGAAGCGCCTGCTTGTATTATCGGTTGTACTGGACTAGGAACTCAGGACAAGAGGATACTGTGACATTGTTTTCTTTGGATTTCTAGATTAAGCAGATGTCCACTTGTGAAAGGTATTATGGACAGGAAATTGTATGAGAGAAGTAGTTTTTTAAGATGTCCCTATGTAAAATCCCCACAGAGAAAATGGAAAAAGCTGCTTTGGGAAAGTGTGAGGCTCAAAACTAAGTAAGGAGAAGGAAGCACACTGTTTGGCCCTTGCACTCACACCCACAGTGCATTTCTTGAGGTCAGCTCCATGCCCCAAAAGGGATTTCCCAGCCAACCCACACTCTGCTGTGGAAGGACAGAGGCCAAGACCACATCCAAGTCTTTGAGGAGAGTTGTAGTATCAAGGCATTACGTGAAGACTGATTTGAATGGACACTTTTTTTTTAAATATACAGAATAATTAAACATTTTAGTACCCATGTTGTTTCTGTCCATTTAATAGCTAAAGAAAAAAGAATGAATCTCATAGTTAGCAAATAACCAATTTAGACATTTTAAAAACTAAAAAGAGAGTATGCATTTTCATCTCCATGCAAAGATTTATGCTAATTATCGATTACTGAGTTAAGACACTTCTCTCAAATATGAAAAAGGGGTACCCGAAGTCAGGCTTATTTTCATTGCTTAGGCCTAACTTCCAAGGTTTCCACTAGAAACACAAAAACAAAAATTTCCTTTTGTGTTCCTTAAAAATTATGGCAATTTAGATTGAGGAAGTTTAGGATTTACTTTCATTGTTTCTGTTATTTGATGCTGTGTGAGAATGAATAATTGGCTTATAATTATATTTTAGAAAACAATCAACAATTACATACATTATTAAGTTTTTTATTATAATCGGCACAGATTCCATAAAAATCAATAAAGAAATACAATTTACTACAAAATTAGTTTTGCTTTAGGCCTGATGGATGAATGGAAAACCCTGTCTCATTGTGAAATTACTGTCTCACACGAAATGCTCTTTTCTTTCTCCAATTGAAGTAAGCATCAGCTGAGGATCTGCAGAAACTGAAACCAGTGCTCAGGATTTGTACAGAAACAGAAATTATTACTGCAAAGTATATTTTTGATTATTAATTTATGCTTTCATCTTTGACTATCATGAGGTTAAAAAAACGTAATTGTATATTCCATTGATCTAAACAAAGGTGTTTAAACCTTGGACTTACTGAAATTTTGGAATAGATAATTATTTGTTGGGGAGTTCTGGGCTGTACATCATAGGATGTGTAGCAGGATCCCTGGTCTCTACCCAGTAGACGCCAGTAGCTCCCCTCCCCCAAGTTGGCATCTCCAGACATTGCCAAATATCTCATAGAAAGTGGCTGCACAATCACCCTTGGTTGAGAACCACTGCTCTAGATAGAAGAAAATGCATTTAAATAAATACTAGCCATCCAGCTTTATTTCTAAAGATTAAAACCTCAAAGCTATAATATAAACAGAAATTTCATCACAATTGGTCAAAAACACCACCATGTCAAGACTCCCTTGCCTGAGGATTCAGTTGAGTCTGCTCAGGCCTCCCTTTCCAGGCCCAGAGCTTTTCTGTCTCCACATTAGAAAGCTGTCAGTACACAAGCAGTCTGGATAGAGCCAAAGCTTGTTGGCCCAGATCTTATTAATTCCTGAGCTGTTCAAATTTAAAAGCTCCTTTCTGACACAAAAGTTCTTTGAAAACCTGTGCTCCCTGAATTTCCACTGACACTTCTGGGTGTCACTGAGTTATTTTGTTTGAAGGAACTCCCATGTTAACTTAATCTTCTTATTTGTTTCACAGGCATTCTGTCCCCTCTTACCTGGGAGGTTGTGTGGTACAAATTATTGTGTCACTGTCCTGCCAAAAGCATCACCTAAAAGGGATTTTCCTTGCAAACCAATATCAAAATGTCGACAAGATTATCACAATTTGAGAGGTGGCACCCTCACTGCCTCAGGGGCCTTAGCATTAAATCTCTTTGCTTTTTGAGTGAAACTAGCATGGAGTGGAGTTGAGAGATATATTAATAATTAATATCCTTATAAAGAGTATTTTCACATGATGTTTCCTGCCAGGTTATGAGTATGAAGGTGGATGCAAAGCAAACATTGACATCTCAGCCTTAGACACATTTAGTCTGGGCAGCTTTATATGCTGATGAGGAAACAACACATTGAGTAATTCAGAAATAGTTCAGAAAAAAAAGATGCATTCAGAAAAAAAATACCAGCAGAAACGATGGTATCAGTCCAGAAATATCCCATTCAAAACATTGAAATAACATAATCATTTCTTAAGGGAAAATGAAATTCACTTTTCAAGTTTAGGTGAAGGAAATATAGGAAAGTAAGTTATCACTTACTCCCTGGAGGAATTTAAGAACAATACCTGAAAAACTTTTAGAATTTGACATTATGCCCAAAAAGGAAATTTTTAAATTCAAAAAAAAAAAAAAAAAAGAAAAGAAAAGAGTGGGTTCTGGAATGTTTACTACATGAGAAGACCATGGAAAACAGAAAATAAAGAACAGCTCCCTGGTGAAAAATGGTCTGCAAAGAACAAGGCAGTCTATGTAAGGAGATTAATAAAAAGACTAAAAAAGCATGTAAAAAAGCTATGGAAGATCCCAAAAGATGTGTCAGAGTTATTTAAAAAGGTATTACAGAGGTCTAGAGTGCATGATAGAACAGGAAAGCAAGACACACCCACAAAATCCCCTTCCAAGACCTAATCGCTCAAGCACTATTCATGTCATATCAATCCTCTTAAGTATGTAATAGTCACTGCTCTGCAAAAGCCTCCAGATGTAGAGAATGAGATTAAACTGACTTTACAATGCCAAGAATAGAACCAAATTGCATAAGCACCACTGCAACCTTTACAACATAGTAAAGACAAAGAGATCCCCAATAATGCCTCATGAATCATGCTTTAGTGGTTACCTTTGAAATGTACAAATACATTGTACTTTCTATTAGATGCAAGAGGGCCACACATGCACGTATAGGGGTGTGTGTGTGTGTGTGTGTGTGTGTATGTGTGTGTGTGTGAAGGATGGAGATAGTTAAGCAACAGTAAGTTGTAGATGGTACAACAAACCCAGATAAAACTGAAGGTTTGTTGAGTTGCTAAGAAAACAGCAAAGAATCATACTATTGATTAGAACTCAATTTCAAGAGAAGCAATTGTAGTTTTCCTTCTAAATGAGAAAGAAAGAGTTTTTATAACTAAGAGAAATAATTATTGTATATCAATAATTTTAATACCACACTGAAAAACAGCCAGGAATAGGGTATCACCAATAACTCCCCAGAACTCTTTCCTTGTAGCCACAGCACTGGTGCCCAAGACAGTCGCAGCCTCCACTATGATGAAATAGAAAGGGCTCTGCCACTTACTACACGTCCAGATGGAGGCACTGGTAACATGGCCTTCCTTGCTACTTGTGCTACTAGACATAAACTGGATCTCCATCCAAGCTCTGACAGTCACTGATGGAATCAATGTCATTGGGGCATGGAAAACAGCACAGTTCATGGTGGGTCATCCTCCTGACACCTTTTAAATGGGCTGAGCTTAGTGATAGGAGACACTCGTAAGGGAGAGTGAACACAAACTTACGCAGCACTGAATAACAATGGCAAATGTAGGAATGCAATTTTCCCAGTGTATTATTTTAGGGATAAGGGCAGAATTACTTACAATTCCTACTTTAAAAAAAACTGTGTCTGGAAAGATTAAACAAGAAGTCATCCTTTGATGCCTCGTCTGGGGAACACTCAGTGAACACTGCAGTAGTAAATTGGCATTCTCAGAGGAGCACTGTAGAAAACAGTCTTTAGTGGATCCTTCTGCTTTAAAAGAAAAAAGTATACGTAAAATAAATTGGAAAAATTACCAAGATATACCTTCGTGTATGTGTGTGTGTGTGTGTGTGTGTGTGTGTGTGTGTTTTCGACCATGCCTGGCCTGGGATTTTGATTTGAAGCTACAGGCCAGAATTCCCGGGTCAGTCAAATACAGGCATACCTCACTGTATTGTGCTTCACGTTATTACACTTCACATAAGTTGCATGTTTTAGAAATTAATGGTTTGTGGCAATAGTGTGGCAAGCAAGTCTATCTGTGCCATTTTTTCCAACAGCATGTGCTCACTTCATGTCTGTGTGTCACCTGTTGGTGATTCTCGTGATGTTTCAAACTTTTTCATTATTATATCTGGCATGTTGATCTTTCATCAGATCTTAGCTAGATCTTCTGGATAACTTGCTGCAGCTTCTACATCAGCACTTGCTGCTTTGCCTTACACTTGTGTTATGGAGATGGCTTCTTTCCTTAAGCCTCATGAGCCGATGGAGAAACAGACAGTTGGCGGAGCAGTCAGAACCCACACAACATTTATCAATTAAGTTTGCAGTCTTCATGTGTTTTACATGACTCTTGAGCATGGCCTTTTAGGTGGAATGACAGGCAGTGCCTACGTTTGTAACTATGAACACCCTCCGTGGTTGGCCCTCCTCCCAGTAGACCCGTCAAGTCCTGCTCTCCTTTCTCATGGTGCTCACTGAAACTTGGAGTGCTGTCCTCTGTCGGGGCATGCGCCAGTGTAACTACCTGCATAAGGTCATTCTCACTCTCCTGGGGCCAAAGCAAGAGAACATTCTTGACTTTTGGGCACCATTTACCAGGGTTGACTTCCTCCTTTTTGAAATGTGTCCTTTTCTTTATGTCCATAACATCCATCTCCTTGACTTTTCTCCTCACTCTTTGAAATTGCCTTCTTCATTTCATTTGCTGCCTCATTTTCCACTGCTTATCTTTAAAATATCCATGTTTCCTGGGAGACCTCTTGGCTTTCTTCTCTCCTTACTGTGTGCATGTTCCCTGGGTGAGCCTCATTCACACCCAGGCTTCCATTGTCAATGCGTGCAATGACTTCTTATTTTGTATCTTGATCGTTTCTTCATTTCAGAGCCCCATGGCCACTTCTGGCTTGGTACAACTACAACCGTGATCATCCTCTTCATTTCCACATCTGCAGCTCTTTTTCCAGCTCTCACGTTTCCTGCAGAAACCTCAGTTACCCTGGACTTCTTTTCTTCTTTTCTTTCATCACACTACTGTCTCCAAGTCCTCTTGATCTTACCCTTTTGGTATTACTTGAATTCATCAATTTCTCTCCATGTCTACTTTCGTTTTCTTAAATCTTCATCATTTCTTCTATGGATGACAGCAATATTCCCTTCTTAGGACTTCTAAAACTGCCCGCCCCCCCCCCGCCCCCCTTTCCCCCCTAATTAGAAAGGAGTCCCAGAGAGATAGCCTGAGACAAAACTGGACATAATCTGAAATGATTTCCATTACAAGTAAAATATGTTTGTCTTCTCTTCTATCTTAACATTTCATTTGCATTGCACATGCCTCTCTAGGCTGTACATGCTAGCCATGTTAGATACTGGATTTTAAACTATGCATCATTACATAAACCTGAATATTCTGTGAAGAGCTTCAGAATGATCCCATGGTTTTGCTTATTCTCACTCCAAATGTTTAACAGAAACATAGCCCGATTCATCTCCCTGTCCCAAATCACTCTTCCCACCATTTATTTCTATTTCTGCTAAAGGGATTTTCTAAAATACAAATCTGATCATGATTGCATTCTTCAGTTTCTTAGGATGAGTGCTGACTCCTTCCTGGCAGGTACCATACTCTTCACAGCCCAGTGACCCCACTGTTACCCCATACTCCTTATTCCCTTCAGCCATAGTGAAGAGTTGTGCTTCCTCTGTCTCACACAGTTTTTGCCTCATGCCTGTGTTCTCCCAGTGTGAAAGGTCTTCCACCCATTTTGTAAAATTCTTCCAATTTCTGTTCATCATTCAGCATTATCTAAAGTATCCCCACAGAGGGAAACTCAATATTATTTAATCATGACATTTTTGCATTTTAATTGTTTGACTATAGTTGTGTGCCCTCATTTTATTACAAGCTTATTGAGGGCTAAGCGAGGTTACATTTTTTCAGGTTTTCTATTGAAGTTTCTGTCATATAGTGGATACTCCGTGCAGATAGTCCTTGAATGAAGATGGGTTCCCTCCCAGTAAACCCGTCATTAGTTGAAGATATTGTAAGTTAAAAATAAATTTAATACACCTAAACTACTGAACATCATAGCTTAGCCCAGCCTTCTTCAAACGTGCTAAGGACACTTAGCCTGCAGTTGAACAAAATCGTCTCACACAAAGCCAATTTCTGTATATATTTTCAGAAGAAGAAATGGAGGGAAGAGGGAAGGGAGAGAAAAATGGAAAGAGGGAAAGAGGGAGGGAGGGAGAAAGCCTCGTCTCCTGCCTGTCTTCTTTTTCAGCCCCAGTGGTCTTGCCTGTAGAGGCAGGGCGTGTCTGCCCTTGAACTTCTTATCTAACCAATTTACAGAATGCTTTATTGAACACTAATCTTAAGCCAGACATCCTGCTATATGATGGATAAAGGTAAATAAGGTAGTTCCTGATAACAAGCAGTTCCACCAGTCCCTTCCAGTGTGCTATTAGGGAAGTCAATAAACTCCTCTGTGTCTCAGTTCAATTCAAAGAGAGGACTCTGGCCGGGCATTGTGGTTCACGCCTGTAATCCCAGCACTTTGGGAGGCCAAGGTGGGCAGATCACCTGAGATCAGGAGTTTCAGACCAGCCTGGCCAACCTGGTGAAACCTTGTCTGTACTAAAAATACAAAAAAATTAGACAGGCATGGGGGCACATGCCTGTAATCCCAGCAACTTGGGAGGCTGAGGCAGGTGAATCACTTGAACCCAGGAGGTGGAGGTTGCAGTGAGCCGAGATTGCACCAGTGCACTCTAGTCTGGGCAACAAGAGTGAAATTCTGTCTCAAAAAAAGAAAAAGAAAAAAAGAGGACTCCAAAAAGAGGATAACAGTAATACTTTTCCAATACATTTGCCATAGGGATTAAGCTCATGTAAAACTACTTAATAATATAATGTGTCTGACAGAAGTGACCCCTCCCCAGTCTCTCTCTCAGACTCCTCTGTCTCTGTTCTTCATCCCAGACCTGTGGTACTATGCCGAGTGGTGGACTAAGACGTCGGGGGTGATATGGAAGGTAAGTCCATGTCCACTTTGTCCTGGCTCAAGGTGCATCTCAAAAATCAGGCTCATCTGGATACGAATCACCCTCTGCCACTCATTAATTGTGAGTGGGGTTTAGGACAACTTACTTTACCTCTCTGAGTGTAAGCTTATTTGTCTTTAATGTGGAGAAATTAAATGTATATTTGTCCTTGTGTTTTTCAGAAAATGGAATAAGTTAGTACTTGCATTAACAACAGTACAGAGATATCATATGCACTAGCTACCCTTCTTACCACCTGCCTAACTTGCCTCCAGGATTCTTGCCTCACTTTCCTCACCATTTTTTAGAAAAGCCTGTATCTTCTTCATTCATTCTCCTATTGTACCATCCCTACTCCATGGCCTTCTCCTGGGTCACTGTTTTCCATGCTTAGTGTTATTACCCTCTGAATTTACTGATGTCTCTAAATCATGTTATAAGGGCCAGAATCAAGAAGAAGTGGTGTAAAGAGAATTAACTTTTATCAATGATCAGTATTACCTGTGGTTCATTTAGTGCTTGGTAGATGCCATCTATGTTGTAATTACTGTAACATGTTTACACTTAGGATTCTGGATCTAGAGCTACCTTCTCCCAAGGAGCAGGATCTCAGCTTTCCCTTTTCTTTTGGAGATAATGTAAGCAGCTGGTAGAAGAGCTTTGAGTTGAGGGGTATAATAGGGGGATTATGAGGCATTGTGTTGGGGCAGAGGACAGAGGGAGCAACTCTGCAGAGTCAGGGAGGCTCCAAAACGGAAGTGACCTTTTGCCCTGGGTTTCTATTACAACTCACTGGAAAATGGTTTACAATGCTGATTTGCACAAATAATACCAAAGGCAAAGGAAGAAACGAAGAAATCCCAGGCTGACTCAGATATAGATCACTCGTGTCTATGAGGAAATCTTGACAGCTTGTGTCAAAAGTTCACTCTTCGTGACTCAAATGGGTGCAATACCAGAAAAAGAGAACCTGATTAGATCAGTGGTTCCCAGACCCCTAGAATGGGAGGACAACTTTGTAATGACCTTTTCTCTCAGATTTTTTCCTAAAAAAGAAAGTGTACTTTTAGAAAAGAATCAATTAAATGATTAAGAACAAAAGTTACTAGGAATTCAGTATCAATTGCATATGAATTTCCATTTTGTTCAGTGAAAATTTGCATTTGAAAATAGTAATTTTAAATGTGAAAATGGTAATAAATATGCCAAAGGTGGTTACGACTTTCAATCTATATGGATTCTTGGGCTTCCTGCAGTCACTTTAAAGTCTCCTGAAGTCCCTTTGCTGTACTTTAGGGTCCAGTGATCTGGGTTTTAATTAGAAGCACTCTTTCAAAGGATTTCTTAAAAAAATTAACAAGTGAAAAGAATTGTACAATTTTAATTTAATTAAACATTTGTTTATTTCATAGATAGTCTCCTTATCCGCATTGTTTTTTAAAATCCCTCCCACCATGTTTTATCCACATTGTTTTTTAACAATCCACAAAAAACAGCAACGATCAATTAGCTGATAACATATTACAACCACATAGAGGCCTAATTTGCTCCTGTTTTAAAAGCATATTAGTGCTAGTTGTGCTCATTAATGGTTACGGTTCTATTAATCAGGAACAAATCCATGTCATCTGAATTTTCTTGCCTCTTGCAACAAGGTAAGCACAGATGGTAGATGACACGGGAGGTGAGTCGCTCTGCAGGTCGGCGCTGCCCGAGTGATCTGTTAGGTGTGTGGATGCACAGACCACACGGTGTATTTCCGGAATGTCTGAAAATGTGGGCCACATGTGACCAACAAGATAATTATGAAACCTGACTGCTGGATATGCTGATGCAGCCAAAAAACATCAAGGACTGTGAGTGAGTTTGGAGGTGGGAGCAGAGAAAATTTCTGCAATGTGTAAAAATGGACCGCTCTCAGAGAAAAGGAGCATTTAAATTCTGCCCAGTTTACGGGTTTCCAGTTCCTGTCCTTTCTCCTGCTCATATCTGCATCTTTCTGATCTCCCGGGAAATCAGCCGCTGCTCTGCCCGGTCAAGCCCCTCCTTCCGGAAGAAGGGCTGAGGCAGGAATGACTCATTGCCAGGGAGTGCCTTATAGAACCGGGTGAAAAGGCAGTGTGACAATATGACTGTGAATTTCTTATCAGTGTAGGCTCACCAGTGATGAGATTAAATGGAAAGAACGTATCCTGCTGTCATCAAGGCCAGTATCATAATCAACTTTTATGATTTATCAGCATTGTAACCTGGGGCTATTACTGCAAGTTTTGAGCCTCCATTTTCTCATCTCTAAAGCAGAGTCACAGGGACCAGGTGCAATGGCTCACACCTGTAATCCCAGCACACTGGGGGGGCCAAGGTGGGAGGATCACCTGAGCCCAGGAGTTCAAGATCAGCCTGGGCAACATAGTGAGGCCTTGTCTCTATGGAAAAAAAAAATAGTAACAATAAAAATGAAAAAATAAAGTAAAATAGAGTCATTGCCTCATTACAGGATTGGATGTGGACTAAATACGATCATATGTGTGAAGTTACAGGAAAAGCCTTGTGGAGCAGGATTAGAAAGAACAGAATGGGATCTAATTGAGATGAAATGAAGACCTCCTAACAATTTCTTATGAAGCTTCCTAAATCTCTTGCATGTGACAGTGTAAGTCTCTTTTCATTCCATCTACCCTTAAGCTTCCCCAGTGGTGAAGAACTGTAGAGCAAAGAGCAGCTTTCGAGGGGAACACTGCCTCGGCCCTCACCTTCGTCCAGGGCTTAACCACTGGACACAACTCAGAATCTTGCATTTATTCTTAATTTAAAGCCTTATTCCAGCCTGAGATGCAGTTCCCTTAGCTTCCTGCTGATCTCTCCTTTAAAATAGTCTCTTTCTCAAATCCAAAGTACACTGAGGTGTGGGGGAGATAACAAAAAGTGAGCTTCATTGACAGGCTCAAGAGGGTCACGTGCATTAAGAGACTGTACAATTCACAGGCCAAGCACGAAGGCCACAGACAGCCTTGAACGTGGGAGTTAAAGTGAGGGTTCTGGGGCCACAATGCTCAGATTGCGTTTAAGCTCTACCTCCTATTAGCTGTGTGACCTTAGCTCTTGATCAAGACAACTTTATCTTTATATATCAGCTTCCTCATCTGAGAAGGATAATTATACCATTAATATCACTGGTTTCCCATGACAATTCAATGAAATGATAGATAAAAAGGGCTTAGACCAGACCTCAATTAATAGAAGGTGTTAATTTTAGCAATAGCTGTATGGCTTAAGAGTTCCTGTCATCCAAGTAACAGGATCAGAGGACACTGTGGCATTAGCATAGCAACATTGGTGGGGACAGCAGGGATGTCGGATGGCGTCTGATTGTCAGGGTTAGTTCGTAGGGTCAAACTCTGCAGCTGCTTTAGAAGAGTGCTGTCGTGTGGGAGATTCGCTCTGTGCATTGGTAGACTATAAGTACAATCCTAAGAAAGTGATCCCACAGGTGACTGAACAGAAAAAATCATAGACCAACTTAAACTTTTCATAGACCATGGTGTATTAATCAGTTTGCATCTAGACCCAAGGGAGAGTAGATGGGGTAAGTTAACAGTTAGGATAGGGTGCAAATGGGGTGGAGGAGTCGTACTCCTGAATCCCAGGATGTGCAGTGTTTCTACACGCACAGGCTCTCTCTCAATGCCACATCCATCTTTCCTGCAGATGGAGTAATTGAGGTTTGAGCAAGATGTCCCGGGTTAATAGCACTCATTTGGTCTCCTGGAGAGACACAGGGATAAGTAAGCCTGGAAGATGGCTGTGGATTGTCCCCAGCTAGCTGAACAGCCCTGGGATTTATTGCATTGCTGGGGCAGAAGACTCTGGGACCAGAGTGGGTGTCACCAGTCGGCGGCTAAGTCAAGGTCTCAGGCATACCGAGTGCTCGTGTATATTTAGTGTGTCCTGAGAAAGGACTGAATGTTTCTTGTATATTTGCTGTATCATGGCTCGTCCATATTTAGAGTAACTTGGATACTTCCCACCCTGATGGCTTATGTTTATTTAGTGTCTTGAGAACACTGGGTGTCTCTTGATCCTTCCCTTCTTTTCTATGTATGTTTAATACCCATTATTCCATTCACTAACGACCTTAACAAGCTCATGGGTTGCATCCATCCCACTTGTCTTCTTGTTTCTATAGTAAGTTATTAAATAATGTAAAGTGTGTATTGGAGTTTACCTATTGGGCGGCGGCCTTGAGGAACTATTTAGCATGCATATTTCCAGTCTGGATAAACAGCCAATGAGCAGATTTGGAGGTCACCCAAAAAGGTCCTGAAGTTAGAATATCTAACCAGCAACCCATCCAATAGTCTGTAGGCAGCACATAATAGACTTTCTACAAAAGTTTGCTAAATTAATAAATGGTTAATATTTTCAAGCACAAAAGAATTATCTTAAGTGTTTCTGTACCTATTCATAACTTTCACTGTGGCTTCACATCAAATATCTGTTTTAGTTTCCACAACAATGCTGGGGTAGGTAGAAGATGATTTGCTATCCTTGTTTTACAGATTGAGAGCCGAAGTCCTGAAATGTAACTTGCTTAAAGTTACACTCAGCAATTCTCAGATGGAACAGACTCTGGAATTCAGATTTTCTGTTTCCTAGTGTTTTGGGGCCATGAGTCTTCCTTTCTTTCTCTGTACAATCCCAGACATGTAGCAGAAGCTGTGTCCTCAGCTGGACCAGGAAGAGCTCATGATTTCCATGAACAGTTGGCTGTGAAAAGTTCAGCACAGCTATGAGACTCAGGCAAAGATGAGAGAGCCAGCACCTTGTGTTGCACGATTCTTTCATTTGACTAATTAAAAAATGCACCTATCTTATTATATCATGTAAGTATGACATTATCATACTTATTATCATATCAGTAGTCTCTAAAAGTTTCCTGCAAAATGTGTGATACTAAAGTTTACCTCCAAGAAGAGTGCTAATGTTTGTATTCACAGAGCATTGCAAAATAGGTTTATCAACCTATTTTTAAGGCATTCAGAAACACAGTGTCATTGCTTTCTTTTTTGATTAAATTAAATTAAATTTTAAGTTCTCGGATACATGTGCAAGATGTGCGGTTTGTTACACAGCTAAACGTATGCCATGGTGGTTTGTCGCACCCATCAACCTATCACCTAGGTATTAAATAAGCCCTGCATGCATTAGCTATTTATCCTGATGCTCTCCCTCACCTACCCAGCAGGCACCAGTGTGTGTTTTTCCCCTCTTTGTGTGCATGTGTTCTCATTTCAGCTCCCACTTATAAGTGAGAACATGCGGTGTTTGGTTTTCTGTTCCTGCATTAGTTTGCTGAGGATAATGACTTTGAGCTCCATTCATGTCCCTGCAAAGGACATGATATTGCTCATTTTTATGGCTGCATAGTATTCCATGGTATATATGTACCACATTTTCTTTATCCATTCTATTATCAGTGGGCATTTGGGTTGATTCCATGTCTTTGCTATTGTGAATAGTGCTGCAACGAACATATGCTTGCATGTATCTTTATAGTAGAATGATTTATATTCCTTTGGGTATATACCCAGTAATGCGATTGCTAGGTCAAATGGGATTTCCGGTTTTAGATCTCTGAGGAATCGCCACAATATCTTCTCCAATGGTTGAACTAACTTACATTCCCACCAAAAGTGTAAAAACATTCCGATTTCTTCACAGCCTCGCCAGCATCTGTTGTTTCTTGAGTTTGTAATATCACCATTCTCAATGGTGTGAGATGTTATCTCATTGTGGTTTTGATTTGCATTTCTCTAACGGTCAGTGATATTGAGCTTTTTTTCATATGCTTTTTTACAGCATAAATGTTTTCTTTTGAGAAGACAGTGTCACTTCTTTGCACTTGATATTTGGAAGGTTCTGCAGAATCCTAAGACTCAGTCCGACATTGCCAAATGTGTGTCAGCCATACCGTAGCTTTCCAGAATTCTCCACTATTTAGATACTTTGGACAATGGAAGAACTTGGCTGTTCTCAAAGCCAGATTCACATTAAGTAACCCCATGAGGGAATTCATTCACACAGGATATAAATTTGGCCATCCACACCCCGGGAGGCAAGCAAGTTAATACTGTTCCCCAAATGATAAAATTATTCCTGCAGATTGAATTTGTAATCTTTGTGCCTCAGAAGAATGAAAAAATAAAACAAATGGAAAAAGAATAAGAAGCAGAAGATAAGAGTAGGGTATAAACAAGCTATTTTCTGTGCCTCCGAGGGCAATACTTAAAAAAGAAATGACCTGGTATCAGTTGCTGGAGCCAACTGACATGCAGGTGACCCTCCCCAGCTCACCCTGTGTGGCGCTGACTGCTTCCATTTAGATTTGCTTCCGTGGTGGATCCTAGCCATGTCTCAGGATTTGCTTTTTTGCCTTTAAGTTGCCAGCTGTGGTCATTGACTACAGTTGTGTGAGGAGGCTGCTCTGAATTTAGCTTGGCTTTCTCTAATTTTAGACACTTGAAGAGGCCCAGGAAGGGATTTGTAATGGGTTACAACATTCTTTCATTTTTGGCCAATGAGTGTCACACAGCTGTGTGTATGTGTTTATGCATCTCGTGTGTGTGTGTGTGTGTGTCTGTGTCTTTCTCTGTGTGTGTGCAGGCACATGCAGAAGATCAGAGAGAGAAAAGGAGGAGAGAAAATGCTTCTGGGACATTATCTGCCACTTTGCTTGTAGAAACCGTAACCTTGGTACTTTTAAATAAAATTAACAGTGAAATACAAAATGAAAATAATAATTCATATTAGAATAATTGCATGTGGACATGCAAAACCTTTTCTCTAGGAGATTGAATATAACTTGGAATAGATACTCAACAAATCATAACATATTAGTAAAACCATGGGAACATGGCAGAAAGCCTTTTTCTCCAAAAAATTGTATATAATTTGGAATTACACCAAATAATTTGGCTTTCAGACCTTGGAACATTTACAAAAACAGTGAAAAATTCTTTGTCTGACAACATAAGAAAGTAATCAACCTATCATAGGAATAATAGGATAAGAAGATCTTACTTTCATTTTTGACACTGAAAAAGGAAATTTTAAATATAATTCCTTTCAAAGTGTGTTCTATCATCATATATATTTGAATTATAAAGTTATCTGTATATATATGTGTGTATATGCAAACATATACACACACGTATAAACATTCATATACTCAAACAGAAAGAATTTATGTAATCATTAGATTGTTATGTTCTAATATTTCCTAAAAACATTTTCTTCAGCCAGGTGTGGTGGCTCACGCCTGTAATCCCAGCACTCTGGGAGGCCGAGGTGGGCGGATCACGAGGTCAGGAGATCGAGACCATCCTGGCTAACACGGTGAAACCCTGTCTCTACTACAAATACAAGAAAAATTAGCTGGGCGCGGTGGCGGGCGCCTGTAGTCCCAGCTACTCGAGAGGCTGAGGCAGGAGAATGGCGTGAACCCGGGAGGCGGAGCTTGCAGTGAGCCGAGATCACGCCACTGCACTCCAGCCTGGGCGACAGAGCGAGACTCCGCCTCAAAACAAACAAACAAACAAACAAACCAAAAAAAACACATTTTCTTCGATATGTTTAATGACTCTATTTACAGTCCATATACTAATCCTAATTTATGTACTTCATTTCTAAGACACTTAAAGATAGCCCCATTGCTTTTTACTGTTTTCGGATTTCTCCATTTAGGGTCTGCAGTGTTCGAATTGTTTTGTTGTTGAGGAACATCCCAAGTATTCTTTCTTCTAGAGCATTCCAATTATAATTTTTTTTTCTGTTAAGCTCTGTAACGAGCTCGAACAAAGCTAAAACAACTAGCACTATGTAAATGTATATTTCCAATTTTAATTTTCATTTTACTTAAGATAATTAGCTGCTATGTGTCTGGCACCAGGAGCTCTGCTAAGCATTTTTCAAACATCTTTTCATTAAATTATTATTAAATTCTTGTATTATTACCTTTATTTTTATTGATAACTAAAGGAAGCATAAGGAGTCTATGAAGTAACTTGCAGAAAAGCTCAGAGCTAGTTAAGTTACTGAGCAGAGACTCCGAAACACTATCCCATATTGTCTCTTTTGGAAATACACATTCTCTTATTTGTTCAAATATTTTAGCTTAAGAAAAGGATGGCATAAACATCAAAGTTAATTACCACAAGTACGCATGTGCTGTTCATATAGATTTCCTTCAATATATAATTGATAATAACCTTCTATTGTAACATACCAGAGGATCTATTTAGAAATTGCTTCTTTTTGTTTTTAAAGATTTTTCTTCTTAATATTAAAACCAATGTGGACCCATTTTAAGATTACTTCAATACTTTTAAGAGTTAAAGCTCATTTTTGTTTTTTCCTCTTTGCAAATAGTGAAATATAATGTGATGGGCTGGTTACGCTAAGGGTGACTCTGATGTTAATTGTGACATATGGATTCCAATGACCCTTGAGAATTAGTCTAAATTTCATCTCTGATTTTTTTTTTTTTTTTTTTGAGACAGAGTCTCACTCTGTCACCCAGGCTGGAGTGCAGTGGCGCGATCCCAGCTTACCACAAGCTCCACCTCCAAGTTTCATGCCATTCTCCTGCCTCAGCCTCCTGAATAGCTGGGACTACAGGCACCCGTCACCAAGCCTGGCTAATTTTTTGTATTTTTTTTTTTAGTAGAGTCGGGGTTTCACCATGTCGGCCAGGATGGTCTCGATCTCCTGACCTCATGATCTTCCCACCTCAGCCTCCCAAAGTGTTCCTGTCTGATTTTTAAAGTTTCCTGATGTTTTGTACAGATAAAAGGTCATATAGATGTAATATCATTTTTCAAAGTCTTGAGTATTAGAAAACAAGTATGATTATTACATCTTCTCTAGATAGGGAATAAAAGACAGTAATTTGTTAGTGAATCAGATATCTGTACAAGGGTTGTTAAGGCAGATAAGGCTTTTGAGGAAACCCCTCCCACTGTTAGAGAAACTAAAGAGGGAAAACCTGGGCTATAATGTCTCTGTATGCTTCCAACTAAGTCAAAAGATCTCAAGGTAAAAGCTTTTCCAACAAATGTTGAAGGCAAATATTGATTTATTATCATCTATTAGCAAGCTATTATCACCTGAGATGTTAATATACTTATATTTTTCTGTGGCAGCTCTATTAATTGGCTACCTTAATTATTAGATAATACTCTCTATATGACCAAATAAGCAAGCAGAGATAAGCTGAAGGCAGCCCTAGATGTTTGTGGAATTTGCTTGTCATCTGCTTGAGTGGCATCTTGAAACTGCTGATTGCTCAGTTGATTTTAATGCTTCTCTTCAATTCAAGTAGAATCATTTAATGCTTTGGGCTTTTATTTTTACTTTTTCCACTATGTGATTTACTTGGTGATACTTGGGCTGTTTCGAATGAGACTGCTAATCACTTTTGCCAAGATGTGTATATATAATTTTTTCTGAAGTGCTCAAAGCACCTTGTATTTTCTGCCAGGCTATCCCTATGCCTCAATGCAGAAAACTTGCCAAGGTTAATGAGCTATTCCGAGTAGATATACTGTAAGCCACGAATGAGGACTGAAAGCAATAAACATTAACAAGGGCTCATTAAAATCTGGTTTTCAAATGAGTGCTCCAAACTTTTCTTTATCAAATAAAAGTATCATCACTTATGAAAATTGAAAGTCCCTTGTTGAACATTCAACTCCTAATTCAAGCTGTAGTATAATATATTCTACATACCTGATGTTTCATTTGTAAGATGAATGGCAATAGGTCTTCCATCATCTTTCCCAACCTATACATTCTATTTTTTAAAAGCCATCAGGGTTTCAAAAATCAGTCTTGCTTCTCAAATTAAGCAGCCATTAAAGAGATTATTTATTAAATTAAAAGGGTTTGAAATGGATGATCCAGTATTTATTCCTTCTTTCCATTATCAGAATTCCAGGCAATCCGGCTGAGCTTGGTGGCTCACGCCTGTAATTCCAGCACTTTGGGAGGCCAAGACGGGCAGATCACTTCAGGTCAGGAGTTGGGGACAAGCCTGGCCAACATGGTGAAACCCAGTCTCTACTAAAAATACAAAAATTAGCTGGGCGTGGTGGCATACACCTGTAGTCCCAATATTCTCCTGAGGCAGGAGAATATTGCTTGAACCTGAGAGGTGGAAGTTGCAGTGAGCTGAGGTCACACCACTACACTCCAGCCTGAGTGACAGTGAGGCTCTGTTTCAAAAAAGAAAAAAAAAAAAAAGAAAAAGAAAAAAAAGAATTCCAATGTTTAACCTGCTGCCTCTTCCTTCATGAGTTAACCTTCTAAGCCATTTGCAGACATCATTTACAAACCCTTGGATGCCAGTTTATCTGATTTATCTTCACTTTCTAGATAACAGTGCTCACTTTACGTTCTTCTGGCCCTCTTAGCTATTCTAAACCTTTCTGGTCATTCTATCATCCCCAACTCTCACAGCATAGCTGATCAGTGGTGATTGAAAGTTATTTTTGTTTGTTTGCTTTGTGTTGTTGAGGGGTGGTTGTCTAAAAGATTTGGCCCTCCTGAAATTGCCACTAGTCTATTCAAGCACTCAAAATAAACATATGGTTTTGTTAAAAACACTAAATTTACCAAGAGAAGTCTCTTAATTACCACTATCCCCTTCCCACCCCAAGATTATTTCTGCTCCTAACTTCCTTCTAGATAGAAATTCGATAGGAGAGGCTAAACTAGACCATTTCTTTACCTACTAAATATTGTGTTGTTGCCATGCTTTCCCGACTTTTCCTATCAAAGTAGTTCCTAAATCATAATCTTCCCTGTCTATTTCCTCCAGCCAGAATCTTACCCCACTGATTTTATTCCCCTAATTAGACAGTTATCCAATCAGCATCCCAAACCAAGCACTGCCTTGTCTAGCTGTTCTAAACTTAAAAAAAAAATACTGGGACATAAGAAGGTTGTTAATAATAGCCTCTCTTAGGCTATTAACATTTCATTTGGAAGAAAACTGTGGTATCAGTTAGATCATCCTATTATTTTTGTCTTTTTCTTGGGAAAGATTTTGATGAAACTTTCACAGAGACACCGATGAATAACAATAAACTCATTCAAGGCTGAAATTGGTATAATGCTATGGACTGAATTGTGTCCCTAAAATTTATATCTTGAAACCTTAACCCTAAGGTGATGGTATTTGGAGACGAGGCCTTTGGGAGGTGGTTCGGTCAGGACGGTGAAGCCCTCAGGATGAAATTAGTGCCCTTATAAGTAGAGACAGGAGAGAGATGATCTCTGTCTCAGCATGTGAGGATGCAGCAGAAGACAGTTTTCTGCAAACCAGGAAGAAAGCCCTCACCAAAAACAGAATCCCCCTGCAACTTGTCTTGGACTTCTCACCCTCCAGAACTGTGAGAAATAAATTTCTGTTGTTTAAGCCAGCCAGTCTGTGGTATTTTGTCACAGCAGCCCAAACTAATATATAAGGATACCACGAAGTTTTCATTTCATGTATCTTCTTAAGCCAACTGGGTGAAATGTCCTTTTTAAAGATGTCTTTCTTTGGTCTACCTTGTTTTATGAAGGTAAAGAACCCTAAATTCTTAAGGCGTTATGAATCTCACACATCTTAATAGGAATTTGACCCATTTATTCCTATTATTCCTCTGACATCTCTTATTTCTCTGACAATCTTTGGAAATTACGGCTTTGAAGAAACGCACATTTTGGTAGGGTTGGTTTGAGAAAGAAATAATTGTATATGCAATGAGGTATCTTCTGGAATATTTTTTTCAGTCCATTAATTTATCTAAAAACCGAAGCTGAAAATAAAAAGTGCTATGTATCCATATGTTCCAAGTTTAGAAAGCTGCTTGTAATTAGAACTCGCTACCTCCTTTTAAGGCTCAAAGAGAAGTTCCAGAGCTAATCTTCCCACTGCACAGTCACCATCACCGCTAGCCCCATCATCATAATCATTGTCTCCTGGCAAATTCAAATGAAGGAATGGGAGATGGAAGTAAATTTGGAGGGAGTGCAAAGTTCATGAAAAGAGCCTCTCTCCTCTTCTGTGGGGGAGGAGCTGGGTGTTTCCTTTTCCCACAATTAGAAAAGGAAGAACCTGAGGGAATCATCAGTAATGTTTGTGCTGAACCAAACTGCCTTTTCCCCTCACTAAACCAGAACTAACGATTGTCTCTCATGAGGATTGGTCAGGCACCAGCCCTGCTCACTGTTTAATATTTTTAAGGGAACAGAAAGACCAGAGGAGAAAACTGGTGAAGCCAAGAGAGGGGAATCGGTAAAGAAGCCAGCACCCCAAGACACCTGCTTTTCTTATTGTCAAGTAGACATGGTAGGATACGGCTGAACTTAATCCGTAGCGTAGATACCTCCAAGAACGAGCAAAAGACTTCAGATTGATTTACCTGTGGTAGGAACTAAGAAAGGAGAGATAAGTGCACAAGAAGATCTTTTCCCATTTCAAGAAAATGTGCATTACTGCGGCTTCTGTGGGACTTCCTGTAGAAACCACATCTGAGCTCCAAGAGAGCCTGCATGGTGACACATGCTGTGCAGACATTGACGATGACTTTTAAAAGAAGTAGGAATCTAGAGGATCAGATCTTGGCCCAGGAAATGAAGGTCATCGTTAAAAAAATCTGTGTTTCCATTTCTGTCCTCCTCACTGCATGACTGGAAGAGCCAAACAGAAACGAGAGCCCAACCACTCCAATACGATCATGCAGTTCCTGTGGATTTTACTCTTACCTGTTTGGGGAAAAGGGAGAAAATGGACTTTAAACCAAAACCGAGATGAGCCAATAAGATAAAAAGAACCAAGTGTTAAATACTAAAATAAAACTATGCAAATAACCCAAATTGACTGAAAGTATGTACTCCAGCCAGATGTCATTAAGGGAAACACCTGAAAGAGGACAATAGAAGCTCAATGTAGCATGGTAGGGGACATTTATGAGAAAAGTCAAACCATTTCTTCATGCCAATGAATTTAAACTTTTTACGTCCTAAAATTACATTAATTTTTTTTACCATTGAGCATTGACCTGGCTCCTATGGGGTGCTGTAGTAGACAGCGTGTATCTGTGAATCTCACTTCTGGAATGACTGTCGATTCCTTATGATCTATCTGCACTCTGTAACATGTAGCTACAGCTATCCCAGCACATATATTTTAGATTGGCCATAGTTTAAAAATACATCCAAAATAATTTCACTTTTGCAAAAATGAAAATTACAGAGGCAAGGTTAGGGGTCAGGATATTATCAAATGTGACTTGAGATCTTGCAAGAGTGAAAATGGAGCTGCTTATGCTAGTATAGAGATAAGAGCCTGAAAGGTAACAAGTTGACTTCAAAACTCAGGATGTAAAATAAAGACTAAGGGCTGTTTGCGGTAGTGCTAGTTTGTCAATGCCTATGTTGTATTGGTTGGTGTTCAGCAGACAGAAGAGGTTACTATCCTTGCTGAACCCAACTAGTTTATCCGGGCCACATATATTTAAATAGTCCCTCCCTGAGTATACTTATATGTTAGTTCTATGTAAATATTAGTCATATAGTAGTTGTACATTGCCCATAGACACTGCAATAAAAAATATAAATAGGTAGTTAAAAAAATAATTAATAAACATTGATATTAAGTGAAAAAATATGATTTAGCATTATAGATTTAACTCCACTATTATTAAAAATTTACACTATAGACTAAATTTTATACTGAAAGGAAGGAGAATTCAACCTCAATTTTTATCTAGTGGTTTTAATTTGTAACTGATTTTCCATTTGTTATTGCGTAATTTTTTTATAAGCAAAGAAACAGTAAACAATATAAATAGCATGTTGATATTTATTAGTCTAATTAGTTGCATTTTCAAGATCCATTTAATATTCAATATTAAAGATTCCATGATCCTCTAAGGAAGAAATATCATCACCTATCATCATAAAATTAAGCAGAGCTTCACAAGATGACATAGTTTTTATTTTTTATGTTTTAATATGCATGATGCATATTAGGTATTAAGTGGATTTGAATATAAGTGATTTTCAGGTCCTGTATCTTATAAGATAAGAAACAATCATCATCGTTTTCACAGAGAACATCTGAACCAACTGTGGTTATGTCTCACGATGATGAAATGCTTTGGGTCATGGGCACTCTTTCCTCCTCCACTGCCTCCATCTAAGAGGCACACATGCCATTTGACGGCAGTGTATTACGCACTGTTCTCCACAGGCCTGAATGGAAGGTCACTTTGACCTGCTGCACATTTTTACTTAAGAACTGCTTTTGACAATAAGCCACTAGCGTACTTGTTTCTAGACTGACTTGAGTTTTTGGCACAATATGAAAAGCATTTGGAAAGTGTAAGTAAAAGCCTTCCGTTTCAGAAGAAATAATGGCCCCATTTGCCATGGAAACCAGAGGACTTTATGAAAATGCACTCAACTGTTTTCTGTAGTGAGCCTAAAATTATTCTAAAAATAAATCGTATTCCTGGCATCTGTTAGCCAATGCACAAAGATTGCATCTCATAAGGTTTTCCCTCTTAGAGAAAAATGCCATGCCACTTGAATATTTCATTTTTCTTATTATTCAGAATGTATGGGACAATATATGTGCTACACAGTAGGGCCTCAATAATCAGTTTTTTCTTAAATTAAATGTCTTTTGAGAGTCAGCAGATGATAATTTGAGTGCTGCCTCTGAACATAGACCATGGTTGAGGAAACCAAATATAGGGTTTTTATGCAAAATTAGAGCAAGTCATATTCAAACATTTTTTTTTCTATAGATAAATTTTATTTATGTCAGGGGAAACTAACAAAATAGAATGTTCAATGATAATGAAAATTTTAACAGACAAATATTGGTGAATAAAAGCAAGGAGCCCAAGTCTCTGACCAGGAGTTCCATGTTACAGACCCAGCTCCAGTTGCTTCAGGTGTTCACGAGGGCAGATGGGGAGCAAGGGTGTGAAGCCATGAACCTGCTCAGTTGTAGGTACCCAGGGCCATTGCATGGGGATCTATTACTTAATTAAACTCTAAAGAAGCCTCATGCCAGGAGGCAAAATGTTATTTGTTACCTGGAAGACCAAGAGGATAGGCTGACTGTGTGACAGGACAGGGCAAATAAAATTCCTGAAGTGAGATGTGGCAAAAGGCAAAGTATAATCCAAACAGATGAGATTCATGTTCGTATCCATATGTCCTCACTGGCTTAAGAATATAGTAATAGACTCATACTGGACAGATTAGGCCATTGGTTAACACGAATATTCGTTAATTCAGTTTTCATTCAACAAATTTGTATGGAGTGCCTCCACGTTCCAGGCACCAGGATGGCTGTTAGGAATGAAGCAATGAACTGAGCACAAGCCTCAAATATTTCATGCTCTTCAGTGACACAGGTGCCTAAACACTCTGCAAATATTATTAAAAGGGGGAGAGAAAATGGCTTCCTAAACCCTCCTTGGAGATATTACCAAGGAATTTTAAGGAGGAGGAAGTGATAGAAATTTGTTTCATCATGGCAGGGCCATAGTACATAACTTATTGTTTGTACCAAGATACTTTTCAGGGTGAATCGGTGTCTGTTTAATAACCGCCTTGGGCCACAGTGTGAACTGAGACTCCTTGGTAGATCAGTACACACAGGTACTCTTCATGCATACTTGATTATTTCTTGGAAACGATCTAACAGTTTATTTTCTGTTTAACTTGCTGTCACTCTGTTGGTAGGGATCCTTACAGCCCTTTATTTTACAATTTGATTGGCCATGAATAAGTTTCTACAATAACATTCAGTTAGGAGCCTGTCGGGACACTTGCTGACCCTCTCTGTATGTAGATGGCAGAGGTTCAGCCTGGCAGGCAGACTTGTGTTTCGCCAATAGGACTCTGCCTTGGTGATCGTTTTTATAAAGAGTTAGGTGAAGTGATGAAGACCTGATGATAATAGGTGTCAATAACCCGGTCCTGGTAGGGTGAATGAATCCCCTGGCTCCATGAAGTTCTTAATAAGCAAGAACAATAGGTCAGGTTTTTAAAGATGGTGTGTTATGGGCACATGCACAAGATAGAGCACTTAAATTTAAACAAAAATAAATCTCCTGCATAAACATGAGAAGGAATAAATATGGCTTAGCAGCAGTATTTGTCAAGGAACGAATACATTTTAGCTATTAATTCCAGCTCTATGGTGTAATATAAAACTTTGGCAGAGACTTGATAGAAGGGATTCATGCTTTAGCTGGATAATTGGGCAAGAATGTGCCTTCCAGCCCTGAGATTCTGTAGTCTTGGAACTACGATAGCACAGCCTGTATCTTATTCACATCTGTCCCCTAGCTATAGATGGCACTAAACATATATGCTGTATAAATCAATAGATGCATTATAAACGATGAGAGCTTAAACAATGATGTTGACAGATTTTGTAGAAGTTTGTATCTTCGTTCACTTGTGTCCCATCTCCCTCCTTACCTGACATCTTCATATCCAATCTCCCACCTCCTCATTGCCAGTTCTCATTTCTTCCTGTATAAACATAGAAGACTGAGAATCAGCCTACGGAACCAAGAAGGACTCATAATTTTGGGAAGGCAGATCTTGTAAATCAGTAATATAATCCTTTTTTTCTCTTGATGCCAATGCATTACTTACGTAAGATTAATCAAACACATCCAAAAGATAACCAGCAACTTCACCTCACAGCTAGTGAACAGACTGGTCTGAGCAAGATTTTCCTGAAAAATCTTGTTATCCACACCCATATTTACTCTTGTTTCTCCTGGAGGCAGAATGTTGCTCTCGGATACAGGCTGGGTGTTTATCCTGTATTTATTCAGATCTAGAAGAAAAAACAGTATATCTATGTTGCCCATCCCATTCCCTCATAAAATTTAGAAACGCTGTTTTATCTCTTTTTGCCTATATTAAATCCTCTTCAGTTAGCCAGTAGGTTGAGGAAAGTGCAGACGACCAGGGTTTAAATTGCCTTACTGCCTAGTCACACTGCTGAGATCTACCGGGTAATTACCCACTGGCCATTGCGTTTCACACCGTGCCCAGCTGGGCTTGCCTAACAGCAATGGCCTTCTCTTTGTTGACAGTTATTTAAAGATGTGGTATCATAAGCCTATTTGTCAAAGTGACCTAACATTTTATTCTACGAGTATCACTGGAAGTAACCTTTAGTCCATAAATTAGTGATTCTGTAACTGCACAGATAGAACTCATGTTATAGACACTCTTCATGCAAAGTTAAAAACTACTCTGGCAGACTCTGCAGCAAAGAAAACTTCTGTCAAGCAGTTCTATTATCCCCAAGATTTCCATTATTTTGTGTAAATTGCCCTTTTTTTTTTTTTGAGACAGGGTATGGCTCAGTTGCCCAGGCTAGAGTGCAATGGCACGATCTCGGCTCACTGTAACCTCTGCCTCCCAGGCTCAAGTGACCCTACTGCCTCAGACTTCCCAGTAGCTGTACTTTCCAGCCCTGAGATTCTATAGTCTTAGAACTGTGATAGCACAGACTGTGTCTTGTTCACTTCAGGTGCACACCATCATGCTTGGCTAATTGTTGTATCTTCTATAAAGATGGGGTTTTGCTATGTTGCCCTGGCTGGTCTTGAACTCCTAAGCTCAAGCAATCTGCCCGCCTGGCCTTCCAAAGTGCTGGGTTTACAAGAGTGAGCCACTGTGCCCGGCCTGCTTTTTTAGTGGGTAATTTTTTTCTTTGTTTTTTTTTTTTAGGCAGGTCTTGTTTTGAAGGAATGATACAATTTCATCACTACATAAACGATCCTTATCTAAAAAGCCACATATTTTAAAACCAATTTTAAACCCTCCAACTTTACAACTGTGGTAACTGTGTGTGTGTGTGTGCATGCACAAGTGTGTGTGTGCGCTGTTCTGACTAGACATCGCAATCCTCTGTCTATCCAGTTCTTCCAGAGAGCATAAATTTATTTTATAGAAGTATATTTAGACAACAGGAGAGAGCCATGATGAAGCTGAGTTCTAAAATATTCCATTCTTGCTAATGAAGGGACGCTCATCTCATCATTGGCTGAAGTAACAAATTAGGATACAGGTTACGGCAAATAATGAATGTGCCTACTCCCTGAACAAATATTCTGTTTGTCCAATGACAAGTAAACCTATTGGACATGAATGGCATGTTATTAAAGAAAAATTTAGCAAGATGTTGATCAGTTCTAAGCATGTATTAATCTTTGGAGGTTGGAAGAATGCATATTGGCACTTCTTGTAAATCCAAATACCCAATATCATTCAAGTAAGAGACAGTTGTAATTTTGGTAAATTAGGACTCTTTTAGAAATAAAATAGATATAGGCATTTTATTGGATTGAAAACTGAATGTAGGTTTCCAGCGGCTAGGTCACCACCAGGTGGGGATATGATAGGAGGAATTCAAGCACAGTACACAGTAGGTGCTCAATAATAGCTTGCAAAAATTGTTTAATGTGTCCTAATTTACTGATATTTTCTGTAGCTCTTCTTTTTTTACCACTCTCCCTTGAAATATACAACAAACAAACAATTACAAGACTAGAATAATGTCTCTCTTCAGAGGAAACAGAAACACATATTTAACCTCACACTCAGGCAATAGCCAACTAAACCCCACATTATAAACATTTAAATTTAAATACACAGAAGGTTTAAAGCAAAAAACTTGGTAATAAATTTCCTTTGAAGACAAG
Source organism: Homo sapiens (assembly GCF_000001405.40). Lineage (NCBI taxonomy): Eukaryota > Metazoa > Chordata > Mammalia > Primates > Hominidae > Homo > Homo sapiens. Next base: position 105,902,577 of record NC_000013.11, on the reverse strand, counting down.
AGGATTCTCAGATATTGTGAAACACTGTTTAGATGGGAAGGCAGCTCCGTGACTTTCGGCAAATTACTTAATTGCTCTGTACTTATTTCCTGCTCTTAAAATAGGACAAATGATAGACTGATGGTTATTGTGAAGATTTATTGAGATAACATAAGTAAGGTGCTTTGAACAGTGGCAAATAATAGCATTATATGCATGTTTCTATTTCTGATCTTAATTTTTGGTAAAATATGGAGATTTCAAATGTTTCTGTTGCCACTATCTCTACTAAGATTGTGGTAATAGTTCATGACTGTGAGAAAATAATAGCAGAATGTACTGAATAATGTTTTAAATGAGACTTCAGTGTCATCAAAAATGTAATTTTCTCAATTGGAAGATGCTATGGCTAAGTGATTTCACCTGTAATGTCCAGACCTGTGTAAGAACACTGATGGTCATCTTAAATGTTATTTCACTGACTTGATACTGTGACCTTTTTTTTTTTAATAAAAAAGGTTAGTTGGCAAATATCAAGTATTTTATCAAAATATTATATGCTAGTATGAACTGAAAAAGATTTTTGCTCCTAAACAAAGTGGTCAGAAGATGCTGGATTTCACAGTTGCTGTTTCATTTATTGTTAATTTTGTTTTGTTTTGTTTTACCCCCCGGGATCAGTTCTTACTTCATTATCGTTTGATACTGTCTGAGAGTGGTATTATATTTCTACAATTTTCTTTGCCCAGTGTGACTTACTAGAAATTGAAGGGGCTTTTATATGACCCTTAGGTGATTAAAATTTAAAATAAATCGTGTTAATTTTATTCACAACTCTAAGTCAATAGACTTTTTCTGAAGACATGGAGTTAACTCCATTCTTCTACCTTGAAGAAGAAGATACATGTAATGATTATTATTTCTATTACTCCATACATTTCCTAGTTCTTATATGAGGGATAATGGGCTTATGACATTGTTTTCAATGGTAAACATTTGTGACTATGTTTGTTGCTAGATAAGCGAAGAAAAAATGGTGCTTGCCACAGGAAGTCTGTTCCAATGAATGCTTACTTATTTTACAGGGACATTTTTGAAGGATTTGCCAAAATTTCCTGGGCACCAAGCTCTAGGCAGTGCAGTGAAGCAGTTAAATAAGAAATAAAAGACCCTAAACTCTGCACAGTAACTTGCAACTAGGTGGACTATGTTGCCTCAAGGGCAACCAATCCTAAGGAAGAGATTAAGGGAAAAGTCAAGCATTTTCTTTCAACCTGTGCACTTTCAAGAAATTAAAAGTATATTGTCAAAATGTTCTTTTTAAAATAGCTTTTAAAAACCAGGCTTATTTTCATGATTTAAAATGTCTACACAAAATGAATTAGTATAATTTATATTGTAATGTAGTTGTTTGAGAAATATTTCTAATTCTGTTTCAACTTTATTTCTCCAAGGGTATAATATAAAAATTACTTCTGTTATTATTCTCTACCAGTAGGGAAAAAATTGAAACATTAGATCCATTAAGAAAGACATGTAATAAACAATTAAGATTAGTAATAATATCTATCGGGGTGATTATGACCAGTTGAATCATCTCTTTCCTTTGAATTATTTAGCTAACAAATTAACTCTCCCAAATATTTAAAATGTAAAATCATATTTTACTGCTCATTTTACTGTGCATCAAATTTAGTTTTTTATTTTTTCAATTTATTTGCTACTATAAATATGAAAGGAGGGAGAATCTTTTTTACATAAATGCCTTGCGTCACTGTCCAGTCCCCGCAGTGGAGGGGGGAAAAGAAAAGCATCGCTCAAACTAAAATATTTTTGCTTGACATTGAGCACCAGCTAGTCATACTAATAAATACCCATGTCATGCAGATGGCTGGGCAAATAAAAGATATCTAAAAATATGCACCGGTCTTGGAAAACATGGCACAAGTAAGGATATCATATCGTCTGATGTCTGTTTATTTTATATCTGATTTCTTTTGAATGGGTAGTTGGGGACTCCATTTCTAAGGAGAATAGGTAAATAAAATGACTTTTGGCATTAAGAAAAAACCAGGCTTAATTCAGTCATTTGTTTTCTTCTTGGCAATAGTTAGTTTTAGGAGGTACGTAACTGCATGGTGTTCTAGCAATTGTCTCTTTTGCATGAACAGGATGGGAAATCACCCTTGGTAGTTCTTTCCTCAATGGAACTTTTCAAAGGTGAGCTGGGTATATTATCTTGTAATTTCTGATTGCTGGTTACTAGAGGCACAAATTGGGAATTAAAGATAAAATTTAATTATTTCAACCCAAGCAGTTTCATATATGAGAAGGGAGGTGGTGTGAGCATGCAAGGGGACAACGTTTTTGCTTCAGCCCAAGACGCACTGAGGCTTGGCACCATTTGAGAGATGCCAAGCACACTTCAGAAGAAAGGAGAACTAAAATAAGCCAGAACGGTTAAATAATGCCTCAACCCCTGGAGGGCTGGGGATCAAATAAGCCAGAACGGATAAATAACGCCTCAACCCCTGGAGGGCTGGGGATCAATTAGAAAACAGTCCCTTAGTATAAAACTGCTAAATATCTAGGCCCTAAACTCTTTTTTGTCCATTTATTTATTCTTTGTATTTTTTTTTTACTTTTATTTTAAGTTCAGAAGTACATGTGCAGGATGTGCAGTTTTGTTACACAGGTAAATGTGTGTAATGGGGATTTATTGTACAGATTATTTCATCACCCAGATATTAAGCCTAGTGCCCGTTAGTTATTTTTCCTGATCCTCTCCCTCCTCCCACCCTTCGCCCTCCAATAGGCCCCAGTGTGTGTTGTTCCCCACCATGCGCCCATGTATTCTCATCATTTAGCTCCCACTTACAAGTGAGAACCTGTGGTATTTTATTTTCTGTGTCTGCATTCGTTTGCTAAGGATAATGGCCTCCAGCTCCATCAATGTCCCTGCAAAGAACCTGACCTCGTTCTTTTTTATGTCTGCATAGTGTGTCATGGTGTATATGTACTACATTTTCTTTATCCAGTCTGTCATTGATAGGCATTTAGGTTGATTCCATGTCTTTGCTATTGTGAATAGTGCTGCGGTGAGCATGCATGTGCATGGGTCTTCATACTAGAATGATATATATTTCTTTGAATGTATATGCAGTAATGAGATTGCTGCATTGAACGGTATTTCTGTTTTTAGATCTTTGAGGAATTGCCACACTGTCTTCCACAATGGTTGAACGAATTTACACTCCCACCAACAGTGTATAAGTGTTTTTTTTTTCTCCACAACCTTACCAGCATCTGTTATTTTTTGACATTTTAATAACAGCCATTCTGACTGGTGTAAAATGGTATCTCATTGTGGTTTTGATTTGCATCTCTCTAATGATCAGTGATGTTGAGCTTTTTTGATATGATTGTTGGCCACATGTATGTCTTCTTTTGAGAAGTGTCTGTTCATGTCCTTTGCCCACTTCTTAATCTTTTTGGTTTTGTTTTTGTTTTCTTTTAAATTTGTTTAAGTTCATAATAGATGCTGGATATTAGACCTTTGTCAGACGCATAGTTTGCAAAGATTTTTTTCCCATTTTGTAGGTTGTCTGTTTCCTCTGTTGACAAGTTTTTTTTTGCTGTGGAGAGTGCTATTCTCATTAAACTACCATTGACATTATTCATAAAACTAGAAAAAGCCATTTTAAAATTCGTATGAAACCAAAAAAGAGCCCGAATATCCAAGGCAATCCTAGGCAAAAAGAACAAAGCTAGAGGCATCACGCTACCTGACTTCAAATTGTACTATAGGGATACAGTAACCAAAACAGCATGGCACTGGTATAAGAACAGACAAATAGAACAATGGAACAAATAGAGAACCCAGAAATAAGACCACACACCTACAACTATCTGATCTTCAACAAACCTGACAAAAACAAGTAATGAGGAAAGGATTCCTTATTTAATAAATGGTGCTGTGATAACTAGCTAGCCATATACAAGAAACTGAAACTGGGCTTTTTCCTTGTACCATATACAAAAATCAACTCACGATGGATTAAAGACTTAAATGTAAAACACCAGATTATAAAAACTGTAGAAGAAAACCTAGGCAGTACCACTTTGGACATAGGCACGGGCAAAGATTTTATGACAAAAAGGCCAAAAGCAATCGCAAAAAAGCAAAAATTGACAAATGGGATCTAATCAACCTTCGCATTTTTTAAACTGCCACATCATGGTTGTATATATTTTTGGGGTACATGTGATATTTTGACACAGGTATACAATGTGTAACTGTCAAGTCAGTCAGAATAATTGGGATTTCCATCACCTCAAAGGTTTATATTTCCTTTGTGTTGGGAACATTACTATTCTTTTCTTCTAGCCATTTTGAAATAGGCAATAAATTGTTGTTAATAATAATTTCCCTTTCATACTACCAGATATTAGAACTTGCTCTTTCTATCCAGCTGTAGTTTTACAACCCTTAACCAACTTCTCTTCATCCGCTTTTCCCCTGTCCCTTTTCAGCCTCTGGTAACCACATTCTAGTCTCTACCTCCATGAGATTCACTTTTTAATCTCCCACATATGCACGAGAGCATGCAATATTTGTCTTTCTGTGCCTGGATTATTTCATCCATATTCAATTTGTCCTCTAGTTCCATTCGTATGGCTGCAAATGAAAGGATTTCATTTTTTATGGCTGAATAATATCCAATTTTGCACATATCATACATTTTCTTTATCCGTTTATCTGCTGATGGACACTTAGGATCATCCCATCTCTTGGCTTGGTTTATTGCAACACTATTCGTTATTGTGAGTAGTGTCGCAATAAACACAGAAGTGCAGCATCTCTTCAATATACAGGTTTTCTTTCCTTTGGATAGACACCTAACAGTGGGATTGCTAGATCATATGGTAGTTCTAGCTTTAGTTTTTTGAGGGGTAGGTCATTTCAAAGAAGGTTCACGTGGCTGTGAGACCAAGAACGCTTAATGCTGTTACCAAAGATTGCAATAGGTTGTGATAGCCCTCAGTAGTGCTATGTTCCTCTGGGGAGATATTAATTAAAAAAACACACACACACAGAAAAAAGATGCCTAAACTTTTAAAAAACTATTGATAATGGGCCGAGTGCGGTGGCTCAAGCCTGTAATCCCAGCACTTTGGGAGGCCGAAAGGGGCGGATCACAAGGTCAGGAGATCGAGACGATCCTGACTAACACATTGAAACCCCGTCTCTACTAAAAATACAAAAAAATTAGCCAGGCGTAGTGGCGGGCGCCTGTAGTCCCAGCTACTCGGGAGGCTGAGGCAGGAGAATGGCGTGAACCCGGGAGGCGGAGCTTGCAGTGAGCCCAGATGGCGCCACTGCACTCCAGCCCGGGCGGCTGAGCGAGACTCAGCCTCAAAAAAACAAAAAAGCTATTGATAATGAAGATTTGCAACTTGGAAACCGGGTTATGAGAAAACAATATTTCCAAGTTTTATAAGGGCAGTTTATATAAATGTCTGAGTTAGACAGAAAGTAATTTCAGGGAAATATTTTCTACATTAAATAGCAAAATAATGTAGCTCTTGAATTTCTTCAACGTTACTTTAATTTAAACTATGCAAACCCGAAATTGTTCTAATTAAAGCCTGTCATTAACTTTGAAATCTCAACTTGGCGTAACAAATCTGGCACAAAGTGGTATTAAACATTTTTATACAGTCATAAATTTTCAAATTACTTTATTAGATGTTTTTCACAAAAAAACAAAATGAGCTAAGGCAATAGATGAAGTGATCTGTATGATTTTTGTTAAGTATATTATGCAATTGCAAAGGGCAATTTGTGTCATTTATTTTTCAATTAAGAAAGGACGTAAAATGTTTTTGTAGCTTCCAGGTGCAGAAAGGATTCTAGAATCTCTGCACTTGGCAGAGGAGGAGGCGTTGGAAATGCATGTGGTGGGGAAGGTTGTGAAAATAAGTGCTGACATGGAGTGGAGGGTCTCAAGTGTAAGGCCTGCCTTCCTGTTGTCTTTCGGCTTTTCAGCATACTTACACCCGATACTAATTTCCTTAACTTGGACCTCCGTCTTCAGCATTTTTTATTGATAAATGTTTACTGAATATCTCCAAATATAATATCCTTTCAGAAACATAGAAGTAACTAAGTTGGTGTTATGTTACCCAGGTGGTGTACAGTATAGTTGAGGTGAAAAGACATATGTATATGAAAATCCCAGCATTTTGGGAGGCCGAGGCAGGTGGATCACCTGAGGTCAGGAGTTCAAGGCCAGCCTGACCAACATGGTGAAACACCGTCTCTACTAAAAATATGAAAATTAGCTGGGCGTGGTCGTGGGTGCCTGTAATCCCAGCTACTCAGGAGGCCGAGGCAGGAGAATCGCTTGAACCTGGGAGGCGGAGGTTGCAGTGAGCCAAGGTCAGGCCATTGCACTCCAGCCTGGGTGCCAGAGTGAGACTCTGCCTCAAAAAAACAAACAAACAAACAAAAACAATATAGTATGTACATGCATAGTTAAAACTATAAGAGCAGTACTATTATTACTATCAGGAAAGTCAACTTCATGCCTACAGTCTTGCAATATCTGTTTGGTCACATGAGAGAGACTTGGGCCTGGAACATTTTCTTATCAAGAGTCATAAAGCTCTCCAGTCTGGGCTCATCATCTTGTCTGGGAATATCTTTCTCTATTCTGGGCTCAATATGTATCCCTTTCTTTTGCCTAAATGCATGCCTTGATGGCCCCCTGGGATGATTCTAGCTTGCTGTATTTCAGACCCCAGGGGAAAAGATGGGAATCCTTCCATGGCAGCAGTAAGTGAAATGCATGGTTAGCTCCACGGTGAATCCACTGGCCACGGAGGACCAAGGCCAAGGAGCTGGATCTTAACACACACATACCCTTCTCCTGGTGTAAGTAAACACCATACAACTCGAAATGTATTGTGTTGTCTGTTCTCACCTTGAATCGTGCAATGATCTCTTCCTAGGGTGGCATTTATCGGCCTTTTAACCTTGTTTACACTCATGTCATATTCTATCCTGCAGACCAACCACCTAGTGAGCAATGAAATAACTAGAGTCAAGTAGTAGAAAGGATAATGTTTGGCCCCGATGGTCTAGAAGATTCACTGGCGAAGTAGGCTTTGAGCAGACATGAGAACGAGTTGGATTTTGATAAATAGCAAAGGACTCAGAGGCCCCTCCAGTTATGTGATCTCACACAGAAACGTACAGAGAGTGGGAAATCAAAGGGTGTGCTCAGAGGCTGGAGCAAAAGCTTATCTGGAGTAGGGAATTTCTACAGCATATCAATGGGTCAAAAGGTTGGAAAAATAGAACAGAACTGAGATGATGATATTATAGTCATCTTGAAATTAACCCTCTAAATGGATAAATAACAATAGAGAAAACACATCAGGGAATCTTTTTCGGAAGACAGGTGCCCAGTTGTCACTTAAGAATTTCAAATGGAGTGTATGTTTAGATTCAGAAAACTCCCAAGATGTATGTTGATGTACTCTGGTGATACAGAAAATATTTAACCACTAGTGCAGCATGGGCCCTGCCCCCTCAGCGTGGGGGCAAATTAGAAGAATATCAGTCCTGCTACACCCTTGGGCAAGGCAGTGGGAATCCACTTAGGGCATTTGAGCTGTGGAATGATGCAATCAATGTGCTTCTTAGGAGCACTAATAAACCACAGTGGAAGAATGAAAAGGAGGAAGGCATGCAATTCAGTTTTCATGCTTTTTGCAACCGTGATGTATTCAGAGATTCAATTAGGGTTGTAGCAGCTGGAATATAAATAAAGAGAGAGACAGGAGTAGATTTGGAAGATGCATTAGTGTTAGAAAGGCAGAGGAAGATAAAGTTCTTTCTGAGGACTAGAGCCCATTTACAGGGAAAAATCATGATACTTTTAACAGAAATAGCCATTGTGTTTTAGGGAAAAAAAAAGAGTTATGTAAGGATTAAGATAGAGTCAGACAGACCTGGATTTAAATCTTGGCTCAGCCTCTTTCAAACAGTATATCCTTAAACTTGTTACTAGACCTCCTTTATGATTCAATTGTTTGATCTGTAGAATGGATATATAACAGTGTATCTTTCATGGTGTTATGGAGTCCTACCAATCAGGGTTCTCCAGATAAACAGAACCAATAGGAGATATGTATCTATATGTCTATACTCATATCAACATCTATGTCTGTATCCATCCATCCATCTATTGAGAGAAGATTTATTATAAGGAATTGGTTCATGCAGTTATAGAGGCTGAGAAGTCCTACAGCTTGTATGGTGTGTTGGCAAGCTGTAGCCCCAGGAGAGCCTGCGGTGTAGTTTCAGTCTGAATACTGCCAGCCTTGAGGCCTAGGAAGAGCTGATGTTTTATTTCAAGTCTGAAGGTAGGAAAAGAATGAAGTCTCAGCTCAAATGTTGGTCATCATTCTACAATGTGCAGGACAGCCTCAACAGAGAATAATCCAGCCCGAGATATCAGCAGTGCCACAGATGAGACACTGTGATGTACATGGTATTTATTTATTTTTTATTTTTATTAAATGCAATTAATTAAGTAATTATTTCTTTGAAGACAGGATCTTGCTCTGTCACCTAGGCTGGAGTACAGTGGCACAATCATAGCTCACTGTAGTCTGGAACTTCCAGGCTCACTCAATCCTCCTCCCTCAGCCTCCTAAGTAGCTGGACTATAGGCATATGCTACCATGCCTGCCTAATATTTTCTTTTCTGTATTTTTGGTAAAGACAGGGTCTCACTATGTTGTCCAGGCTGATGTTGAACTCCTAGGCCCAAAGGATCTTCCCACGTCGACCTCCCAAACTGCTGGGATTATAGGCGTGAGCCACTGTGCCCAGCCTCTATAGGGCATTTAGAAAGTAATTGTGTAGAAGTCACTCATTTCTACACTCATAGACAGTTTAAGATAAATGATTCTAAACTGTCTTCCAACACTAAAAGTCTATGGCTACTGTGAACGGGGCTGCAGCAAACACGGGAGTGCACATATCTCTTCCATAGACTGATTGCCTTTCTTTTGGGTATATGCCCACAGTGGGGTTGCAATCCTGGAGACGTCTTCATAATGTGACATTGGTTTTTAACTTTCTTGCAGGCAAGCCTAAGTTGTTTTTTTTTTTTTTTTTTTTTTGAGATGGAAATTCTCTCTTGTTGCCCAGGCTGGAGTGCAATGGCGCAATCTCAGCTCACTGCAGCCTCCGCCTCCCGGATTCAAGAGATTCTCCTGCCTCAGCCTCCCGAGTAGCTGGGATTACAGGCATGCACCACCATGCCCAGCTAATATTTTTGTGTTTTTAGTAGAGACAAGGTTTTCTCCATGTTGGTCAGGCTGGTCTTGAACTCCCGACCTCAGGTGATCTGCCCACTTCGGCCTCCCAAAGTGCTGGGATTACTGGCGTGGGCCACCGCACCCAACTGAGACTAAGCTTTTTCAACTCCCAAGCTCATGTTTAATACTCTGTAATGAATGAAGACATGAATTGTAGCTATCTTGACAATTTTTTTTGATTTTTATTATAAAAAATTGCATGTTGACATAAAAGTAAAGAGAGGGTGGTATAATAAACCCAACACCTATTTCCAACAACTGTTACGATCTTTAGCAAATTTTCAAGTAATTTATAGAAATGTGGCCCATGGGTCACAAGTAATTATCACCCATTTCTGTACTTTTTTAGAAATGGAAATTAAAGGACATCACTAAAACTTTCTCAAAGTTATGGTGGGCTGAAATGCTTGGAGTCCCATAGTTAGGGACATTCTTCTCCCCAACAAAGCCCCAGTATTACTGGGATAGGTCTGGGTGTCATCGAATGAGAATTAACCACTGTAGCCCTTGTATAAACAGTCAGCATGTAAACATCATTCAAAGAAAAGTGTGGATTTCTCTCTCTCTCTCTTTTTTTTTAATCTTGATAGTCAGGTTTCCTTTATAACATTTTGTCCACTTAAGCCTTCAGTGAGTGTTTATTGTGGCTTGGTTTTATTTGTGTATAATTATTCAGAGTAGGAGATGAGGGAGAAGGGTCTGACAGCAAGATGTCTTCAAATGCCCCTAGCTCCCTAAGGATGCACCATTCTCTACTCAGGACGCCTTTACTGTGACTCTCTATAGACTACAGAGTATTTCCCTCTCTAAGGGTTCCTCACAGCCTGACCTCTACCTTGCAAGTCACAGAATCAGACAGTTCAGAAAGAAACTCTGCTTCAGGAGTAATGCGTGCTTTGCAGACAAAATGACTCTTTGTATTTGGGCAAAGAGAGAATCTTAAAGCAAAATGTGAGCTATTCTAGTTGTTATTTAATAGTTACAAAATTCAAAAAACATAAACAGAATGGATATAATTCTAATGGAACTTTTTGAAAAATCCGATACATGAGAATGCCTGAAGGAAGTTTTCGTGATTATGCATGAAACTCAATTCCAGATATTCAATTTCCAGATTTTCCACCATCAGCATTAATAGCTTACATAATAATGGACTCAACTATTAGGAATAAAATGTCTAAAGTACGTCTTCTCCCACTTTATGGAGGCACTGACCTTTGCTATGGTGAGAAGACTTTAAACAGTTTGCCTTCATCCATCCCTCAGTCTCAATATTATGGACAACTACGCACAATTTAAAGTATTCTCCATCTAAAGTCCATTCCCCACTCCATTGTCACAGTATTCAATTTCTTAGTAATATATAGGAACCACTTTCTTCTGCATGGCTGGAAGTTGCTATTTTATGTTTAGAAATAAATTATGTGTCAAGAGCAGTGTGAATAACAAATATCTGTTACTGGCCAACCGATATTCAGACTCTCTAAAATCTGTGCAAATGTCATGAACATTGGGACTAATTTCTTAACAGTAGGCCAAGTCCAAACTTAACACTATTTGAGAGCCACACTGTACCTCTAAAATGAAGATCTCTGTGCTATTTATTTCCACCATGTTTTACCCCAAGACAATTGGCAGGTAGTAAATAATAGCAATGAGTATTCAAATCATAGATTGTTATTTGTCCTGACTTAGAAATAAGGTAACATCTAAAAAAATATGGACAAAGGGCTCACATTGTTTAGCATTAAATGGGAAAAATTCTATAAGACATACTGAACAGGAAAATAGTATTCTGATCATGAAAGTGTAAATTCAATCATTCAATTTAAATGCTAGAATTTGGGTTTTAGAGGGAATCTCAGAAGTTTTCTGGTTGAAACACCCTGTATTACAGGTGAGACAACTGAAGTGCAGTGATGGTAAATGACCTGCCTAAAGTAAAGCCTAATAGCTCAACGTGACTGCAAACCAAGTCTCTCCATGATGCTGTTTTTCACTCTATCATTTTTTTCTCACTGGTTTATTGGTACGATGGTGATACAATGAATAACTCACATCTAGATGAGGCTTCTACATAAAAGAATTTTTATTCTCAATTGAGAAACTTCTACCAAACTGAGTTTGGAAGAGTAATTTTCCTCTTGCTCTCTCTCTCTCTCTTTCTCTCTGTGTAAGACACCTTACACACACAGACAGAGTAACACCCTTATTGAGATAAAATTCACATTCCATGCAATTCACCAATTTTATGTGTGCAATGTAATGTTTTTAGTGTAATCACTAATGGTATACAACCATCACCACAATCAATCTTAGAATATTTTATCTCCTCAAAATAAAACCTAAACACATTACCAATTATTCTTTGTTTCCCTCCTCCCCCAGAGGCCTAAGGTGAGATCTAATTTCTTTCTCTATAAGATTGTCTTATGGACATTTCATGTAAATGAATACCATTGTGGCATTTTTGTGGCCGGTTTCTCTCACTTAGCATAATGTTTTCAAGGTTCATCCATGTCATAGTATGTATTTGTACTTCATTTCTCTTTATTGATGAATAATATTCATCATCTGGCGATGCAACATTTTAATTATGCTTTCATCAGTTGCTAGACATTTGTCCTTTTTCCCACACATTTTTTTCACTATAGTGAATAATGCTTCTTTGAAAATTCATGGCGGTTCCGAGATGGCCAAATAGGAAGAGCTCCAGTCTACAGCTCCCAGCAAGAGCAACGCAGAAGCTGGGTGATTTCTGCATTTCCAACTGAGGTACCAGGTTCATCTCACTGGAGAGTGTCAGACAGTGGGTGCAGTACAGTGGGTGCAGCACACCGAGCGTCAGCTGAAGCAGGGTGAGGCATCACTTCACCTGGGAAGTGCAAAGGATCAGGGAATTCCCTTTACTAGCCAAGCAAAGTTGTGACAGACGGCACCTGGAAAATCGGGTCACTCCCACCCTAATACTGTGCTTTTCCAATGGTCTTAGCAAACTGCACACCAGGAGATTATATTCCATGCCTGGCTCAGAGGGTCCCATGCCCACAGAGCCTCACTCATTGCTAGCACAGCAGTCTGTGATCAAACTGCAAGGCAGCAGCAAGGCTGAGGAGGGGTGCCCGCCATTGCTGAGGCTTGAGTAGGTAAACAAAGCTGCCCAGCAGCTCGAACTGGGTGGAGCCCACCACAGCTCAAGGAGGCCTACCTGCCTCTGTAGATTCCACCTCTGGGGGCAGGGCATAGCCAAACAAAAGGCAACAGAAACCTCTGCAGACTTAAATGTCCCTGTCTGACAGCTTTGAAGAGAATAGTGGTTCTCCCAGCATGGAGTTTGAGATCTGAGAACACACAGACTGCCTCCTCAAGTGGGTCCCTGACCCCTGAGTAGCCTAACTGGGAGGCACCCCCCAGCAGGGGCAGACTGACACCTCACACAGCTGGGTACCCCTCTGAGACGAAACTTCCAGAGGAACAATCAGGCAGCAACATTTGCTGTTCAGCAATATTCACTGTTCTGCAGCCTCCGCTGCTGATACCCAGGCAAACAGGGTCTGGAGTGGACCTCCGGCAAACTCCAACAGATCTGCAGCTGAGGATCCTGACTGTTAGAAGGAAAACTAACAGAAAGGAAATCCACACCAAAACCCCATCTGTATGTCACCATCATCAAAGACCAAAGATAGATAAAACCACAAAGATGGGGAGAAAACAGAGCAGAAAAACTGAAAATTCTAAAAATCAGAGCGCCTCTTCTCCTCCAAAGGAACGCAGCTCCTCACTAGCAACGGAACAAAGCTGGACAGAGAATGACTTTGATGAGTTGAGAGAAGAAGGCTTCAGACGACCAAACTTCTCCAAGCTAAAGGAGGAAGTTCGAACCCATTGCAAAGAAGTGAAAAACCTTGAAAAAAGATTAGATGAATGGCTAACTAGAATAACCAATGCAGAGAAGTCCTTAAATGACCTGATGGAGCTGAAAACCATGGCATGAGAACTACGTGACGAATGCATAAGCTTCAGTAGCCGATTTGATGAACTGGAAGAAAGGGTATCAGTGATGGAAGATCAAATGAATGAAATGAAGCAAGAAGAAAAGTTTAGAGAGAAAAGAATAAAAAGAAATGAACAAAGCCTCCAAGAAATATGGGACTATGTGAAAAGACCAAATCTACATCTGATTGGTGTACCTGAAAGTGACGGGGAGAATGGAACCAAGTTTGAAACCACTCTGCGGGATTTTATCCAGGAGAACTTCCCCAACCTAGCAAGGCAGGCCAACATTCAAATTCAGGAAATACAGAGAATGCCACAAAGATACTCCTTGAGAAGAGCAACTCCAAGGCACATAATTGTCAGATTCACCAAAGTTGAAATGAAGGAAAAAATGTTAAGGGCAGCCAGAGAGAAAGGTCGGGTTACCCTCAAAGGGAAACCCATCAGACTAACAGCGGATCTCTCAGCAGAAATTCTACAAGCCAGAGAGTGGGGGCCAATATTCAACATTCTTAAAGAAAAGAATTTTCAACCCAGAATTTCATATCCAGCCAAACTAAGCTTCATAAGTGAAGGAGAAATAAAATCCTTTACAGACAAGCAAATGCTGAGAGATTTTGTCACCACAAGGCCTGCCGTACAAGAGCTCCTGAAGGAGGCACTAAATTTGGAAAAACATGCCAAATTGTAAAGAGTGTCGATGCTAGGAAGAAACTGAATCAACTAACGAGCAAAATAACCAGCTAACATCATAATGATAGGATCAAATTCACACATAACAATATTAACCTTAAATGTAAATGGGCTAAATGCTCCAATTAAAAGACACAGACTGGCAAACTGGATAAAGAGTCAAGACCCATCAGTGTGCTGTATTCAGGAAACCCATCTCATGTGCAGAGACACACATAGGCTCAAAATAAAGGGATGGAGGAAGATCTACCAAGCAAATGGAAAACAAAAAAAGGCAGGGGCTGCAATCCTAGTCTCTCTGATAAAACAGACTTTAAACCAACAAAGATCAAAAGAGACAAAGAAGGCCATTACATAATGGTAAAGGGATCAATTCAACAAGAAGAGCTAACTATCCTAAATATATATGCACCCAATACAGAAGCACCCAGATTCATAAAGCAAGTCCTTAGAGACCTACAAAGAGACTTAGACTCCCACACAATAATAATGGGAGGCTTTAACACCTCACTGTCTACATTAGACAGATCAATGAGGCAGAAAGTTAATAAGGATATCCAGGAATTGAACTCAGCTCTGCACCAAGTGGACCTAAAAGACATCTACAGAACTCTCAACCCCAAATCAACAGAATATACATTCTCTCAGCACCACATCACACTTATTCCAAAACTGACCACACAGTTGGAAGTAAAGCACTCCTCAGCAAATGTAAAAGAACAGAAATTATAACAAACTGTCTCTCAGACCACAGTGCAATCAAACTACAACTCAGGATTAAGAAACTCACTCAAAACCGCTCAACTACATGGAAACTGAACAACCTGCTGCTGAATGACTACTGGGTACATAACGAAATGAAGGCAGAAATAAAGATGTTCTTTGAAACCAATGAGAACAAAGACGCAACATACCAGAATCTCTGAGGACACATTTAAAGCAGTGTGTAGAGGGAAATTTATACCACTAAATGCCCACAAGAGAAAGCAGGAAAGATCTAAAATTGAAACCCTAACATCATAGTTAAAAGAACTAGAGAAGCAAGAGCAAACACATTCAAAAGCTAGCAGAAGGCAAGAAATAATTAAGATCAGAGCAGAACTGAAGGAGATAGAGACACAAAAAACCCTTAAAAAAAATCAGTGAATCCAGGAGCTGGTTTTTTGAAAAGATTAACAAAATTGATAGACCGCTAGCAAGACTAATAAAGAAGAAAAGAGAGAAGAATCAAATAGATGCAATAACAAATGATAAAGGGGATATCACCACTGATCCCACAGAAATACAAACTACCATCAGGGAGTATTATAAACATCTCTGTGCAAATAACTAGAAAATCTAGAAGAAATGGATAAATTCCTGGATACATACACCCTCCCAAGACTAAACCAGGAAGAAGTTGAATCTCTGAATAGAACAATAACAGGCTCTGAAATTGAGGCAATAATTAATAGCTTACCAATCAAAAAAGTCCAGTACCAGATGGATTCACAGCCGAATTCTACCAGAGGTACAAGGAGGAGCTGGTACCATTCCTTCTGAAACTATTCCAATCAACAGAAAAAGAGGGAATCCTCCCTAACTTATTTTATGAGGCCAGCATCATCCTGATACCAAAGCCTGGCAGAGTTACAACAAAAAAAGAGAATTTTAGACCAATATCCCTGATGAACATTGATGCAAAAATCCTCAGTAAAATACTGGCAAACCGAATCCAGCAGCACATCAAAAAGCTTATCCACCATGATCAAGGGGGCTTTATCCCTGGGATGCAAGGCTGGTTCAACATATGCAAATCAATAAACGTAATCCAGCATATAAACAGAACCAACGACAAACTCCACAAGATTATCTCAATAGATGCAGAAAAGGCCTTTGACAAAATTCAACAGCCCTTCATGCTAAAAACTCTCAATAAATTCGGTATTGAGCTATTTATGACAAACCCACAACCAATATCAAACTGAATGGGCAAAAACTGGAAGCATTCCCTTTGAAAACTGGCACAAGACAGGGATGCCTTCTCTCATCACTCCTATTCAACATAGTGTGGGAAGTTCTGGCCAGGGCAATCAGGCAGGAGAAAGAAATAAAAGGTATTCAATTAGGAAAAGAGGAAGTCAAATTGTCCCTGTTTGCTGATGACATGATTGTCTATCTAGAAAACCCCATTGTCTCAGTCCAAAATCTCCTTAAGCAGATAAGCAACTTCAGCAAAGTCTCAGGATACAAAATCAATGTGCAAAAATCACAAGCATTCTTATACACCAATAACAGACGAACAGAGAGCCAAATCCTGAGTGAACTCCCATTCACAATTGCTTCAAAGAGAATAAAATACCTAGGAATCCAACTTACAAGGGATGTGAAAGACCTCTTCAAGGAGAACTACAAACCACTGCTCAACGAAATAAAAGAGGATACAAACAAATGGAAGAACATTCCATGCTCATGGATAGGAAGAATCAATATCGTTAAAATGGTCATACTGTCCAAGGTATTTTATAGATTCAATGCCATCCCCATCAAGCTACCAATGACTTTCTTCACAGAATTGGAAAAATCTACTTTAAAGTTCATATGGAACCAAAAAAGAGTCCACATTGCCAAGACAAGCCTAAGCCAAAAGAACAAAGCTGGAGGCATCACACTACCTGACTTCAAACTATACTACAAGGCTACAGTAACCAAAACAGCATGGTACTGGTACCAAAACAGAGATATAGACCAATGGAACAGAACAGAGGCCTCAGAAATAATACCACACATCTACAACCATCTGATCTTTGACAAACCTGACAAAAACAAAAAAAAAAGATTCCCCATTTAACAAATGGTGCTGGGAAAACTGGCTAGCCATATGTAGAAAGCTGAAACTGGATCCCTTCCTTACACCTTATACAAAAATTAATTCAAGATGGATTAAAGACTTACATGTTAGACCTAAAACCATAAAAACACTAGAAGAAAACCTAGGCATTACCATTCAGGACATAGGCATAGGCAAGGACTTCATGTCTAAAACACCAAAAGCAATGGCAACAAAAGCCAAAATTGACAAATGGGATCTAATTAAACTAAAGAGCTTCTGCACAGCAAAAGAAACTACTATCAGAGTGAACAGGCAACCTACAGAATGGGAGAAAATTTTTGAAATCTACTCATCTGACAAAGGGCTAATATCCAGAATCTACAAAGAACTTAAACAAATTTACAAGAAAAAAGCAAACAACCCCATCAACAAGTGGGCGAAGGATATGAACAGACATTTCTCAAAAGAAGACGTTTATGCAGCCAACAGACACATGAAAGAATGCTCATCATCACTGGCCATCAGATAAATGCAGATCAAAACCACAATGAGATACCATCTCACACCAGTTAGAATGGCGATCATTAAAAAGTTAGGAAACAACAGGTGCTGGAGAGGATGTGGAGAAATAGGAACACTTTTACACTGTTGGTGGGACTGTAAACTAGTTCAACCATTGTGGAAGACAGTGTGGTGATTCCTCAGGGATCTAGAACTAGAAATACCATTTGACCCAGCCATCCCATTACCGGGTATATAAGTCATGCTGCTATAAAGACACATGTACACGTATGTTTATTGCAGCACTATTCACAATAGCAAAGACTTGGAACCAACCCAAATGTCCATCAATGATAGACTGGATTAAGAAAATGTGACACATATACACCATGGAATACTGTGCAGCTATAAAAAATGATGAGTTCATGTCCTTTGTAGGGACATGGATGAAGCTGGAAACCATCATTCTCAGCAAACTATCACAAGGACAAAAAACCAAACACCGCATGTTTTCACTCATAGGTGGGAATTGAATAATGAGAACACTTGGACACAGGAAGGAGAACATCACACACCGGGGCCTGTTGTGGGGTGGTGGGAGGGGCGAAGGATAGCATTAGGAGATATACTTAATGTAAATCATGAGTTAATGGGTGCAGCACACCAACATGGCACATGTATACATATGTAACAAACCTGCACGTTGTCCACATGTACCCTAGAACTTAAAGTATAATTAAAAAAATAGAAAAATAAGAAAAAAGAATATTGCTTGGTTGGGAAACCAAATAATCTGTCATAAACAAGATGTGCTTTGCAAAGGCTTCACTGTAGAGACATTTGTAGGACCATGCAAGATTTGCTATCATTATGGTTCATATGATCAGAATTGGAATCTTAAAATTACCTGCCACCCCCTTATCCTCGTCACTTCAAAATGTAAGTGGAAGCATTATCTCTGAGCCATCCATCCTGGAACCTTCTAACGTTCTCTTTCCAAAAGAAGGACTGGGAAACATGTTGGAAGCTCTTGGAGTTTCCATTTAAGAAGAAAACAAACAGAAATCACACAAATTCACACTCAAGTGCTACTCTAAATGGGAAGAACATATTTCAAGAAATAAACACTATTTGACTAATCAGAAAAAAAAGAAAATTCATGTACATGTTTTTGTGGGGATATAGGTTTTCACTACTTTTATGTATATACTTAGAGTATATTACTGGTTCCAACTTTATATTCAACATTTTTGAACAACGCTAGACTGTTCTCTGAAGAAGATGCATCATTTTACATTGCAACAAGCAATGTGTGAAGGTCTCCATTTCTTTGTATCCTTTCACTTTCTGGATGGAATTCTTTCAATCAAAAAAGTTCTAATTTTGGTGAAGTCAATTGAGCTCTTTTTTGTTGTTGCTGCTTGTGCTTTGCCATCATGTTTAAGAAGACGTTCAACCAATGAACATAATGATTTACTCGTATTTGTTTTTTAACCATTTTATGATTTTAGCTCTTATACTTTTGTTCGTGATTGATTTGTGTGTAGTCTCTGAGAAAGGAGTCAAAAATTCATTATTTGCTTTCTCTTTTTGTATGAGAATATTCTGTTGTCCCACACAATTTGTTGAAAAGAATAGTCTTTTCTCATGGAATTATTTTGTCACCCTTGTCAAAAAGCAATTGACCATTAGTGTATTTAAGGGTTTATTGTGAACTCTGAATTCTATTCCATTTATGTATTGATATGTCTATCTTATGCCAGTGCCACTCTGTCTCAATTACTGTAGTCTTATTCCGTATTATTGACTATTCTGGGGACCTTGAATTTGCATATTAATTGTAGGATCAGTTTGTCAACTTCTCTGAAAATGACAGCTGGGATTTTTATAAAGATCGTGTAGAATCTATAGGTCACCTGGAGAGTATTGCTACTGTAATAATATTAAGTCTTCCTGTCCAGGAACATAGACAATTTGCATTCATTTGGGTCTTCTTTAATTTCTTTTAACAATATTTTGTAATGTTCACAGTATTAACTCTGCACTTCTTTTGTTATCTTTTTCCCTAAGCATTTTTTTTTCTGGATGCTACTATAAATGAAATTGTTTTATTAATTTCCTTTTCAGATGGTTTATTGCTAAAATATAGAAATACAATGATTGTTGCATATTGACCATTTAATCCTGCAGTTTTGCTAAAGTTGTATATTCATTCTAATAGTATTTTTAATGAATTCTTTTAAGTTATCTGTATACAAGATAATGTCATCTGCAAATGAAGATTGTTTTACCTCTACATTTTCAGTGTGGATGCTTTTATTTAATTTTCTTGCCTAATTTTCCAGGCTAGGACCTCTAGTACCATATTGAATAAGAGTGGAGGGGCAGAAATTCTGATTTAGGTTAAGCATGTTCTTCTTTCAGTGTTTCATTATTTATTTGATGTCTTTGTTCTTTCTTATTATGGATGCTTAGAGGTTTAGAGCTTCCTCTCAATACTTCAATTATATCAAACACATTTGGCATGTTGTGTTTTTATTTTCATTTACCTCGAAGTATTTTCTAATTTCCCTGTGATTTCTTCTCTGACTTAACACTTATGTAAGAGAGTGATGTTTAATTTCTACATTTTTGTGAATTTTTCAAATTTCTTCTTGCTGTTAATTTCTAAGTTTATTCCATTGTGGTTAGAGAACATACTTTGTATGATTTCAATGCTTTTAGATGAATTGAAGATTTGATATGACCTAGCATAGGTTCTATCCTGGAGAATGTTTCATGTGTCTTGAGAACGTGTGTGTGTGTGTGTGTGTGTGTGTGTTGAGGTAAACATTTATACAATAACATCTATAGGTTTAAGGTACACAATTCAATGGATTTTGATAAAATACACACTTGAGTAACCACCACCTGGATCAAGATGCATCATGCACCCTGAAATTCCGTTGTGTCCGTTTCTGGGACATATGCAACCCTCCCTCACAGGCAACCATCATTCTGATTTATACTACCGTATTTTAGTTTGCCTGTTTATGTACTTGAAATAAACAGACTCACACAGTATGAGCTCTTTCGTGTCTGGCTTTCGTTTTCATTCCAACTAAAATTTTTAAGATTCATCCATCTTGGCTTTAGTTTTCAGGTTTTGCAATTGTGAGGATAGTTGATAGAAACCTACCTGTACATATCTTTTGTGTACCCATATTTTTATTTCTTTTGGATAAATATAAAGAAGATTACTTAATCAGAGTGTAGGTGTGTCTTTAGTTTTCTAAGAAACTGCAAACGTTCTCCTGAAATCGTTGTACTATTTTATATTTCCACAGAGAAATGCATGGGAGTCCCATTTGCTTCACATTCTCACAGCTTTTACTGTGTTCACATTTTTCTGCTTAATTTTACTCATTCTAGTAGATGAGAAAGAATATCTCATTGTAGACGTTATGTGAATTTATCTGATGACCAATAATGTGGAGTGCTTTCATATACTTTCTGGAAATACATCTTTTTTCTTGAAGTACCTTTTCAAGTCTTTCCGATTTTTAAATTGCATCGTTTGTCTTTTTGTTATTGACTTGTAGGAGTTCTTTATATATTTTCGTTGCAAATCCTTTGTCAAATATGTGTATATATGTATTAAATTATACATATTTTCTGCCTCTCTGTGGCATACCCTTACATTTTCTTAATGTCTTCTACTGACAAACACATGTGTTTTCTTTATTTTGATGAAGTCTAATGCATCATTTTTTTTGGTTATGTTTAACAATTTTTGGGTCTTCTCCAAGAAAATATTACCTACCCCAAAGTTACAAATATATTTTACTATGTTTTCTTTTTCAAGATTTATAGTTTCAGCTTTTACATTTAAACCAATTATTTATTTCAATCATTTTTTGCATTGATGTTAGGAAGGAGTTCCACATCCATTTATTAACACACATTCATCCAATTGTTCTAGGGAAATACTTTTTCCTTGTGAAATACCCTTGGTGCCTTCATTGAAGATCATTTGAACATGTATTCATATATGTTGTTTTCTCTTACTATTCTGTTCCATTGGCTTATTACTCTAACCACACAAAAATACCATACTCATGTGACTGCTGTAACCTTATGGTAAGCCTCAAAAGCAATTTGATTTAAATCTTCCAACTTTATTTTTCTTTGCCAAGACTTTGTTTTGAGTGATGTAGATCTTATATTTTTTTGATAAACTTGTCCTTTTATTTTCTTAAAAATAAAAAAATCCATTTGGTATTTCAATTGAAATTGCATTGATTTTATAGATCTATTTGGGGACAGTTGACATTTATTGATGCTGAGTCTTCGACTGATGAACAGGGTGCATTTCTCCATTTATTTAGATTTTCTGTCTCTTCTTTCATCAGTTGTGGTAATTTCGGTCATTTGGGATATCTGTTCTTTTCACCTAAATTGTCATATTTATTGGCATAAAGTTAATCATAATATCCCTATATTATCCTTTGTTGACTATAGGATTTGTAGTCATTCCCCACTTGCATTGCTGATGTTGTTATTTGAGTTTTCTCTCTTTTTTCTTGACCACTCTGGAAGAATGTTTCTATTTTTAGAACCTTTTTATTGAACCAACCCTGAGACTTGTTGATTTTCTGTATTGTTTTCAGCTGGCTCTCTGAACATTTCGCCCCATCAGGAAAGAAGCCATGTTAGAGCTCTCTGAAATTCAGGGACCAGGGCCGGGGTTCCACTTGTCTGTGTCTAAGAGTGGTACTCTTTGCTCCTTCTGATATAGCTAGATAGATTCTTGTCCTTGCCTACTTCAGCATGTCCCTGAGGTAGACTGTATTATTATTAAAAAAATACTACCTCATCGTGGGATGGTTACTCATCAGGGGGATGGTTAAGTATCTTTTTCTTGCACCATTAATATAAGGCTTGGCTCTTTGACTTGCTTTGGCTGATGCTCAAATTTGGCAGAAGTCTTAAATGTCATGAATTACCACATCTCTTTCCTCTGCCCCCAGATAGGAGATGTCTCTGATAGAAGCTGCTTCATCAATCGTGTTCCTGAAGTGAAGGTGAGATGGAGCCGTGGTCCCAGGTGAACCATAATGGTGAGGTAGAGAGAGAAAAGTCAAACAACAAACAATTCAAACAAACAGCAACAAAAATCCTTGTTGTTAGTTTGGGATTAGAACCATGTAACCTATCCCACCTGGTCAGAATCACTTAATGCCCAGGAGTTCTGGGTTTTACACAGAAACGAGATTATGAGTCTTCTCAGCAATTCAGTGCTGCACTTCATCTTTAGAGCAGAACTGTTTGTTTCCTGAGACCTCACTCTCTTCTGAAAACTGTCCCTAGAGTTGTCCTCTCATTCACTGAGTTTTAAATCAAATCCAGGAGACTGATTTGGTGACATATAATAGGATTTGAACTTCCTTGTTTTCAGCCACCTGCTAAAGTGAGCATCTGGGTTTGGAAAGAATGTTGTTTCTCCAGCATAATTTAGTTTTTGGTTGAAACCAAGCCTAGAAGGTTAATCTAAAAGGGGTTTCTTTGTGGAAAAGTTATGAATAAGTGAAAAGAGCAGAGTTTGATATCATATACTTTCATGAATTCCATTATGTTTTCCCACAAACACTGTACTAAGAGAGGAAATAGAAAATTTGTAATTTTTCTAGGTAAGCAGCTTCATTTACCAAAGGTAGAGTACATATTTAGTTTAAGAATAGGTTAGCTACCAACTGTTAAACGAACCAACTAATCTCAAATATTCATTATATCAAAATATGAATTCAGAATATGGATTTTCCATTTGCACATTTTTTTTTTCCAGCAGGGACTGTCCTGTTTTGTTTTGTTTTGTTTTGCTTTAATAAAAAAGAGTGTGCAGAAAAACACAGTTTCTAGGAAAGTTTAAATTTTTGCTTTTCTAAATACAATGAAGGAATATGTATTCCTTTAACACAGTTACAAACACGTTCTGTCTGCAGGGACGTAGTACTGTTGGTCCGTGTAAACTATAATACTGGACACTGTCTGGTCACTCAATCTATAGTACTCTTACTTTTATCTGACTGAAAACAGACTAAACTTTGCAATTTTCATAGTGCTTTCATTTTTTTGCTTTTAAAATTAGCAATTAATTCATGAAAACCATTACTATCGATATGTATCTAACCAATATTAACATATTTACTACTTAGAGAAGAAAATTCTATTACGTCTTCTTAATTTTATTTTTTCACTTCCTTGCATAGAATTCGAATGAACAGAGTGCTCCATAGGGACTGTATAATTCCTTTTGCTTTACTTAAAGTTTAAAAACACGAGATTTGGGTGAAATTTTTTCTTGCCTTTGCTGAGGGTTTTGGTATTCGCTCGCAAATGTAAAAATAAGCACTACTGCAGAGTCCTGACCTCAGCAATCCCGAGGTAGCAATAGATAACTCGAGGGGAGGCTGAGGCAGGAGGATTGCTGGAGTCCAGGAATTCAAGATGACACTACTTAAATTACAGTTCTCACAGTTTGATGAAAATACATGCACTCATTTCTAAGTTATCAATGTCCCATAGTATTGTATATTTTAGATTGTTTTTAAATCAACAAGGCATGTTTAAAAAAATCATGTAAATCAAATACATCTGGTTGTATTTTCTTCTACTTCTCCAAGATAATTTACCTTTGGATTGAGACCAACTCTTGAAATTCAATCTGAAAAAGGATTGTTTTGCGTAAAGGTTATGAACAAGAGACTAGAGAGGAATATGCAACACTTTCATGTACACCATTGTTTCTCCTGCACACACTACAATAAGAGGGGAAGTTCACAGCATATAAAGCAAATAATGAAAGGAAATTCACAGAGTGGTTCCCATATCCTCACTGTAAGGCAAGTGAATGAAACAGGAAGCATGATGGCATATGATTATTTGACTATATATACTGTTGTGTGTTGAAATGTGACATCATTTGCCAAAAGGGATTCCCTTTGCTAATGATTGCAAATTTGTTTCTAGCCATTTTTAGCCTCTGTGTAATGAAAATAATAATAATAGTGTGTTTCTGTAAAATGCTTTTCAAAGTAAATTGCCGTTGGAGTAGGTGAAACTATGTTCTTTTTTCCTATTGTTAAACCAGTGGCATTGATTTCAGATACTTTAGGTGCTATAAAAGCACCTATAATCAACTTTTTTTTTCTTGGACAAAAGGTAATTATTGAGCAATTACTAATATTATCATTATGAAGTCATTAAAGGTTTAGCTCTCATTTAAATACAAAGATTGAACATAGCTAACCTGTTTATTTTTATTGATTCAGATCATCTTAGTGGTTCTGATATTGGTTTGGCTCTGGGTTGCCACCCAAATCTCTTCTGCAATTGTAATCCCCACATGCAGAGGGAGGGATTTCATGGGAGGTGACTGGATCATGGGGGCGGTTTCTCTCATGGTATTCTCGTGATAGTGAGTGAGTTCTCATGAGATCTGATGATTTAAAAGTGTGGTACTTCCCCCACCGCCGCCTCCTGCCACCATGTAAGAGGTACCTTGCTTCCCTTTTCACCTTCCACCATGATTATTTCTTCAGTTCCCCTCAGCCATGCGGAATTGTGAGACAATTAAACTTCTTTTTTTTTTATTTTATAAATTACTCAATCTCAGGTAGTTCTTTATAGCAGTGTGAAAACAGACTAACACAGGATCCAAGCAATTTGTGCTAATTGCCTATTTTATAGCAGGAAAACTGGGAAAAGATGTTAAATTACTTGGTCTCTAATTTCATCAGTAGCAAAGCATGGGCAACGCAGAGATACCCTGGTTTCATCTGAGGGGACTGGAAGGACTAGGACACCCCCACTAAACACCAGATGTTTGGCTTCTTTAAATATGGCTTTTAGTAAATTACTCAGGTAGAAACCAGTGGTATAGAGGGGCACTGGCACAGTCTTTACCGTGCACCATGTGATCTTATGCACTGTGGCCTATGGCCAAACACTGAATTTCAATATTGCTTGAGGTGAGAGCAGGTGGTTTGAGGAAGGAGAAAAAGATATATCTTGTCAAGTGGAAACAGGCAGGCTGGATGAGGGCCAGAAGGCTGTCCAGGTTATATCTAGGATAAATGTAATATCTTTTTGAAAATGAAGAACAGTTACTTTATAATTCAAAGCAGTATTCAGGAAATCTGCCACAATTTTCTTTTCCTTTTTCTATTGTCTTGCTCTTTAATAGAGATAGTTTTGAAAATATCAGCCTATCTTGAATTCCTATCAGAGGTTTGGGTTCTATTTTAGGTAAAAAACTTAAAGGGGCATTTTAAGTGAGAAGCAAGAGTAGCAAGGTGGTAACAGAGGTAATTACCCAATGTGAGAAATTCAAAAGAAGGAAGGAACCCATAGGAAAAGACTCCAGGGCTTGGCTGAGATACCTCTTGCCACTTTGAGTCTCATTCCAGTACTTTTCTCTGGTAAGCTCTTGACTTTTTTTGTTTTGTAATATGGCCCAAGCTCTCTAGAGTAAAGGACTAAAGGAGACAGTGTGGTATAATGAGTTCAATTTTCAAGAAAGGAAAAATCAATTTCAACTGAGCATATCACATTATGTAGTATTAGGATGACTTTAATTTCCCAAAGAAAGATACAAACGGATATTTTCTCCAGCCCTACACACAATCCTTACTCTGCATAATTTGTCTTCAGAATCACATCTTTCCCATTCTTGTCTCCTGGCTTCTCAGAGTGCTTCTGCTTTCAATGTTCTTTTGGCTCTGCTGTTCTAGACAGTATTTTCTGTTTGGTTCACCTACTTCTTTTACCCCAGGAAAAATGTATTCGCCCTATATGCCACCTCTTTTCTGCTAAGAGATGTTACCCCACACAAAAGAACTTTGACTTTTTAGAGGAATACTTACTTTGTAGAGCAGGGAAAATAACTTTTGTTTGAAGTGATGTGTCTGGTTTGGTGATAATACCAGCATTAATATCTTAATTATGTACTAAATGTTTGCTTGTGTGAAGCCTCTTGGAGATCTAATGGGTGTGCATAATTCCTTCTTACCATTCCAAGGCATCTTGAAATTTTTATGCACTCAAATCACCCATGTTCAAATCTACCTTTTAAGAGGAATGGGATGTAATTCACCTAATTGAGGGTCTGTTTCAGAATATGGTTCAAATTCTCACTCTCCACAAATATGCCATAACTCTAACCCTCTGGAGTGATTGGTGGGCCTATTTCCAAAATTTAGCCAAAGATTCTTGTGGCAGAGTTTGTTAATATCATTTGGAATGAACCAAAGGGTAGTTTGGGATTTGTGTAAAGCCAGGGTTCCCTATCAATCCAACCAAATTTGCTTGAGCAAGTCCACTAGTTAAATTTTCTCCTTCTTCACTAGGCACATACAGAATATGTGATTAATTTTATGGGTACCAGTAGGTGCTCATTTTTCTTATAAGAGAGTCAGTTTCTCAGGGACCATTTAACTGCCTGTATTCTTTCATTACATTTGTGTGATACTGACATTTTTTTCTAATGCTTAGATATTAGGGAGGTTCTTAGTAGGTGACACCATGTTCTTTTAAACAAAGAATATAAATATTTGAGACTTTTAAAATCCATCTTTGACTCATTATTTAGTGAACATTGACATAGGATGACACTAAACTGTAAGCTTTACAATGGCAGAGAAGTTGTGTCCCCAGCTCACAGTGTAGGGACTAACCTATTGGTCCCAGGAAACACTTGTGGGGTTAAAGAATGATCATGAGAGTCCTATGCCTTTAAGACCTGATACCTCTTTATTTCCAAAGTTGATTCTGTCAGCTTGGCTGGATGGATAGGCTTCTATTTGCTTGTTCATTGTTGTTCCATATGTGTCCTTGACATTGTACTTCTGTCCAGAAGGTACCTGGCCAGTAAGTAGCAAGGTATGAATCTTCAGTTAAGGGTGCAAATTAACTGCTCCCCTAAATTAGAACCAGCAGAGAAGTGCTATATTTCCTTTGAAGTAGCACATCCCTTTGAGAAAAGAATATCAGGAGACTGATAATTTGTCTTAAGTGTGAGTGTCCCTGGTGGAACCTAGTTTAAAATACTGGACCCTCAATTTTCAGTATAAATACTTAGACTGGAGTCAGTGCCTTGAGCCAAGTTATCTTGGTAGTTATTGCTGAAGTGATCCCTGAGGAAACCAAAGTCCAGACTATATGGGGTGGTGTAAAGGATGATGTCAACACCTTGAATTAAATCTTGAAAATATATGCATGTGCTCCACCATAGAGAAAGTTCTGTTTAAACATACATGTAATATTACATTTTCTTAGCCATACAGGTGAAAATAAATAGTCAAAGATCACTCCCTTCTTGGACTAATGACATTTCAGGATATGGACATACTTCTAGCTGGTATTAACTCTGTTTTCTTTTCATACATGTGTGTAAAGTAACTGGCCGTGGATTTTTAAAATTTATGTCAGTTTATTTGAGAGAGGGTGACATACAGGGGTAATGGATTATTATTTCTCAAAGACGGATAAACTTTTTAAAATTTTAAATTAGAGAGAAATAAATTTCAATGTATGCAACATTATAGGTTTTAAAAATAAGATAGCATTTATGTACAAAAACCATGGTGCACCATTAGTGATTTCTGTATGATATCTGGGAAGACAGATGACGGTGAGTGTTTCTCTTGGCTTGAAGGTGATATCAAAATAGTTCCAATGCCAAGAATAATTCTCAGAAATGTGAGCATTAGTCAATGCATTTAAAATCCTATATATGATAAAATTCATTTAAGAGAGACAGGAGTTTTATGAGTTATCTAAATTAAGTGTTAAAAAGAGAAGCAGACTGAAATTTTAGTTATTTTCTTTTGTTCTCTCTTTCTCTCATTTTCTTTTGTAATCCACCTGAAAGTTATTTAAACCCATAACTTGGCCAGGTGTGGTGGCTCATGCCTGTAATCCCAGTACTTTGGGAGGCCGAGGCAGGTGGATCGCAAGGTCAGGAGTTCAAGACGAGCCTGGCCAATATGGTGAAACCCCGTCTCTACTAAATATACAAAAATTAGCTGGGAGTGGTGGCGTGCGCCTATAGTCCCAGCCACTCGGGACGCTGAGGCAGAAGAATCGCTTGTACCTGGGAGGCAGAGGTTACAGTGAGCCGAGATCATGCCATTGCACTCCAGCCTGGGTGACAGAGCAAGACTCCGTATCAAAAAAAAAAAAAAAAAGAAAAAAGAAAAAAAAGGGGAATAACTTATCTCTTTCAATAAGACATTCTCTCGTAGAAATATTCCTACTAAATCAACTGTCCTGTTCGCTGTGTTTAATTACCTAGGTTTTCTTATATTTTCTGTTTACAAGAAACAGAAAGATTCTTACAGAGAATCTGTAAGGCCCAGATTTACTGTTAAGGCCACATGAGTGACAATTAATATATGTCCTTTGTTTATCTGTATGTTTATATGTCCTTATTATCTGGAAGATAATAAGATGGGAAATGGGAGCTCTTTTTTCTTGTCGATATCCTATGGATGCTATGTTATTTACTGATGAAATATGGTCTTTCTCCAGCTATGAACATGGAACGTTTACAAGTATTTGGAAAACTTGAGCGATTACATATGGTAATTGACAATATCTTTTTAGTTGTAACCCTCTCTTTCACTACCTAATTTATGACTTAGTTTGTAATCTTATGGCTTAATTTCAGCACCCATGAACAACGAATTCTAAGAACTGGAGTCCTTAGAGGGATGCATATGACTTAAATGTTCCCTATAATTAGCCAGAAAGAATATTTCATCAATGCATAGCAGAATGGATATTACTGCACAACCTGTAGGATGGAACCGCAAACATTCCCCCTTGCACAGGGTATGGGTTGGCTAGCTATGCTGCAGCATGACCCTAGCTACAGACCTGGAAGTGGGGTTTTGATGGGTTAACTGGGGGAGAATATTCAAGCCAAGATATCCCGAGAGGAAGAGCTATAGAGGTGAAACTGAGCCAAGCCCTGAAGAGATCACTGGGAATCCAAATCCGGAAAGACCGCATTCAAACACCAAATTAAAAAACGAAGAAGAAAGCCAGAGACAGTGGCATGAGTCTGTAGTCCCAGTTACTCAGGAGACTGAGGCAGGATGACTGCTTGAGCCCAGGAATTCGAGTCTAGCCTGGGCAACACAGCAAGACCTCATCTCTTAAAAAAAAATAAATTAAAATAAAGAATAAAGTCAAGAATCAGATTGCAATAAAGCATAAAAGAAGCAGATTGGGAACAAATAAGCAAAAGCTTAAGAAATTGCTATAAAGAGCTTATTGGGAGGGGCAGTTGGAGCAAGAGCTAGCCCTCGTTCACGGTAAATGTATAGTATGCAGGGTATTGGGTTGGAATAGAGCACTGTTTCTCAACATTGGTTGCATATTATAATTATCTAGGGAACTTAATATATGCCCTAGTCTCACTTCTAGAGATTCTACTTTAATTGATCTGGGAAAGAATCTGGATATTAAGATTTGTGAAATTCGCCAGGTGATTCCATTGTGCAGCCAATGTTGAGAAGCATGGCTGGCAAGGCTGGAAGGAAGCCACAGTAAAAGCATTAGCGATAGTAACAGGGGAACTAGGAAGGAAATGCAAATACAACTTTCAGCACAACTTGCCCCAATAAGTTTTCCTTGAGTAGCAAGCTGAGCTGGAAACCTTTGGTGATGATTTTTACACACTTTCTGTATAACTTTCATGTAACGAAACTCATACAAAGATAGTAGTTGGGAAAAAGTTAAAGGTTTTAACCCATGAGCTGCTGCAGCAAGGTGATAGTGTTTAATGGTGTTACATGGGAACTATCATGGCCTAATGATTTGGTTTGCTGGGAAAAATCTATTTTCACTTGGGTGATTCTAAGAGAAGTTGCTCTTCTTGTTGAAGGGGTTAAAATGCTAGTGGAACACAATACATGTGGCATAGGATTTCCCGCTGCAGTACAGAATGCCAACTTGAACTTGAAATTTTAATAAACAACAAATACTTTTTTAGCAACAAATACTTTTTTTGCAATATTAAAGACATATTTAAATATTATTTGTTATTCATCAGAACTTGAAACTTAAATGAAGGTCCAGTTTTTGTTCTTTTGTTTGTTTTGGTTTGTGTTTTCTTAAGTCTGGCATCCCAGTGTAGGAAAAATCCCTAGCCAGCAGAGTGAGAGACATTCAGAGATAAGCCTGAGAGGTGGATACACATTCATAGGAAGTGAAACTGCTTCCCAGGGCAATCATCAATAGGTGGCAGGTATTTTGCAGTCCATGTTCCAGAAACCCTATCTTAAAATAACAGTCGGTACAACAGCTCAGTATTTAAAATGATTTTTGAGTAAGTTATCAAGCCAATGAAGGGTGTCTACAGCTTGTTGTAAGACACCTGACATAAAAAAGTAAACACTTGGGGCAGAACTGAGGTGAGACAAAAACAAAACAAAACAAAACCAAACAAAAAAACCAGCCTGGGTCGACACACACACAGAAGGACCAGCAGAATCTGCAAAACTCAGTGAGAAGAAAAAGAAACAGGCACAAAAGAATAGGCAAAACGAATCTATGGTGATAAAAATGAGATCAGTGGTAGCTCCCACTATGGGGAAGTGTTTGGTAAATGAGCATAAGAGAAATTTCTGGAGTGAATGAATTGTTCCATATTTTGATTGGGGTGTGGGTTACAAGAATGTGCACATTTGTTAAGACTCATTAAAATGTTCATTTAAGATCTGTGAATTTCACAACACATAAATTATGCTTCATTATAAAACAAATTTAAAAATTTGGAGGACCCTACAAGAGAGAATTGATGAATAGATTGAATTTGAATGTGGAAAACATTTCCAGTGAAGTGCCACCAGGCACCATCTCAGGCTTGTCCTAGTCTTCATTCACAGGGATAGCCGTGACAAAGACATTGTCATCAGATTTCAAGATGAAACTAAGCTGAGAGGAATGGCATGCACATTAGTAGTTCAAGATCCACAAAGATCTTGAAAATGAAGAAATGCATTTAATTCTATCAGATGAAATTAGCTGGAAATAAATTTAAAGTCCCATATTTGAGGAGAGAAAGGGGGGATTTAATAAATGTTCACAGGAATCCTTCAGAATTGTAGTCTGGACCACGCTGTCACTTATAATCCACAGTGGGACACAATCATCACTGAAGTGCAATGTGGTCTCACACTGTGGTGTTTGAAGAGGCTCCCTAAAGAACACCCCCCCTCCCTGCTTCAGCTCCTTAGCAAATGCATAGGAGAGGATCAAGGAGGTGCAGATACAGACAGCGTCTTCACTGTGTCAAGCTTAAGTTATAAGATTGCCTTGGGTGTGTGGTAACAATAGGCTTCTATCCCTGAATTTCAGGATCTCACAGACTCACCTACACAGTTTCTGAAAGTTCTGCAGAACCACAGGGGTCTCCTATGAGAACAGCACTGTTACTCTTAAGTCTAACATGACAGAGAGAGTGCTCTCTCTCTGCAGGCAGGCTGGTCTCACGAGGAGAGGAGGGGCTGAGTGAAGGTGCTCAGTTCTTTTTCCAAACTCACCAGTCTGATAAGACACACCAGCACTCAGGTGTGCCATAGGAGAGGAAGCAGAAAGGGAAACCAAAAATGATATACCCATGAGTGTTGCTTGACTTTGGAGAAAATGTCAGGATGAGGGAGTGCTTGCATGATCAATGACAGGTTATCTATGAAAAGCAGTGAATATATGATATTCTAAATTGACACCACAAGTACCTCCAGCAATCTTCTATAAAACAGCTTTTGAAAATACCTATTTAAAACTCTTAAATTTCTTAAAAAATTCTCATAATTATATAGACTTAGCCTTTAAATTGAAAAAAAAAATTATCAATAGTTGGACTATGGGGGATGAAAGTGAGGATTTTGAATGATAAAATTTTGAAGTAAATGCAAGTATACTTAATTTGAATATTGGTTTAAAATGCAGGATAGAGCGTAAAGAGGAAAAATACAATGCATTTGTTAAGGAAAGAAACATTATATTGTGAAGAATAGTATATTGTTAGTGAGATGACAGCTTCATAGAATCAGGTTTCAGGCCAATAGGACGGTTGGTGGAAGAGCGGCATTGCTGGTCATCTTGGTAATGATGGAACTTTGACAGGCATATTTCATGTTAGTTACAGAATTACTTCATCCTAGAAGACAGCCTTCTACCCCTTCGACAACCTAACTATACACATATAGAGAATGACAGACAGTATGCCTGGAGCTGGAATACTGTACTGTAATAAGAAATAGGCTAACTGTTTTCAAAGATATTAATTCGACTATGAGGTCAAGAAAAAAATAAAATCAACAGTCACTAAAAAAATCACTCATATGGCTGGATATATGGATGTAAAGTAAGATTTTACATACACACATGCATACACACACACACGCACATACACTCAGAAATGACAAAAAATTGATTACCTATGAAGTATACGGCACACAGTTGCTTTTTACTACATTATATTTTATCACACATTTGAGGAAGACTGAACAAAATGAGCACAGCTCTTATCATCAGACAACAATCTGTTTGAAAGAAAGCTTACAATAAACTTATTTGTCTTTAAATTTTTATTTTAAGTTCAGTGGGTACAAGCATAGGTTTGTTATATAGGTAAACTCGTGTCATGGCTGTTTGTTGTACAGATTATTTTGTCACCCAGATATTAAGCCTAGTACCCAATAGTTAGTTTTCCTTATTCTCTCACTCCTCCTAACCTCTACCTTCCAAGAGGTCCCAATGTCTGTTGTTTCCCTCTTTATGTCCATGTGTTCTCATCATTTAGCTTCCACTTATAAGTGAGAAAATGCAGTATTTGGTTTTCTGTTCCTGCACTAGTTTGTTAAGGATAATGGCGTTCAGCTCCATCCATATTCCTGCAAAGGACATGATCTCATTCTTTTTTATGGCTTCATAGCATTCTGTGGTGTATATGTACCACATTTTCTTTATCCAATCTACCATTGATGGGCATTTAGTTTGATTCACTATTGTGACTAGTGCTGCAATGAACATATGCATGTGTCTTCATGGTAGAACAATTTCTATTCCTTTGGGTATATACCTAGTAATGGGATTGCTGGGCCTAATGGTAGCTGTGTTTTTAGTTCTTTGAGGAATTGCCAAACTCCTTTCCTAAATGGTTGAACTAATTTATACTACCACCAGCAGTGTATAAGCATTGCCTTTTCTCTGCAACTTCCCCAGCATGTTTTTTTTTTTTTTTGACTTTTTAATAATAGTCATTCTGACTTGTGTGAGATGATATCTCGTTTTGGTTTTGATATGCATTTTTCTCATAATCAGTGATGTAGAGCTTTTTTATATGCTTGTTGTCTGCGTGTATATCTTCTTTTGAAAAGTTTCTGTTCATGCCCTTTGCCCGTTTTTAATGGGGTTGCTTGCATTTTTTCCTTGTGAATTTGTTTAAGTTCCTCATAGATTCTGGATATTAGTCCTCTGTCAGATGCACAGTTTGCAAAATTTTTCTCCCATGCTGTAGGTTGCCTGTTTACTCTGTTGATAGATGCATTTGCAGTGCTGAAGCTCTTTAGTTTAATTAGATCCCATTTGTCAATTTTTGCTTTTGTTGCAATTGGTTTTGGAGTCCTTGTCATGAAATCTTTGCCTGTTCCTATGTCCAGAATGATATTGCCTAGGTTGTCTTCCAGGGTTTTTATATAGACTCAGTTATTGTAATAATCTTCTGAACCTAAAGAAGGTGATAGGAACATTTAACTAGAAGTAATATCTTTCATAAAACTTACTTTTTGCCTCTTTTCCCCTACCTCCTAAAACTAATATTGAGCTTCTTCACAACAATGCTGTTTCGATTGAGTTTACTTTGGGAGGGGGAATAAATTCTAATTCTTTTAGATTATTCCTCATTAAAATTTTTGATTTAGCTGTCAAGGAGTAGGTTTTGACAAATGTGATCAATGTGTACAACATAATTAGAAAATACTAAGCTACCCAAACTATACAAAGAAATCTGCGTTACCTACATGAGTTGTTTACATTAGCATTTACACAATTAAAATATCTTTTTCTAAGTATGCATCTTCTAACAATTCATGGCATGTAGAGAGAGTGGCATAAACCTACAGGTAAATTGTGCATTTAAGAAAATTGGTAAGTATAAGAGATAATTGGTAGTTTTGTATATTAGTGAGAAGAATATTTGAAATAAATCCTCAATCACATCTTCAATCTGTGGTTTGTTTTGTTTTATTTTTTTCTGTTTTTTGGTGAGGCCTGAGTTTGGGTTGTTTATGTATAATGTTATACTGCTTCAAAACAGAAACAGCAAGGCAACAACTAGCCCAGGCTTTATAAAATGGCTGGATTTTGCTTAATTTGTGCATATGTGATGAGTAAACGTTTTTCACGTATCAGTCAAGAAAACTGGCACTAGAATCTATTAATTTTTGCTTGATATTTTTATATAAATATCAGCCCCTTAATGTAAATGGGTGATTTTTAAAGATTAGTAAAGGGTGGAGGGGACTGCGGTGTTTTGGAATTCTTCTTAAGTTTTTAGGAAACAAACTTTATGTTATCTTATAATACTCTGAAATCATCACAGCCATTAGTCTTAAGAAAAAGTGAAAGAAAATTTATCATGGATTTTCCGCTAATGTATTCTTAAGTCAAAATTCTAACTAACATTTTAAAACAGTATTATTTTCAACAAATGTCGCAGAGTTAAGTATTTTATAATAAATTGTGTGATAGTGTATTATGCAACTATTGAAATCTCTTTTAAATAATTCAAATAATAAGAAACTGCCTATGTCATGACTTTAAATCAGATTTTTGAATCTGTGCATTGTAGGATGTTTAGCAGTATCCTTGGCTTTTATCCATTAGACACTGAGAACCATCCCCCAGTCTGTAGGTATTATCAGCGTCCCCTTGGAACAAAATCACTCTTCATTGGGAACCATACTTTACCTGGAAAAAAGAAATGCATGCATGGTTCTTTCTACTTATGATAGACTTTTCAAGAAAGAAAAACAACAACAAAAAAGAAAACTTTACAGATCTATTCGTGGTAAAATAAGAAAGTATAAAATTATTTATGTACTAAACTTTCTTCTGTTTTGGTTGTTAATTAATTCTATGATAAAATTATCTTAAAGAGCAAACATACATTCCAAATTTAACAACCTGAAATTTAAAAATTAATTTTTTTTCTTTCAACGTATTGATCAACTACTTTTGTTTTGTGCAGCAGAACCTAAAATATTACAGAAACCTGGAATAATTAAACTCATTTAACAAAGCTATGTTCTTCTTTTTTAAAAGTTCAGACTGCCAATATCACCATCAAGCTACCCAACATCACCTCTCACTCACATGTTCGTATGAGGGGAACGTGGCAGTGCATTTAAATGACATTATTTCTTCATCCTTTTAAACCTGCAACTAGTTTTGCCCTCTGTGAGGAGCAGGAAAATGTGTTTATTCAATCAGTTGGTAAATGCTTTTCCATACAGTTACTAGTTTTCTCTCTTCTTTAGTTGTGCTTTCCAGAGTAAAGTTGTCTAGTCTCCTAACTTCTTAAAAATAATTCGTCAATCTAGACTTTTATTAGTTCAGATTTGCCTATGACCTCTATTAATTCAATCTTTCTTTCTTTCTTTCTTTCTTTTCTTTCTTCTTTCTTTCCTTCTTTCTCTTTCTTTCTTCTTTCTTTCTTTCTCTCTCTCTTTCTTTCTTTCTTTCTTTCTTTCTTTCTTTCTTTCTTTCTTTCTTTCTTTCCTTTCTTCCTTCCCCCCCCCCCTTCTTTCTTTTTTTTTTTGACGGAGTCTTGCTCTGTTGGCCAGGCTAAAGTGCAGCAGTGAGATCTCTGCTCCCTGTAATCTCTGCCTCCCAGGTCCAAGCAATTCTCTTGCCTCAGCCTCCCGAGTAGCTGGGATTACAAGCGCCCACCACCACACCCAGCTAATTTTTTTGTATTTTTAGTAAAGACTGGATTTAACCATGTTGGCCAGGCTGTTCTCAAACTCCTGATCTCATGATCCACCCGCCTCAGCCTCCCAAAGTTCTGGGACTACAGGCGTGAGCCACTGTGCCCGGCCTAGTTCAGGTTTTAATTACACATTATGTAAGAATGAGGATTTTAATATATAATGAAAAACGAGAGTAATTGCATCTTCAGTATAATAGCTAATAGTCTATCAGTTAGCCTTTGCTTTAATAAGGTAAACATGTATGTTTACATAAGCAGTTTTTGTCCTGTTTTCTTCAATCATCTTTTTAAATTAATATTTATTTTTCTATAATTAAACATCTGATTATTTCCTGTGAGACTAATTTATACTTTTCTCATGCTTATCATGTTCTTTGACTCCGTTTTTTTTAAATCCCTAGAGATCATACCACAGTTAATTTTTTCCTATAATATTTTTGGAAGAAGTCCATTAATTATAAATATGGTTAAAAATGCTATATTTTTGAGTTCCCATTTTATTCTGCAGTCTTATATATCTTTTACAAATTAAAAAGTTATAAATAATCAAGAGTTTATTATAAATGTCTAGCTAAGCATTTAATTGTTTACAGCCATGTCATAAATTTGTTTATTTACTCAACAGACATTTACTGAGCACTGGCTATTCCAAGCAAAGAGGTACTGTAGTGGCTACACCATAGTCGCAGATTTGAACGTTTGATTTTTCTCAATTTTGAAGAAGGTTTCTTCTGGCCTCTGCCGTCTGATGACCACAACATTTTCTCATTAACTGGGATTAAGTATTCAGTTATTACAAGTTTTAACTAAGCCTAAAGTAAAGCTTTATTCCACCTATAATATTTTCTACCTGCCTGAAACATAAGTTAGTCATCATCTAATATTCACTATGTATACTATTTTTTTCTCATTATCATTTTCACACCAGCAATGAAATTGCTTAACCATGACGTGCGTAATCCTAAGTCAGTTAGGCCCATGTTAACTAGGGAATTTGAGGGGAAACAAATTTTATTTTCCTCTCAATTTGCACGGAAAGGAAAAAGAGTCATTAGTATTCGAGACATCTTAATAAGTTCACATGCCTGACCAAGATTGAAAAAAAGAGAAATATTTTGTTGTTTGTTTGCAAATGTCTTTACAGTTGAAAGAAACCCTACACATATGTATTATATGCATCTTCTTATTAATTATATGATGTGTTACCACACATGCTCTCTAAAAATCACAAATAAATTATTAGTTTGGTGCAAAGGCAACTGCGGTTTTTTGCCATTACTTTTAAATAGCCAAAACCGCAATTACTGTTGCACCAACCTAATAGAAAAGATACATTTTTCAGAATATACATGGACATTTTATCTTTTGCTTCACACCTTTATGATGGTTTTATGGCCTCTAATTCCAGAGTGGATGGACTATGCATTTGGAAAGCCGCTGTAGATTGTTTTCTGCTCACACACGGTGCTAGAACTTTTTACTCAGCTGTGGAATCTCATAGAAATTACTGCAGAGGCTGGGCGCGGTGGCTCACTCCTGTAATCCCAGCACTTCGGAAGGCCGGGGCGGGCGGATCACGAGTTCAGGAGATGGAGACCATCCTGACTAACACGGTGAAACCCCATCTCTACTAAAAATACAAAAAAATTAGCCAGGCGTGGTGACGGGCGTCTGTAGTCCCAGCTACTCGGGAGTCTGAGGCAGGAGAATGGTGTGAACCCAGGAGGCAGAGCTTGCAGTGAGCTGAGATCGCGCCACTGCACTCCAGCCTGGGTGACAGGGCGAGACTCCGTCTCAAAAAAAAAAAAAGAAATTACTGCAGAAGTCAGTGGTGGTGAAATTGCATCATGCATTAAAAAATAATATCCAAATAAATTTGTAAGAGAGGTAAATACACATACTTTATACCGAGACTTATATTAGAAGACACTCTGGTTAAAGATCAATGAGAAATCCCTCTTAATAAAAAGGTTTGCTCCCAGCTCATGGCATGTACAGACCTATTTGTTCTAAACCTCCAAGGAAGCAGCAGACACCTGGAAAAAAACATAAGCATGCATACATGGGTGCACACACACACACACACACACACACGCACACACGCACACACACGCACCTCTAAGAGTTTTAATTAGAATCCAGGTCATCACTGCGTAAGAGATATACTAATCCTTTGAGCAAGGTGTTAATTGTTAATCTCATTTTTGCTGCCTAGTAGCCTTGTATAACACTCTGTTTATAATAGGCTTCCTGTGGTAAAAGAATAGACTACTAAACCTCAATACATGTTTTCCAGTAATCATTTTAGTGGCCATGGGTCTTTATAATAGTGGCTAATCTCCATAACATCATCATTAGTGGATGAGGGTAGCTAAAATTATAGAGACCCTTTGCTCTAATTATAGACTCAGAATTGCAAATCCATTCTTTAATCAACTGTAAATGCATTGTAAAGGGAATTGTAAGTTCTTTCCGGGGAGCAATATGCATTCAAGCTAGCAGAGTAGAACAGAACAACGTAATGTGTTTGGGGAATAATAACTGAATACGCTCCTCATAGAGCCTGTGTTACATATGGCTACTTGCTGGAGGAGTTGTCACCGTAAGTCATATGTTTCTAGTTCTTCTGTTTTCTAGCGTCATTACCACAGCATGGTATTAATATGCTACTTGTCCAGAATCCTCTATATTTAGTGTCAAGTATGTTCATGAATGTCTGCTTTTTCACTGTTTGCTCATTTTCTGATATTTTTAAGGGCTGAATGAGAGAAACTGTGTTTCTCAAAAACCAGAAGCCTATGAACTTAATACAATTCTACATACTTTGTTGTTTTACAGGTGAATTTTCCATTTTCTTTCACTGCTAGTATACAAAGACTTAAAAACCCATCGGCTTCCATGATTTCACAAATATTTTAGCATTTAATATGGAAGGTGACAGATAAATTTTTAGACTTTTGCGTCATAGGCAGCAGCTTGATTTTAATCAAATGCTAGGCAATATATGGATATTGCAAAAAATTTTTGTTAACTGACTTGAGGGAATTGTAGCTAGAAATGGGCTTGTCTAGTGATGTTATCTTATTTTCTTATTAATGATAGGATAGGAAAATACACCTCTGCGTATTTCCTCGTCAGAATATAAGTAATGTTTCGAAGTCAAACTTTTCAGCAGAGGAAACAAATGCAAAACTCAAAAACAGCAGTGCAAGTGTTGGGAGTCCCATCTACGAACTCTCAAGTCTTTACTTCATCTTCAGTCCTCAATGTCTTTTTACATAAAAACAAACACCAAATAATCACGATCTTTTTCCCTGTGAGATCTCAAGTCTCGCCTGAAGGAAGCTAATAAGAAAACAGATATTATTTCTGTGTTAATATTGGCCAGATTGTTCAAATACCCAGATTTCTGGAGATCATTATTTTCCCTTAACAAAGTTCCTTACCTTCTTTCACTCTTCCCAAACCACCTTCCACCTTTGAAATTAAAATAAAGATATCATCTCATCGCCGTCTCTCTAATCTCAACCTGCTCTTGCATTATAATTATTATCCCCCATATATTTTGGAGGTAAACTATGTTTTATGAGTAATTATATAATCTTCACAGCTGAGAAGTTTTAAAAAATCACTTATTAAATAAGCTACTCATCATATATTAATTAAAAAATCCAACTAAGTGTCGTGTATTTTGAATTTAAATGATTATTTCTCTTCTGTCTTGTAACAGTTTTTGTTTGTAAGCTTTTATGTTGAGATGTTTAGGTCTTTGATTGAAATACATAATTAGAAATAAAAAGTATCCATTTTCCAGGCAAATCCAGTAAAACAAAGAATAATGGCACTCAATATTAATAAAAATTTCTGTTTAGCTTTTAGTGTTATAGTAGAATAATATCCTGCCAATTTCCCAGAAAACTGGGGGGTTCATTTATTACCATGACATTTTGCTCTCTGCTTTAATATTACTATGCTTTCAACAACAATTTTCCTGTATTTGAATTATTACTGAAAGCTACAAAGGTTAACATTAAATATATTAACTTTTTAATGTTATTCGGCTTTTTCAGCCATTAGTCTTCCTTAGACGTCTATCATTATTTACATAATTATTTTGTCAATCTAGCCACAGCTTTTTACCTTCAGAGTGTAATACAATGAGTGTCCATATTTCATTCTGCACAAGAAAGGCAAAGGGCTAGATGAATGGTATAAATGGTGTCCATTCATAAGGCTGGCCTAAAACAGATCTTTAGCTTGGTGGGAATTTTACTTCAAATCTACAGGAGAGCATGTGAGGCTAAAAGCAGAGAGACTTAAGGCGGCAGGTAGTGAACACACAATTGTAGTCATTTGGTTTTTGGAAAACCTACATCTTGGTAGCTATAAGATTTTAATTTTTAAGTGAACCCAGTCCTCATAAAACAAGCAATGATTCTTCCAAACACTGGTGCACCACAGTTTTAATCTGAATATTTCAGACTTATGCAAACATTTCCTTTTGCCCTTAGCTTTAATCGTTACTAGCTTGGATATTCCTACGTGGTTCTTTTTCATTATTTCTTAGTAAATATACCTGATTGTATTGAGCTTTAGCAAGGTGGCTGATATCCAGTTGGTGCCTTCTTGACATCATTAAATCACTTACTGTGTTTTTGGTTATTATCTGCTGAGATGTATGTGTTTCTTGTGCACAGCCAAAGGGCCACTATGACAATGCCCCGTGTTATCTCATCCTCCCAAAGCAACAGTTTTGAAAAGGCAGATTTAGAGAGGATTTTTGAAGCTTAGGTTCACTGTTTCATTTCTCATAGCAGCACCACTCTAACAATGGATTCAATTTATGTTTCGGACCCCAATGCCAATAGAAACTACGAAAACATGATAGAGTGTCTAATCCCTGCCCAATTTCTAGTCTAAAATTTCCAATCTCAGATTCTTAAATGAAATCTGACAAAAGTATAAACAAACATACTGGATTTTATGTTATTCTTTTCATACAGTTTTAACATGTTAATTTTCTTATTTTTACTCACCTTAGCAGAAGAATGCAACTTTGAAAAACAGTAAAATCACTCAGGGGGAAAGAAAAGTTTCTCTTTAAGCCAGAATTCCAATCACTCTGTGATATCTGTCACTACTCACATCTGCTGATCATTCTTCTCTGAAAGACTTTTGTCCTGAATATTTGTTTTAGAGAGATATTTTCTGTAACTCATTTTTAAGTTGGTGATGTTTATATCTACCAAACTAAGGAAGCTAGAGTGTTTTTCTTAATCCAGGAAGAAATGCTATTCATTTAAAATGTTATTCTTTCACAATTAAGAAGTATGCCCCTTATATGAAATCGAGGAAGAGTGTAAGTTGATTCATTGCTTGTATTGCTTGTCATTACTATTCCATTACTGCTCTATCTTTTACATTAAATCTGGAGAATAATATTTACTTTAAAATGA
Organism: Homo sapiens; assembly: GCF_000001405.40. NCBI lineage: Eukaryota > Metazoa > Chordata > Mammalia > Primates > Hominidae > Homo > Homo sapiens. The sequence continues at coordinate 105,860,702 of NC_000013.11, read as the reverse complement.
AAATCAGGAGGATTGATTGCAATGATCTTTTCTAACACATGGCTAAATTTCACATCCCTTCATCTCCTATCCATTTGGCCCCAACAATCCTTGTTTTACAAGTTTTCATTTAAGACCCTGTCTCTGGCCCCCACTTATCTGACTATCTAGCCTTCTCCTCAAATTTATTCATGATCTTTCATTTACTTCTTTGAACTCATTCCAACTGCTTCTCATGTCTCATGAACTAATTAGAAAAATCAAAGTTTCTTTGGTAAGAGAAGGATAAAGAATAGCATGTCCTAAATGGAAGTTACCCTTAATACACATATTATCAACTTTAAAATCAACACTTCCAATGCTCTCTAAAGTGTGCATCTGTGTATACGACCTTATGGAATCCTAGTAATCACTCTATGGGATATTTAGCCGCATTGGAGAGCATCCATTTTTCTCCCCAGGCCATTCTCTGCTGTGTGCCCTGCCAGAAGGGGCTCTGTCTTCACCAGGCTTCCTTGCAGCGGGCTTCCTGGGCTTGGTCTCCAGTGGGCACCAGGAGGAGATGTGGGATGCATTGGGAGAGATTAGGGCAATGTCTCTAGGAATGGCTGCTCCATTCTCTAGCCAGTGCTCCCTCCACGTCGTCTATCCTACATTGCTCTAGGGCTCGGTGGGCTTTGCTAACACTATTCCCACTGCTTTTCCATTCAGTCCTGGGTTTGGTAACAACGTCCTACTGTTAATAGTCTCAGAGTGTCTGTCTATTTTTCCAACCTGCCCATACCTTTATAAGTAATCCTTTTATTAGCATTTTCATTTGAACGGTCTCAGGTGACTTCTACTTCTTGCTTGTACCATGACTGAGAAAACTGGGCACATTTTATTAGCCATGAATTTTCGGTGATGGGAAAATTGAAGCACAGAGAAGTAAGTGACTTAAGTCACACTGGGAGTCCAGGATGCAACAAGACCTAGAATCCAAGTTCCCTTGTGCCTAAAGTAACCTGTACTACTCACCACACTCTTTAGAATGCCGAATGATAACCTCATTCAAATATGCAGTAACATCATTTCATCTTGTTCACTGAAGTGTCTCAAGGTCCTAGAACAGTAAAAGTACTCTATGGTTGGGTCACTCAATATACACACAACTTCCTTTAGCTTGCCTCCATGTACCATTGATAAGAGAAAAGCAAAATCACATATTTGACCTAGTTTCTGTTGATGCATCTGGATGAGATTTGGGCATGGACATGAGGATTGTGAAGCTGTGGACACACATAGAAAGAGGGTGTTTTTTTCTAGAGTGTGGGCAAGTATCTGTTTTCTCTGCAGCTCCATCCCCAGACATTGAAGATGAGCAGCTCATAGCAACAGTGGCCTTTCAGCAGGGGCACCTTCCTAGTACAATTGAGGCTCTGTCCAGGCTCCATTTCTGTGATTATATCCAAATACATTTTCCTGACCCTCCCAGAGGCTTTGTGAAGCATCTAGTTTTTTACTAACTATCTCTAAGCATGAATTAGTGAGAAAACTAGATATTCTGTTTTCTGCAGATAACATTAGTCAGTGTCTTCCTGATAAAATAGTAGTTATGCTTTTCTTTTAGCTGTTTAAAGTTACTCAATCTAAAAATGAAAACATTTTTCCCCTATTTTCTATGCCTTCTTTTTCTTTGTTGTCACAGTACCAAATGATATGGTTTGACTGTGTCCCCACCCAAATCTCATCATGAATTGTAGTTTCTATAATCCCTACATGTTGTGGGAGGAAACTGGTTGGAGGTTAATCATGGTGACAGTTACCCTCATGCTGTTCTCATGACAGTGACTGAGTTGTCATGAGATCTGGTGATTTTATAAAGGGCTTTCCCCCCTTTTGCACGGCACCTGTCCTTGCTGCCATCATGTGAAGAAGGAAGTGTTTGCTCCCCCTTCTGCCATGACTGTAAGCTTTCTGAGGCCTCACCAGTCATGCTGAACTGTGAGTCATTTAAACCTCTTTCCTTTATAAATTACCCAGTCTTGGGTATACCTTTATTAACAGTGTGAGAATGGACTAATACACAAGGTTTTATGTATCTATTCCTTAAAGAGACCCTTTGTTAATGATCAAGTCCGAGATTCGTCTCCTTCCTGTCAAACATAATTCACCATCATTTGCTCCTTTACTCCTTCCCCTCACGAAGTCAAACAGGTACAAACAGAAGGTCTTTTCCTGAGGTTTCTTTTTTACTAGGGGTTACTATGAGAGCTGGCTTTCAGGCAGGAATGCTACGTACAGAAATAGGAGGTTTTTGGAAAATTTTATCCCTCTGCATTTTTACTGCAGAGAATAACATCTGATATAACTAGATATTGTAGGCTTTTACCTCTTCCCCTCTACATGCACCTCTGCCTATTTTCTTATGACTTGAGTTAATATAGCTCAGAGGAGTCTTAAATAAAGGAATAAAAATAGCAAAATACTTTGGAATTTATATATCTAAATGTATGTACACATACATACATATATAAAATTTAAAAACATATCTTGTTTTTCAAAGGAACCTAGGAAATAGAAATAGGCTTATACAAGTTCCACTAAGTAGCTGGAGAACCTGAGAGTCTTGTGAGGTCTAAAGACTGACTTGTTGTACATTCACAATCCCAAATATTAAAGATCTTGTCTTAAAGATGTCCTTGGAAGGCATAGGAATTTTGGAATATGATTTTATCATGTCTTACACTTTCTCTACTGTGTTCATTAGCCCTTATAATTATTTTGATTTTTATTTCCAAATAATTTCATAAGTAAAAATTAACATCGAGACAATTTTGAAAGGGAAAGTAGTACACACACTAACTTGTAATGCATACCTGGATGTGTATTTTTGGTATACCTGAAGGACGGGAAGCTTTATCTTTTTCTCGTTTTACTGTTGTTAGAGAAAAAAAAAGTGTGTTGTCTGTTTGCAGATGCATTTCATGACTCTTAGCCCCAGCTGGTGGTGCCTCTCCTTTGACCCAAGAGTGTTACAAGACCAGTAGGTTCATATGCCTACTGCACAGTAACAGACCCACTACACTGAGACAGCAGAGTTTGCAGCAGAGAAAGAGTTTAATGATCACATGGCACGAGTGAGAAGACAAGAGTGTAACTGCCCAATCAGTTCTTCTTGCCCACTGCCTAGACAGAATCAGTTTATCAAGACTGGGGAATTGCAATAGAGGAAGAGTTTAATTTATGTAGAGCCAGCTGTACAGGAGACAGAGTTTTATTATTACTCAGGTTAGTCTCTCCAAAAACCCAGGGATTGGGGTTTCTAAGGATAATTTCATGGGTCCGGAGTCAGAAGGTGAAGAGTGCTGATTGATGATTGGTTGGATTGGAGATGAAATTATAGGGAGTTAAGCTGTTTTCTTGGTCTGAGACAGTTCCTGAGTGGGGGCCACAAGCTCAGATGAGCCAGTTTATCGATCTGGGTGGCGTCAGCTGGTGCATTGGAATGCAGGGCCTGTGAAATATCTCAAGCACTGATCCCAGGTTTTATAACAGAGGCTCCCAAACCATAATTTCTAATCTTACGGCTAATTTGTTAGTCCTGCAAAGGTAGTCTAGTCCTCAGGAAAGAAGGAGATTTGTTTTGGGAAAGAGCTGTTATCTTCTTTGTTTCAAAGTCGTACTATAAACTCAGTTTCTCCTAATGTTAGTTCAGCCTGTGCCCAGGAATGGATAAGGACAGCTTGGAGGTTAGAAACAAGATGGAATTCGTTAGGTCAGATCTTTTTCACTGTAATAATTTTCTGTTATAATTTTTGCAAAGGTGGTTTCAGGAAGAGACTCTGAACTCCATCTCCCCAGGAGTTCCAGGCCGGGGTCTTTAAAGGGATCATAGAGGTCAAGGGACTGGAGAATTGGGGTTGTTGATTGATGCGGTTAATTGGAATGAAATCATTAGGATGTGGAAATTGCATTCTTTGGTGAATCAGCTTCTTTGGTGAATTCATGGGGTCCCTCAGACCTGCTGAGTCAGTGGGACCCTGCAGACCAGCTGACGTGGTAGATTCCAATTCTCCAATCTCCCTTGACTTTATGATCCCCATAAAGACCCCGGCCTGTGCCAGGCGTGGTGGCTCACACCTGTAATCCCAGCACCTTGGAAGGCCGAAGTGGGCAGATCACCTGAGGTTGGGAGTTCAAGACCAGCCTGGCCAACATAGTGAAACTCCATCTCTGCTAAAAATGCAAAAATTAGCCAGGCATGGTGGTGTGCACTTGTAATCCCAGCTGTTCGGGAGGCTGAGGCAGGAGACTCGCTTGAACCCAGGAGGTGGAGGTTGCAGTGAGCCAAGATTGTGCCAGCCTGGGAGACAGAGCAAGACCCTATCTAAAAAAAAAAAAAATCCAGCCTGGAACTCCTTGGGAAGATAGATTTGATGGTCTCCTCCTGAAACCACCTTTGCAAAAACCGTAAATTTCTGATTTACCACCCAGCCTCCAGTCAGTGCCCAGATGGCACAAAAACTTTCCATCCTATCACTATTCTCAATGTAAAAAAGTTGTTAAAGCCACTGATCTTACAAGACCTACCTAAAACCAGTTATGCTTTTAACATTTTGTTTTCATTCATACATTCATTTATTTCAGACATTTGTTTTGCGATATCTACAAGATGTGAGGCTCTTGCTTAGTGCTGGAGATACAAAGGTGAACAAGAAAAGTGTTGCTGGGAAAAGATACTGCTAGCCAAAGATGATGGACTCCATGGATTACAAGTGACTTGCTATGAAAACAATGATGAGAGAGACTTACGGAGCAGGCTTGGGAAAAATAATTGTGGAAATGATTTGCTTTATTCTTACATCCCTCAGTAAAGGAGAGAGTTCCACACCTCAAATGAGGACTATACCATCAAATGGCATTGGTTTAAAGCACTAAAGCCCTCTTTTGAAGAACAATTACCCATCAGTATACATTTTAGAAACACCCTAAGCCATATATTCTTTGAAAAGGAAGACCAAACTTTTTTTTTAAAAAAAATAATTATATTTAAAAGCGAAAATGCTTAAAAGACTTTGTTTTTTTGAGACAGAGTCTTGCTCTGTCACACAGGCTGGAGTGCAGTGGCATGATCTCAGCTCCCTGCAACCTCTGCCTCCTGGGTTCAAGCAATTCTCCTTTCCTCAGGCTCCTGAGTAGTTGAGATTACAGGCGCCCACCACCATGCCTGGCTGTTTTTTGTATTTTCAGTAGAGATGGGGTTTCGCCATGTTGGCTAGGCTGGTTTCGAACTCCTGGCCTCAAGCCATCCACCCACCTTGGGGTGGAATTACAGCCATGAGCCACTGCACCCAGCCTTAAAAGACTTTTAAAAAAGATATTCTTGTAACCACCCAATGGATCTATCTTGCCTAGATACAGATAATTTATCAAAAAAGAGGAATTATGATAGAGAAAGTGTTTAATACACATAGAGCCAGCTGAACTGGAGAGTGGAGTTTTATTATGACTCAAATCAGCTTTATTGTGACTCCAAAAATTCAGAGGATACAGTGTTTCAAGGATAGTTTGGTGGGAAGAGGAATGCTTATTGGCCGAAGATGCGATCATAGGGGTATGCCAAGTGGCCCTCCTGCACTGAGCCCGCTTCTGAGTGGGGGCCACAGAGGAGTCGCTGGTCTGGGTATGGCCATTCGGTTGTCAGAAATACAAAAGCCTGAAAAGACATCTCAAAAAGCCAATCTTAGTTTTTACATCAGTAATGTTAATTATTTGGGAAAATTGCAAATCTTTATGACCTCCAGAATAATGGCTCGCAATCGTTTACACTCACATCTTAGCAGAAGTCAGGCCCCTCTCATCTTCCTGACCTGGTAGATTTTCATTAGTTTTACAAAGGTGGTTTAGTTTTAGCAAGGACTATTATCATTTAAATTATAAACTGATTTTCTCTCAAAGTTAGCTTGGCCCATGCCAAGGAATGACCAAGGGCAGTTTGAAGGTTAAAGGCAAAAGGTTGGTTAGATCAGATCATTTTCACTGTCATAATTTTCTCCCTGTTATGATTTTTGCAAAGGCAGTTTCATCTTAGGATAAAACACTTATCCTCTTTGTAAACTAATGAATGTGGCTTTCGCCTTCATGTATGAGCATAGATAATGTGACTGTCTTCTAAATGGTAATGTGTTTTTTTATGGATTTTGTGCATTTTAGTCAATTAGAGTTTTGGAAAGATGTACAGAGAACTCCATATTTGCCATATTATCAGCATTCACATTACTGCAAACACTTTTGACTGTGAAATAGTTAAAATTCATTTTGTCAATGTACTGAATTTAATAAACAAATAAAATTTTGTGATGTATTTATGACAGTAGGATATAAGATTTGATTTATTGATTTGTTATGATCATGTATAGCCAAATACCTATGGAAAATTTACAGTAATATTTAGCAATTAAGCATATTTCCTTATGATTCAGATTTTGAATTTAAGTTTTATGTTCTCTTTAGTTCTTTCACCTTTAACTTATTTTTTAAACACTCATTACTCCTGTAGTTACATAAATGTAGACCTTATGATGTTAGATGTACACGTGTGTGGAAAATCAGATAGATGGGGCATATTTGCAATCAAACATCTGTTGCCTTTCTCAGGATGCAGTAGTACGTTCTGCCCCAATGACACTTGTTATTCAGTCTCTTGGGAAGCGTGGAAAAAAAGACTTTCCTTAACAGAGTATCGTGTCTTCATCTTAATCTTCACCCTAAAGATACAGCAGCCCCACTTATTTGCCTTGTATTTGAAGCATACCTTTCAATTCTAGACAATAGATTATCTACTTCACTACAGCGAGATTTTAGAAAAAGCAGGAGTGATTTGGTTAAAGTGAAGAGTTGGGCAGACTGGTGTATAAATCCTCCCCCTGATCTGACACTTCTTCTCATCCTTGCTTTTAAAGTTACCAGAGATGACGTAGGTGAACATCCCACACAGAGGCGGAGCCACAAGGCAGGAGTGCGGTGTTGGTGTTGCTGGAAAAAAGATTTTTCTGAAATGGGGGTGATCAATTGCTAGCTTTCCTGATGTCAGTAATCAATTACTTTCAAACTCCTGGAAGTATTGTGACTTACTTGCACTTTTTACCTTCAACAAATTCAAGACACACTGAAACTTGTCATTTGAATTTTTAATAGGTTAGGAAAAAATTCGATATTTGACGTTTTTAAGTACACAGAATTGAAAGTTTTACAAGTGACACTTTGCTTCCAGCAAAATAATCATGGAGTTGGTTATATTTCCAAATGTATATCAAACATTATTTTTTCAAAAGCCTAAGCACACGTTATTGAAAAGACATCATTACTTTTAAGGAACAGATTGTGTGTGTGGCTCATGTTTAAAGTCGAGGAAGCATCAGCTTTCCTATTTTGTTATTGTTCACATGTGTCTATATTAGTAGTATTACTTTTGAACTGCAGGGTTATTTCGTTTTGATTTTGGAGATTTTTTGGGGGGGTAATATTATGGTGAAGGCATCACTTAATTTGTAAAGATTAATTTAGTTAATGCTAGATACAGGATCTCTAAAACTGATTAGCAAATATGGATTGAGCAAGGCTACTTGTGCTGATTACACTTTTGGGAAAGGTTATTTTCTGCTTTTATAGACTCAAAAGCATAAAGAGTGGGTCTGACATTTGTTTCCTCACTCTGATGGATCCAAAGCCTGTGCCCTAAGATGCCTCTACTTCACACTGAGGACTGTAGGAGTAGAAGACCTAGGAGGCTACATTTTCGCAGGAGCCTCGGTGGGAATAGGGAGGTGCAGGATTGATCCCAAGTGCTTGGAATTTTGCTTCAATTTAGTGTACACTGTGGCCCCAGTTCTTTCTGAAACCTGAGAATTTCGGCGATTGCTTGGCCAGTCTGTTGGGACTTGAAGCTTGAGTCAAAACTTCATAGTATGTTTCAATGTTTTTGAAGTCAATTCTCAAATTTTCAAATATTCACTTTTAGATGTAAGGAAGGTGGTGGCGAGGCCTGTATTATCTTAGTTGTTGGAAATCAGAATTGCCGTGATGGAAATGAAACCAAGTAGGCTTTGTGATTTTTTAACTTTTTTGCAAGGTTCCTTCAATGCATAGAAATGCCGATTTTCAGCTTTTGTAGTTTTTCAAACAAATTATAAAACAAAACATAAAATTCCTTTTTGGATTATGTATTTGAATAATTCATTTTGCATTGTCTTTAAAGGCATTTTCATTCTCTCTATTAATACAAATTATCCATATAAATGTTGATATATTTGACTAATTTCAATGTGAGAAACAATACAATGCTCTTTCATATATATTGAGTTGTAATTTCATCTTTCTTTCAATTAATAAACAGAATTCACATATTATTCTATGTAGGGGAGCAATTGTCTGATTTAAAAGAAAATACTGAGTAATCATTTGATTGTAGTTTAGGTTTTATGCTAAGTCTCAGCTGTGCTAATACAACTAACGCAGACAAGCAGCTGGAATGATAATTGGGCTAAAAGTATTTCTCCTAACCCTCTTACTAATGACAGATTGGCAAGAGATGGTGGCATTATCGTAGTTAACTTTTTCACAAATGACAATATCCCAGGGCAAGCAATTGGTATTAACCATCAAGCTTCCTGGCTTTACAACGGACACTCCTTTGTCAGTATTAGAATTGCTTCTTATGTAAGAACAAATGAAATTTTAACAAATGGTATTTTATTATGACAATGCTGAGGGCCATGCAAATGTACAGGCTCAGTCAGTGGAGGAAACAGTTTTGTTCTTAAATTCTGTTGACACGTGCTTAAGTACATTACTTTCTGATTTAAACTTTCAGGGTCTAATAACCCTAAAACAGACCCATGGATTGTCCTCATTTCAGAGGCGTCTCTGTTTGACATTCTTTTCACAAAAATACCAAAACATTTTTAATTAGGGTATGAATAAGTGCTAAGCATGGAAAGATGTGAAGATAGCATTCTCCTCTGCCATGTTAGTTCTTTCTTCCCTTTTATCTTCATTCATCTTGTCTGCTTTGCTCCGAGGGCGGCCCCTCTCTCATCTGTCTCTGAGAGCACTCAGCCCCTTGTAGTACAGTTATTGTTTTCCACGTCCCTTGCTGGGTTATGAGTTCCACTAAAGCAGGGATTGGAGAAACCCAGTTGTCCTGGAATGATTTGGGAGCCAGGTGTTGAATTTGCTGGCTGCAGGACAGGGGCAGTGGGAGACTCAAAGAGAGAGCAGAGGGGAGGAGTGTGCGGCTGGAATGCCTGTCACTGTATCAGCCTCAGATTCTTTATTTGTAGGCAAGAGATAATAAGAACCACCTCCTAGTTCTGTTGCAAGGATTAAATAAATGACTCTTGGAAGAGTTTTGTTCCTTGGAACTGCTAGGTAAATATAAGTTACTCTGAGAGCCTAGCAGGTAGAGTAGATATGGCAATAGAGTATATGGACCTGCTTTTTCTCCTCTGAGGAGCTGATGAATATTAACTAGCATAAAAATAAGGAAAAACCCACAATTTTACAAGTTTAGAACATTTTTCTTTGAGCACTTCTAAGCACAGTTCAGCAAATAGTGCAAATACAATTTTAGACAGTGTGAATCAAACATTCTATCCAGATGCTTGCAGGATAGCCAGTCCTAGAAGACCACATTAGGAGGATTTTAATCCATTTTCACTGCCACCTTTAAGGGGAGTATCAACCTGTTAGTATGTGCTCATAGATTATTCTTGTATGTTTCTGAAATTAAGGTAGAAAAATGATGAAGATTCTCAAAAATGACTTCACCCAAGTAATAAGTGAGGGGACCTAGGTGTACCTGCTAAAAATGACTGTCCCAGAGGAGGTGCATGTAGGGATGGGCTCAGTGGGCTAAGAATGCTTCTTATATCTTTAGTTCATTGAAAATACTCAAAAGAATAATATTTTGTGATACGTGAAAATTGTATGAAATTCAAATTTTAGTATCCACAAATACAATGTAGATGAATACATACAGCCAAGCCCTTTTTTTTTCCCCCTGTATTTTCTATGGCTACTTTCATTCTCCAACAGGAGAGTTGAATACTTCTGGCAGAGACCTACTGGCCTACAAAACTGAAAATATTTACCATCTGGACCTTTGCAGAAATACTTTGTCGCTCTCCTTTTAGGGATCCCTGGCTGAGGACTTTTGATGAACAAGCATTTGGAGGAAAGAGCCTCCAGCCTCCCAGCCTTCATCACAAGCGAGTGGCCTGCCCAGAAACACGTATAGCTGGGTTACAGGACGGCCGCTGGGGGCATGGGAGAAATGCAGATGAAGCTGAATGTCATGGCAAGTAGAGTCTTAGCAAGACAGTGGTCTTAACCTTTTGAAAATTGTGGTGTTACAGAGAATGGAACTGATTTTTCATCCTCCAATTTATTTCACCAGGCCTCATGATCAGCAAAGAGAATCACCCTGCCCTCCTGGACACACAGAGCTTTTTGTTGTTGAGTTCCTTAGGATGACACTTCCTCTGTAAGGACTGTCCCTCCGCGTTCCCATCACTGGCCTTCCTTAATGGAGCTTGTGCAATGATAGGATTCACGGTCCTTTTCATCTGGGTTTGTGTCCTTGCTTCCCCCACCTCTGTTTATGTGCCAGGGATTTTACCTCACCAAACCTCGACCTCCTCATCTTCAAAACGACGGTCCTGTCACATTGTAGGGTTATTGGGAAGACTACACTTCAAATCCAGCTCCCAGGTCACCTCCCATTCCACCGGCTAGTCAGTTGTTTCCATCACGGTGTTTCCACGTATATTTTGATCTTGTTTCTCTTCCTTAGTTTTCTTTCCTTTTTTTTTTTTTTTTTTTTTTGTAGTTTCATCTGTATGCAAGATCATCCTTTCCATGCGACAGAGAACTCTTTGAAAGCAGGAAACTTGCCTTATTTTTTTATTGCCCTCCAGAACACAGCACACTACCTAGTGCCAAATAGGCCCAAAGCACATTTTTTTGAATGAATACATTAATTTGTTTTCTTTACTATTTATCTGTAGAATGCTATCCTTTGTCTTCAGAGAATGTCGATTACATGCAAAAGTTACATAGCTTATCTGATGTGGAATAAAATCTATAAATCCATAATTCAACATCCCAAAAACTTATTTTGAGGTTGTGAAAAATATGAAAATAATTTCTGATCCACTTGGAAAACTAAATTGTATTCAGCATGACTGCAAAAATAAATAAAGCTGATAATTTTTGGCTTAAAAATTAGCCATACATTCTATAGTTGCATTGCCCAATTAAAAACAATATGAGCCATGAATATGAGCCACACATGTAATTTAAATTTTTCTAGTAGTCACATTAAAAAATGCAAATTGGCAAAATTAATTTCAATAATGTATTTTGTATAATCCAAGACATCCAAGCATTTTAACATATATTCAACATAAAATTATTAATGGCACAACTTACATCCTTTTTCACACTAATTCTTCGAAATCCCACATGTATTTTATATGCACAGTACATCTCAGTTTTGATTAGCCCCATTGACAGTGCTCAATAGCCACCTGTGGCTAATGGTTACCCCACTGGACTGCACAATTCTATAGCATTTGTGGTAACTCTGACAGAACGTGGCTATACATTCGTCAAAATGCTTCACTCACCAGCTGGAATTCAGCAGAGAAAATGCCACTGTAGACCATCGTTATCTGAATACAATTCTGTTGTTCATGTATCACTACCTGTGTATGAAAGTGCCTGACAGATAAAACTGGTGGTTGAACCATCATTGTCTTCATTAACTAGGCACTGTTAAAATCATTGTTGATAACGTTCGACCTTGCATCCATCCCTGGTGAAACACCTGAGCGTTTTGCTCAGAAGCGACTTCTTGCTGGTAAGACGATGCTGGGAGCTCCTGCCCATGCTACTGTTGTTTCCTGGGAGCTGTTGACGCTGCCAAATTAGATGAAGTTGTGCTCAGGCATGCTCCTGTTTGTGATGAATGTGTCTCGGTGCAAGTCCCAATTTGTGCTGTTTGGCATCTGTGCAGACAGACTAGGAGCCTCTGGCTAAAATGAACTCAATTGTACAGACCCAGCTGACTTTCATTGCCTCAGGTAGACACGACCGTAAGACGTGCTTTTCTACAGACATATTTATGTTCGTGCTTTTAAATGGAAGACAAAGTCCAAGGCAATATCAAAATATGGGTCTTGATTTATGTTGAAAAAGACAAATATCAGTGATCCAAGTTACCTGTTTGTTCACAAACACCTTATTAGTTGCCAATGAGTTTTTTTTTTCTTTTCTTTTAAAATCTCATCCACAAAATGTATGCAGATGTTATGTCTACACTTTAAAATAAATAATAAAAGCTTTTATATATTCTATAATGCAGGCTTTGGAAACCCATTTTGTTCTTGATAACTGTTTGGAAGGTTTTCATGGGCTGACAGCCAAACCTAAACCTGGCTTTCTGGGAAAGCAAAAGAAGGATGAAAAAGGCCCCTTGCAGCTCTGGCCGTCTGTGATTCTATGACTCTGAGATAAACCTTTCAGAATATGATGACTTCCTAATGCCTGAAGTGTGAGTGGCTTTAGAGCACAATAAAGGGAAAAGATCCAGCTGCAATTTATTACAGTCAGGTCAATTAAATAGATTCAGAGCACCATCATCTTGTTTATATCTATCATGGATCATAAGAGAGGAAAAAAAATATCTTTGTGGTCGCGGCTCCTGCCTCCCTCTTTCAGATAAAGAGCCGTGGAGACCCGTAAATAATTGTTGGGATACATTTCAGCAGCAGCGTCTCCACATGGGCAAGCTATTACATTTAAATTGGTTAATATTCCATTGTTAATGGTCTGCCTTTTATATATAAAGACATTCAGGAAAAAGATTGGATCACTACATAAATAACAGCTCTCAGTCTTGGCTTTGTCCTATGGAGTTGCTGCCAAAGACTACTGGAGTCTTCATGTTTGTTCAGTAGGTAAAAAAAAGCTTTTGCTTGTCACAAACGGTGTCTCATTTATTTACCTAGATCCCTTTCCTTCTGTTTTGCTGCTTCCTGTTCTAAAAATATAAGGCATATGGACTCTGACAGCTCTGGTTTCTGCCCCGTCAGTATTCTGTTTATGCCACTTGTTTCCTTTAAAGAAAATTAACTGCCTTCAATCCAGCCTCTCTTGAGACCACTTTTACAATCAAAATATAGTATTTAGATGGTCAAGTGATTAAACAGATAGGCCAGAAAAATAGTAGCAGCCTTTAGAATTTCACATTTTTCCTGTGCTGCAGGGGAAGTGTTTTGCAGCAGTAATTGAAAACAAATCCAAACATGGATGAAGAATAAAAGGAAAGAAATGTGTAATTCAGATTCCAAAAGCCTATCAACATTTTAACCTGCTGATTTTTAATTTTGAATTGCTACCTGCAAGATTTGGGCTTATCTTCATGAGGAAAAGTCCATGAGATGGTGCCTGACCTTGTAGTTCTGCTTTTTTGTTGTATTAAATTCATTATTGCAGTTTTCATGTCTAAAGGTAAACATTAAAACTGTGAACTCCTATTGAGACAACTGAACCTGTTTTTTAGTTTAAGACAGATGCCAACTCAGAGTGGTTGTCACTAGCATCACTATCGACAGTTTTGCTAATTCTTCCATATCCACTTTGGCCCAGGTACCTTTTCCTTCCTTCTGCTCACACTTGTGCAAGACTTTTTCATTTGTCTTGATCACATATCTTCTAATTCATTTCATTGGCTAAGATATAAACAACTGGGAAAGCAAAATACAAAGCAAAACGAAAAAAAGATCAAATTTCAAGATGGCAGGTAAACAACATGGTTTCAAGTAGCCGCAGTTTACCCCACACCAGATTGCAGCGTTGCATTGTGGGATTGCTCAGATTGCTGGTGTTCCTGTTGGTGACAGCAGTCTTGCCGGATGCCACCTTGGAAAGGCAAGTGTGGTGATTAGACCCAAGGGCCAAAAGGCGATATTGTGGAGGAGAGGCTATGTTTACACCTGCACACAGGGGTTCTGATTATACCTGTGTAACATTGAACAAAACATTTCAATTACACCTCTGCACAATCAGGAAAATCATATTTTCTCTATTCCCCTTTCAGAATTACTGAAAGGATGAAATAAGCAAGTGAGTATAAAAACACTGTATAGAGAGCAAATATGAGTTGTAAAGAAGTGGCTCATTCTCTCAGTGCTAGTTTGTGTGTGTGTGTTGAAACTGATGGCTTACTATTCTTGTTAGCTTCACCTTCCACTTTTCCCTCCAGACACTTCTACTGGCCTCCTGGTCCAAGAACATTCCCAACAGCAGGCCATACGTGCATTCTTTTTATACACCTTGTTGAGGCACAGAGTAAGCTGGGGGAAGTATCAAGCCTCCTCCATGGCACCATGAGTCATTCATTGGCAAAGATTGGTTCTTGCTCCTTTTAGCATGAGGCTGGTGTTTGAAATATGGTAGTCACACAATAAAAAACATGCACTGAAAATGACTTGTGTACTGCATGTGCTTATTAGTAGTTGACAAATAGTTATCCCTTACTTCAAGTTAACTTGTTTTATATAATTTCACTAATTATAAGGACTTAAATTAATTTGATTTTAAAAATCTGAAGCTTTGAAACGAAATATTCAAGACTTATTGAAAATGAAGGTTTTGCATTTTCAACTATTCTTATCTTAAATGCTTCATGTTTAACAGGGACTCACAGTCCTATAATTTAAAAATTATAGGAGAAATTGTTTGAGCTAAGGACACGGATAAATTGTAGTCAACATTTTAATTTTTATTTTTATCTTAGATATGGAAAGCAGTTTTTCCTGTTAAATGAACTAGATCATTTAATTTTTTTAAACTCTATCATTCAACATTTATGGTGAATTTACTCACTACCAAGCACTGTACTGGGTTTTGAGAATGAAATAATAAGAAGGATCCAGTCCTACCTTTCAACATTTGAGGTCTAGAAAGAAGGCAAAAATGATAAGTAATTATTATAAAGTGTTGCTGGATCCATGAAAGACATATTAGTGAATGTTACAAAAGCCCTAAGGAGATAATACTCTTTCTGCTATTAAGGGTAGATGAATAGGTTTTAAAGAGGAGGCTTCCTTGTGGGAAACTGAAAGAGAGGTAAGAGTTTTATCACCATGAAAAACAGAGAAGAAAGTTTAGATTGAGTGAATGGTACTGAGGCCATACAATAGTATGATAAAAAGTTGTGCTTTGGAAAGATCTTTGTGTTGTCATATGTAGAGTATAAACTAGTGAAATAAGACACTGGTCAGATAAAAAGATAATTACAAAGCTTTTCTGAGTATTATGAGGACAAATATAAGAGCTTGGAAAGGCAGGCTGGCGTAGTAGCTCATGCCTGTAATCTCAGCACTTTGGGAGGGCAAGGCGGGCAGATCACTGGAGGTCAGCAGTTCGAGACCAGCCTGGCCAACATAGTGAAAACTCCTCTCTACTAAAAAGTACAAAAATTACCCAGGTGTGGTGGCATGCTCCTGTAATCCCAGTTACTCAGGAGGCTGAGGCATGAGAATTGCTTAAACCTGGGAAGCAGAGGTTGTGGTGAGATGAGATCATGCCATTGCACTCCAGCTTGGGTGAGTGAGCGAGACTCTGTCTCAAATAAACAAACAAAAATAGAGAATGGAGGGGCAAATAAATTATGAAGAGTAGGGTGCAAATCCAGGTGTGTCAGCATTTGTGTTTGCAGGGGTGGCCAACGCATGGTACTTGTCTGTAGTGTGGAAGAAGTGGAGGGCAATGTGCAGTAGTGATGCTACAGAGAGATATGTATGTGATTATGCTTATGGACAAATAATGCTGTTATCTGGAAGATGGGGCACAGGATGGAAAACAAGTTTGGGGAAGAAGACAAAGAACTCTTGGCGATTTTGCTGCTTATAGAGTGGTCCTCAAACAAGTGGTGTTGGCATCGTCTGAGAGCTTGTCAGATTCAGAACCTCAGGCCCACTCCAGATCTACTGTATCAGAATTTGCGTCTTACAAGATCCGTAAGTGAATTTCAAATTAAGGTGTCTCTGAAAGCATGGTCCGCAAGACAGGATGAGTTGGAGATGTCTGCCTGTATGTTATAAAAGAATGACTACAATATCAACTTGTAAGTAAAGGAATAAGAGAATTCCCCGGGTAATTAAATACATAAAAATATTACTTTTGGCCGGGCGCGGTGGCTCACGCCTGTAATCCCAGCACTTTGGGAGGCCGAGGCGGGCGGATCACGAGGTCAGGAGATCGAGACCATCCTGGCTAACAAGGTGAAACCCCGTCTCTACTAAAAATACAAAAAATTAGCCGGGCGTGGTAGCGGGCGCCTGTAGTCCCAGCTACTCGGGAGGCTGAGGCAGGAGAATGGCGTGAACCCGGGAGGCGGAGCTTGCAGTGAGCCGAGATCCCGCCACTGCACTCCAGCCTGGGCGACAGAGCGAGACTTCGTCTCAAAAAAAAAAAAAAAAAAAAATATTACTTTTAAATGAAATTATCTTCAAAATAGCATCCTAGGCTTAAAAATTCTGAACATTATTTTCTAAAATTTTCTAGTATTCTGTTGAAACACTGAATTTCTGAGCTATGATTTCGGCTTGAAGAAGTTTAATTTCAAAAGCATTATTTAAAATCATGACTTTTATATTTGGAGTCAAAATTGCTGCAGGCAACTTTTCTGATTGTCATATCTTTGGTATTGTGTCTGTTCAGTCTTTAGTTACGATAACATATAATGCAAAGCAATGACAACATCACAAAAGACGTTTTAAATTAATGATTGCACTTTACCTTTTTGACAAAGTTTGCTGTTATCCAGCCTTTCCACCCCTCCCCAACTGCCCCGCCTCCTTGTTCTATCCAATTCCCTTAGCATTGCCAACCCTGGAACTGAATCCCTTTATTAAACTAAACCAGGCAAACCAATCAAGGCCAGTCTTATGCCAACTGGTTACAATAGCTGATTCTAATGACGAAATATAACCCAGTGTTAAAGTCAGCCCCAAAACAAACACACAGATTCCTCCAAATTGGATGCCACATGCGCTCACTTGAGACACTGAATATCCAGGATAAATTTTCTAATGAATGGAATCAGATTGAGTGTAAGCATTGCTTTCAGGAACCATGTAATTTCTGTTCTCTGAAAATAATTTTAAAATATGCTTCAATGTCTTTAGACTCCCCCAGATTCCTGAGCTTGGCCTCTCTACAGTAGTTAATTATATTTATTGTAATGATTTGATGTTTGAAACTCTACTTGTTCTTGATGCTTGTGGTTTTGATCCAGGCAAAAGTCTATGACCACAATAACCACATTAGCCTGGCTCATCACCCCCATATTTTACAAAGTAACTCCGCACTATCTTCTCTTCCTAAAAAGCCTCCAAGATAATAATCTATTTTTTAAATATATAATATTTGAAAGCACTTTGGTATCACCCCAGATTAAAAACAATAGAAAACATTCCATTTTGAAAGCATACAATGTCAGCTAGAGACTGACTCTAGCAATGATTTTACTGTAAAGATAAACTTATCACTTAAATTTAAGAAATATATATACATACATATATACATATAATTCATATGCATATTTATGCATCAACAATACATGTATGTATTCAAGATTTATTATAGGTAGATAAATATATAAAACGTATTTTAAGATATATATTTTTGAAAACTTTGCTGAACATTAAATGTTTTAACACCATCAAATAAATAAAGACAATTTTTTAATATTCTATTTAAGGATCTCACTGGCTCCAACTGTTTGCCCACTTTATCACACTGTTACATTAAAACAGATATGTTCTGAAATACAAATTAAAACAAAATTTGCCTGAACCAAAATGTTGTTCCTCAAATCCCAGCTGCCCCTCATGTGGATGTCAGGGGGATGCAGAAAACACAAGAAGATGAGCGGTTTAAAATCAGAGTTTATAGAATTAGCAAGCCATCTTTTTAACAAGTACAATATTTTTCTTTGTAGACTTGAGTCTTAGTAATCTGGTCTCTTTAGTCTGGTCTTGGGAGGATTTGTACGTGAAACAAAAGCATTTTACAAAATGGTACAAGTCTTGGCCTGAGCTGCTGAGAGAAATCTTGACTTTGAACATGGCCATATAAGAAGGTGATCTTGCAGAGAGTTTAAAAAATTCGTGAAAACCACTCCTGGTAGAATTTGCCCAGCATACTTTTTACATGATTAGTAAATACTTATAAATGTAATACCCTCTTTGTTTCCTACACACTTTAAAATGCATCCCAATTAGCATACAAATGTAAAGATTGAGCAACAATAACAGAATCAATGATTTAGACTTGCTTTAGGCCTGACACTAATTTTTGCGAGTCCCGGAAACAATATCTTGTCATCTTTTTCGTGTCACCGGTTTGTCTTCCTGAGCTATCTTGAATTGAACTTAAATATTTTGGTTTTGTTACATGTAGCTAACAAGTGTATCCATAACTATCATTGTATCTAGAAATAATAGCACATTGAAGCGATCTTTACAAATAAAATAGGGTTTATCTCGCATATATTTTAAAATCTTCAAAATGCACATTTTCAGCTCAAATTTCTCTTGATTCCAGACTCATTTGTCTGACTGCTATCATCGAATATATTCTTGAATGTCTCCTAAGCATCTCCAGTTTATTATGTCCAAAGCTCACTTTTTTAAAAACATAAAAGATATCATTTATTTAATGCCTCCTAACTTCCAAGTACTGCATGCCAGGTGCCGGAGATATGCAAAACTCACTCTTGATCATCTCTCCAAACCTGCTCAGACACTGTTCTTTTTTTTCTTAGTATATGACATTACAGTCTATCCAGTTGCCCCTGTCAGAAACCAAGGAGTCATCTTTGACAGTTTTCTGTCCCTTATCTCCGTGTCTAGCCTATTGCCAAATCCTGTTGTTTCTTTCTTCAAAATATGTGCCTGTCTCCTCCAGGGTGTTCTTCACCCTGTGGCCTTTCATCCCCAGCACGGCAGTAGCTTCTTTTCTCTACCACCATTCTTACTTCCAACCTAATTAGTTCCTTCCCAGCATCTAAAAACCCATGTAAAAATGCAAACTTCAGGGTGCTATTTCTTTATATAAGGGCTCTTTATTCACTTAGAATACAATCCTAACTGCTCACCACAGGCTGCAATGCCGTGGCCCACACCCATTCTCATCACCACAAAGCCAAACCCCTTTCCAACTTGCTCACCAGCCCCCGCCTTGGGGGCCCCTGGGTCATGGGTTGAATTGTTCCCTCCCCTGCTGCAAATACATGTTCAAGTCCTCACCACTGGTACCTGTGAATGTGATCTTATTTGGAAATAGGGTCTTTTTGGATGTAATTAGCATGAGGTCATTAGGGTGGGCCCTAATCCAATATGATCAGCGTCCTTATAGAAGGGGAAGATGGCTATGTGAAGACACAGACACATGAGAAGAATAGCACGTGGCCATAGAAGCAGAATCAGCATGATGCGGCGGCAGGCCAAGGAAAACCAGGGATCCAAAGACCACCAGAAGCTGGGCAGTGGCAAGGGTAAATTCTACCCAAAACTTACAGAGAATGGCCCTGTTGATACCTTAATTTTGGACTTGGAGCCTCTGAATTGTGAAAGAATAAATTTCTGTCATTTTAAGATACCAAGCTAGTGGTACTTTATTATGTCAACAGCAGGAAGTTAATGTATCGTCTTTCTGTTTTCCAGACCACAAAATTTTTCTTTACCCTAAGCTTCCACCTACAGGGTTCTCACTGCCTGGGGCACCTTCACTCTCATTTTGCAAACCTGAATCCATTCTTTCTGGTCTTTGCTTAAATGTTATTTCCTAAAATATGCCTTTGGCCCGGCACAGTGGCGCATGCCTGTAATCCCAGCACGTTGGGAAGCTGAGGCGGGCAGATCACTTGAGCCCGGGAGTTCAAGACCAGCCTGAGCAACATAGGGAGACCCCGTCGCCAAAAAATAAATAAATAAAAATAAATAAATAAACAAATAAATAAATAAATAAATAAATAAATAAGCCAGGCATGGTGGTGAGCCTCTGTAGTCCCAGCTACTCAGGAGGCTGAGGTGGGAGGATCACTTGAGCCCAGGATGTTGATGTTGCAGTGAGCTGAGATTGCACCACTGCACTCCAGCCTTGGTGACAGAATGAGACCCTGTCTCAAAAAAAAAAAAAAAAAAAAAAAAAGATGCCTTCTTTGGCTACTGCCCAGGAAGGTGCTGCCACCTGTTTATCTTCTCTTCTCTTCTCATGGCAGTCTCCCATCATTCTACCCTTAGGAACCATCCAAACTCACCAGCACAACCTGGTGTATGAGGTTCTTTCATGCTGGCTCCCTGGTGTGCACCTCTCAGGCCCTCCTCTGGCTGTGTCCTCAGACCACATGCGCTTCCAGACTCCCTCACACCTCCCTATTATATTTTCCCAAACAGCCTGTCAACTGCTGATTTTCTTGTTATCAGTCACCTCACACGCTCACCAGTATATGTAAGGGTCTTAAATACACATATAATTTGCAACAACTGTTCCTTCATTTCTAGAATAGTGATTACAGGTATGTAGTAAGTATTCAATAAATAACTATTTTCGGGACGAATGAATGAATGAGTGAATGAATGCTAATTAGTTCCTCCAGGATTTCTTTAAAGTCTTGCAAATTGGTCAGAGCTTTTTTTTTTTTTAAATAACTGAAAATGAATAATCACAGCATTTTCCTTTCCTTAAAGTACTTTGAAAGTGAAAAAGCCACCTAAGAAAAATCAGTTGTTTCCACAATGAATTGCAGTAACACAATACCCAGCAGAAAATGAGAAATCAAGGAATTTGCATTCTGAGATTATACTTGAGTAAGGGAAGCACCTTGTTTTGTCAATCAAAGCTGTTCACATTTTTGATGACTGATAAGTGTCTGGCTTGAATAGAATAATTACCCACGCTTTCAAGGAGTGACTGGCTTTGCTGAGGTAGGTGCTTCCTAGTTTTGTTTTTGTCAGAAACATGGCAGTCAGAACAGAAATGGCTGTTTCTGCTCATTATAAATCTGTCATTTTAGTACAAACTTAAAATCCCTGGATATTTTTACAAGTGGGATTCTTGAATGTTTCCAAGTTTCAAAGAGTTCAGTTTAGCTCAAATTGTATAAAACAGTATGAGTTCATAGATCACCTTAGCTAAATTGTCACATGCATAAAGCATTCCTACAGTACAGTCCTAGTGGGGTTTTGTGAATGTTCATATAGTATTAACACACTAGCACTGAAAGAATGCAAATGATAAGTAAAGGGAAACAAGTACTTAGTTTCCAATATATGTCTGAACACAGGATTCCATTTTTTGTTCAAATGTGTGATGGGATATTTTACAGTGTACTTAAACTATTGGGTGAAAAACACATCAACATTCAGAAATATTAAGACAAAGATTTTATGTGTGTGTGTTTGTGTGTGTGTATAATAACTGCTTCCCAGTCTGCCAAATAGTAACTACAGACACCACTATACGTGTGTGTGTGTGTGTGTGTGTGTATAATGGATTCATGATCTAGTTAAAAGACTAAACTTTCACACAGCTCAACTGAAACTTTCTCCTGAGAATCTTCAGTTAGCTGAGACCTAAGTTTCCCAGTTATGAGGCTGTGTTTTTCTGTCTATCAATACGCTACAGTTTGGGGTGGAGCTCAAATAAACCATTCAGATGCAGTTCAGAAAAAGAGAATTGGGTCTGGCCACGACTGAGCGTGTGTTTAACATGTGCAAACTGTCGTGTGTTTAATAGGATGTGAAGGGTTGAATGTGTGGCACCTCTCCGTTGTTGGGGACGCTCCTCGGAGAGGCAATGTGTGCTGACTCAAAGGGGCAGATGGGATTTCTGTTGGTGAATATCACTGTTGCTGCTCCCACTGCCAGGTGTGGGGAGCCGGAGCCCAGCAAGGGAGCTTTTATCCCCTTGCTGAGTGGCTGAGGATCTAGGGTGGCTGAGATCTAGGGTGATCACACTCGCTGCATGAATCTCCAAGCATTATTAGGGCCACTCCTACTGAGGGATGATGCTATGTCAAGAGAGAGGGGGCCTGTGTTTTGTGCCTTTCTTCAGAGGACCAGACGTTCATCCAAATGCACAGTCTGCCGTTGCTGTGGCCACTGAGAAGGCACCATGAGATGCTGGTTTTCCTCTGAAGCTTGCTGCTAGGTGCCTGCCTCCAACTGTGAGTCACTGTGGAACTTCAAAAGGAAGACGAAACACAGCACACCTGCCAATGAAACCCAGAAAGGATACATGTCCTTCGTTACTGGGTGCCTCAGCGCCAAATAGGATCCAGGCCTCCGCCACCGGTTCTTAGGCCTCCCTCCCGCTTTTTAAAATGAAATTGAAACAAGAAAACAACCATAACAACAACCATAAAACTGGAGACTAAGGAGAGAAAAACCTTGAGCTAAGTGGCTTCCAGCTCCAACTCATCCTCTCACCCACTCTCTTTTACATGACTTTTTCTCTTTTATTAGTCCCCATTTAGAAGCTCCTTCATAAGTCTTCCTAGGAAGTCAATACGGTAATCTATAACCTTTTATTTTTAGCATGATTGCTCAAAACAATGATATTTTTCAGACTTATTTAAAGCTATTTTTAAAGCATTTGGTGAGGGGGGTTACTAAAAAGAAAATGAGATTGAAATAATCTGAATATTTCAAATATCTCCAAATCAAATTCATGGTAATTTTGCCATTTAAAGGTGAAGCAATTTGGACTTGTTGATACAGTCCCAGGTAGAATTTCTCTTAGAAAATCCCAAAATGGAAATCATGTTTCCAATCTGACCCCAGGCCTTTTGCTTACAATGAGTCTAGGGAACCTCTTCCCTGAAGACAATGATTGTTCTTTCTGAGGAATTGGAGGCACATGTACACTTATGTCGAGCCATCATTTTCACTAGTTAATCTTGCCCCTGGCTTGGCTGGGGAAAATTTAACATACAGCATTGGGGAATTACAGATATCTAGTGGTACTCCAAGGAAGCGCTCACAGAGTTGTTGGAATGATGACAAAGACTTGGCCACAATGACTATACAGAACCCTATGATCATATTTAAAAGTGGGATCGGCCGGGCATGGCAGCTCAAGCCTATAATCCCAGCACTTTGGGAGGCCGAGGCGGGTAAATCATGACGTCAGGAGTTTGAGACCAGCCTGGCCAACATAGTGAAACCCCATCTCTACTAAAAATACAAAAAATTAGCTGGGCGCAGTGGTGGGCACCTGTAATTCCAGTTACTTGGGAGGCTGAGGCAAGAGAATTGCTTGAACCCAGGTGGCAGAGAATGCAATGAGCCGAGATCGTACCACTACCCTCCAGCCCCAGTGACAGTGCAAGACTCCATCTCAAAAAAAAAAAAAAAAAAAAAAAAAAAAAACAAGGAAGAAGTGGGATAATTTGGCCACTTCTGAGTCCATTCTAGGACTCCACGTTCTTCTCCTGGCCTTGTGAAGCAGAAGCTTGAGCTTTGTGGGTGGAAACCGAAGTTGGTTTTGTGCTGCTCTTGTCACTTGAGAAGCTCACCCTATTTGTGTTCTGGGGTTGTTAATTCAGGTCATGCCTCAGCTCTCTGTGGTTGCACCTCCAAAAAAGAAACTGACACATACTTCTATCAAGCAGAAAAGAGAAGCCGCACTGACTCGCTACGTTACAGAAGTATGCGATCTTAAGAGATGGTACCAAGTTCTCATTTGCTAAAGCTCTGAGGCTGCTGGAAGGGAGTAACATTTTATTTTAAGTGACATGAAAACCGTCTTTTTTTCTTTTTCTGCAGGATTACATTTGTCATACATAAAAGTACTATTCTTAGTCCTCAGCATGATCCATTCATTATTTTATAGGCCCAAAGTCCTCTAGCAAGGATTACAAAACCACATCACAAAATGTTTGCAAGTGTTGCTTTTGTGTGAATCTGACAGCTGTGGAATCATCCACAACTAAGCCATGCACTAGTGAGTCCGCATGTGTGGATAGAAAGAGTGCACGCGAAGGTGGGATTGTTTATGTGCATTTTTGTCTCCTGATCTGCCTTTTTTCTGCTAGAAAAATGTAACTAAATGGGTAAGAAACAAGGTCTATTTAACAGATGCTGTTAGGAGAGGGAGACAAGAGACCTCAGGTCCAGCCCTAGTTCTGCTGTTTCTTGTCGCTGTCATCTTTGGCAAGTCCCTGAACTTGTTCAGGTCTCAGTTGCATCCTCTCTGGAGTCTAGAAGCTTCCAGTGTGAACATTAATAATGTGTACTGTAATGTGTCTGTAAAGTGCTTGCAGGAGAATTATAAAGATTTTCTTCTAGAGAGTGAGATAATCCTTTTTGGTTGCTTTGGAGGGTTCCGGCCATTTCAGATTAATACACGCAGTGGTTAATTAGGTTGCCTCTATTAACAACATTACAGCAAAGCAAATGTAGGCAAAGAAAGGCAGAGTTGTTGAGCCCCTACCGAGGGCTGGGTGTTTCTCAGCTCAGTAAAACATTGCACGATTTTGAAAGTTAGGTGTTGCTTTTTAGAGATAAGGAAAATGAGGCTCAAATAAGTTTGATAAGTTGCCCACACATCTCAGAACTGCTGCTGTTGGTGGATTTGAATCTAGATTTTCCCTCTGTGCCTGCTGCCGCAGTGACCAGCCAAGTTGCCTCTGACTTTCGTGTGTCAAAGGAGGATGCTTTCACCAAACAAGACAAAACAGGTATGGAAATACCAAGGTGTCCCATCACAGGAGGCCTAGTGGCCTTGATATTTTGATCTGAGCAAAGAGATCCTCTGGCTTCTGGAATTCTTCTCTTCAGCTCCCTAAGGACTAGCATTGTTTGCCGTTTGTGGGGAGCATGTTTGATCATCTGCAAATGTGCTTTGCTGCATGCCTTGGAAGAGGAAGCCACTGTCACGATGTGGAAACAGAAGAGCCGGTTCCAGTGTCCAGCTTCCTCCAGTCTGACCCTGATTGTGTCTCCTTTGAAACAACCAATCACCAAAATACTCCAGAAGGGAAGCAGCACTGAGAGAGGGCCTTGTATTCTTTTAAATGGATCTAACTGGGTCTTGTTAGGTGCTGACAAATACATACTGAACCCCAACAGCACAAATTCATTAGTCCTTTTTTTTTTTTTTTTTTTTTTTGATGCAGAGACTCGCTCTGTCACCCAGGCTGGAGTGCAGTGGCGCAATCTCGGCTCACTGCAAGCTCCACCTCCTGGGTTCACGCCATTTTCCCACCTCAGCCTCCCGAGTAACTGGGACTACAGTCACCTGCCACTACACCCGGCTAATTTTGTTTTTGTATTTTTAGTAGAGACAGGGTTTCACTGTGTTAGCCAGGATGGTCTCGATCTCCTGACCTCGTGATCCGCTCGCCTCGGCCTCCCAAAGTGCTGGGATTACAGGCGTGAGCCACGGCGCCCGGCCCATTGATTCTTTAACATAACCCAATATTCCCCTTTTTCCACCCTGCACATTTAAGAGGCTATTCTGGAATCAGAAACTTGCCCCAGTAAAAATCCATAACAGAGCAGCAGGTGTGAAAGGTGACTGCGAACTGGAAGGAAGGAATGACTCACACAAAGCATCTTGAGAATTATCAATACATGGGTTTCATTAGAGACAGTTACGACTGTTCTTAGAGACCCATCAGTTCCCCACTGAAGGGTCTGTGAAGTTCCTTACATTTTGACAATTTCTTTACAGTAGAAAGATGCTGAGGAAAGATGTAGGAGCGGCTGGCTTTCACTGGAGAGCTTGCCTCACATGTGGCAGAATATGAAGTTACCTAACTCTTTAGGTAAGCCAATAACAGCACCAAGTAAAGTTAGTAGCATTTTAGATGTTAACAAATTATTCACTCCTGCATGTTTTAAACTATGAACAATCTCATTGTAATTCAAAAGATCTCAGATAATTAGATGTAATAGAAGCTGGTGAATACTTAGTAGCTTTCTAATTCATTGTATTTGGTTGCAATTTTGTGGGCAACTACATGTATTGAGGCTTTGGATGCCTGAAAATCCAAGTATGTTTTTGGTATTGAAGCAGAATTAACATAAAGGAATTAAGTGGCATGAATAAATTTGCAAATAGATGATAGGTCATTGAGTAGAAAAGATATCAATGGAAGAAAAGAAAAATGGGAAAATAAGAAGGATGACAAAGGGGTGAAGGACGATGGAAAGGCAACATTTAAGGGGGTGTGGTCAAGCTATAAGATAACAGTTGTTGTTAATTCCCTGAGGCCTATGTTTTTCTTATCAGTGTGACATAAAAGGAGTGACAATATCACGTTTCATTAATAGAAGAGAATGTTAAACATAAGGACAATGTAAGTTATGTTATTAAATTTTAAAACGAGAGTAATAAACAAGGGAACCTAAGGAATAGCCAGTCTAATTTTCCGTAAGATTTTCTGGGGAATTGGCTGGGTAGGAAGGAGAGCAGCCAATGTGCTGTGGACAACTGGGGGCACTGGGGCAAGGAAGGGGCTGGCAGCGAGCTTTAGGTGGAAAAACTTGGATCTTCTTGCACCTCTGAGTAGTTTAAGTGACTTTGCCACCAGCTGCTCATATCAAACCTCCTGACCAGAATTTTTTAGTACTCACTTTGCAGCTAATAGTTGCGTAATAAGAAGTTATTTAAAGGGAAGGATGTGAGAAAACCTCACATAGTTAAAAAACAATCAAAAGTAAGACCAAAAATGACTACCACCAAAACCCATTTTCAGAATGAAGTCCTAAAGTTTTATTCCTGGAGATTTTACTTTCAAAGCTGTCAAAAGTATTTCAATGCTTATAACTGAAGTAAACACAGCATTTTCTGCCTGGGTGCTACAGTAATATCTGTGAAATCAAGGTTGAATTGTGCTAGTTATAGATGAATGTGTGAAGAATACATAACTCCTAATGTAATTTTAGAAAGTTTGTGCACCGCCTCTTATAATTTCTTGTACCATGTTCCGGGAAATGCCATATGTCTAGGGATACATATTTGGACCTCTTGCCTTTGTTAATCACCAGCTTCCTTCTGACCCCGCGTGCTGAGCACATTCTATGGCAACTCTTCCTCCGTCAATGAGTTCTGGGATCAAAGACCCGCTCCTCTGGCGTTTGAGGGCAGAGGATGTTATTTTACCAGCCTGTTTGAAACTCAGCACTCTTCAGTGGCAGCATCCCTTGAGAAATATCAGAACACAGCAGTGACCCCAAATCACAGGATTAACTATATCCATTAATTATCTTAGAAAACAATATGTACACACTTGGAATAAAACTGTTCTTCCATTATTTCGCCTTTTACAGTGAGCATGTGGCTGTGGAATACAGAGGAAAGGAAGAGAAAAACCAACATACTTCTAACAGGCAAGAGTCTTAGAAAATCCATTTTGGTCTTCTAAAAAGGGGGAAAGATTACTTCATTCTTTCAATCAATACAGTAGGACTTTTATCTAGGAGAACCTCTAATCTTTTATCTAGGAGAGGCTCTTATCACTAATAAGCAACAGGCATTGCACCAGGCAAGCCAAAAGGTAAGGGAGACCACCCTTATCTTTGAGAGCTGTATAAAAAAGACACTCAGAGCAAGCACAGACAACTCCTTTCCAGCTCCATTGAGTAGATACCCCAAGAGCAGTGGACTGTCCTCATCCCCACCCATACATACAGGGAGGAATATGCAACACGGCCTCTGGTCTTTGCCTCTGCAAGTGCATCCCATATCATGTCATGGATCAGCCAAGGTTATTCTAGCACCTCTCTGAACTCATGAACCAATCCCAGTCTCATCAACCTGATTCCTATCTTCCCTTCCACTTTATGCCTGTCTCATGTAGAATTCCTGTCTTCTTTCTCTGCTCCTGGGCATCACTCGACAGCCACCCTTGTCGTCCATTACCTAAGGACGCTGACTTCCTCGTGTTCATCTGTTGCTTGTCTCTTCTGGAACTAGAGGCCAAGCTTATACCACATGCTGGAGATGAGCCAGGACCCTCCTGTGATGACCGCCTGTTCCCTGGTAGGCTCTCTCTCTGCTGCTTACTCCATGTCCACATCAAAGTGTTGAGTCTACCCCCAAAACAGCAGCTTCTGTTTCTTCCCCACCTACTTGTCTCTCAAGTTCTTCCCTGTCTTTTCTCAACACCTACTAGCATCATCCCCATCAAGTCCAGGCACACATTGTCTGGCTGGTGGGGCTGCCCCATCCCAGGCCACAGACCAGCTGCTCCATGTTTGACTCAACCATCATTCACAGATTCCCAAGTCTCCCTTTGGCAAAAAAGCCTGGTAGATCTAATGATATTTGATCAATTTTAATAATTTGTTATGATTTTGTTCACAATTACAGAGAGATAACATTTTATTTATCTGGCAGAGTATATAAATGCTTCTGTTTATTTTGCCTTATTGGGAAACTACTTTGATAAACTATTTTGGTGCAGAAGACAGTGCTTGAGGGAGTTAACTGGAGCCAAGGCTATGGAAGAGGGATAAAGCTAAGCTGCAGAGTGGGAAACAGCCCACCTGGGCTCCACTCTGTCTGCTGCCCCCTTGCTTGCTGAATGGCCCTGGTGGAGTTATTTTATCCCGCTGTATCTTAGTTTCCCAATCACCAAACTTTTCTCATAGTGCTGTTGTAAATATTAAATTAGTTAATAATTATGAAATATATAGAACCATGGTTTTATCACTAATTACAAAATAAATACATCCTTGATGCTGAATAGTTTTGAAATATAAAGAAACCCCAAAACATATTACCTAATACCTCTTCTCCAAGAATGTTAATATTTTGCATACTTTTAATATTATTAGCTATAGGGATTTATGTTATGTTCAGAGCAAAATGACATCAATATACCATGCATTATTTTGATTTTTTGACTTTAAATTTTTTTCTTAGCAATCTACTATCAACTTTCTAAGTAAGTTATTTGTATTATGTACAGTGTATTCAGTTACAAGTAACAGAAAGTGACAAAAACTGTCTTAAACAATAAGAAGTGATTGGCTTATGTAACTAAAAGGGAGAGGGATACTTTCTTATGATTAGACAGACATTGGTTTTACTGCTACTCCTGAATAATCTCTATATTCAGAGTCGTGGGGAGTGAATGCCTTGTGCTTATTGGTTCAGCTTTATTTGCTTGCTAAACCAATTCCTGTGGCAAGTGAGATGGGAGTGTGCTGATTGGGTGCTGGGGTTAATCCCATGTCAATGGCTCTAAAACAAGGGGGAGGGCTGAGTGGGTTCAGGGTATATATATCTACAGTGTCCCTTTTTGTATTTTTAAAAATATTATTTTATCAATGGAATAGTGTTTGTAAGATTCAATCACTGTATATTCTTAAACAGTGTAATTCCTGAACACTTAGAAAGTTTTCTAATATAAATGATGCTATAGTGATCATTTGTGGGCACACTTCTTTCTGCTTCATTATCCATTGCTCATATCTGCATTCTTGTTCTTTTTTTCTCCTTTCATGAGTTTGTTCTCATTTCCTACAACTGTTATTCATATCTTCAAACTTTCTTTAGTTTGACACTTTCTTTTGCGCAACACCCTCCCATGTATTTTTATCTTTATGGAAGCTGAGAAGGATAGTAGAAGGCATATGAGATTCCATAGCAGGTGGACTTTGACTCATATTTGAACTCTGCCTGTTAATAGCAGTCTGACTTTGGAAAAGTCATTTGATTCCTACGAATATCGTTCCGTTTTCTTCAAATACAGGTATATTAGTCTGTTCTCACACTGCTAATAAAGACATACCCAAGTCTAGGTAATTTATAAAGAAAAAGAGGTTTAATGGACTCACAGTTTCACATGGCTGGGGAGGCCTCACAATCATGGCAGAAGGTGAATGAGGAGGAAAGTCACATCTTATATGACGGCAGGCAAGAGAGCATGTGCAGGGGAACAATTTGTAAAACCGTCAGATCTCGTGAGACTTACTCATTATTACAGGAATAGCACAGGAAAGACCCACCAGCATGATTCAATTACCTCCCACTTAGTCCCTCCCATGACACATGGGAATTATGGGAACTGCAATTCAAGATGAGATTTGGGTGTGGACAAAGCCAAACCATATCAATGGGCAACAGGCAACAAAAGTAAAATTAAATTAGTTGAACTGTATCAAAATTTAAAACTTCTGTAAATAAAAAATCACAATCAATAGAGTGATAAGGCAACCCATGGATAATAGAAAATATTTGCAAATGATATATCTGATAAAGGGTTAATATCTATGATATATGAAGAAATATACAACTCACCACCAAAAAAGTAAAATAAAATAATTTAAAAATTGGCAAAGTATTGAACAGACACTTCCCCACAGAAGTTATAGAAATGGACAAGCATGTGAAAAGATGCTCAACGTCACTAATCATTAGAAAAATGCAAATCAAAACCACAATGAGATACCATCTCATACCAATTAAGGTGGCTACTATGAAAAACAAAACAAACAAACAAAAAACAGAAAATAAGTGATAGCAAGAATGTGCAAAATGTAAACCCCTGTGTACTATTAGTAAGAAGGTAAAATGAAAATGGTGTGGCTGTTAGGGAAAACAGTTGACTGTTCTTTAAAAAATTAAAAATAGAATTTTAATATTATCCAGCAAGTCCAATTTTTGGGTATATATCCAAAAGAATTGGCCAGGTAAGGTGGCTCACACTTGTAATCCAGCACTTTGGGAGGCTGAGGGAGGATGATAACCTGAGGTCAGGAGTTTGAGACCAGACTGAGCAACCTGGAGAAACCTTGTCTCTACTAAAAATACAAAATTAACCAGGCATGGTGACGCATGCCTGTAATCCCAGCTACTCGGGAGGCTGAGGCAGGAGAAGCATTTGTACCTGGGAGGCAGAGGTTGCAGTGAGCCGAGATACTGCCATTGCACTCCAGCCTGGGCAACAAGAGCAAAACTTCGTCTCAAAAAAAAAAAAAAAAAAGTAAAAGCAGGGTCTTGTACACGCATATTGATAGAGGCACTAGTCATGATTGTGAAAAGGTGGAAGCAACTTAAGTGTTCATTGACAGATGAATGAATTTAAAAAAATGTGGCAAGTATATATAATAAAATACTATTTAGCTTTAAAAAGAAAAAGAATTTTAAGACATACTGTAACATAGATGAACCTTGAGATCATTACGCTAAATGAAATAAGCCAGTCACAAAAAGACAAATACTATATACTTATACTTGTATAAAGTACCTGGAGTAGTTAAATTCATAGAGACAGAAAGTAGAATGGTGGCTACCAGGACCTAGGGTAAGTGGAATATGGGGCTTTGTTTAGTGAGTAGAGAGTTTCAGTTTTGCAAAATGAAAAAGTTCTGGAGATCTGTTTCACAGTAATGGGAATATACTTAGAACTACTGGACTCTACACTTGAAGATGGCTAAGATGGTGTGTTAGGCTGTTCTTGCATTACTATAAAGAAATACCTGATACTGAGTAGTTTATAAAGAAAAGAGGTTTGACTGGGTGTGCGGTGGCTCATGCCTGTAATCCCAGCGCTTTGGGAGGGCAAGGTGGGCAAATCAAGAGGTCAGGAGTTCAAGACCAGCCTGGCTAACACGGTGAAACACCGTTTCTACTAAAAATACAAAAAATTAGCCAGGTGCGGTGGCAGGCGCCTGTAAACCCAGCTACTTGGGAGGCTGAGACAGAAGAATCTCTTGAACCTGGGAGGCAGAGGTTGCAGTGAGCCAAGACCGCGCCATAGCACTCCAGCCTGGGCAACAGAGCGAGACTCTGTCTCAAAAAGAAAAGAAAAGAAAAGAAAAGAGGTTTAGTTGGCTCATGGTTCTGCAGGCTGTACAGGAAGCATGGTGCTGGCATCTGCTTGGCTTCTGGTGAAGCCTCAGTGAGCTTTCAATCATGGTGGAAGGTGAAGGGGGAGCAGGCAGGTCACATGGTGAAAGCAGGAACAAGCAAGGGGATGGGAAGGTGCCACACACTTTTAAATGACCAGATCTCCAGAGAACTCACTATCATGAAGATCAGTACCAAGTTACGAGGGATCCACCCCCATGATCCAAATACTTCCCACCAGCTGCCACCTCCAGCACCAGGGATTACAATTCAACATGAGATTTGGGTGCGACCAATATCCAAACTCTATCAGATGGTATATTTTATGTTGTGTGTTTTTATTTATTTATTTTTACCGTAACTTAAACAGCCTATATTGTATTAAAACAACTGATCGGTCAGGCGTGGTGGCTCACGTCTGTAATCCCAGCACTTTAGGAGGCTGAGGCAGGTGGATCATGAGGTCAGGAGATCGAGACCATCCTAGGCTAACACAGTGAAATCCCGGGGTCTCTACTAAGAATACAAAAAAATTAGCCAGATGTGGTGGCAGGCGCCTGTAGTCCCAGCTACTCGAGAGGCTGATGCAGGAGAATCACTTGAACCTGGGAGGTGGAGGTTAAACTGAGCTAAGATCGTGCCACTGCACTCCAGCCTGGGCGATAGAGCAAGACTCCATCAAACAAATAAACAAAAACCAAAAAACAAACAAACAAACAAACAAACCCATAAAAAACTGATCATTTCTGATTAAGATAAAAGTTTGATTATTTTTCCTACCTTATTGAAATAAAAACGTTCCATCAGTTAAGAAAAATGGGGACAAGTCTACCAGTCAGACAGGGCACAGAATCAAAGGGATGACACAGTGCCTGGGTTCCTCTGCGATCAATAAAGTGCATGATCACTGTTATCTTTCTCTCTTAATTTTTTTATGCTCTTTGATTCATAGTTCTTAGTTTTAATTTTCCTATTTTTAGCATCCAAAAAAATCTAGTCCTTAAAAGAGTACAGTGACTTCTGTTGTGGTGGTTGTTGTTATTGTCAAAGGGAAGAGCACGGTTATAGTGCATTGGTTCCTTCATGTGAAAGGCGGCACGCACAAGCATTCTCAGCCTTCTCAAAACAACACTGAAGGAAATAGGGGATTCCTGCTCCTAATAGCATACATTGAAATTCCCTGCCTGAGTGGCATTAAGTGAAGCCACATATAACCTTTCAGATGAGATGGAGCAAAGGCAGCTGAACAAGAGCATTTCAACAAACCATAAATCTTATCTTAATTGGAAATTTAAAGTACTCGAAGCAAGGGAAAAGTGACAGAAAAAGAAGTAAAACTAATATGATCAAGCTGAAAGCAACCCTGGTCACCAGCGAAGACACTTAACATTTTCAAGGGAAATGCTTCTGGATAATGTTTCCTGGAAACCAGATGGGAAGTTAGATTAGCTGTTTTCTCTCCAAAATAACTTGTGTTTTTGTCATTATAATGGAACATTTACAGAAAACCAACAATAGACTGGCTTTCTTGTAGGCATAAGCCTATGTGAAATGGTTCTTTCTTGTAGGCGTGGGCCTATGTGACAACGATAAAGTGATTACAGGATTAATCCAAGTCTTTGGTCACATTAAAGGTTAGGGATGGAAAGAAGGACAGGAAAAGACACAAGAGAAAAACATGACATATTGAAGGCAAGTGAGGAATAAAATTCACCTGAAAGTACAGTCATGAGATAGGAGGAGAAATGATAGCTAAAGCTGAGCATATTACCATCACACTTCATTAATATAACAACTTCTGGGATTCATGTGCTCCACAGAAGTGAATTTCCAGGTCACTGAGACTAACAAAACTGCTAGATTCATTTTCTATTTAACAATTTTTGCCGGATATGGCAAAAAATGCTCTTCCCACATTTCTCTAACATTCCCCCAAAAAAGATGATTAATCGATTTTCATCCTTAATTAGTCAAAGGAAACTTTACCAACATTTATTAAAATTATCGTGAGTTTACATTTCCTAAAGAGGATACTTTTGGGAGTGTAAGGGGCACATTTAGGGACTGTGCAGAAACTCAGGTGTGATTGGACTCTGTCCCAGAAGGTCAGGGTGTGGTCATTCTATAAGTCTCTGCTGATAGAAGTACTGCGTTCAATTTTGTTTTCCAGCATCTTTTACCCTTGAGAACCTGGGTAGTCATGTTGTTGGCATCGAACAGCCTTTATGTCCCAAGTTTCTTCTAGTTTATTGCTTCAAATATTGGGCATGCAAATGGGAAATCAGATGGCCAAGCTAGTTTCAACATAATATTACACAAGGGTCATGTCTCCGAGTCAGAGTAGAAAAACAGGAGAAATTACCCTATTACGTGAATAGTGTCAGATTTGAATCCAGGGGAAGGATTATATGTCTCTGCTTAAGCAGCAGTGTTAACCAAAGCTTACATTTCTCAAATCAAATGCAAAAATCAGGTGTCACTTAATCCATAAATTATGTTTTGTTTCACTAAGGTCAATTTTGTTCTTATGATTTAGTGTAAGGATAAAGAAAGCTGCTGTGGGTTCCTCTCCTGGGACATTTCAGTGGTCACAGGATGTGCACTAGTTGGCAGTAGCCCTTAGTCAGTGTTTGCACAGCATCACTATAGTCCGCCTCTGAATAAGTGGGGATGATAGCCATAGAGAGAATTTCCAGGACACGCACCACGATTACAAGGAGTCAGACACCCTTCTAAGCACATTACACACAACAGCACATGTCAATATGGATGCATGTGTGTATTCATATTTTTTTTTTTTTTTTTTTTTTTTTTTTTTTTGAGACGGAGTCTTGCTCTGTCGCCCAGGCTGGAGTGCAGTGGCGGGATCTCGGCTCACTGCAAGCTCCGCCTCCCGGGTTCACACCATTCTCCTGCCTCAGCCTCCCAAGTAGCTGGGACTACAGGCGCCCGCCACTACGCCCAGCTAATTTTTTGTATTTTTAGTAGAGACGGGGTTTCACCGTTTTAGCCGGGATGGTCTCGATCTCCTGACCTCGTGATCCGCCCGCCTCGGCCTCCCAAAGTGCTGGGATTACAGGCGTGAGCCACCGCGCCTGGCCGTGTATTCATATTTTACTTGAAATGCAGTTTTAAATCCCAGGTAATATTCATTAATCTTATTTAATATTATGAATAATTCTATAGTGAACACTCATCCCAGAACGGTGGGATTCGCTCAAGGCAACCGCCAATAGCTGTATCCCAGTGAAATCCCAGTCAGTTGGAAAGCCTGGAAGTAAAACACGCTGGAAGTAATGGGGAATCCCCTTTTCAAGGAGTCCCTGACCCTGTTGGGAGAGTCAGAACTCAAGCAGCCTGAGTAAATCCTGCTTCTGTCATCAACATTTCAGGACAGAGTTACAAAGATTTCAACCCCTTAAGATGTTTATCATCAATTATTCTTACTTTACTACCACTATCAGTGGGTTATTAAGACAGGCACTTAATCACTCGCATGATCATGGGCTAGACAAGTGTTGGCAAGAGCCAGCTGACTTTACACCTGCTTTTTAAAAGCAAGGTGGGGTGAATGAACTCTGCAGATGCTGTACTCATCTTTCCATTGCTTTGCATCATACAAAGGCATTCACTTTGTGTTTATACAAGATGTGGTTCTGCAACTTACCTTTCTTTTTTTTTTTTTAATAAAAATCTGACTTCAGTAATCCATGTCTAGGTTACCAAATATATAGAGAGACTAGTGATTTTGCCACTCAGTAAACAATTATATTTTAAGAAAATGGATTGTGTCCGGGTAAAATGTTTTTCTGAACCCAGAGCTAAAATATTTAGGGAAATAACACATCATACATGGTATTGTACAATGTTGAGCTACTGTTTTCTCCAGTAAATCCATCACAGCACCAGGAGGAATCAAATACAGCATGTTATTTTTGCACGGTAGAGCCAGGCAATTCTGGCAGCTAATCGGTCATCTAAAGTAAGTGACTACTTAATAAACACAATCTTTGCCCACTAGTAGCTTTCAGTTCAAACAGAAATTAAAGACAGATGGCTGTGTATGGGAATGTGCAACCTCTAAGATGATTGGATATACATCCTGCAGGTAAGCCACTGGATGGAGAAACAAGTTATTATTTACACTGAAGAGGGAAGCACTCATTTTGGGTTTTGCAATGAATGACTTTTCCCATTCCCAAGCATGAGTCATGTCATGTCATGTCGCTATGTGAAGTGGCCGGGGAGTTGCCATCCAAGCTGGCAGTGGGAAGCCATTCCCCGGGTGGAATACATGGACCTTCCTGAGTCTTTGAAGCAAGAGGGAGTGTGCTTTATAGTCATGGAAAGAGGAACATTCCAAGAGGCAAGTGTGGTGCTAGCAGGGGGAGAAATTGTGGGAGGAGTGGTAAGGATGGTAGGTGGAGCATGGTCAAGGAGGAGCAGGGCTCTTGAGGATGCTTTTGTCAGTTCAGTGGTGTTTCCGGGTCGTAATACCAACCTGTGATCTCATGTTCCAACATCAGCATTCCTATGTAAACTAAACTTAATAATAATTATTTTTTTGAGACAGAGTCTCTCTGTGTAACCCAGGCTGGAGTGCAATCTTGGCTCACTGTAACCTCCATCTCCAGGGTTCAAGCGATTCTTGTGCCTCAACTTCCCAAGTAGCTGGGATTACAGGTGCACACTACCATGCCCGGCTAATTTTGTATTTTCAGTAGAGATGGGGTTTCATCATGTTGGCCAGGCTGGTCTCAAAATCCTGACCTCATGTGATCTGCCCACCTTGACCTCCCAGAGTACTGGGATTACAGGCGTGAGCCACCACACGTGGCCCCTAAACTTAATTATTTTACATAGGTATACATCTTTTATTGATTTCAGAGAATAGGGTAAAAAAGCCATCATCTCTGAAAAAGAGCAAATAGAGCTAGAGAAAGGTGTGTGGAGAGAATGGGAAAAGAAAGGGAAAAACATGAACTGCTGAACAACAGGGTCAACACCCCAGATCTAGGAAAATAAGAATTTAAACCAGCAATACTTCATTCTTTCATTTTTCTATTCATGGTTTCAATAGCCATTCACTCACCTTAATAAACGTTATTGATTTCTTTTTCTATACAAGGTCACCTGGACAATTTCTGTTAAGACAAGAAGATTAATTAAAATCATTCTACAAGCTCATGTTTGATAGGCATTAAAAACAAAAAATATTAGGGAGTTATGAAGTAATATGGAGAAGGAACAAAGTATTTTGAAAGCAGCAGGCAGAATTCTTGATTTTTGCCTGTGAACTAGATGAAGGCTTTTCAGACATGGCACCGTCCTGGTTGTGGAAGGGTGAGGAGGAGTAGGCAGCTGTGGAGAAGGAGGCCGTGCAGGGTCGAACGTCCCAGTGCTCCTGACACACTGCAGGGCTTGGAATCTGGCCTCTGGTTCTTCCTAGTCCTGGGACTTGAGGGATTTACTTAATCTTTCTGTCTCAGGCTTTTCATCTGTGAGAACAGGAGGTGGTAATAGAAGGTACTCTGGAAGATTATTGTCTAAATTAAGAAAGACAATAAGTCAAGAAAATAGCAGAGTGTCCAATAAACAATCTGCAACATTGTCATTAAGAAGACATCCTAGGACACAGATCTTGGTTTGCACAAAGGCAAGCTCCTGAAAGGTCATGGTGGGTTTGAGAAACACTGGCACTTTGCAGAAGCCAGGGCTGAGCCAGGAGGACTAGGTGGTGACAGACATGAAAGTGGAGCTGAGACCTTCCAGCGTAGATGCAGTGGGAAGCCACTGGTTGAGCGAAAGCAGAAGGGGACGTGGCCATAGGTACCTGTTGTGAGGACACCCTGGGGCACGGACGATGGTGGGACTGGAATGTGAAGAACCCGCAGCAGAAGGCCAGCTCTCTAGGCCGAGATTCTATTGCAGCCCAGGGCTGGGATTATGAGAGTGGCAGGGGCGAGAAGAGGCAAGGTTATGGAGCCATGCCTGAATTAAAACCAAGAAAACTGGGTGACTTGAATGTGGGGTAATAGAAGAAAACTTTGATGAGGGTGACTCCAATGTTTCTTGCCTTTGTGACAGAGTAGCTCATAGCACCATTAACAGAAAACAGAATTTGGAAGAGAAAATAATGAAGGAGGAAGGAGAAGGTGCTTTTGGGGTTGGGAGTCAAGTTAATAAGCTTGTGTTGCCATCTGGACATCAAAAGAGAGACACCCAGGGGTCAGTTAGACATAGCATCTATGGACTGGAGTCATCACCACCCAGATGGTGGTTAAAGTAGGGGGTGTGTGCCAATGAATTCCCCAAGGACTAAATGCAGAGGAAGGCTCCTGGGGACACCAGAGTTGCACGGTCTTGCTTTAACCTACCAGAGCCAGCAACACTCTATCTGTCTCGTGGTGAGCTTTCTCATCTTCTCCTAGTGTTTGTGGCTTCTGACTTTGTAACTCTTTCCCTATCACCCTCCTCAGAGGGAGTATTCTGGCCCTTCCCTTTCCCCTGAGCACAGTGTGTATTTTCATCCTCACATACTGCTGTCAGATACTTGGGGAAACTGGATCACCTGGTCCAGCAGAGCCTGTAGGATCCTTAGGCCATTGGGTTAGAGGTGGAGTTGGCAAAGAGGAAGCTAAGATGCCTGAGAAGGAGAGATAGAAATATAAAGCAATAGTTGAAGATGAGGTGTCTTGGCAACCAAGGAAGAAGAATGCTTATAAGGACGAGTCAAAAACAGCTTCAGTGAAGACACATTTTCCTTCATCTAGATTCTCTGGGCTCTGACCTGAAGCTACAAATATTGTAATCTCTGTTTATTACACGGGATGAGAAAAAAGTAAAAGACTTTTACTTTCTTTTCTAGAAAGGTTAGTTTCAGAAACCAGTACTAATTTACCTCAATTTATCCTCTCAGTAGTGGGTTGCCTCATGATTTAGTTTTAGAGCTTGAGTTTCCTTGTGAGCAAGATCAGAGCAAGACATACCCCACTGGATTGAGTATTAAATAATATAATTTATAAATATTAATATAGAATCTCTAACACAATAAGCACATAAAACACAATTCGTTTCATGTTTTCTTCCCACTTTTTTCCTCATCCTCCAACTACTTTTAAGATATTTCTGGGTCTGAAGTTTTGACTATTCCCATAACATGGTCTGAAATACTCACTGCCTCTGAAACATACTGTGAAGGCCCCAGCATTGTCTGCTTGCCAGGCCTTTTCTGTGATGCTAGGAGGTTCACTGGGGTGGTTACAGCAGAGTTCGGGTCTCCTGGGTACATAAGTGCCCCTTTGACAAGAGGTTCTTTGTGATACATAGCACATGGAAATACTCTGTTATGGTGGTTTGCAAAGTGGTTTGTTGACTGAGAATCTTAGACTTCAAAATTCTCTTATTTTTATAATTGAGTTATAAAATAATAAAGAACTCTGTGAAAACTACCACTAAGTGGTGTTTAATACATATGACACTATTACACTCGGCATTACACTAAGCTCTTTACACAAGTGATTTCACCTAGTTTTTGCAACAAATTTATAAGTAATGTCACGCACATTTTATAAAGGGGAAACATAAGGATTTTAGAGTTTGTAAAGTAACGAGTTCAAGGTCACACGGCTAAAAAGTACCAGGGATTAGATGAAAGGCCAGGTCTTTCTCACTCCCACACTGATGTGGTTGTATCTCCCTGCTTGCCTCTGCTAAGGCAGGATTCTGGAGGCATCTCTTTACTATATAAAGAGCTTGAGAAACTGAATAGGTAGAACTTGACCCCCAGTTTATTTCCATCATTTAGTTCCAGTAGCCTCGTTCATGGGTGAACATGATGGTTTTATTATATAGTGGAGGCCATGCAGGCAGTTACTCTCTGGCTTCATTTCTGAATTGCTGCCTTTGATTCGCTGTTTCGTGAGAGCTCCTGAATTTCCTAGGATGTTGCTTTGCTTATGCTCTCTAGTTTCAGATCACTGGAAAAAGGACGCTTAGTATCCCCCAAATTCAATTTCATACTGACTTAGCCCGCAGAGTTTCTGTGAAACTTAAATGATCTTAAGCTGGTGAGGTGTCCTTTCAATTGCAAAACATCAGAGACATGGAAAAAAATTGGAGTATTCAATCAATAATTTGATTATTCAATAATTTCAATAGTTTTGATGGCTGAGTATGTCATATGTCAGCACTTTTCATGCTACCCAAAGTAAATCAATAAGGTAATAGTCACACTTAGCTAAATAGTGTTGAGCTCTAACCATGTGCTATGCACTATGCTAAGAACTTTACCTGAATGAGTTCAGATACTTTTCACGCCACCCTGTGAGATAGGTAATATACAAATCTCAGTGTCACAGATGGGGAAACTAGGCTCCAAGTGCTTAAGAAATGGGGCGAGATCATCTAGATATGAGTCCTGGATGTCCGCCTCAGATTTTGTTTGTCTGTTTGTTTGTTTTCATCTATCCTTCTATCATTGCTATGTCTTATTTGTTAGATGATGCTTATTTCACTTAAAAAGCACAAGCAAAACTTTGCAAATCAGATGTCCAGGATTTCATTTTCTCATATGATATTTCAAACGTTCAGCTACATTCTATCCTGATCCAATTTTAGCGCATATGTATATTTGTTTGAAGTTCAGCAGTGTTTTCTTCCTTTTTCCTTCTGACCAGGAACCCATGATACAGGTATTGTTTTGTTTGAGGCAGAAGCAGTTTTAGCAACAGTCACTAATGTCTCCTGACAGGCCAGGGAACTCGCAGACAAGTCATTGTCCTGGAGTAGAACATATATCTGAAATACATCACTCTGAATGAGAAAGAAATGGAACAGCAGGCAGAAATCTGAATTTGATTAGTGTAGTGATATCAACTCACTTTCTGGACAAATTAAATGCAATTAATTCCATGCTCCCTAATCAACCAGTATATTTGTATCAGAATTCTCTCTTCTGTGACAGTTTTTGGGTAAGATAATGTTTTTATGTAATTATATCTTCTGTTTCTTATATTTGATCATTTAATAACTTATTCATGCTTTAAAAACTCATGTGTACAGCACATTTACAAAACACAAAATAAGACTTTAACATAAATCTTTAGTGGCCAAGGGCACTTCTGACCCATTTAAACACTCCAGCTAAGATTTTTAGACCAATGTCTAGAGATACAACCAAGGCTAAATGAAGCATTCCATACTTCTGAAGCAGATGTTCTCTGGGCAAACTCAGTAGAAGAATACAGCTTCTGAGCTTTCTATACTTAAGGCTTCACAGATCATTGTTTGGAACAGGAATATAGCAAGAATATTTTTCTCTGAGTAGCTAAAAGCCCTCTCACTCCCCATTCCAGTGAAAAAGAAGAAAACTCATTGTCTCTATATATACAAGTTTTATAAATAAGTGTATCTCATATTACACTTCATGTTCAATAGGTGCTACACTAACAAATAAGCTCTAAAAACTTTTTTTAAAGATCAGTCTAACAATAAACAGCTCACGCCTGTAATCCCAGAACTTTGGGAGGTGGAGGTGGGCAGATTGCTTGAGCCTAGGAGTTTGACATCAGCCTGGGTGACATGGCGAAACCCTGTCTCTACAAAAATGCAAAAGTTAGCCAGGCATGATAGTGCACGCCTATAGTCCCAGCTACTTGGGAGATTGGGGTAGGAGGATCTCTTGAGCCCAGGAGGTCCAGGTTGTAGTAAGCTGTGATTGCATCACTGCACTCCAGCATGAGAGACAGAGCAAGACCCTGTATAAATAATAGTAATAATAATAACAATTAGTAAAAGAAGAAGAAAAAATAGCCTTTTGAAAGTTTCCAGGGAGAGGAACTTCCTGGAAGTGTGCTGACGTATTTGTGTATGTAGCAGGGAAGCAGGGCTTGGTTGTCTGTAGTTGACACAGACACTAAAACAATATTCAGTATTATAGGTTCGGGACTGTGAACCCGTAACTTCAACATCTGTACTTTTTCCACTAAAACTTGCAAGCTATCTTACAACTCAAATTCTTGTGACAGCTTTGTATTGAAAATGATGCAAATTAATATTCTCATCTTATCAGGTCATAGGTTTGAATTATATTTTACATGAATCTACATTTTAATTTAAAACAAGAAGTTATTGGACTTTTTTGGGGGGTGAGGTCTTTATGTTTATTAGTGACTTTAATGAGTTCCATAAATTACTGTGAGATTCCCAGGTGTTGTTCTGGTCTAGACCCCTCAGAGGTCTAGGTCACTTTCACACTCCGAAATCAATCCTAATTATAAGCAGAGGTTGTAGCATAAACAACAGGAAATTGACTTAGTAAAAGTAAACTGGTATTTATTAAGAGCCTATAACATCGCAGGCATTATGCTAGTAGGCCCTCTACCTAGATTATTTCCCAGCCAATTAGGTATAATCCACTACGTTTTAAAGAGGAAGGATACAGGCCAAAGGTTGGAGTTGATTTACTCAAGGAAACAGACTCAAGCATGGTAGAGCCGGAATGCAAGAGCTGCCATCAGCCTGGCCTTGCATGTCATGACTCTGGTCTTGCCACCTCTGTTCTTACCCAGTCCTGCCACCTCCGTCTTGTTTAGATACTGCTGAAGACTGTCATTGCAGGCTTCCCAGAAATCTTGTTCCTTAGTATCTGACTCTGCTTCTGACCTTGCATAAGGTGGTTGAGTCTGTGTTGTGGCTCACCCTGCTGGACCTAATCCATACCTGTCCAGTCCGAATGTGCCTGCCCACTTCTCCCTGGCCTTGCTTTCATTCTTGGGATGTTACATTTGG
The DNA here is from genome assembly GCF_000001405.40 of Homo sapiens. Classification (NCBI taxonomy): domain Eukaryota; kingdom Metazoa; phylum Chordata; class Mammalia; order Primates; family Hominidae; genus Homo; species Homo sapiens. The sequence goes on along the minus strand of NC_000013.11, from coordinate 105,818,012 downwards.
TCTGCCATATGGAGGCCTTCCCATTTACTTTTTGAATAATTCGTATTTTACTAACTCCGTCCCCCAACCTCTGTGTGTGTGTGTGTGTGTGTGTGTGTGTGTGTGAGAGAGAGAGAGAGAGAGAGAGAGATATCAGTGAAAAAACATCACCGAGATGAACTTTCTTATGAACCTGAGAGTGACCTTGGTTGGCTTCCTGGGCATCTATGTAAGCACTGGGCTTTATGAGCTTCTCATGTAATGCCCACCCTACATGGCACACGTACCTCCTGGCCTTCTGCCCAGGTCTGGAAGTTGCTCTCATGAGCCAGGTGGGGCCAATATTGCCTCTGGGTCTGGGCAAGGCTGAGCTTGCTGTGCAAGGCGATTCTTGCAAGCAATGGGTGTAGCAGAGGAAGGCAGCACCTAACCCAATACTCACACCTCCAAATAGGATTCAATCCTGGACCCTCTACCCAGCCTTCCTTCTTCAATCGCTGCCCAAACTTCAGCATGACAAAATGACCAAGAGCTCATCCTTTCTGACATTCTTCATTTCTGTCCCAGAGATCGATGTTGTTTATAGAGGAATATGTCTGCATCAAGTTAGAGTTTACGAAGGATCCTACCTGTGCCTTTCACATACCGATGGGTATCGTTCTGAACTGCTGCAGGCATCCTGCAGCCATTAGTGTTAACAGATGCTGTGATAATAATTCTCGAAACTATTGCTCCAGGAGTGTTCCTTTGAGTGATCTCACTCATCAAGACGAAGGCCATAAATTCTGAGGAATGTTAAACAATCAAATTCCTGACCTGTCTGTGACTATGGGAACTAAGTGCTGTTTACAGGTAGGGCCCTGAAGTTCAAAGAAAATCAGCCCTGCAGCTTTTGTTTTTCATTTGCATGAGTTAAAGCTGAGCCAACCTGCTGTGCTTAGTGAGGTGCAAAATGAGGTCTGAAGAGTCTTTCCAATCTGAGGCTGCCTGCTCACCCAGTGACACCTATTTATTTCAGCTTGGGTCAGTACCAGAAGCCAAATTGCCATAATCCATGAGGGAAGCCTTGCAGTTCTTGTGGAACTCAGAAACACTTAGGGAGTGGAGGGGACTCCAAAAGGGATCATGATCCAAGGAAGAAAAGAGTACAAGACAATGGAAAAAATAGTTGAGAGAGAAGGAAAGAGAGACAGAGATGAACACCCTGATTTGAGCTCCTCTCCAGCTATCTCATACTCACACAAATTTATTTAATATCCAAGGAACTGAGTGTCCTCTAGAATAAACACTAAGGATCAAGTGGCATGTATGTGATTTCACCTGTTTGTCTTGCTCTAATCTCCATATCAGTTCCTAATTGCCTTAAATTCAGGAATCATGACAAAATATATTCACTGTGGTTAAAAAAATCCTTAAGACTTAACATGTGCCCTTGATGTAGAAGAGTTAATTTTCTAACTAATTATTTGTGAAAGCTATATTTTGTGTCAGTGCATAATGAGGAAAAATTAATTTCCTTAAACACTAAGTAAAAATTGCAAGACATCCATCTGTCTCCCATCTTCTTCTCTTGACGCTTTGGGTACTGATAGTGCTAGCAAGTTACCTAAGGCCCTAAGGCCCTACATAAAATGAACAGATGTTTAGCTCTAGTTTTGCAAAATTTGCTGTATGAGTTTTTAGGTTTTATGTTTTCAAACCCTAGAGTCAGAGATCGGTAGGCTTGTGATGTAACTATCTAAAGTTTTTATTGTATTTCCAAAAAGTTTCCATTTTCTCCCAAATAAAATAAAATGTGAAGAAATGTAAGTTTAGATTCGATGTAATTGAATCATTTTACATAATTTTATTGTTAAAAATGTACATTACAAATTCCATGATTCCATACAACAGTTTATTGAGCATATACTATAAGTCACTGATTGCACCAGTGAATTGCTACAGGAATATAAAAACAAAAACAAAAATGATGACGATGCGGCGCTGACATGAACAAGTTTACCAGCTTATCAAAAGGCATGATGAGAAATTAGTTAACTGTAAATCAAGACCAAGCATGATAATGTACCAGAGAAAGGCTTCAAGATCAGAGGGGGAAATACCTTTCTGTCCCACCAATTGCAAAACCTGGGCTTTCAATGGTCAGTGTGTGGGTAGTGCTGACTGAGCATCTGCTGTGGGTTGGTGCTTTATGTAGTTGTTTCATCTCTACCCTCATTTTACAGGTGAGAAAACTTAGGCCCAGAAAGATTTTATGAAATCTCGCAAAATCTCTGAAAGCTCATCAGTCTATGCAAGTCTAAAAACTCTCCAGTCCATGTCTCCCCGTAGGCCTACACCCAGCTCTGGCCCTCTCCACTCCTCTGACTATACTGTAAAAGTGGCTTTTGTCAAGGTGACTGGGAAAATAAGTATTGGAGAAGTTATGTATTTATCTCCTGGTGTTAATTATATCTTTAAGTTGATGCTATTTCTTGAAGATCATTTAATTGCTTCAAATAACTTATCCAAAGATATATTTAGTCTTGATGGTTTGCTGTCTTAATTCCACCCCATTTATCTGGCTTAGTGTAGGTTATCTAGAGTGCAATACTAAAATTTATTTATCTAGTTTTCTTTGCTCATTTTTTTCATTTTGTTTAATACAGAATTTTGAGAACTGAAGCAATTTTTCAATAACAATAAAAATCAAAGAAATGTTATTAAATATTTATATAATTTAACTTTTGTTCAAATCTCTAGATAATTAAATGTTACTAAAATATCTAGATAACATGTTTTATTAAAATATCTAGATAATCAAGGCAACATATTTCCATATGGATCTAAAGTATCTGTATATTACCTTACAGGTGAAGTATGTGTTATCTAAGCAAGTTTAGAAAAGTTAAGGTATCTGAATCGTGGGATCTGGTATTAGTCTGAGCTCTGCCCCTGACTAGCTGAGGTCACAATGAACACTTTGCTAATCCCGATGCAGTACATCTGAGACACCCTGAAGGGCGTGATAGGGAAGATAAGATAATGTATAAGAAATGAATTGAGGTACTGCCAAGCACCATCGAGAATCAGTCCCCATCACTGGCCTCAACAACAGTCATCTCTGTTGTACTATTTCACTGTCCCCCTCCTAAATCACAGCCCACTAGGTGACACATCCCTGACGGGTGCTGGACACACCTGCTGATGGCTGTGATCACCCTAGACATCTAATGAGCCAGATACTTGTCTGTGCCAGCCCTCTTGTTCACACTGCATTCAGCATCTGGATTTTTGGTGCCGTGCCAATCTTAATGAAGTTGTCTTGTTGTTTTCTAAATACCTTTGGACACCTAAGGGCATAATGACTGAGCCAGGGTGTGTGACAGTGATAAAATATGGCACAGGCTGGATGAGCTGTAGCATGAGGCAGGTTTGACATGAAATGATGAGATTTGTTGTAGTCTAATCTACTCCTTTTGCTCCTTTAAGAAAAGATGGGGCAATGGGAGACTGCTGGCTGTTTGGCATCAACTCACAAGAATTGCACCTCTATAAGACAACATTAATTTGTATTGCATGACTCACATTGCATAAAAACAAGTTTGCATTCAAGAATCATGCATTCCCAGTTAATTAATCGCCCTTGTAAATGTTGGGGTGGATTATTGGTTAGTCACACACGTTTTTTTTTTCCCAGAAAGAAGGCAGGTGTGCCTCTCTGGCTCACCGTATAATTTTTTATGCCTGAATCAGCCTTGTGTGCTTCTGCCATTCTCTGCATCCCTTTCATTAAGCTCTGTCTAAATACTGAACTGTCCAAGTGTGTTATTGTAAATCAAGACTATCCACAAGTATTTCAAAACTGACATTTCATGGCTTGAAAAGAATCTAATCCAATTCCCTTTATTTCAGAATACATGGAAAGAGAGACAGAGTGACTAAGGAAGTTGCCCCAGGTCACACAATTAATGACAGAGCCTGTGATATCTAATGAGATCAGCCCCTTAATGGGAAGCTTGGGGCATTTTGGGCCAAAAGAAAATAACAGATTTTTGCCCCTTATCTACATAAGATAGACCCACATTTATGAGAAGAAAAGTTTCAACTCTTGAGAAAAATAGTTTTTGTGATATTTGTTGAATAATTAATGGGTGTGTAAATGAAAATTTTACAAAACAATATTCAAGTTCATGTCCAAAATGATTAAGAGATTTATTTCAAAATTTTAGCATTCATTCAAAGATACCCTTCTATTTATCTTTAAAAATAATTGGTATGTTAAAATTACTCAAATTTATCTTGATGCTTCTTTGAAAAATAAAATAATTTATCATAATGCCATTTTCAGAGTGGGTAATTTTTCTGCCTCACAGACATTATTAAAAGCATTTTTTAAGATAGACAACTGAAGCAAAAGGAAGAATAGATAATAGACTTTATCAGAAGAAAAATATCTAAGACTTGGATCACTTAATTTCTAATATATATTCAAATATTTATTCCTACAGAAAAATATTTTGGTACTAGTGATTCTCAGCTGCAGTGTTGGTCCTTCATGGTGCCTCTTATTATTTCAAAGAGAAGGCAATATTGATATAATTTATTAAATGCAATTCAGCTTTTTTTCTGTTTTACTTAAAAAATGAATACATAGAACCTTCTAAGCTGATGTGAGAGAATGGCTAGGATTGGCATTTCTCCCAAGCCAGCAGATCCCAGAGAGAGTCTCAGTTCCAAATAGGTTAGAGGCCATTTTTTTTAACCAAAAGGAAAAATGTCCTAAATGCATTTTGAAATTCCTGGTTGACTCCAAAGGCATCACTCAAAGCATCAAGGGATCAACTCAGAGGCACTCCATATTATTTTTTTTCAATTGCTTTATAATTTTTAATTTATTTTTATTTTTTATTTTAAGTTCCAGGATACATGTCTAGAATGTGCAGGTTGGTTACATAGGTAAACATGTGCCATGGTGGTTTGCTGCACCTATCAACCTGTCATCTAGGTTTTAAGCCACATTATTTTTATATTATGTTTATAAAGGAGATTACCTACAGAAGCTGCCATTCAGAGGACAGACTGCTAGGAGTTGAATTGTGTCACCCAAAAAGATATATTGAAGTCCTTATCCCCAGTACCTGGGAATGTGACTTTATTTGGCAATAGCATCTTTGCAGATGTAATCAAGTTAAGATTAAAGTGGGCCCTAATTCAATATGATTGATGTCTTTATAAGAAGAGAAGATCCATAGACACCCAGGGAGAAGGCCATGCAGCGACAGAAGCAGAGATTAGAGTGATGCCGTTGCAAGCCAAGGAACACCGAAGACTGAAGACCACAACCAGAAGCTAGGACGAGCCAAAGAATCTGCTAAGAGTCTCAGAAGAAGCCTGGCCCAGCTGACACCCTGGTATTAAACTTCTAGACTTCAAAGTTGTGGGAGAACACATTTATGTTACACTAAAGAACTCAAGTTGTGGTAGATTATTATAGCCACCCTGGGCAACTAGTACAGATTTTGATGATTTTTAAATCCGCTGCATACAGTAGCCACCTCAGAATGCACAGAGGAATAAGTATGTGTACTTTTAGCAATTGCAACGTAATTGAGAGTTTACTTAAAACCCTTCTATTTCAGTAGAATTCTGAATAGTATATTCAATATATTAAATATTTCATTTTGAAATTATTAGCTTATTTCTACTTCTGTAAGCTTTTGATTAATATTAAATTTTAAAGCTGCAAGTTTTTAGATTTGAAATAAATATCTGCCATTCACCAGAACACTCCTAAATTGGGTCATCTGTCTCTATTCATTTTTATAATGCACTAAACACCCAATATTGCCTGATTTACAGGACAGCTGTTTCTTCTGCAGCTATTTCCTGCTTTGGATATTCTATTTTATTATTCTACCAATTTGAAGAGTACTGTGACATAATCATCGCATGTTGTTATGGGTTGAATTGAGTCTCCCAAAGAAGTATGTTGAAGTAGTAACATCTAGTATCTCAGCATGTGACTGTCAGAAGCTAAAAGAAATACATGGAACAGATTTTGTCTTAGAGCCTTTCAGAAAACGCAACCATGCCAACACCTTGATTTCAGCCTTCTTGTCTGCAGGACTGTTGGAGAATAAATATATTTCTGCCATCTTAAGCCATCGAGTTTATGGTACATTGTATGCCAGCCTTAGTAAATAAATACATATGTGAAGTATGAGTCGTCTTTGACTGTAAGTGCCTTATTTTTAAAAAATGAGAAGTAAATTATGAAAGTCCTTGACCTTTCTCTTTCCAAAATCATAATCCTAAATACTAATTTTCTAAAAGGTACAGAAAATGTCATTTTCAACTGGTTGGTTCATAGAAGGTTGAACAATAATCATTGACTTATCTGTGCAGTCAAACTGTGAAGAGTGTGAGGTTTTAGCATTTTATGGGTCAGAGATGAGAAACAAGGTTATCTGAGTGCTTGCTCTTGTATGTGCATACAAAAAAGTAACCAAAATATTCATTAGTTTTATGCTGATCGTCTCAGTAAGACACTTTAAACAGTTATGAACATGGAAAGCAAAGTTATTTTTTCTCAAAACAACATTATTGTTAAAGAAAAACATTACATTGAAATGTCTTGTGCTAGTGATGGTGTTTCCATATTGCTAAACTATTTCCTGCAGCCTGTGTCTTACCAACAGCATTAACTCTTCCTCCTAGAAAGATCTGTCCTGTGGCATGCCGCCAGCATCTCCTTGACGGGCCTACATACCCTCCGGAGTTTGCCATCTTGGTTTAAGTCATGCGATGACTTGTGATTTGAGTAGTCCATCTAAATACCTCCAAAGTATTTCAAATTTAGATTTTTTTCTGAGTTTAGAATTTTCTCACCCAGTAAAGCATTTGTTGACCATATCTGTTTCTCCTTTTAGGTTGTGAGTTCATTAAGGACAATGAATGGAGCATTTCTTTTTATCTCCAGCACTAAGGACAGTACTGGGCACATGGTTCATAGTGAGATCAAAGTTAGCTGAAAGGAAAGTATCCATTCTAATGGCTACAGTTACAGGAAGGGAAGCTGGGAGATTTTTTAAAAGGTTACATTTTCTTCCTTACCTTTCCTTTCTTTTTTCATTTTCTTCCTTTCCTTTCCTTCCCTTCCTTTCCTTTCCTTCCCTTCCTTTCCTTCTGCTTCTTCCTTTCCTTCCCTTCTTTTCCTTCTGCTTCTCTTCCTTGCTTCCCAGTAATTCTTCCCAGTAATTCTTCTCTTTCTTGCTTCCCAGTAATTCTTCTCTTCCTTGATTCCCAGTAATTCTTCCCAGTAATTCCCAGTAATTCCTTGCTTCCCAGTAATTCTGTACTTTCTTTTCAATCACAGTTGCTACAATATTTGCTAAACTCTGATGGTTACCATTAATGACTAAATTTTGTTTTATTAATATTAAACCAAAACCAATATTAATATTAAATATTAATATTACAGCCAAGAAAAACCAAACAAAAAACTTGATTAAAGGTATTACCTCAATTATGTACAGAAAAAAATGATCATGATTGTTGTATTAAAAAGTAGCAGAGGCTTGTGACAGCAAGTTTGGATGGACTTGCAAGCATTCTTTAATTTGTCATTTGCACAGATTATAGCAAAGTGAATGAGTAGGTGTATATTGTCTAAAAGAAATCAAGAAGATGCTGGGTAATACAAAGCACTCAATAATGAGACTTTATCATTTTTTTCTATACAAAATTACTTATTTTACTGTTAACTCATTTTTGTTGGAGTTTGTTTGTTCTTCTCCTATGTGAAATGGTACATTATAAAAAAAAATCAAGTAAGAAAACATTCTTTGCCAAAATTGTAGGCTCAAATTGGTCATTCTTTTCAGATGAAGAGGTAATTAGAACTATTTCTAGTTTTTCAAAAGACATTAATTTCTTGGTTTTGCTACATCAAGTGTAAGGAGATTACCTTAAGAAGCTCTCGTAACAAGAACAAAACAACACATCTTTGTAAATAGTTAAGAGAACATAACGAAGATTCTAAAATGTCACAAGAGGAAGACATTCATTAAAGAACAAAAATTACTCCATGGAAAAGACTAAAAATGGGGGTGGAAGAAAATTACTTTTCTGCTTTTCTTTTAAATGAGTTTCTTTTTAAAGGATAAGCATTTTGTGTAGTGATCTCTGTTTCTCTTTCTGATTTTTTGTTTTCATGCTGTGACTCTTTCTGGTCGTGATTGGTTTTTAGTCCTCTGAAAATCTATAATATTCTATAATTGAGAGATCGGAGGGATTAAAAATAATCGTCTGTTTTTATAATTGTCTATTGTATATAATGGACAGATAGTTGGGGCAAGTTTGAGATCAAAGCCAGCAAGAAAGACTTGGATGATGGCATGGAAGCAATTTGGAAAACTAGCCAATCAATAACTCAAGGGGATGTCAGGATGGAGCTGAAAAGAGGCTTTCCGTGTTGGAAGGTCGGTGGTGTCTACTCATCAAGAGATGGGTTGAATTGCAGTGTATGGGCTCTGTGAGGTCACCGACGGATCTGTGAGGTCTGCCATGGATGTGCATGTGCAAGAGTCTTGATAAGATTCTTGTACTTTTGTAGCCCCATATTAGTGTAAAAATGGATAAAAAGTGGCTCAGAATATGCTGAGGTATATAAAAGCAAAAAGTGCAAGGAGTTTCAACTCAGCTTGAGTGACTAAGTCTGGGGAGATCCTGTTCAAAGGAATCCAACATGAGTTTAAGGAACTGCAATATTAGTTTAGGTAAACTTGAAGCCCAGATGAGAACATAGGAGTCATATTTTAAGAAGACTGGAAATGAGGAAAAAATCGCCTTTACAAAATGACTTGTGTGTGTGGCAGACACTAGGTTAGACACCATAGATACATAACTTATTCACTTTCTAAAACAAGTTCGATATTATTTTCTCTGCAGTGAAGTCATTGCGCCTCGCAAAGGTTAAGTCACATTTTCAACACTGTACGACAATCAGCACCTGGATCAATAAGACTCCCGAGCCATTCTTTCTCCTGGACCATTCTGTCCTTCTTTGTTTTTCTTTTCAGTTCTTCTCACATGATACATGGCAGATGATACGGTTTGGATTTGTGTCCCCACCCAAATCTCATGTTGAATTGTAATCGCCAGTGTTGGGGGAGGGTCCTGGTGGGAGGTGATTGGATCATGGGGTGGATGTCTCCCTTGCTGTTTTCATGACAGAGAATGACTTCTCACAAGATCTGGTTGTTAAAAAGTGTGCAGTACCTCCTCCTTCACGCTCTTCCACCTTCTCTGCCACGTGAAGAAGGTGCTTGCTTCCCCTTCGCCCTTCCGCCATGATCGTAAGTTTCCTGAGGCCTCCCCAGCGAGCTTTCTGTACAGCCTGCAGAACTGCATGTCAATTAAACCTCTTTTCTTTAAAAATTACCCAATCTCAGGTGGTTATTTAGAGCAGTGTGAAGTGTAAAAATGGGCTAATACAGTAGATAATCCTCTGTGTGTCTGTGTATGACTCCTTCTCATAGGAGAACCTGGAACTTGGCTAAGTTTCTCCCTTTGTCTCCACCTCTTTCTTGTCTCCTCCAGAAAGCATTTTTGAACATGGGTGAATAACACTATTTCAAAAAGTTAATCCTGAATCTGTCCTAATAAAAACAGCAGCTACTATTTGCTGAGTTACTTACTTTGGGCCAGGCAATGAACTAAGTGTCTCACAAGTGTTAATCTCTTTCAATCTCTCCACCAGATCAATGAGGTAGTAAAACTAGCCTTAGAAATTAGGAAGAGCCAGCAGTGTTGTCTAAATCCACGTTTCTAATTTCAAAGTCCTGCTCTTCACAACTGCTGAGGGTTGCTCCTCAGAAATGCAGAGTGAAAGTGGTGCCAAAGCTTTTCATATATACTTACGAGAGATGTGCTATATACGTGAATAAGAAACAATTTACAAAAAGGTAAATCATTCTCAACCTTTCATGTTGTGATTGAATGCTAATAAAATATTTGCAATAGTTTTGTCACCTGACATCAACCCATGGGTGAGTAATAAAACTGTAAGAGAAATTTTCCCTTGGTCAGTTTCTCTTTGTGGCAAATGCCTTCAATTTTCTTGCAGAGAGAAAAAGCCAAAACCAGAGAAAGCAAGTGAGATGATGAAGACATTGGGAAGTATATGATCTCCCCATACCGATGGTGTTTAAGAACTGGTAGTTGTTCTGGCTGTGTTTCAAAATAATGGCACACATGGTCTTTGCCTGAGAGAACTCATTTTCCAGTGTGAGAGCAAAGGACAGATAAGCAAAGTGTTACAAGGTGCTTTGTTAAGGGTTCCAACAGAGGCAACTGCTGAGTACCATGGCATCCGAGAAGGGTCTAGTGCCACCTCAAGAGAAGAGAGGCAGTGACAAAATTTAGGTACTCAACAGGAATCAAGTTGATAGCTTGGTTTATGGAGAGGATGGCCAGGTTTATCAAATAAAAATAAAAGCATCCCAATTAAATTGGAATGTCACATAAACATTCATTTTTTCTGGTATAAATATGTCCCAAACATTGCATAAGATATACTTAACTAAATAAAACAATTCCATGTTCTCTGTTATTTTAAAGATGGTGTCTTGCTCTTTCACCCAGGTTGGAGTACAGTGGCACAAGCATAGCGTACTGCAGCCTCTAACTCCTGGGATCAAGCAGTCCTCCTGCCTCAGCCTCCTGAGTAGCTGAGACCACAGGCATGCCATCATGCCAGCTTAATTTTTGTATTTTTTGTAGAGACTGGGTCTCACCATGTTTCCCAGGATAATCTCGAACTCCTGGCTTCAAGTGATCCTCCCACCAGCCTCCCAAGGTGCTGGGATTACAGGGGTGAGCCACTGCACCCAGCTGATCTCCTGTTTATCTGAAACTTAAATTTAACTGGGAAGCCTATATTTTATCTGGCAACCTTGTTTATTGGTAATCTAGAGCCCAGATAAGTTGACGAGTAGGATAGATAGAGATTTTCATATCTAATTCACACTCTCAGGTCCTCACCTTTAATAATCTTTAAAAAAATTACCACTTGTACTCTTACAGAAATTGTCTAATATAAGTTTGTAATACTATGGAGGGCTGTGTAAACTATATTCTCAGTTGAGAGGGAAGGCTTACTTAAGATATTTTTCTAAATACTAAAACTTTTTCTCAGCCCAAAGTAGATCTGATTTACCAAGATATTTTGATATATCACCACTTAAATGAAGCACGAGTGGGGGAGTTACAACTGAGCACGTTCCAAGTCCTTGTCCAACCCAGAGATTGACTCAGAAACGAAAAAAGCAGCAGGAGGTACAATTCCTTACTCACCTCAAAAATATTGCCCAAATGCCTCTTAGAATAGACCTGGGTTCAAAAGTTTCTTTCTGAAGTTGGATATTACCTCATGTTTCCCTAAGCCTTCTATTACAAATATAATAATTAAGTAATTAATAATGGTTAAGTGACATGCCTGAGACTACACCCTGGGTCACCGGCTGAACAGGGAGCAGAGTTCTCAGCTCTGAGTTTTCAGTCCTCTGCCTCAGCCATGCGGCTACTCCTGGCTTCTCTCTACTTTAAAATGCATGTCCCTGATAGCTTCAGACATTAACTTCATCAGTGATTGAACAGACGCAAGAAAATTGGGCCTTGAATGCTATATGTGAATCAGCCAGGATTTAAACAGTATTCTCTGCCAAAAATGTACGCTGGGAGCCTTGTTCGAAACTTAGTTGTAGAAAGATACAGATTCATTTCTCCATAAAATAACACATCAATACCTATATCCAAAAACCCAAAGAAAAAGGAGCTGACATTTCTGTAATTCCACTGAAAAATAAATGTTTACTTGGAAAATGGACCTTTTTAATATCTATTTGCTTATGAACTCTAAAGAGAAACTCCAAGTTGGATGAGCTAATGTAAACGGACTTTAAAAAGCAAACACATATTTTTATGTAGTTTTCAGTTTTCCTAGTTGTATGTTTCTTTTGCCAAGTCACTTAGTCTCCCTCACTCCAGAGCTTGTGGGGAAAATATATGGGACAGTAATAAGTGAGCACAAATTCTTTACTTTTAAAAAATGCATATACCCTCATTCTCTTCTCCAGGAAATAAATTGTAGAATACTACCAGTAATTGTTTTTCAATAATTTTAAAAGAACAGTTTCTGGCATTTTATTCTATGCAAATATACAGTTTGCTTAGTTTTCTAGTCTTTTCTTCATGTTTCTATAAAGAATTTGGCTCAGGCAATGGAGATAGATCACCCTATCTGTTTTTCAACTGTTTTTAACCCTGTCTGTTTACTCAACTCTCAGTAGCATCCCTCATATTGGAGAGATAGATTATTTCGCAGGCTGTCCTCTGGCTTTGCCTCCTAAGGTCACTCACAATCACATTAGACCACTGACTCCACTGACTGTTCAGTAGTCTAGCCCTTCAAAGGAGCATTATGTGTAAGCGTTGATTAAAAAAAGAAAAATAAATCAGTGTGATAAACTCCTTTCCCAAATGTTGCAGGAATTTTTCTCTGCATTTATTGGCTTTTCTAACACTTTGTGATAAATATGTATAAAATGTTTAATATCAAGAGAAAAAAATGTCGAATGGTTCTTTCCAAAATATGAAGGAATGTTTGGGAGATACATTGAGATGCAGGGGGAATCTGGATAGAGCAGAAAGTGGCAGCGACAAGCCTGACAAGGAAAATATGGCTCTAAGATCCTCAGTGACAGCAGGTAATGGAGACCCTTGCCACAGACATGACCTCAATTATCCATGCAGGACAGGTTCCCTTCATTCTTCTTCCCTTAATGGAGCCTGTTAGGTTGAGATTCTAGCCCAGTGCTGTCATCCTTCCCCCATCTAGAGGGACAGTTGGAAAGCCAAAATCATCAGCCAACCTGAAGTCTACTATGTCTGGAAGCAGCCAGGAGATGCTGCTGCCGTAGCATCTGCTCATGGTAAGGGCAAGAGAAAGGAGCCTTAGCAAGGGAAACTCTTCTCCTGTCCAGTTTGTGCCCTGCATTCACAGAGAAACCAGTTGTGCTGGTTAGTGATATAAGCACAAGCCATCTGGGTCTTCCTCATGAAACTTGTCATGTCTATTAATAAATTGTATTGCTTTTCTTCAGGACTGCATAGGAAAGCAAGGGAGATAAAAGACTTGGGTGTGCTTTGATCTTAAAGGTCAGGTGGACAAAGATGTTGGAGATTTTTACTTCATTTTTCTTGACTACGGAGATTGGATGTATCCTTCTAGGCTCTGAGAGGACTGCGTGTGACTCATGCTGCTGAATGTCTGGTAGATTTCCAAGCTGTGCTCTCTCTTGCTTATTTATGGAACTCATTCATGGAGCCTCAGCACTTTTCATCAGGGAAAAGAAAGGAGCCTATTGATCCCTTAAAATGTACCTTTTCTCACATTTATAATACTTTATTTCTGCTCCTTCATACATTTTTAACCACTATATTGTGAAGAAAACATTAATAGAGATGTAGAGACATATAGTTGTGCCTTGTTGGTAAACATCTCTCATGGAATGTTCCATTGGTGGTTCAAAGAGCTGTGCCTGAAATATATATACATATATATGTATATATCATATATATGTATATATGATATATATCATATATATGTATAAACACACATACACATATATCATATGTGTATATATGATATGCATACACACATACACATATATCATATATGTGTATATATGATATGTACACACACATATATGTGTATATATGATATGCACACATATGTGTATAGATGATATGCACACACATATGTGTATAGATGATATGCACACACATGTGTATAGATGATATGCACACACATATGTGTATAGATGATATGCACACACATATGTGTATGTATGCTATGCACACACATATGTGTATGTATGCTATGCACACACATATGTGTATGTATGCTATGTACACACATATGTGTATGTATGGTATGTACACATATATGTGTATGTATGGTATGTACACATATATGTGTATGTATGGTATATATACATATATAAAATATATACATATATGTATGTGTGCTTGTTTATATATATATATAAAATTTAGAAATAATTCATATGTATTACCAGACTTTTCTATATCATGAACACTCTGACTCTTGTTTTTAAAAGTGGGCCTCAATTCAGACAGAAGTTAATCATAGAAAATATAATTTGTCCATAGTTAGGTAATTCTAACTTTAAAACTTTACTTTCAAGTTAAGTAAATTTGGAGTGGAAAAGAGAAAGATGTAGACCAAGTACACAATGCAATCTCAGTATTAGTTTCTTATATTTTACTATTTTCTTATTATAAAAGCAAAGTCAAAATTATGGACATGTTTTAAAATATAGAAAGGTATAAATAAGAAAACAAATACATTTATATATGTGTGTGCACATACATGAACATACATGGAAAATCAACGCTGCATTCTTATCTATTCTCTACTCTCTTTCCCTCACCTATTGCTGGCTGAGGATTGTTTCCCAGATTGACTTGAAAAAGCTCCCTGTTGAAAATGGCAGCATTTCGATCAGAATAAGTCCCTGAATGACAGCCTCCTAACAATGAGATTTTATACATTAGGAAATAAATGTTTATTTGGGGAAGCCTTCTAGAATATTTATTTATTATAGCAGCAAATGCAACTTTAACTAATATAGGCCATACTTAATAATTTTTTTCTAGATTTCTTTTCTGCAAAAATATGAGTATTTTTCTGTGTCTCCACTTTTTTCTTCTTTGTTAAAAGTATTCAATGTTTGCATGATATTCCACCATATGTATGCAGAACATTAAAGTAAACTCCTGCTATTGCGCATTCACATTGTTTCAACTTTTCACTATCGTATCTGTCTGTTGCAACATATTTTTACATATCTCTATTTCTGTAGGAAACATGCTTACATTTATAATTATGGCACCAAAGGGTTGACCCGTTTTTGTGTGTATATATATATATATATATAATATATGTACTATATATATTATATATATACACTATATAGTATATATATAATATATGTACTATATATACTATATATACAATATATAGTATATATACTATATATACTATATATAGTATATATACTATATATATACACAATATGTATATACAATATATATACTACAAAAATATATATATATAGTACAAAAAATATATATATATAGTTTCCTGTGACTTTAGAAGGGTTGCACCAATACTGCCAATTATACATATACACATATATAGTACATATATACTTTATACATATACATACACACATATAGAATATACATATATATGCTACTATATATATATATATATTTATTTATTTATGTTTTTTCCTGTGACTTCAGAAGGGTTGCACCAATACTGCGGATTGCTCCAATACTACTGATGAGAGTGTAACCTCTCATAATAACACTAACTTTTATTTTGACTTCTAAGGGCTTCATTGGCTGAATTTTAAGGATTGCGATCATGAAACCATTATTGGACTGGTTTTTCATACAAGTGACATAAACACTGTTCATACAATTGACATAAACACTGTTCTATAACAGTGTTATGAAAAAAGGTCTTCTTGCTCATTTATTAGTAGGATTCATGCATAATTTTCTTAGAGTGCAAAGATCTTCCTCTGAAAGAAAATAGCATCTGTATTCAGCTTCTTTTTAAAATCACCATTCTTAAATTGAGGATGATTTGCTACGACATTATTTAATGCAGCTCTTTCTTCTGCTTCCTTACTCTCCTCCCACTCACGTTACAACCATTCCACTTGTCCTCCGGATACATGGTAGTAGAATCTTATTCTATGGGAAAATATCTTCTTCTCCCTATATTTTCTAGTTATTTTAATTTTTAAAAATTAAATTACAGAGAAATGGGAAAATAGTTCATGTCCTACAATTATCATTGCTCATATTAAGTGGTAAAATATGTTGAGAGTAGCAGCAATAGAATGCTTTAAGAGATATCTTCCAACTCATATGATATGTTTTCCCATCTGGGGACTCCACATCTTTCTCTTTCATCATAATAAAAAGGCTTATATATTAGAGTTTTTAAATTTCTATATTTCCAACTGAATTATTAGTATTTATGAAGAAAATTAAATCTGTATTATTTTATTACATGGATTACATACCTTATTTTTATCAATGACATAAATAAGTACAAAAATAATAGATGCTTAGTGAGATGTCTTTCTTTTTTTTTTTTAAACTGCTTTCAGATTACATAACAGGATTAATTTTATTATGAGTAATTTTTCTTTCTCATATTTTTAAAAATTAAAGGCCCAACAAAACTGGGAGAAATACCTGTAGAATCTTTGAGAATCTAAAACACTTGCTAGTCACTTGTGTGGAGCTCTTTATATGAGTATTTAGATGGGTATGCTAAATGCTCTGTTTGCTATATTATTAGCTAAATGAGTCAAGGGGTTCTGGCTTTTGCAAATTAATAGAGCATCTTTTTATCTTGATGTAGTCTGTCAAATGATTCTCCGTACTTTTTTAAAAAACAACTTTTTATTCAAAAAGCCTTTATAGGGTAGTAAGGACTTCGGGTCAATTTTATCCAGAGCTACATGTCAAAGATCAACTATTTTATTAGTCTGATGTCAATAAGGATTATAATTATAGTTCAATATGATTGATTTATATGTGGGCTTTAAAAATATTTTTATTACTGCATAGTAGACATTATCTCCTTGGATTGTATGTAATATATTCAGTATAAATTTGAAATATAAGTTTGTGAAAAATAATACAGCAGATTATATTTGTTTCTCAACCAAATCTGTACCCATTAGAATTCTAGAAAACAGTAAGTCTGTCCTGTACAGTGAATAATGCAAACCATAAATGACAGCATTCCTTCAACCAGAGGAGTGGATAAAATTATCCACTAAAGTCCAGTTTGGTTGCTTGTCTAAAAGACCATATTTTTTTCAAATGTGTTCAAATTAAAATACTTAAGTAATGAGATTAAAATGTTTACTTTAAAGCAATTGCATTTGTTTGGCTTGTATTATATTAAAAAGAAAATAACAGAGTTCAGTAATGAAGAATAGGAGAGGGAAATAATCACAACAAAACTCTAACACTGTAAACCTACCACAATTCACTCTGAGCTTCTCTCTGAGCTTTCTAATAGCCAAAGTAAATACAGAAAACCAGAAATTTTATGGCTCCCCTTTTCTAATAAAAGGAAGTAAATTAATCAGAAGAGATCATTTTTGCCTAATCTGATAGAATTTTTTACACATCTTTTATGAGAAATATTGAATACCATGGTAAAGACTGTCTTCAGAGGGAGTTTTACCACAGAAAATGCATTGGTGTTTCATCTATGGCTATGTGATACAGCCATTTTCCATCAAATCTGTTAGTAGACATTGTTTGGCTTCATGAAGGCCTGAAGGTGCTTTATCTTGCCAAACTGTGGGCACCCACAGGAATGATTAGCGTCCCTAAGTACCTGTGATGAGCAGATACAGTATGTTGTGGTGAGAAAGGACACCAGTGCTGAGGCCAGACCACCTGCATTTAAACTACAGCTCTACTCCTAGGTAGCTGTGCGACCTACGGCAAGGTACTAACATTTTTGTATAGGAGTACATTACTTAGAAAATGTCTGATTTATGTTAATTACTCAAGATAACTTAGCCATTATTATTTTTATTAGTATTGTTATCAATGTGTACTTTGAAAACTAGAAATATTCTACTTGTTCAAATATATTGTAATAAAGGTGAATTTGTGGCCAGTTAAACAGCTGTTTCTCTTGTTTCCTGTCCACATTTGGCAATCATGAGATGTGTTGAAGAATTACGTTCCATTGCTTCAAAGGCATTGTGCAAAAGGGTTTCATGAGGAAAGCCACATTCCAAATGAGACACTCTGCTTGTCACATATATGGCACTTTTCCATTGGAACGTAAAAAACAAATAAAAGAGAAAGAAGCTGCATTCAAGTAAACAACAGTGTACTTTTATGTGCAAAAATAGAATATTCATGGTGGTGGGCAGTAATAAGGAATAAAGACCTGTTTATAATATGAATCTTTATGTGACAAGCTAAAGGGCCAAATGGCAGCTATAATGAGGTCTTGGAACACAATGTGTCACTTCTTTAAACTCTGTTTGCCCAGAGGTGTCCACTGGGTCAGACTCATCACCTAGGTTGCAGAAATTATAGGGCCAGAACCAATTTCTTCTGTTTTTCCTCACTCACATCACTAAAATCAGCTTACAGACCATTTTTCCTAAGACATATATAATGATCTCGAGCAAAATGCTCAACCTCTTTGGACATTAGCTAACTCATCTGCATTTAGATTTAAATACCTGTTATTTCTGACTAATAGAGGGGTTGTGTTGATCAAATGAAAACCAGATCCATGAAAATAAATTGCCCTTTGTGATGGAATAACAGGATACAATGAGAAGATCTCTGCCTGCCCAGCAGATTGTTACTAGCTGGGTGAGATTGTTCACTTAACCCATTTGGAAATGAGCTTTATTCTTTGTGACATGATGGCATCAGTGTCTATCCCACATAGTTATGCTGTTATATTCCCTCATTATTTCAACACATATTTATTGAGTGGCTATCATGTGCCAAGAACTGAAATTGTTGAGTGCCTATGACATCATTATCACCACCACCACCATGATCATCTTCATTATCATTTAAGCAGCTAACATTTTTTGTCATAATATTCTTTCCACTGTGCCACTATTCTCACATGAATTATTTCATTTTGTCCTCACAACATTACTATTTTACAGTACTAATGATACCATTTTACAGATAGAGAACTCCAGGCTCAGAGAGCTTATGTAGCTTGCATATTTGCATATAGAATGAGTATGCCTTGGTTATTATGAAATATTGCCTTGAAAATTATTAAATATTGTCCCCCATATATACAGTTTAGTATGAAGGTTTTGAAGGCTGCTAGAGCAGTGACTACAGACAGCAATATCCAGGTATGGAACATAGACTCAGTTCTGTTTTATATAATTATGTGAACAGATGGGAGAGGCTAATGACTTAATCCCAGTTGCATTTAACAATATTAAAGATGCTGACAAAGACCAAAGGTCTGTGCTGAAGACTTTCTATTGCATTACCCATATCCCAACTCATTTTGTCTCTGAGTGTTGGCATCATTCTTTTAGCCTGTACTGAGGACTGTGTGTACTATGTGTGTAGGTGCATGCACTGCTATCTCTTTTTTCCCTATGACATCACAGATCCTTAATACCAGCTTCAGACCATTTTGGTTTCCTGTTTATAGGAGGCTAGAAATGACTGCAGCCTTTGGGTATACAGCTTCATAGCTATTTTAGGCTCTGCTACTTAATTAACTGTGGATGGACCATCCGGGCTTTTCCAAGTTTTGCATGGCATTTTCTCCAACTCACCTTGGAATTTTATATTTAGGCATATTTGTCAACTTATGAACAAGCTTCTTGGGTAAACGGCAAGATCTGTTCATGAGCCATTCATTATAGAAGTGTAGGGGAAAATGGAGACATTTCACTACTTTTTTATTGCTTAGAATTGAGAAAGCTAAAAATGTGTAGGTTAGCATAACTTGGAATTACTCTGTTTGTCACATAATCTTTCTATACAAATTTTGGAACACAATCCTGCATTCAGTTTCCCCCATCTCATATTGCTTTGTGATTCAGCCTTCTTTCTTTAATTTTGTTCAATTTCAACTTCTGGCAATCGAATAAAATAAGGTATGGGGACATGTTGTAAATACGTTAACTCAGTTTCCAATATTACAAAAAAAGTTTATGAAAAACATATTGTTTCATATATACTTCACTAAAATTGGTTGAACGATATATTCTGTTTACACACCAAAGGTTCTTTGAAACATAAGCCATAGCTAAAGACTGCCTGCTGTTGCCATCACTGTGTAGAGGATATACGTAATGCATTTTCTTATGAATAAGTCTTCAGTCTGTTAATGCAGTAAGCCAATAATGGAGAATGAACTGTCTCAAACAGGCACACATATAACAAACTAAGATACTACATGTATGTGGTAGATCATGTCTGTGTATATGAATGGTTTTAAGAAATTGTAACAAGAAGCAATATAAATCTTTATTTCTTCCTGCAAAGGATCTTAGATGTACTACTATGGAAGTGATTGGTTTCATAATTGTTTAGAGCCAACAGGCTTAGGAAATTCTTTGTAATAAAAACAGACCATGCCATTTGCTTTCTCCTTTTTGGAGAATGAACATATAAACTCAATATGTAAAATGCAAATAGTTTAATTTAAAATTACTTACATTTAAAGAGTTTTTGAAAAAAAGAGTTTGAAGACTGAAGCAATGACACAAGAACATGATCATAAATATTTATAAATTAATATTCAAAGTTGTGTATTACATTCATCACTTTCAGAAAACAGCCTTTTGTTTTCTTATTTTCTCTAGTAGTGTACTGTATAAATCTGATAATCATTGAGAATATAAATACGATTATTGCAACAACCCAAACTGTAACATACATAGAGTTACTTAACCATAATGCATTACTCTGAACAAGTTCCATGTGAACTCAATAAAAGACTAACTGAAATAAATAGTACAGGATGGCAAACATAATGATAACAATGGCAGCAGTGGTGGTAATAAAACCAACATCAACAATAACAAGATATTGTCATAAAACAACTTTGTGCTTAAAGAAATTACTATGTTACCCTAAAGAAAGCTATTATCCAGAAAGTTTAAAAAAATAAAAACAGCATTTTTTCTAAATCCATATAGCATGCTTCAACTTTGGCCTGACAGAAATTCTATGTTTTTCAAAGTATTAGCCTATCATCCACAAGTCTGACTAATTACAGCAGAAATTTTGGATCAGCATTATTTAAAGGCAAGTTGGTGCCCTTACTCCTTTCCAGAGCTTTTTGGCTCAGTGAAACTCTTTCTAACCATATACGCCTGCCTGTATCCTGGTCCTTGTATTTATTATTGCTTTTACTTTTGCCAAAAATATTCATTGATTTCCCCCAAACTGTCTCTAAAATTTTTGTAACTTTAAAACTAAAATTAAAAATAATCTTGAAGTTCTGAACTTTACGTTTCAGAAAACACTAATACTGTAATACTAAGACAGGAATAGACTTAAGCATCAGTGCAATATCTTTTTACGGTGAACATGAAAAGAAATTGATTTAAGCATTATTGCCCAAAGCTCGAAATTTTTAGTGCTTTTTATTTCTTACCAAAGAGCTTCTAGAAAATAAATTTAAAATGGGAAATATTCAAATAGTATGGAGGTTTACTTTTTTTGATTTGCTTCTTACTTAACAGACCATTTCTTTTTCTTTATTGGTTCGTTTGTTTGTTAGTTAGACACATTGTCTGGGAAAGGGTGATTGAGAGAATGCTGGATACACTGGAGAGGGAATTCCAAGATTGAAATTCTCTGAGATGGGCAGAAAGGGGACTGAAGGGCACAGGACAGTAAACATCAATGGAAACATCCCTTTCTCCCTCAGTTAGACCTGGGCTTGGATCCTGGCTCTTCCATTTCCTAGTTGGATGCCCCTGGGCAATTTAATGAACTTTTGAATTTGTCGATCTTTAAATGACAGTAAACATAGTTACTTAGTGTGCAAACATCCTGTTACATTCTGTTTTACTGGGAAACGATATCTTTGAATATCTGCTGTATATTTCATAAACGAATGTACTTTTGCATAATGTCTAATTTACTTGGTGGTACAACATAATGACTTGAGAAGACAAATACACAGAGGAAGATTTCTTGGGAGAGTTTACAACAGATCCTTGTGACAAACATTGTCAAAGCAATGACCTGATCCAATTCAGCAACTTTCAGATGTACCACAAAGGAGATAGAAGACATAGTAGAGTGGAGTTATCCATTGACTGCAGGTTGATTGATGGAAAAGTGGCAAGGAGGAAGAATCAATTTCCCAAAATTCCAGGCAGGACTGCTTCCAAATTGTGTTGATTTTCCCATAGCAGAAAAGAATATATTTCATAATTGTAGTGCTCCCTATGTTAACAGAAAAACAGTCAAAATGTAAGGAATGACAGTGGTCATAATCCAACCTCTAGAAAAAACAAGGGCTCAGCCCAATCTTCCACGAGAAACATTTTAATGAGTCAAGACTCAAAACCCGAGTGTCTTTAAATTCAATAAATAAGGATTGAAAACTATGAATGGAGAGAAATCAAAACTCTGTATTTGCATACTAGGCCAACTCTTTGGTATCCTTGGTGGGTCTTTTCTTATCCTCTTGGTCCTTCCTTTTCTCCCTTGAAAGTCCCTATGTATGGTAAGGTGACAGGGTGAGGGTCTCACCCCACTGATAGGTGCTTCCAATATTTTTTCCATTCACTATCAGAAGGATACATGGAAGCCTATGTAACAGACAGAGAAGTGGAGGTTTGAGACTGGCTACGCTTTTTGCACCTAGTTCATATTAGCTTTTGGTGTTTTGGTCTTTAGATATTAATGAAGTGATTCTGTAGCTTGGCTGGCAAGATGTGACATAGCACGCTAGGTTTCCTCAAAAGCACGGGATCAACACGCTGCATCTTCCTGGAAGATTCAGAGGTGGAGAAAATAATTTATATTAAAAAATATGGTCAGATATGGCAGAAAATTTGAAATTCACATAAATGTTGTAAAAGCAAAACTTTGAAAACAATTTATGTGTTTGGTGTGCTGCATTAGGCCCTGCTGACTCTGGGTGATGGTGCTATGGGCTTGGGCATGGAGGAGAGGTGAGAGAAATGCTTAGAGGCCATTGCCCCATATTAATAAATAGTGCATGTTTTCTAGAGTTGCCTTTGAAACGCTCTCTATTAGGAACTGGAGTTATTCTCATTGATAACATGGAAATATCCATGCTGGCTGTCATCATTATGACCAAAAATTATGTATGTTGTTATATTTTGTAAAATGTAAAGCACAGAACACAAAGAAGGCGATATGATGTTAAATTTGAAGATGTTTTCATTCTGAACTTGTTAATTTTTCTCTATTAGAGAGAATACTCTTTAATCAAGTATATCTTTACAAAAATTATGAAGGTGTATAAGCAAGTATGTGTGTTTGTATATGAGTTTTGGTGAACTAAATTCTTTTTTCTACAGAAATTAGTTCTTTTTTCTGTATGGTACATTCTCAAATTGAGTTATGACACATTTATTGACTCTACTATAAATAAACAGAATTTTAGTGTCTATAACAATTTATAGTTCACATGGTAGATGATACACCATTGTTTTCTTTTAATTGACTGATATTTCTTCAGGAAAAATTTTATGAAACTTGTGGAAATGGAAAATTAGGAAAACTTGATTTGACAAACAGCTGCCTAAATTGCATTTCTCCACTCCTACAGTTTTTATAATGCCATTAATGTTTATACATGCACAAGACACAGGAAATACTCAAAAAGTTAAGAATTTGTTTGGGTTGATCTAATTGGTTTATTGGCTTACCTACAAGAGCTTTTGAAAAAACACATGTGGAACATCTTAATGGTAGCTATTTGTTTTAAGTTTCTTAAGTAAAATGCAGGCAGTAGTAAGTCAATTTCAAGTTTTTATACATTTTCTTAAAGAAACCTAAGAACATTTCCATGTTTTAATTTTATGTTTCTTTAATTTATATTGCAAATACTGTATTGACAACTTGAAAAACATCATACATTCTCTCAGAGGTCACATATTTTCACAAGTGTTTCCGATAAGGCAGTCTACATACATATCAATGAAATGAAGCATTACATGAACGCATAGAAAGCTGAAGACCACTCCTGTTATCAGGTAAGCATTTTTACCAAATCCACAAGTGTACAAATGTTATCATTTAAGAATATTGTGCATGTAAAGAATTGATATGCATCTCTGAGGACTAAACACCTTAATATGGGCTCTTCTCACCTCTTTTATTACATTAATTGCCACCTGATATGGTTTGTCCCCACTCAAATCTCATGCTGAATCATAATCCCTAATGTTGGAGGCGGATCCTGGTGGGAGGTGATTGCATCATGAGGGTGGATCCGTCGTGAATGGTTTAGCACCATCACCTTGGTGCTGTTAGTGTGATAGTGAGTTCTGGTGCGGTGGCTCACGTCTGCAATTCTAGCACTTTGGGAGGCCAAGGCGGGCGGGTCACAAGGTCAGGAGATGGAGACCATCCTGGCTAACACGGTGAAACCCCGTCTCTACTAAAAATACAAAAAATACAAAAAAAAAAAAAAATTAGCTGTGCGTGGTGGCGGGCGCCTGTAGTTCCAGCTGCTCTGGAGACTGAGGGAGGAGAATGGCGTGAACCCGGGAGGCGGAGCTTGCAGTGAGCCGAGATCGCGCCACTGCACTCCAGTGAGATTCCGTCTCAAAAAAAAAACAAAAACAAAAACAAAACAACAAAAACAAATGCAAAAGATAGTGAGTTCTTATGAGACCTGGTTGTTTAAAACTGCGTAGCACCTCCCCGCCCTTCCTCCTCCAGCCACAAGTGCCTCACCCCCCTTTGCCTTCCGCCATGAATATGTTTCCTGAGGCCTCCCTAGAAGTTGATGCTGCCATGGTTCCTGTACAGCCTGCGGAGACGTGAGTCAATTAAACCTCTTTTCTTTATCAATTACCCAGTCTCAGGTATTTCTTTTTTTTTTTTCTTTTTCTTTTTCTTTTCTTTTTTTTTTTTTTGAGACGGAATCTTGCCCCGTCGCCCGGGCTGGAGTGCAGTGGTGCGATCTCGGCTCACTGCAAGCTCCGCCTCCCGGGTTCGCGCCATTCTCCTGCCTCAGCCTCCTGAGTAGCTGGGACGACAGGCACCTGCCACCACGCCCGGCTAATTTTTTGTATTTTTAGTAGAGACGGGGTTCCACCGTGATAGCCAGGATGGTCTCGATCTCCTGACCTCGTGATCCGCCCGCATCGGGCTCCCAAAGTGCTGGGATTACAGGCGTGAGCCACCACACCCGGCCTCAGGTATTTCTTTATAGCAATGTGAGAACGGCTTAATACACTACCTAATTCCTTTCTCCTCCAGTTGTTTTGCTATTTTACCTTTCTTAGTCAGGCGAATATTTTCTAAAACATCTTTTTTACGATGGCATGCTTTAGCCTTAGAGCCTGCATGAAACCTCCGTCCCTACCACTTCAAACAACTCTGCTTGTATTTTCAATTTATAAAGTGTTTCTTGTCTTTATATGTTTATCAGTTGTGTTCATATTTGTACTTCTCTGGCTAAAGATAATGCTCTCTTTCCTTTTACTTCAGGTGAGACTCTAAGTCTCACTTAAAATTCTTACTAATGCGTGTAAAAATGACAGATTTGGGGCCTTTCCCCATTAATGCAAGATCTGTTATTTATTTATTTATTTATTTATTTATTTTATTTATTTATTTTTTGAGACGGAGTTTCACTCTTGTTGCCCAGGCTGGAGTGCACTGCTGCAATCTCGGCTCACCACAACCTCTGCTTCCCAGGTTCAAGCGATTCTCCTGCCTCAGCCTCGGTAGTAGCTGGGATTACAGGCATGTGCCACCATCCTCGGCTAATTTTGTATTTTTAGTAGAGACGGGGTTTCTCCATGTTGGTCAGGCTGGTCTCGAACTCCTGGCCTCAGGTGATCCACCCGCCTCGGCCTCCAAAAATGCTGGGATTACAAGTTTGTTTGTTTGTTTTCTGAATTAGAGTCTCGCTCTGTCTCCCAGGCCGGAGTGCAGTAGCGCAATCTTGACTCATTGCAACCTCTGCCTACTGGGTTCAAGCGATTCTCCTGCCTCAGCCTCCCAAGTAGCTGAGATTACAGGCACCCACCACCACGCCTGGCCAATTTTTATATTTTTAGCAGAGAAAGGGTTTCACCATTTTGGTCAGGTTGATCTTGAACTCCTGACCTCAAGTGATCCACCTGCCTCAGCCTACCAAAGTTCTAGGATTGCAGGCACAAGCCACCGTGCTCAGCAGATCTGTGAATTTACATAGAATTTTACATTACAATCATGGATTTCTTATAACTGAAAAACTGTGATAAACTGAATATGACTTCAAAAAAGCCAAAGATCATGCTTACTAATAGAAGCATAACGCTGAACCTAACAAGTGGATTTGGGAAAAATGCTCACTGGATAACAGATGTGGTCTTTCACTTTGCATGCATTCACTGTAATGCCCATTTATTCATATGTATGTTCAGTGCATTATTGGCAACAATTTTTAAAGTGTGTGACCTCTGAGAGAGTATATGATGTTTTTCAAGTCAAGACAGTATTTGCAATATAAAGTAGAGAAGCATAAAATCAAAACATGAAAATGCTCTTGGTTTTTAAAAAGAAAAACCTACAAAATATTGGATGTTGTTCTCCTAGAACTTATACTATGTTCTAATCCTTTATTCCAGCAAAGTGTTAATGAAATAAACATGAGAGTTATTCAGATAAGTACTCCTAGAACTTATGCTATGTTCTAATCCTTTATTCCAATGAAGTGTTAGTGAAACAAACATGAGAGTTATTCAGATACGTAAAAATGTTAACTTAAACCCATTTATTTTTTATTCATATAGTATAGTAGCTTAACATGGATTTTATGTATTATATTCTTTCAAAAAACCTAAATACAGTTAAACTTAGGAAACAAATTAGAGATGGAACTTTCATCTTTATAGCTTCTGTTGTTCAAGAACAATTACATCTAAGTTGGAAACTATAATATTTTGATGTATAAAATTATCAAGATCATCACAGAGGTAGACGTATATTCATTCATATGCAACTATGAGATGAAATGTTTATTCAGTAACTTAAACAAGACCTTAGAGGTCCATTGGTAACTTAGCTATTTACAAATGCACATAATGAAACAGTTTTTCAGTGTGTAGAAGGCCAAGCTATGTATTTAGGCATTGCATTATTTGACATGTTTGAAAATTGACAGTTCATGCTAAGTGCTGTAGGTCTTAATAGTTGAGTTGACATTTTTAGTTCATTTGGCCAATACACAACTTCTTCATGGATGGAAACAAGGGGGAAAAGACTTGAAACACAACTATATTTTAGTTGCTTACTATTTGTGGTTTATATAGTTTTTCAAATATGTACACTAGAGAGTATGTGATACAGTATATTTTGGTCAATATTGGAAATATTTGCAGACAGAGCAGAAGTCATAGGTAATAAAGTTGCCTCCACTCCCACTATTATAGAAACTTGATAAGAGCAACGACTTTGCAGTTTGTTAACAACTATATCCTAGCAAGTAGAAAAGGGCCTTATGTACAGTATGGTAGGTTCTTCATAGATATTTGTTAAAGAAAAAAAAGGATATAACATTCTACTGTTTATAAAATAGGAAGGACCTGATGCACCTGTTCAAGCAAACCAATGGTCATGATTGATAATGATCACCTGATTATCCCTTATGAAGCTTAGCAAAAGAGCATATTTCAGGCTCAAATATATCCAATTTGAATTCTGGTGCTAATGCTTATACTAACTCTATGACTGTGGGCAAGATATTTAAGCTTTTTCAGCTCCAGTGTGTTCACTTATAAAATTGGGATAATGCACTAACCTCTGAGAATACTGGAATATTATTGAATAAGTAACATATATGAGTTGCCTAAAATAGCACCTGGAATGAAATAGGCACTCAATAAATCTTGTTATCGTTCCTTCAATTGCAGAAGTACCATGGAAGTCATTATAACATCATGCCCAGGTCTGTTACCTTTGCTCCTACCTGGATCTCTCCAAACCATCTCCTACTGGGACATTTTCTCTGCTTTGATCTGGTGACAACTCAGAAATGATCTGATGAACTGACATCCAATTAAAGTATTATTAACAGACAATGGATTAAGACTTCAAGGGTGATTAGTTATTTATAAAGGGAATTATTGAAGCATTTAAAGTCTCACTACAATAGAACAAAGATGAAATGATACACTTTTAGATACAGGGTCAAGAAAATGAGCAAGAAAACTTTGACTAGGAGCACAACCTTCCAAATGACAATATCACTTTATATGGCTACTGGTGCCGAGTATTAACCTGGTAATTAGAATGAATGTTCTCAAACTTTCTGTGATTTTTTTTTTTTCACTTAAGCCTTAATAATGAACTTTAGGCACTTAAGTATCTGAGTGGGTAAAAAGATGAATTCATGGAAGAGTATTGGCGGGCTTCTCTTTCTCCGGAATCTCAGTACATCCTGAAGAAAAAATAAAAGCAACCAACAAGTATGTGGCTATGATCCCAGTTTTGGAATGTTCTAATTATGGCTTTGAATGTTCCTGGTATATCATGACCACTGTTTAGGAAAACCTGGTCATATCAGGATGTGACTTTTTACTGGATCCACTCTCTTGTGTTATCTGCTGTTTATTATAGTAATAGCAGATGTTCTGTGAAGTAGGTCAAGGATTTTTAAGGTTATCTAGGGAAGATATGTGAGAATCCCACTGAAGAGACTAAAAATTGCCTTTCACATAGAACAACTGCATCAGTTCATGGATTGTTCCCATGCAGAGAATTTTGGAACCTGCATGCCGTAGATCTTTGCTAATGATGACCATGGCTACATAAATATACTTTAATAATAATAATAATAATAATAACAGTTAGAATCATAAGATCATCTACTTCACAGAGTGATTCTGAGTATCAATTAAGCTAATGAAATTAAATAGTATTGATCACAGAGTCTCTATCCCAGTCTGTCTCAATCTTAAAGGCATATGACTCAGTTCCAAGTTAACGCTATAAGTGAGAATTTTTGTCAAGCATCTGAACCTGCTGCATGCAGTTAGAGGAGACCTTTGCTGGTATTTTGATGCCTCAGAGAATCTCCTGTTCCTGGGGAATGTGAGATCTCTAGAGGAAAGATAAAAAGAAATTATGTCAGCATTGTGAAAATGATCAACAGCTCACCAAAATCACCAACTGTCTGTTGCCAGGCAGTTATCAAACATATATTGACTGCCTACTTTGATTGAGATACTCCAGGAAGCCCTGAGTATAGAAAGATGAAAAAGAAAAACAGCACTTTCCTCAAGAAGGATAGTTTTTGGAAATAATCAGCCATAAAAATGTTATAAGAGCTATAAAATGAGAATGTATATAATGTTCTTTGAGAACATAGCAGAGAATATTGGCTTCTGCCCAGAGAAGAAGGTTAGAGTCAAGAGAGGTTTCAGAGTTTCATAAAGGATGAGTAAGTGTTTTTACAAAGACGAAGAAATAACAAGTGTACAAGGGTTTGGTCTGTTCAGGAAGATTCATAAAATACAATGAGGACACATGGACACAGGGAGGGGAACAACACAGCACTGGGGCTTGTCGGGGGCAGGGGAAAGGAGAGCATCAGGATAAATAGCTAATACATACGGGGCTTAATACCTCAGTGATGGGTTGATAGGTGCAGCAAACCACCATGGCACATGTTTCCCTATGTAATAAACATGCACGTCCTGCACATGTATCCCAGAACTTAAATTAAATTAAATTTGAAAAAAATATAATATTTTTGTAATATAGGATATACTGGAAGACAGTGGCAGAAAAATGGGGTTGGAAAGATGGCCAGGGCTCAGACATTTGAGGATTTTGTTTGCCAAGCTAAGGAGTTAAGCCTTCCTAGTCTAAATCATAGAGTTCATTAAAGAATTTTCAGCAGAGAAAATAAAAACATGATTGGCTTTGAATTTCTTAAAGATTACCTTCAGCAGTGGGAAAAACAATACATACGTAGGCAAGCCAGGAGGCAGGAAAACACGTTGGAAGTTTGCTGCATCAGCTTGGTCCAGAAGTGATGGGGTTTGAATCAAAGCTGTGGGAGTTAAGGTGGAAGAGGACCACTAGGAAATAGAGACTGTTGCATGGAGAACAATGTGTCTGCCTAAAATTCAGGGCTTTGTTAAAGGAGAAAGGGGAGAAGGAATATTGGAGTAGGCAGATGGTGTTCTTAGCCATTGTCAACAGGACCAGTCAATGACACCGAACGATTTTCCATCTACTCCTCCCACAATTCTGGC
The DNA here is from genome assembly GCF_000001405.40 of Homo sapiens. Taxonomy (NCBI): domain Eukaryota; kingdom Metazoa; phylum Chordata; class Mammalia; order Primates; family Hominidae; genus Homo; species Homo sapiens. Next base: position 105,787,935 of record NC_000013.11, on the reverse strand, counting down.
CTCTTGTAAGCAGGTAGTCTGGCCCGATGTGACAACATTTACATTGGAGTGCTACACGACAGTAATTCCAATGTTTTTAAACTTTGGGTTTGAAAGTTTGTCTTGGCAGATTTCCCTCGTTTTGGGTTTGGTTTGTTTGGCTAGAAAGTGGCATATTCAGACAGGCTTAAATACCAACCCTAGCAAACACAATCTCAGGCTTTTCAGATTCTTTAGTTCAACACACCGGTGATCCTAGGTAGACAGCCCTGGATTATACAGGTGACGTGCTGGCGAGATGTGGAAGTTAAGTCATGGATACGGCTGCCTCGCTGGCATAGAGGGAGGAAGAAATCTGCATCTGGAGTCTGGAAACTTGGTTCAGGCCTGACTTTGCCACTTGCTCGTTTTATTCCCTTGGGGAAAACATGTCAAATTAAACTTTTGGATAAACAACAAAATAGCTAAATTTTAGACAAACTTCCTATAAATAATCACCTATCCATTTATTTCTCATTTCAATTTTGTTATCTAGAAAACTTTCATAAGCGAAACATATTTCTGCTTTGTGCTTACATCAACTTATCTTCCTATTTTGAGTAAAACAGCCACGTTGATAATTTAAAATATACTTTTGGATATTTATATGACACTACTGCCTTAAACAAAACGATTACTGGCATTTGATAATTTAATGAATCTTTATTTTTCCTGGAACCAAGCACATCGACGTAATAAAGGAAATGATTATAAATGTTTTATTAAGAGAAAATCCGGTAATCAAATATAATCTAACATTGAGACAGGTACATATGGCTTAGTGGACTGGAGGAACATAATGTCTTTTAGCAGAAAGCAATCTATTATAAAAGAAATAACCAGCACTTATTACCTTGACAACTCTTTGGTCCAGGGATGCTTACATCTAACATTTGGACATTAATAGCTAGACTGCTGTTGTCTCTGAGCTTGTATAGTTCTTTCGTAAGTTGGGAAGGTCGTCCATTTCGCTGGCTTGTGAGGAGTTAATAAAACAACATACTATATGTAAAATCATATTGAATATTTAAAGCCAAAGTACAAATGTTTATTATTATTGTTATTCTCACAGGAGGCTAAGATTTTCCATTAGTTACAACGGCTCTAAGGAGGATTCAGAAAATTTTTCCATGAGACACAGTTTTCCATGGACACATAGAATTTGGGGTTTGACTCTTAGATAATACAAATGGGTAACCTTGCTTCAATTGCCCAAGGAAAAACATCTATCTCACTAAGGGAACTGGATAATGGCACTGTAAATCACATTTGCAGACGGGTCTAGTGAGAAATATTAAACTTAAAATGGACATGGAAAATAACCTATTGCAGCATGAGATAGTTGCTTTAAAAATTGGCACAGAGGATATTGCTTCAGCCAAGAATGGCAAGAAAAATAAATGAGAGATTCATGTATATGTATATAAACATATACATATAAACATATATATATATATATAAAAACATATATGTGTGGGTGTTTTTTTTTCCTCTAGTGACAGAAAAGAGAAAAAAATTAGAATATGACATACAAAATAACCCTGGATTACAAATGTGAGTTTACCCATAGCACAGTGTTTTTATTAGGATGATTTAATTATGTCTATAATTCTAGAAGATATAACATTCACTTGATAGATGATCTGATTTCCATATAACAACTAAATTGTTTGATTATTATAATCAATCTTACGAAAAGGTACAAGGTTTGCTTTGTCTATTGTTTTCCAAAAGTTGTTATGTATGTGATAGGTGCAATTCAGGTACTGTTGACCCTTGAACTACATGGGTTTGAACTGTGCACATCCACTTATGCACAGATTTTATACACAGATTTTTTAAAATAAATATACTGGAAAATTTTTGGAGATTCGTGACAATTTGAAAAGCTTGCAGATGAACTGCCATCCCTGAGACAGCAAGACCCACCCCTCTTTTTCCTCCTCTTCAACCAACTCAATGTAGAGACCATGAGAATGACCTTCATGATGATCCACTTCCACTTAATAAACAGGAAATACATTTTCTCTTCCTTATGATTTTCTTAATATCATATTAAGTATTCAAATATCATATTTCAAATTTTCTTTTCTCTACCTTAGTTTTATTGTAACAATATAGTATATAATACATAACATACAAAATATGTGTTAACCAACTCTTTGTATAATCAGTAAGACTTCTGGTCAACAGTAGACTATCGGTAGTTAAATTTGGTGATTCAAAAGTTGTATGCAAATTTTCGACTGTGCAGGGAGGAAGGTTAGCACCTCTAACCCTTGCACTGTTCAAAGGGCAATTGCATAAATGTTGTATCTTTCTCTAGCAGTAACAAGGTTTTAAAAAATAATCCCAGGCAATATGTTGATTTATTTATAAACATTATCTCATTTTATTCCCCAAAAGGAACCCTTAAAGTAGGTACTATTTTCATCTTCAGTTACATGGTCAACTGAGCCTCAAGACAGTTGAACAATTATCCTTAGATCACACAGCCAGCACATGGCCAACCCAGAACTGAATCCAGATCTGTCTGATACAAAACCCCTTGTTTTTAGTAAACTTACATACTGATGCTTAGCAAATTTACAATGGTTTGTTATAATCTCAGAGGGACTCTCAAATTATCTGTGATGAAGGGCCAATTTTTGTTTTTGTTTTTTAAATTTCCAGTTCATGGAGGACTCATGTTTTTATCAAATATGCTAAAAAGATACAGTGATGTCCAATTTCTGTAAAAGTTTTTAAATGCTTACTCTCACTGTCTACATTTACTATAATTCATTTTGTTCCAGCTTTATTGAGGTATAATTGGCAAATAGAAATTGTATATATTTAAGGTATACAGTTTGATATTTTGATACACATATAAATTGATGTCTTAGTCCATTTTGCTTTGCTATAAAGGAATGCCTGAGACTGAGTAATTTATAAAGAAAAGAAGTTTATTTAGCTCATGGTTCTGCAGGCTATACAAGAAGGGTAGCACCAGCATCTGGGTGCCATGGGAGGGCTTCAGGCAGCTTCCACTCATGGAGAAAGGTGAAGTGGAGCAGATGTATAGAGATCACATGATGACAGAGAAGCAAGGGAAAGAAAAGAGGGAGAGAAAGAGTGGAGGTTCCAGGATCTTTTCAACGATCAATTCTCATGGTAACTAATATGACAAGAATTCGCTCATTATCTTCAGGGTAGCACCGACACATTCATGATGAGCCCTCCTATTGATCCAAAAACCTCGCACCAGGTCCTGTCTCCAACACTGGGGATCAAATTTCAGCATGAGATTTGGAGGGGACAAATCTCCAAACCCTATCAGTTGTCAAATGATTACTACAATCAAGTTAATTAACTTAGCTATTATCTCACAGTTACCTTTTTGTGTGTATGTTAAGAATACTTAAATTCTATTATCTTAGCAAGTTTTAAGTATGCAACACATAATTATTAACCATAGTCATCATGCTGTACATTAAGTCTCCAGAACTTACTCATCTTAGAACTGCAAATTTGTACCTTTTAACCAACATCTTCCCATTTCGTCCCACATCCTGATCCCAGATAACCATCATTCTACTCTTTGTTTTTATAAATTTAAGTTTTTTTGCTTTCACATATAAGTGAGATCATTCAGTATTTGTCTCTGTGTTTGGCATATTTCAGATAGCATTATATTCTCCAGATTCATCCATGTTGTCATAATGACAGAATTTCTTTTTTTATTTAAAGGCTGAGTAATATTCCATTCTACAATTGACTCTTGAGCAACACAGTGGTTAGGGGGATTGATACCTCACAGTTGAAAACCTACATTTAACTTTTAATTTTCCAAAAACTTTTAATTTTCCAAAAACTTAACTACTAATAGCTATTGTTGATTGCAAGATTTACCAATGACAGAAACAGTTAATTAACCCATAAATAGACTAGTAACTATATATACTCTATGCCTTCATGATACATCTTTTTTTCTCAATTTAAAAAATATTTCTAGGCTATATGGTTTATCTGTACATTTTTTCAAATCATCACAAATCTCCAAAAATTTTTCCAGTATATTTATTGAAAAATATCTGTCTATAACTGGAGCCACACATTTCATATTTGTGTTGTTCACTGGTCAACTGTGTTCATATATACATAACATAAATATATACCACATTTTCTTTATCCATTCAACAGTCAATGAACACCCACATTGTTTATCTTGGCTATGTGACTAATGCTACAATGAACATGGGAATACAGATATCTCTTCAAGATAGTGATTTTCTTTCCTTTAAATGTATACCCAAAATATAATTGCATAATTGTATAGTTTTATTTTTAATTTTTTGTGGAAACTTCATACATTTTTCCATAATGGCTGTACCAATTTACATTTCCACTCACGTTTTATAAGTGTCTCCTTTTCTACACATCCTTGACAACACTTGTTATCTTTTCACTTTCTGATAGTAGCCATCCAAACAGTTTGAGGTGTTACCTCATTGTGGTTTTGATTTGCATTTCCCTGACTATTAGCACTGTTGAGCATTTTTCATATACCTGGTGGCCAATTGTTTATATTACTTAGATAAATGTCTATTTAAGTCCTTTTCTCACTTTTAAATTTTAAAATTTTAAGTTTAATTTTCAATTTTACATTTATTTATTTGGCTATTTTTTTTAGGTCCCACATATAAGTGAGATCATTCAGTATTTGTCTTTCTGTGTCTGGCTTATTTCAAACAGCATTACATTCTTCAGACTCATCCATGTAAAATGGCAGAATTTATTTTTTTTTAAGGCTGAATAACATTCCATTCAATAATTGACCCTTGAATGACACAGGGATTAGGAGAATATACCTCTCACAGTTGAAAATTTACATTTAACTTTTGACTTTCCAAAAACGTAACTACTAATAGCCTACTGTTGACCTCAAGCTTTACCAATAACATAAACCATTGATTAACCCATAAAATAGACTAATGTCTACATATATTCTATGCATTCATGACATATGTGATATACCACATTAACACAATGAAAGACAAAAACCATGTGATCATCTCAATAGATGCAGAGAAAAGCATTTGACAAAATTCAACTTTTTAATGATAAAAACTCTCAACAAAGTAGGAATAGCAGGAATGTCCCTTATTTCTCTGGCTAGGACGTTCAATATACCATGTTGAATAGAAGTGGTGAGAGTAGGCATCCTTGTCTTGTTCCTGATCTCAGAAGAAAAGCTTTCAACTTTTCGCCATTGAGGATGATAATAGCTGTGAATTTGTTATATATGGCCTATACTGTGTCTTGTTTAATTTATTTCATCAATGTTTTATAGTTTCAGTGTATAGATCTTTTAGTGTATGGTTATTTTGCATATTAACCCCTTATCAGATATATAGTTTGCAAATATTTTCTTCCATCCTGTAAGTTGCCTTTTCATTTTGTTGATTTGTTCTCTTTGCCATGAAGAAACTTGATACAGTCTCACTTGTTTATTTTTGCTTTTGTTATGTTTGCTTTGGTGTCATATCCAAAAATTGATTGGCAAGGCCAATATCATGCAGCCTTTCCCATATGTTTTATTCTAGAAATTTTATGGTCTCAGGTCCTACATTATTAGTCTTTAATCCATTTTGAGTTGATTTGTATGTATGGTATAAGGTAAGGATCCAATTTCTTTCTTTTTTTTTTGCATATAAATATCCAATTTTCCCAACACCAATTACGGAAGATACTATCCTTTTCTCATTGTGTTTACTTGGCACTTTTATTTCTGGGCTGTCAGTTCTGTATCCCTAATCTATGTGCTTTTCTTTAAGCTAGAGCTAGTACTGTGCTGTTTGGATTACTATAGATTCATAATATAATTTGAAATAAGAAACAAATCACAGCTTCGTTCTTCTTGTACAAGATGGTTTTAGCTACCTCTTCTATTAAGATGATCACATGATTTTCATCCTTCATTCTGTTAATGTGGTGTATCACATTCATATATTTGTATATTTTGAACCATCCTTGTATTCCTGAAATAAATCTCACTTGATCATGGTGTGATCCTTTTAATGTGCTGTCAAATGTGGTTTGCTAGTGTTTTGTTGAGGATTTTTGCATCTATATTCATAGGGGATACTGGTTCATAATTTTCTTTTTTAGCAATACCTTTGTTTGGCTTTGTTATCAGGGTAATGCTGGCCTTGTAAAATCAGTTTAGAAGTATTCCCTACTCTTTAATTTTTAAAGAAGGATTTGAGAATGATTAGTATTTAATTTTTCTTTAAATGTTTAGTAGAATTTATCAATGAAAGCATCACATTCTGGGTTTTTCTTTGATAGGATGTTTTTGATTCCTGATATAATTTCCTTACTTGTTATTGGTCTCTTCAGATTTTCTATTTTTTCGTGATTTAGTCTTGTTAGGTTGTATGCTTCTATGGGATGGGATATTCTGGATACATTTGTTAGGCCTATTTGGTCTAAAATGTCCTTATTTAAACACCTATTCAAATAATCTTTATAGAGTCCAATGTTTTTGATTTTCTGTCTGGATGATCTATCCATTGTTGAAAGTGAGTGTATAGAAGTTCCCTACTAGCCTTGGATTGCTGTCTATCTCTCCCATTAGATCTGTTAATACTTTCTTTATATACTTAGATGCTCTGAAATTGGGTGAATACATATTTATAATTTTTATATCCTCTTGATAAATAGTGAAGATTGTATTTATTATTATATTGTGACCTTCTTTGGTTCCTGTTACAGTTTTTGACTTAAACTCTATTTTGTCTGAAATATGTATGGCCACTCCTTAAAGCTAAAGTGAGTCTCTTTTAGGAAGTATATAATTGGGTCTTTTAAAAAAATCCATTTAATTACTCTATGTCCTTTGATTGAAGAATTTAATCCATTTGGGTTCAAGATAATTATTTATAGGTAAGGACTTACTACCAACATTTTGTTAACTGCCTTCTCATTGTTTTGTAGTTTCTTTGTTCCTCTTTTGCTGTCTTTCTTTGTGATTTGATTATTTTCTGTAGTGATATGTTTTGATTCCTTTTTCTTTCTTTATTTATTTTTGTATCTACTGTTATGTTTTGCTTCGCAGTTATCATGAGGATTACGTTAAACACTTACTCTCACCCTCTACAGTATTCTCACTGTAATTCTATAATAAACTGTTCACAAACAGGTCCCAATCTCCTTCCAGCAGCATGAACATAAATTTCAATTGAGGGGTTCCTAGACTTTATTTTCTAGAGTTTATGATGTCATTGAATTCAAGTTGTGGAAAGATTTTCCTCCAGGAACATAATTATATTCATTATTTGCAATAAACAATATAAATGTCTAATATAATTTGAGAGCACCAGGAAGTTTTATTATCTTGTCTCTAACAACAGTCATGCCCCAGAAATTCTCTTGGTTAGCTTTATAGATTGTATACTATAAACATAATAGTGTGTTTTAAAAATACCATTTTTATTTAATTGTGTTTTTCATCATTATCCAAGATAGTATGGGGTGGTTTTAGGATTTTATTATTATTGGTGATGGGAATAAGAACCAGTGTATTTTGCTGCAGTCTTTTTTGTTTGTATGTTTTTTTCTTCGCTTCTTAGTGTTTACTTGTCCTTCAGCTAGCTTGATCAGAGTCTAAACTTTAATACAGATTCCCTTTCACATGGCATGAATATTAAGAGTACTAGGCATTTTAGCCTAGTTTTTTTTTTTTTAATTGATGGATGGGGTTCTTACTGTGTTTCCCAGGCTGGACTCTAACTTCTGTGCTCAAGAGATTTTCCCACCTCAGCCTCTTGAGTAGCTGGCATTACAGATAAATTGTTCTGTTTTCAATCAAATATATTGCCTAGGAGAAGGTTATCATTTATTTAACTATTAGAGATGGCAACCTTATGTGGCCACAGGGAGCATGTCCATAATTTAAATGAGTACAGACATCAGGTGAAAAAAGCATAGCTTGTTAGGGCTTTGGCAAAATGGAGAGTCCTTACCCCATATAAAGATATTCACATTCAGTATTGTAAATCACTTCACGAAGAAAACAAAAAGTGTCTGGGCAGATTTGGCTAATGACATTTCTATTTTCATCCTATGTACACGTTAGCAGGATGAATTTTCAAAGCCTGAATATACAATAAAATCAATTCTAAACCATTAAGTTTTATCTAATATAAAAGTGTGTTTAATTTTCTGACTTATAAGCTGCTTATACGAGGTTTCCCCTCACAAAATCCTCCCAGTTCTAAGCATTATAATGATGAAAGGGGACAAAATGTAAAATAAGAAGCAGAATTTGAGATGTATTTTAGACTAATTTGCTGATTCAGGGCCGGAGAACTCCTGGTCCCAAAAAGCTGGCATATTGCTTTTACACAGGGGTAAGGTGGGGTGGATTAGCTGGGGTGGGGGCTGACAAAGGAGGCTGGAATTCAACTAAGGAAGTGCTCCTACTGGCTGTTAACTTTTAATGGATTCTTACTGCGCACCAAGAACTGAGCTGGGAAATCTTGGTGGCATGCTTTCAGTGACTTTATAAACGAATTACTCCCAATTTCTTATGATGTTTGCTGTGTTTTCACAAGGAATGTTCAAGCAAATGTAGATTATTTTGTTCGTCTTTATTTACATGCATAATTCACACCTCTTTATAGCAAACATTGAGGATGAAAGAGATTATATCTATTTCAAATGCTCGTATTTGCCTAAATAATGACTTATTTTTTTGTTCATCCCTCTAGCAGTTTTGAGATCCTCCAGGTCAGAGGACATGTAGTCCTTCTCCTTGGATCTTGTCTATGGCCCGCTAGAATGTAACCTTCATGAGGGTGGGGAGCTTTCCTGTCTAGTTCATTGCTGTATCTCTCAGATCTAGAGTAGCATCAGCCTCATAGCAAGATCTCAATAAATGTTTCCTAATAAGTAAAGTGAGTGAAATATTTTTTTTCCATTTTACAGGTAAGGAACTAAAATATTTAGTAATATGATTAGGGTTACAAGATTCTGACAGTCTGAATAAAAGCTATTCCTCTTAACAATTGCCTTAACTTCTGTTCAATGAAGAGCCACTAATTAGAATAATTACTTGTACAAATATAGGACTCAGGAAGATCATCCTGGTATCATTAAGAAGAGATGGTGATACCAGTGTGTAGGACATGGTAGGCACTGAGCCCATGATGGCTCTTTTTGTAATTAAAGAATTGGGGACAAGGATTAAAGAGACACTCTTCAGGACAAATTAATAGTGAGAAATAAGAGAAGGATAGTCACAGATGGCTTTGAATTTCCTAAGACTGGAGTTTGAATCTTCATGGGAGTGTCCAGCATTTTCTTCTCCATACCTGAACCATAGAACAATTTCCCTTATTTGACTGTATTACCCTCTATAGCAGGAATCTATCAAGCAGAATCAATCCTGGAAATTACAGAACTTGCCAGAGCTAGATTCTCCTCATATCCAGTGTGAAATACTGCCAAGAAAAGAGAACACAAGTGACTAATTCCTCTTAAGGTTGTGTAGAGCAGAGGCCTGACACACATTCCTCATTCTGCTCATGATAGCAAGTACAACTCTGGCCGTTAGAAGTTTATTCCATTTACTCACTGCCAGTCCACTTCCAAGGCTGTCTGTGTTCTTGAACTTGTCATTTCTGTTGGTGCTATTCTAAAACATATTATCATATACTCTTTAGCAGTTGTTTCAGAGATATTCTCCTGTAATTCATGTTGAATGCATGCTTTAACTTTCATTAGATCACAAGCAATTAAAGAGAAAAGACAATCCCTTTTATCTATTTAGATTGCCTATAATTAAAACTATCATCATCATATGCCATATATGCTCAAATAATGTTGATACATCAGTAACAATTTCTCAATTGAATAAATTCTTCCATTGAAGTCAGTGATGACAGCTAGCTAGCTAGCTAGCTAGATGATAGATAGATTTGTGATAGATAGATGGATAGATAGGTAATAAATAGATAGATATGGTCTGACCTGACCCTTCCCAGTGAATAACTCATACCTGGTGGAAAATTACCTACCTTTGAGAAGACAAGTTTCCTGTTTTTAGGGTATCATTGCCAAAAAAGGTTATTGTATTCTCATTTCTTGAAAAACAATTCATCTTCTAATCATAGGCAATTTATTTCAGGAATTGGTTTACTCAACTGGAATATTAGACAGTAAGCATCTATCAATTGATGTAAGACCCTAAAAAAGATGTAGTTTCAAGATTTTAGAGCCTACATTTTTTATTTTATTTTATTTTTTTAGACAGAGTCTGGCTCTTTTGCCAGGCTGGAATGCAGTGGCACAATCTCTGCTCACTGCAACCTCTGCCTCCCAGGTTCACATGACTCTCCTGCCTCAGCCTCCCTAGTAGCTGGGACTATAGATGCGTGCCACCATGCCTAGCTAATTTTTGTATTTTTAGTAGAGACGGAGTTTTACCATTTTTGCCAGGATGGTCTCCATCTCTTGACCTTGTGATCCGCCCGCCTCAGCCTCCCAAACTGCTGGGATTACAGGCATGAGCCACTGTACCCAGCCGAGCCTATATTTTAAAAAGAACTTTAGCCTACCTGAAATTCACTGGAGAATGTAATAAAGAAAATAATAAATAACCGAAAGTCAAATTAATAGTGTAAGAGGACTCTCACAGGACTCTTGAAAATCTTCCTGTTTCTCTCAAACAATTTTCTTCTGCTGAAGTACTGATTTAATGTCACAGGTTTGGGGCTCTGTATTACATTGGAATATAATACATAATGAACCTTAATGCCAGATGTAGCTTTTATCACTAAAGCCTTATAGAGATTGAATTTAATACAATTTATTGAAGAGATAATATAAGCTCAAAAGCATGACTGTTTGCTGAAAACAATATAATTCTAAGCTCAGTGACTCTTTATGCCAATTAACGATTTCAGGATTATTTACTAGGGCATTGCAAGTTCACAGAAAGTTTTAAAAGCGCTGAAACTGTTTACCACGCTATCATTTCAAAAGCAATAGAAATGAAAGCAAAAGGAAATGCTTCAACCACCTTCATTAAGAAGTTCATTGAGCTGCTCATTTCAACAGCAGGCTATAAACAGAGAAAACAGCCCTTAGAAATAAATATTAAAAGCTCATCTCCATAGACCAATAGGAGAGAACAGAGAGCTAGCAACCTTTGATATCACAAGGGAGACCATTCCTCAGCTGGAAATGTACCAAAGAAAACCTTTCCAAGAAAGAAATCTTTTTCTGAGAATAAAATGGAAAATTTCTAAAATCCTATTAAAACACTCAGTGTGAAATAATAGAAAAAACTTAAAGGATGCATCATAAAATAATATAGCCTAAGAAATCAGCAGGTTATAACAGAAAAGAAAAAATACCACCTCAGTCATGTTAATAAAACGAGAAGTGAAATTAAACACTATAAATAAGATTTCTTACAGTCTTTAAAAAGAAAATGGTCCAAACAGAATACATTTTCTGAGGCTTAACTGTTTCAAATAATTTCTTTTGAAATCCAACATGTTTATTCTGAGTCTCAGATGGTTTGGGATCTTGACAATGGGATGCTGAGGGAGTATGGTGGAAAAAACAGGGATTGGCAAGAAAATGGATCAGTTTCAAAGCTTGGTTTTGTTTCCTGTTGTAGACCTTAGACTATTACCTAACTTCCATGGTCTTGCTTTGTTACCCATAAGTTGAGTGCTGTCCATGTTCGCTGGTGGTTGGGAGCACAGGTTTTAGATGAGGGCAGACCTGAGTTGGAATTTGCCATTTATGATGTATGAGCAAGCAAGTGGACAGGACTGAAGAAATTAATAAGAAACACTTGGTTTAGCATCAGGCACATAGTAAGTGCTCAGTGGATCAGGGCCAACATGATGTTGGTGATGATAGTAAGAAAGATTAAATAATATGCCTTGTACAATGTCCCCAAAACCTGGCAAATGCTGGATAAGCAGGAATTTCACTTCTTCTCTTACACTATTTTCTATCAAAATGTATGGATTTTAATGGCAAAGACCAGCAATTATTATAGTGTGTATTGCATATAAATACTTTCTTAATATTTGCTAAATGAATAACTGATTAAATACACACACACACACACGAGCACACACACACACACACCAATCTTACAGTTACATAGTGCCTGAGAATGTATCAGCCATTCTTGTGTATATCACCTCATTTGAAATGCACAGTAACCCTATGAGGTAGATAGCACTGGCATAGATATCCTGATTTCAAAAATTGTTAGGATTCAGAAAAATAAACTAGGCTAATGACATTGCTGGTTAGTGGATTCAGTATTTCTGCCACTCAATTCAGTGTACTTTCCATGATCATACATCATCTTTGGTATGTTAGAGAATTTTGTACAGAGAAGTTGTTGCCCACACACAAGAAGTAAGAGTCTTGCTGGGAATACACCAAAACTTCCCCAGAAAGATCCTCCTGGGTAATGCAGAAAACTCTGTATCCCTCTCTTGAGGCCACCCCAGGATCTCACTGGCCTCAGACAGCCTCCAGGGATTATCTTCTCCAAAAATGCAAACTCAACCAAATGTAATTCTGCTCACTTTGCACACAACGACAAATCTTACAAAACAAGTAGAGCACGGAAACATAGTTGACCAGGATATGCCTTTAACTGACAGTCAAGACCCAAGCTTTCCACCCAGCTTCCAAGTCAGCAAATGTTATGAAGTCAAAAATAGACTGGTAAAGATGGAGAGAGGATGCAGAACAGAGTTTGCTTTTACTGTCTGGGAAGGTATGACAGAAACGTAACCGAAAAGAGCAGAGGGCTCTGGGACAAGAATGTTTCTCTCTTCTCCCTCCCTTTTCCTGCTCTAATTATTAACCTTGTTCTTTTCATGTTAAGTCAATTTGTAAAATTCCTGTCTCCTGACTCCCCGCTTTCCCTTCCTGTTTTAAGCTCTGTGGATTAATGCACTGGCGGTCAGATCTTGGCCACCAGCAACCGCAGGTGGCTCTAGCTTGTAAACAGAAAGGCAAGGTGGTTTTCTTGTTTATATGCAAGTCACTGAGTAGATCAGTGGATGGATTAACTTGAAACCTTTTCTTCCTGGGAAAGGCTGGACTGGTTCCTTGCAGGCTTGCTCCTACTGCATGCAAAGCACCCCACCTGCCTGCCCTTGGACCCCCTAGGACATAGATCATGAGTCCATTTTATTAAAAATAATTCATAATCATGCTATGGTGACTGCCACTCGGATGTTTTCAAATGGAAACACTCAGGGGGAGCCCACTGAAACCAAAAGTTCTCAGGTTAGATGCACATGTGAGAAGAATCTTTAAATTAATTTAGAATGAGGCAATTACTGCCCTAAATAAATTGTGCAGTCTAAAATACTGGAAGCACTTTGCAGTTTCCTCTGAGATCCATTCTTTGAATAGGAAGCATAATTATCCTGAAAGTGGAGATGACAGGGTCTGATAAAGAAAGCTGAAAAACGGTGAATCCATTTCCTGACTCAGCGGCAATTCAGCTGCCTTTCGACTGCCTTGTAGCACAGCGTGCAGAAGGTTGGCTTGACTGAGTCACGGGCCTGGGTGAAAGCGTGCTTTCTACTGAGAATGGACCTTGTGGTTTTGGAGAGCTTATTCAATCTCCACTACTTCCTTGTATGTTGCTCCATTTGCAGAAACACCTATGCCATAGTTGATAGTAAATATTCAACAAATGCAAGCTCTCCTTTTCACACAGACACTCTTCTCAGACCAGTCATTCCTCTAACAGAACCATTTTGCCACTGGAGAATAGAATGTGTTGTATCTGGTTTTCTGTTTCCAGCGTATGTGGCTGAGTGTTAGGCAAGACCTGTGGATGTGCTAGATAGAGCCTTTTGTTACTCCTAGCATTGTGACTTGTAGTCATTAACTGAGATGAACTCCAGGAATCTTTTCTGTGCTTGGTTCTACTGCTGTCCTATAGAAACCATTTTATCCCAATCAGTATAGACAGTCAGAGATAACTCAGGCAACTTAATTAATCATTTTGTCTCTGTAACTTGATCCAATGAATTGGCTAATTGCCTAGTGTGAATGAGGTGGCGTGCAGATAATGATGACAATTATACTAATGAAAGCCTGAGATATTGAGTTAATAATGGCCATATTAGTAATGCAAAGAATAAATAGCTAAGCAATCGTGAGGAATGGTGAGCACAATTCATGTTGTAATACTAATAGAATAAAGTGTATTATTATGCCAATAGGTCAATTAGGAAGAAAAAGAAAAATATACTTTTAAATGAATGAATGGTACTTTTGACAAACAGAGAGAGTATGTGAAATTAGGAGCTATCGACTCTCAGTCATGACCCTGAAACTTGGTAGAAAGCACAATTCCACAAGGAGACTGTGTGCTGGGCTACCCCAGACTGCCTGCCTGAGGACGGCGGCAAGACACTGGCAACCAAGCACACTGAGATCAAAGGACACCCAGTGATCAAATGAGGAGGCTTTTTGTTAGTGTCTGGCTTCCTGAGGATGGAGAGTATAAACAAAGATAGTGGCCTTCACAAAAGCAGTACTATCCACCAGGACTTTGCTGATCTTGAGTAAAAAGAGTCCTCTGGAATTGAAACTTCTCAGGGGTATTACATCAAAAGATGATCGCTGAAATTTCTTCTTGCTTCTCTTTCTGTCATAGTAGACTGTTCTGAAAAGTAAACTATGAATTTTGTGTGCAGAAATGCTATGTTGTGGTGAATGCAGAAGAAAATCAAAATCCCAGATGTATTAGAAATTTATGTGAAAACCTTTCTCTCGGACTCTCCCTCCCTGCCTCTCTTTCTTTCACCTCAGATCCTCAAATTGCAAGGGAATTCAATTAATTAAACAGGATGTCATTCAGTCATGCCCTGTTCTGAAACAGGGCAGGGCTTGTCCATAGGTCTCTAGGCATTTTAGGGTACCAATTAGTGCCTGAGTGCCAACGCCTATCTCTATCTAAAGGGGAGCTGGCGCAAGGCACAACATCCCTCAGCTTCCTTTTAGGGCTGAACTTGCCCCTGGGCTCTGCTTATCAGCTCCATTATCTTTCTCCGAGGCCTTGGTTGCTAAATAACTAAATTTTTAGATCTGTGGCACCAAATATGACTTTTGTTAACTATTTAGATTTTCTGAAAAAGTGCTTTTGGACCATTATACCTTTATAGCCATAATTCTCAAACTTTAAGACATCGTTTAAAATGTCAACTTCCTAAATTGAAGATTTCAAGAATTGTGATTTAGTGACTCAGTATACAGCCGAGAAATCTACATTTTAAATAAACATTTCAGGTGTATGTCAGCAGTGAAGGCTGTCTGCAGACCACATGTACAATAAAAAATGAAACTGCTTTATGGTACCGGCTATAGCTTACTTCTCTCTAGTCTCAAATTCTTACCTATTTGTGCTGAAAATATCTGATTTTTCCGGCCTGTGTTGTCTTCCAGAGCCTCACCCTCGATTACCTGCTTTCTGCCAGCCTTCCTAACTCTGTTGGACTTTTGTTTCTGGTCATACCTGAGGAACAAAGTTGTCTTATACTTCAGAACAAATAAATATTGGTACTTTCCTTCATGCTGTATAGACAAGTTAGCAAATAGGAAAAGGGGAAAATTAATCTAGTATTTTGTCCTCTTCCTTTCTTACATCCCAATTAATAGAGGCAAAACTATCTGAAAATATCTACCAAAATATTGAAGAGAAGTTCAGGAAGAGGAGAGACATCCAAAGACTATAGGTGAGTTGGGGAGATCAGGGATGAGGGGAGAAATTATATATATTTTAAAGTAGTGGATAGACATTAACTACACTGAACTGATTCTTTCATTAATTTACAAATAGATCAATTAGCTGGATTTCCATTTTCCTGCTATAGCCAACTTTAGTTGAATACTTCTAACACTCCCTTAAGGTTTTCATGGGTAGTTATGGAAGAGAGGAGTATTCGGTGTATTTAGCTGTTTTTTATTTCCTCTCTCTTCCTCTCTGCATGTGAAGATGACTATAATACCTGTTTCCCATTGGCTGGCATGAGAAAGTCAGGTAGACACCGCCCCCACCCCCGCTCTCCCTTCCCTCCTGCCATAGCCAGAATACCTGTAAACCAGCATGAGGCCTTAGCATGTGTTTTTAATAAAATAAAGATTATTTAAATATTAACTGTGCTTCTTTATATAGCCCAGATCTTTATATCTCATTTCCATTGTAAATACTAATAAATAATTGTGGATAATAATTCTATCACAAATATAAGCTGTATATTTTTTCCTTTAGAAACAAATAATTGTCTTAAACATTGAACAGTGTTTAATTTACATAAAATAATTTGCTGCATTGAAAAATTTTAAATTAATTATTCTTTCACCTATACTGATAGCATTTAGGGCATTTAAGCTATAAGATTCTTATTAAGAAATCATGTATATTTTTCCCCAAGTTTGTACAACCCCAAATAATTTCCTAGTGACTTCATGCTGACTTCTGGGTGCTAAAATGTAACATTGCATGAGATTATAAACCATTATTCTTAATCTATCTGCTTACCTTTCTCACACTCCAAATTAACTCAGTTCTTTGCTATTTCTAGTCCTCTGTCCACAACCAATTAACTTCCTGTGAAGTCAGAACATCATCATTCTGCTGAATGGTACTGGCTTGCTTTATGCAAAAATTCCTGATATTCTTTGTAGGTTTGTTTTTATTTTGACAGAGAGATTATAAAGATCAAGAATGTGCAACACCAAAGTAGCTGTCTTTCAAACAGTGAGATTCCAGAAGTTATAAATAAATAGATAGTGGAAAACTTCAAATTATACCTGAAGGACATCCACATTGCTTGTTTTGTGTACAGAGCTTTTTAGACAACTGCAAATGTATTATCCTGTATATGAATAAATGTTGCATCAAGGTTAATCACATATGTACTTGGAATAATCTTTGGCTCAAGCATGATCTCTATTTTTTTAGATACTTTAAAGAGAATATTTTCTGTTCTTATTTTAAAATACTGGTATTAGTTTGAAGAGTTTAGAATTATTTTTGTGGTGGTGGGTTTGAATTGAAGATATCAGTACGAACTTATTTAGCTTAATATAGGTCCAGATGGCTACATACAGAAATATTTATAGGTGTGTGTATATATCCAGGTTAGTACATAAACACACATTTTCTTGCTCTGTCAACTGAGAGAACTAGAAGCAATGACTCCTCAGTAGCAATGAGCACACCTACCTCCTAGATCTTGGCTTCTAACGCCATTTTCTAATAAAAGGAACCAAGCTTCCTGGTGAAATAGATGATTCTGGGACTTAGGAAGGAAAATACAAGATAATCCCGGAGCATCTGGAAACGTCAAAAAGTATGGAAGTATTCTAAAGGAAAACTGAAAAATGCCACCAAATTGATGAGATATGTCAAAGGGCTATAAGAGCAAACTGGAAGAGCCAACTCTGGAAAAATCATAGCAAGTGAATAACTAAATTAGCATTAGATTATGATCCAACAAAAATAAATATCTATGCATCTATACTGATATAAATATACTGATATAAATAAATGATGGCAAAAATAAACAGATGGGAAAGAAGGCACCAATATCCCATTCAGAATTTCAAATAATTTGTGTAGATCCTCCACTTTCAAGAAGTGAAGTAAAATTCCCCAATTCCTGGGTGTCAGCTACATGTAGTGACCTCCTTCCATAATACACTGTGGCAAGCGGTTAAGAAAAGAGCACCTGTACAGTCAAGAAACCTGACAAACTCTATCTCAGCCAGGTGATTAAAGTCAATGCCAACAGCATTTGTTGATATTACGTATCCTTGGTGTAATGTGATAGCCCAGTCTAATTATGAAAGAAAAAGACAAATTCTAATTGAGGGACAATCTACAATATATCTGACCAGTTCCCACCAAAACAGTCAAGGTCATTAAAAATGAAATGAATTAGAGAAACTGCCACAGGCAAGGGGAGTCCAAGGAGGCACAACAACTAAAGTGTCATGTGGTACCCTAGATGTGAAGGCAGAACAGAAAAGGACAATAAGTGAAAACTTAGGAAGTCTGCACCAAATATGAACTTTAGTTAAAAATAATGTTGAAATATTGATTTATCATTAGTAAGCAACATATCATCCTAATATAACATGCTAATATTAGAAGATATTGGGTGTGGGGAATATGACAGTTCTCTGTTCT
Source organism: Homo sapiens (assembly GCF_000001405.40). NCBI lineage: Eukaryota > Metazoa > Chordata > Mammalia > Primates > Hominidae > Homo > Homo sapiens. The sequence goes on along the minus strand of NC_000013.11, from coordinate 105,769,676 downwards.
ATCTTCGAATTTCTCTGTAAATCTAAAATTGTTCTAAATAATAAGGTTTATTTAAAAATGGTAAGAAAAGAGTCTTTAAAATATGTTACAACAAAAATAGCATTTAGGTATATTCTATCTAAATCATTTATAGGAAACTTGATAAATTCTTATTCACCCATAGTTTATCACTTTAGAAATTTTGAATGTGATAGATTTTAATTTTTCCAGCAGAGAGGAATTAGACTGCAATCCCACTAGACAATTTTCTTCCACAGCCTCTTTTCTCCGAATACATGCTTTGAATATTTTTTTTCTATTTGACACTTCCCCTTATTTTTGCTGCCTTATTCTTTTGTTATAAACTTTTAAAGCCAAAATCTGAACCTCTCAACAGTACACGTAATAATTTAAGCTTCACCAAATAGATGTGGATTGAATTTTTATCTCCTAGTTACACGAGATAATTTAAGTGACACAAATTACTTTAGCTCATTTCAGAGGCAAGTCATGATCATCTTCATAAGCCAGAAGATTTGAGATATATCAGAACGATGTAAAAGTTGAATCTTGCTCTAATGTACTAGTTTACTAAAACTCACTTTGCATCAACAGTCAGGACGCTGCTTTTAAGAGAGACAAAAATGTTTTTAATAAACTTATTATGCATACATTTAATGATTCTACTCTCTAGTGTACATTTTTATATTATAAGTGCTTTTCTATTAAAGAGTCCAAAACATTGTTGAATTGTTTTTAATGTAGAATTACAGCAACGTGTAAGAATCTATTTTTAGAAAAAATGTTTTATTTTGCTATAAATTGTTCACATCATATATACAAAATTAAAGTGGTTTCTTCTTTCTTTTTTTAAAATGTACCAAGTTAAAGCTAGAGAGGAGGTTATGATTATTTGCTGATTACTCCCAGATCCCCATATCTAGTGTCAAACTTTGACTCAGTTGCCCAGAGGCACTTCTATTTAGGTATCTCATCATCACTTCTTTCTAACTCAGTGTTTTTTGAGAAGATTGCACCCAATCTAACTTGTCTTCTCATTTCTATTGAGAGTTCCATTCTGCTTGTCTTCTTATTCATGATTCCTTCCTCCCACTTTGAAGGTCATATGTTCACGGCCAATGTGGGCACATCTGACTTTGTGTTGCATATTTTTTGAGATCCCTTCTATCCCCTAAGTTACATTAATCTTTCAAGTCTTAGACCACAACACCCTCGAATCTTAACTAATTTGGAGGGGGGATTCTACAATGTGTTTTGGGTCTGGATAATTTGTCAGCTATGGTACCAAATCCTAGCTCTCTGAATACTCTTCTGTGGATTTCTGCGATGTCCTCCCCATGGTCTTCTGTCTACACATTTTCTCTGATGCTGAGGGTCAAGCCTTCCATTTGTCCTCTAGCTTCTACTATCTCGCCTGTTTAATGACTTTGCTCTTTCAATTACCCTCCCCATGTGCTAATTCATCCATCATTCCATCTATGCTAGATTATTTCCTTCAGCATAATACATTGCTTTAATATCTCCTATTTTACAAAATTGTGCTGATATACTATATCCTTCTTATATGACTTCCTCGTTTCTTTACTCACCATCCACCACACAATTTCTCAAGAGATGTGTTAAATCTCACTGTCTCTTTTCCTTGCTTTCCATTCACAATTCAATTCACTTCACTCAGAGTTTTCATCACCACTATAGTGAAATTGATCTTTTTAAAGTCACCATTGACCTTTATGTTGCCAGATTCAAATGGATACTTCTATAGATCATTCTTGAATTATTTAAAACACATCTAACAAGTTGGGTAATGCTTTCTGCTCATATTTTTGACTTGCATTTATTCTTCTTATTTCATTTGTACACACCAATTTGACATGAGAGAATCACCCAACCACGACCACTCTGCAAGCCAAGAATGAAGTTTATTATCCTGATCTCTGTTGTTTAAAGAATTCATGATAATCGGTGTTACCCTGCATGCCATGCTTAGCATTGGCCAAGGAGGACCTGTAGCTTAACGTCTATGCAGGCCTCATCAAAACTCTTTTGTACATCTTTTACTATGCATTCTTAAAGGAAAAGATGGCTGTGTCTAAATGTTGTGAAAGTGTGTGGGTCATTGCACTGCCCATATAGAGATAGGCATAGCTTCAGAATGTGGAGAAAGAGCTGTCATTTCTCAGTAGCGCAGGAACTGACTTTCTTGCTTCTCGTTGTGCTGTTGTGCTCCAATTTATTTTTCCAGAGGAATGCACTAATTAGCATGATATTTGTGTGTGTGCCCGTGTGTGAGTGTGTGTGTCTCTTTGCATGGGGCAGTCGAGAAACATTTGCAATTTTCTACAATCCCTGTTACTCAAATTTAGATGTATGCAAGTCTATATTTACAGGGTATGAAAATGAATTCTCATAGTGGCAAGTAGATATGCTTGAAATTCTTAATTGTAAGTTCATCAAAAAATATTATCAAATCATTTTTAAAAGGAAAGCTTAGTTTTATTGAAATTATTTAATATATCATGGTATTAATTAATTGTAATCTACTTTTTTTGTTGTTTGAAAACAACTTCAAACACCTTCAAAACATGACACATTTGAAAATATGAAAAATATTATCTTAATTTTTCTAATTTTACATGTACTTCCATTTATAACTTTTATGAAAATATGCTTTGGGTTTGATATGCTTTGAGTAATTACATTTTGAAAAAATGTTTTAGTGAAATTCAAATTATGTGAAATGCCTGATAATTATTTAATTAGTAATTTTATTGAAATAAAGAAAATTATTTGTATGAATAACTATATAATTATTTGTGAATTACATGTCTTAATGTCATCATTTATTTAAACATATTAATAGTGATTTGATTCAATCATCTTTCATGTCTTGTCAAATTTCTATTAAAACCATATTTGTAAACATATTTCTCAATATGAAGGTATATTTGTTCAGGTAGGAGAAAATATTTCAGTGAAAAATTTGTTAGCTAAGTTTATAGTATTTAACTATTTAAACATATGGTTTGTGGGTCTTAACCTGGGCTAACCAATTCTTGGGTATATAACTTTTGAACCGAAGAAGACAATATCCAAAAATATTTAAACTTGCTTACTTCTAACTTACAGTAGTGACACACTGATAAGAGTATACTACTGTTACTTAGATCTGCAGTATTTTGAAATATTTCTTTTATCTTTGTTCAGTTTTATGCACTTAAAAATATTTTTCCCATCAACTTGTTTTCCTGAGGTTAGCTTAATCTGTATTCTGTTGCTTGCAATCAAAGTTTTTTAAGTAATACACCTATTTTTTGCCTTCAGTAATATTAAGTGGTCCTATATCTTTCTTCATACCTCAGTGGACTCTCTCTCTCTGCTAGCCCTTTCTGTAGAATAATTTGGGGTTTGGTCTTAGGCCCTTTTCTCTAATTACGTTGGTTTTTTTTTTTTTTTTAGATGGAGTCTTGCTCTGTCTCCCAGGCTGGACTGCAGTGGCACAATCTTGGCTCACTGCAACCTCCATCTCCCGGGTTCAAGCTATTCTCTTGCCTCAGCCTCCTGAGTAGCTGGGATTACAAGCGAGCGCCACCACACCCGGCTAATTTTTGTAATTTTAGTAGAGATGGGGTTTCACCACGTTGGTCAGACTGGTCTCGAACTCCTGACCTCGTGATCCACCCACCTCGGCCTCCAAAAGTGCTGGGGTTACAGGCATGAGGCACGCCTCTCAGTCTTCTAATTACATTCTCTTATGAGGTATTTTCTAGTTTCATGATTTTCAGTACCATCTAGTGCTGATGGCTCCTTGATCCATAAGTGCAGTTTCAATTCACTGCTGAGCTCCAGACCCATGGTAAATGTTCCATAGCTCTTTGTTGAATAAAAATAGCCATAGTGGCAGAGATTGCAGGGAATGAGGGCATTGTTAGTGGTGAAATAGTGGCTGAAAGGATTGACCCTAAGATCTAGATACTGATATCCAAATACTAGATAAATGCTGTATCAAAACAAGGCTTATAGGCTAAGAGAATAAGCAGAGGCAGTAGAAATGGTGATACCACTTAGGTCAATGCAGACATGGTGCATGTGGGGAGTGAGTGAGGTAGTGAAGTAAATAGGAAGCTGTGCCTCAAAAAGCAAATTTCAGAATTTAAAACATCCTACCATTTTAGGTCAAGACAAATAATTAAATGTATGTATGAGAGTGGGTTACTTCAATGAGGTATGCATAGATAAAGTAACAGTAAAAGATGACAAGAATGTTTGAAGCTAGACATGTTGGTGGGCATCTACCACATAAAACATTTAGAAAGAATGTGAGTTTTGTGTGAACACTTTGGTGCATAGAAGTCTATGGGCTGAAAATTAGCAAGGTGACAAGACACAATATGGGAATAACAATATCTGCCCGTACAAAGTAAGAACAATAGCCAATACCCTCACCTTTCCATTTTAGCATGGGAACTACTGGAGGAGGGGTGTGTGTGAGAATCATAATTAAATGGAGGAAAGGAGAGAGGGAGAGGAGGGGAGGAAAGAAAGAAAAAAGAAAAAGAAGGAGGGGGAGAAGAAGGAGATGGAAAAAGAAGGAGAAAGAGAAGAGGAAGAAAAGGAGGAGGAAGGCAGGAGGGTTAGAGAGGAGAGAGAGGAGAGGAGAGGAGAGGAGGGGAGGGGAGGAAAGAAGAGGGGAGGGGAAGGGAGGGGAACAAATGCTCCCAAATGCTGCTAAAATAAATAAAGGATATATGAATTGCAGGTACCACAAGCACTTAACAAATCATCCTCAAGATATACAATGACTCAAACAAAATAGGAATTTAATCCTCACCATTCCCCAGAGTGAGTGGTTTAAGATCCACAGCAGAGGTTCTGTTCCAAGTAAGTCTCTGAAGAATCAGGCTGATAGGAGATCTTTCATCTCTAACTTCTAAGATGCCAATAGTCATTCCATTGACACAGCTAATAGGACAGAATGTGGAAAATTATGACTCGAAAGTATTTACTGTTTAGGGAGTCAGGCTTGGAAATATCGCACATCTCTTCTTGTGCATATTCCATTGACCACAAGTCCAATGTCCTGGCCACAGCTAACTGCAACACATACCCTGCTTATGTGTCCAGGAGCAGAAGAAAACCTGGATTTGGATGAGCAGAGAGGAGTCCCTATCACAGTTCACTAAATTAAATAAAATTTTGGTTGACATACAGGTATTTTTTTCTGTCTTAACATTTAAAAAAATCCAGATGCTTAATGGTTAATGTCTAAATGACTCAAAATTTTCTCTCTTCACTAACATTGCTGTACAGCTACATCCTGAATTTGCATGTCTCTGTTATTTTCTCCAACTGGAAACTTGATTCTCAACACTATTTGATGAAAATAGCTTCCTATAAAAAGATTTTGGAGTTCCCACAAGTACAACTCAGTCAGAACCTTTATTTAGTCTCTTTAAATGAAAAACCATTTGGAAAATAAAAATTTCAGGGTGGAACAGGATGTATACAAATTGTAATTAAAACAAATTCAAGACAAGACAAAACCATTAGTCTTCATGGAAAATCTAGGAGGAACATTCACAGTTCAATGCCACTCTCATTGGTGAGTAATTGATCTTAAGACACTAGCAAGTTTCTAAATTATCCCACATAAGTCTCAGATCCAACAGCCTAGCAGTGAGTCACATTAGCTAGTTGACTTCGCAACAATCACAAGAGATGATTTTCTTGGATGGCTTGGCATCTGCACATTCTGCTGATCTTCCACTTCCTTACTTTACCATCTCAGTGTATTTTTCTCTCCCTTTCCGTTTCCTACACACAGACACTTTTTTCTTCCTATAGTCTTTACTTCAGCAATCCCACATTATTACTTCTAACGGATGTTTCTCCTACTGAGTGACTTCTGGCCTGCCGTCTCAGGTGTCCTCCCATATCCTAAAATAGAAAAATGTTCACTATCATGATAGTATTCACCAATGAACTCCTTTTTTTTTTCTTTTTTTGAGACAGAGTCTCGCTCTGTCGCCCAGGCTGGAGGGCAGTGGTGTGATCTCAGCTCACTGCAACCTCCGCCTCCTGGGTTCAAGCAATTCTCCTGTCTCAGCCTCCCAAGTAGCTGAGATTACAGGCATGCATCACCATGCTCAGCTAATTTTTTTGTATTTTGAGTACAGACGGGTTTTCACCATATTGACCAGGCTGGTCTTGAACTCCTGACCTTGTGATCCACCCACCTCGGCCTCCCAAAGTCCTGGGATTATAGGCTTGAGCCACTGCGCCTGGCCACCAGCACCTCTTTTACATCACAGAAGATAGTTCACAAGTACTTTCAAGGGATACACATGAACTCCTAACTTTTGAAATCTGAGTTGTTTTCCATAACTTTCTCTCCCTGTAACTGATCAAGTCCAGATATTATGAATTCAATCTGTGTGATCACTTCCATATTTTACTTTTACTGCCTTATTACTTTCCTTATTATCCTGTGCCTGGCAGGTGCTATAACCTCTCAGCTAACATTCCAGTCTCTAATTCTCACTCTTGTCCATTGTTCACATTTTTTTGCTAAATTAACCTGTATCATCACTATGATAATGTATCCCCAATATTTAACAATCTACGGTGGCTTCTCGTGATTCTAATAGCATAAAACCCCCAGAATATTAATATAGCGTAAAAACTTTGTTGAAGTTTTGCCCAAAATTTTATTTTACAGGGCAAGCCTTTATTTAACCTAATTCTTTGTCTTATGCTTTATTATTGAACTATCACTAACTTTGATGTTTATCCTTAAGGAAGTGTATTATGTACATATACTATTGTTTAGAATGGATATGTCTAGAACAAGTGTAATATTTCCAGGGAAAAATGTGGATATGCAACTTTTATTTTATTTTTTTTCTTTTTGAGACTGCAGTCTCAATCTCCTGAGTATCTGAGTATCCGTCCTCCCTGGCAAATTTTTAAAAATTTTTTGTAGAGACGAGGTCTTACTGTGTTGCTCAAACTCCTGGGCTCAAGCAGTCCTCCCACTTTGGCCTCTCAAAGTGCTAAAATTACAGGTGTGAGTCACCACAACTGATAGATATGCAGGTTTTCCTATTTCAAGCTTATCATTATTTTCCTCATTGCCAAAACTTTTAGGTACTTAATTCAAGGTTATCTCAATCTAATCCCCCTTCTTCTCTAGGACTGATGCACAATCCTGGAGACTTACTAATGGCAACAATATTAGGTGGTGAATGTCTGACCTTGTTATCGGCTCACACTGGCGTCCTCACAGTTGACACTGCCCTGTCTGGTCTTGTGAGCATCCACTGCGATGACTTTGCATATGAAATCTGGCCTACGGCCCACACTGTCATCTGCAAACAGATTTCTTCATCCCAACCCCATGGCCTCTCTAAGTCTGCTGCCCTTCACTCATCTAAGTGCATGTCCTTCCTGTGGACATGGGAAATGTTGGCTGCTTTGCAGGTGCTCTTTGGAGCACCAGTGAATTTTGTGAGGCAATCTCAGCCCCCCACTGTCTTGACACCACACACAGTGCCCTTGGCATTAATTATGCCATGGTTTTCAGAGAGTGCTGCAAGCTGCTGTTTTTATTTTTTCCTTCCATTTTTCCATTTCCAAATGGGAAGTAGGACATGGCTATTTTCTACTTTCACATTCATAAAGTTATTTAGGTTTTGCATGATGTGATTTCTGGTGATGGAAAAAGGAGATGGGGAGCAGGAAGAGAACTGGAGTCAAAGACAGAAAGATCTCTCTCACGGGACCATGCTGTTCCCTTTTCCAGCTCTCCTCAGCCCAGAAGGAGAAAATTTAATTCATTGGGCATTGTTTTCGTCAACTATAACAAAATACCATAGCCTGGGTGACTTAAACACTAGAAATTTATTTCTCATGGTTCTGGAGGCTGAAAAGCCCCAGACTGGAGTGTTATTATGGGCGGGTTCCAGTGAGGACTTTCCTCCTGGCTAGCAGATGGTCACATTCTTACTGTGGCCTCATGTGGCAGAGGAAGAATGAAAACCTGTGGTGTGTTTTTCTTACAAGGGCACAAATTTCACCATGAGGCCCCACCCTCACGCCCACATCTAAGCCCAGTTACCTCCCAAAGGCACCATCTCCACATAATCATCACATTGAGAGTTAGGCCTTCAACATATGAATTTTAGGAGGACATAAACATTTAGTCCGTAATGGGCATTCTTCTTTATAGCAAATTGCATACTCGTTATGATGAGAATCCTTCCAAAGTATCGACAGGCTATGCATTTGAAACCTTTATTTCAAACTGTGCTTGAATAAACTCTTGCTTGGCAGATTACTCGATCCCTGAATTAGTAGCCTCCTTAGGTCTAGACTTTAGCTCAGATGGGTGAAGGATTAGAAGAGGAAAAACAGAACTGTAAATGAAAAACACCAAGGTTAACATTTCCAAATAACCTTCTAGGAAGAAAGGTTATATTATAATAGATATATGTCCAGATATACAGATATAAACATATACTATCTGTTATCTTCGTAAACACTAACATAAGGACTAAGAGATTTGAGAAATATGTTGAATTAATGAAAAATATAAAATATGTCTTTCTCTGTATAATACAATTTGTAAACAAATTGGGTACAGGAATAATAAAAGCTAAGTTGAGTAGTTGCTTGGGATTCTATTTTTATTCAATAAATAAAGCAGCTACTAAAATATTACGTTTTAAACACTAGTAGGAGTTTGTCATTTAATTTGTTTCATTCACTTGTAAATGTTCACAACTTATCAGTAGGTGCTGAAATTTCTATAGCTTCAGTATAAAATGAAAGCTTTCAAAGTACTACTTTTCTCAGTGCCAGATATTAAAGCCTTAAATGGCCAATTCTGAAGATATTTGAACATTGCTTACTGTTTCACAAATACTTTATATAACATGTAAAAAATGACATTTATTAGCTCCCTGGTTATTTTTCTTTATGACTGTGAACAATGCAGCTCAGAAAGGAAAGAAAGAGATTGCATTTGAAACCTGAAAAAGCTACACATAATTAACTGGGAAAAAACAACTAATAGGAAGGAGAATGAGAGAAGCAAACAAAAAATAATGTAAAATCTTGATAGAATGAGATGTATAAAGTATATTCAGAAAATAAAAGATTTTATTCTCCTTTGATTATTTTATCTTAGAGGTCTAAAAATATCATTTTAAAATTAGCTAAGAAAAAAATCCAAAGATTTGTGACTGTAATATTAGAGGAGGTTGAAATTTATAATAAAGACATTTAATCTTGTAATGGTCAGCAATAGGGATAAATTAAAATTTTTTAAAAAGTGCCATGATAAAAGTTATGCATTTTATTCTCTGGTATCTATTCACTGGGCATATAATTGCTGAGCATTCAGTGTGATCATGACTCAATTATAAGTGCTGGACAATCTTAGAATTCCATCATGGAAAAAGCATAGCATTAGAAATAAGAAGGCAGAGATTCAAGTTCAAATTTCTACTGTTTATAAACAATATGAGCCTGGTCAAATGACTATACTCTTCAACTCTTCTGTTTTAACACTTATAAAAGGGGATGATTATGAGAATGATAAGAAAATCTCTTTCACCAAATGATGCATAAAACATACAGTATGTTAATACATATCAAAGTACTTTATACATTGCTAATCAAAATGAAATTTAGTATATTTCACATTTCAGTCTAAGATTTTTTTCTTTTCCATTTCAAATTTTGCAAGCTTTAATTGAAAATACCTAGAGTGAGAGAGAAATATGTAGTGTTTCCATGGGAATTATTATTGAACTAAGGTTTTTACTATTCCAAGCACCAAGTTCATTGAAGTCATTTTCATTTGCTTTACTTCTGAAGTCTCTGATGCCATATGATATCTATCTACATTGAGTTGAATTGCACTTAGGAAATTATTTCTCTGTACGACTCAAAGAGAACTTGATATCATGTGAGGCAGGTATTACTGTAAGGCATTGTGACTCAGAAGAGAAGAAAGCTGCTCATTATGTCAATTACATTTATGGGAAGCAGGGGAACCCAGTTTCCCATCCCTCTTGTGAATTCTTTCAGCAAATTAAATTATGAGCATGCAGACTTGTTTAATTAATGGAGTGCATTGCAACTTGGAATTGTATCATCTGTGCACAAAGAAATCATCACATCACAGTCTCGGAGATGTTTTCTACTTGGCCTTCCATCATGGATGGCTGTACATCATACTCAGTCTTTGAGAGAAGAGAGTCTCACTATTGTCATGTTTCTATAAACATCGGTAATCTCTGAGTTTGGCATTGTGAATTGTACTTGGATAAGAAGAATATAGTCTATAAAAATTATAGGGCATGCTCATAGTAGAAATCATCTTCCCAGTAATTTTGACCAATAAATAACTGCTATGCATATAAAAATATGTCAGAAACACTGGAGTAGCTTGTACCTTCTTGGCATAGCTATGTTGGATGATTGAAGCTGATTGGATTAACAAGAATAATATGAACGGCTCTGACATATTTCTGTTGCTAAGTGTCCAAAAATTCAATTTAGCAAATGTTTGCTGAGTTTATGTTTTATGCGAAGCACTTTCTTAGACATCCTGGTTTGTAAAGCTGAGAAGACAACCTTGGCAACTCGCAGTTAACTAAGAGAGACTGAAATGTAAATATAAATTCCTGCAAATACATGATTAGTACCTTGACAGGGATTTTTCCAATATGTCATGGCAATATAGATTCAAGAGCAACTCCATCTACTAGGGGAAGTGAGGGGCTAGTGGAGACAGGGGCCAGGAAAAACTGTACAGTACAAATGTTCCAGCTAATGCTAAGCCACGGAAGCATAAAAAATGAGTCCCATTTCTGGGAACACTGGGCAGTCTACTTTGGGTTATGATTAGAGATAAAGCCATAAAGGAACACTGAGCTATGCTTAGAAATTCAAATGTTTGTAAGTACATATGCATTAATACGTTTTAAACAAGAGTGACGCCTGGGCACGGTAGCTCATACCTGTAATCCCAGCACTTTGAGAGGCTGAGGTGGGTGGATCACCTAGGTCAGGAGTTCGAGACCAGCCTGGCCAACATGGCAAAACCCTGTGTCTACTAAAAATACAAAAATTAGCTGGGCATGGTGGCATGTGCCTGTAGTCCTAACTACTTGGGAGGCTGAGGCAGGAGAATCTCTTGAACCCGGGAGGTGGAGTTTGCAGTGAGCCGAGATCACACCACTGCACTCCAGTCTGGGTGACAGAGCGAGACTCCATCTCAAAAAAAAAAAAAAAAGAGTGACAAGATTATACCTGTTTCTATCAAATCAGTCATCTCATCTGACTGGAGAATATTAGAGGGAGAAGACATTCTTCACAGGATAGTAGATCAACAAGGAAATGGTTTGAAGTGTTCCCATAGGGGATGAAGGATGCCTGGACAATGGCAGCAGGTATGGAGAAGACAGAGTGGGGGGACACACCTTTTGTTTCTGGCATTTTTCCCCCCGGTAACAGGACCTCAACTGTCTTTTGACAAACGATCTCTTTCTCCACGGTCAGCTGTGTGGTTTGAGGAAGCTGACACCATCTGTTCTCCAAGTGGGTGAACAGGCAATAAAGGACAAGTTAATTTGTGCATTTCATCAAGACACTCTCCAGGGATTAGGAGTAGATATGTGCAGTCAGAGTGAATCTCAGGGCATATTGGGAACCAACACAAAGGTACTTTATAGTTTCAATGGGATCTGCATTAGGAGGAAGGCAAGACTGAAAAGTTCTAGCTGTTCTAATTGGGATCAGGACAGGGCTAGCTTCAGAACCAAGGCAGAGAAATGGAAATAATTTTTCAGATAAAGGAATAGAATAAACATTTGAAAGTAAGTGTCCTGAAATTAAGAAAGAGGATTGAATGATTTGCCTATTGGGAATTGACTCTATTGGTAATGAATGATGTTAACTGGGGAGACTTGTATATATTGAGAGAAGACGTGAACCCAGGGAAGAAATCCTGGTGAACAATGGCATTTAGGAATCTGATTTGATGTAAGGTGTGGGTTATAGAGGGCTCTCATGTTCTAATTTGTACTTTTTAAAATTGTATACTCTTAAAATTTAGCACATATTATACTTGTACTGAAAATATTTTCCCCCCTAGGTCAGTTGAAATACAAAATAATACTAGGTGAAGAAGTAGTGTCTTGGTTGAGGAACTCTTGAAGATGAGAACACATGCCTGGAGTGACCACATTTTCAAAGCAAAGTTTGCTGGGGATGGGGTGGTGGTGATAGAAAAAACATTGAGAAAGCAAGATCCAAGGAGAGATCACTTCCAGATAAAGAACAAGCTGTTTGTGAATGGCAACATTTTAGTTGTCTTTGAAGAATAAATAAAATTTTGACATTAATAGGAGTGGATGGGGGTCGGGGTGAAGTTGATGAAAATTTTCTAGTCTTTGATTTGTTTGCTGATGACTGGACTCCATTCTGAAAATCTCCTGACTGGTCATCTTTGGTTCATGTTCTTCTTGAGCCTTATCTTTATTAAACAGTGTAGATAGAAGAAGATACTTCAGACTCTAGTCCTGTAAACATATACTTATAGTTCATAAAAGCATGACTTGGATGGATCCAATTATAAATCAGCAGCTGTTAACTACAGGATGCTAGCTCTGTCACAGTTCAATATTCTGAAACTTTTGTTCTCCTATAAAAGGCAATTACATATTCTACTTTGATCCTGTAATAATTCAAGTCTAAAAATTTATCCTAAGAACATAATTATACATTTTCTATAAGAATGTTAATTGCCGGCTTATTTTTAACAGGAAAATATATGAGCAAAAATCTCTCCATGGCAACAATAGGGAGATAGGTTAAGTGAATTATGATATGGCAATATAATGAAATTCATGCATGTAAATAGAAATCATATAGAAAAATTGTAAAGATATGAAAAGTACTTAAGATATATTGCTTTGTCTTCTCAACTTACTCAACTGTGTGTTTGTGTTTGTACATGTGTATGTAAACATATGTCTGCATAGATACACACACATATAACCACATTTTTATTTTAAAGTGTTGTAAAAATCTTGAGTTACACAACAAAATGTTGACATTTTATTAGTTCTGGGTGGATGAGTTTGGAGTGCTATTGTGTTTCTCTTTGCTTATCTATATTTTCTAATTATTCTATAATGGACATATTAAACCTTGGTGGTAATAATGTAAGTTGTGTTTCATAAATCTGCATTTAACAAAACAATACAACTTTAGTTATTAGTGCTTTTCCTTCTTTTGGATGCCCCGTATTTCAGCTCAGTTCTGTCTCTAAATCTACCTTAGTACAAAAAATAAAAAGAAATAATGAAAACATAAATGCTTGCTTTCTACGACCTTTATAGCTTCAGTAAGGCTACCAGACCTAAGCAAGTTCTCACTTGGGTCTTTGCATGAGTGATGGCCAGCATGGATTCTGTAGAATTCCTTCCCCTGGAGCTAGTAGCATCAGTGGTCCAGAGACAGTGGTGGTCATCTAGGGCTTGTGGCAACTGCACACCACCCTGGTTGTTCCTGAGTGTGACCTTAATTTTTGTTATAGTGAGCCACTTGTCTAGACCTGAGTTGTTAAGTCTGGTTTTATAGGCTTCCTGTTGATTTTTCGAGTTACCTGCATGCCTGCAATAAACTGTTTTCTGTGTCTGTTAGTCAACGTTATTTCTTTTCTTCCAAGCAAAATATCAGTTTCCAAATAAACCTGATTGACAAAGGGCTAGCCTTGTTTGACCAGTATATCAAGCCTATATATTTAGATTTCTTGGGAACAACTAGACACAATGTCAGAGTCTTAATAGGAAACCACATAGGATTTTTTGTGACATATCTCATAGACTGAAAATTAATGATAGCTAGACTTCTGGAAAAATAGAGCTATAGAATAACCTATTTATTATCATTTTAGATGAGAATCATGAGCTATAAGGAAATACTGTCATAATCATAAGTTTTAAAAGTGTCTTATACAAGAAAGTACAGTTTCAGCATTAGTTTTATCTCCATGCCACTTAAAATTATTTTATATACATTTTTAAGTCACACAATTTTTAAAATGCTATTCCTTACTTGAACTTATTTTCCATGAATTTAAAGCATTTTGTAAAAATTTAGTATCCTTTTCATATTTCTTTAGAAATTTTACCATTTCAGATTCTCAATTACTTTACATGGACATCTGGATCAAGTCAATTATTGTACCTTTCTCATTCAATACATGAGCAAGCACCCATAGAGAATGATAGCTGCTGTTTGGTTAATTGCATTAATATCTGGGAGAATATGAAATAATTTTACATCTTTATTACTAGTGTAACTCAGAAATCTGGAATGAGAAATCTATTCTCATCATCTTTTTTCAGTTGTCCATTTGCTGTCTGCAGATATTGAAGCAAAATCTTTGGTATGATTACTACTGATAATATTTTGTGTAAAAATAATTATCTCACTATTTCACTTTGTTTACTTTTTTTATTATACTTTAAGTTTTAGGGTACATGTGCACAACATGCAGGTTTTTTACATATGTATACATGTGCCACGTTGATGTGCTGCACCCATTAACTCGTCATTTAACATTAGGTATATCTCCTAATGCTATCCCTCCCCCCTCCCCCTACCCCACAACAGGCCCCGGTGTGTGATGTTCCCCTTCCTGTGTCCATGTGGTCTCATTGTTCAATTCCCATCTATGAGTGAGAACACGCGGTGTTTGGTTTTTTGTCCTTGCGATAGTTTGCTGAGGAGAATGATGGTTTCCAACTTCATCCATGTCCCTACAAAGGACATGAACTCATCCTTTTTTATGGCTGCATAGTATTTCACGGTGTATATGTGCCACATTTTCTTAATCCAGTCTATCATTGTTGGACATTTGGGTTGGTTCCAAGTCTTTGCTATTGTGAATAGTGCCACAATAAACATATGTGTGCATGTGTCTTTATAGCAGCATGACTTATAATCCTTTGGGTATATACCCAGTAATGGGATGGCTGGGTCAAATGGTATTTCTAGTTCTAGATCCCTGAGGAATCGCCACACTGACTTCCACAATGGTTGAACTAGTTTACAGTACCACCAACAGTGTAAAAGTGTTCCTATTTCTCCACATCCTGTCTAGCACCTGTTGTTTCCTGACTTTTTAATGATTGCCATTCTAACTGGTGTAAGACAGTATCTCATTGTGGTTTTGATTTGCATTTCTCTGATGGCCAGTGATGATGAGCATTTTTTCATGTGTCTTTTGGCTGCATGAATGTCTTCTTTTGAGAAGTGTCTGTTCATATCCTTCGCCCACTTGTTGATGGGGTTGTTTGTTTATTTCTTGTAAGTTTTTCTGAGTTCATTGGAGATTCTGGATATTAGCCCTTTGTCAGATGAGTAGATTGCAAAAAGTTTCTCCCATTCTGTAGGTTGCCTGTTCACTCTGATGGTAGTTTCTTTTGCTGTGCAGAAGCTCTTTAGTTTAATTAGATCCCATTTGTCAATTTTGGCTTTTGTTGCCATTGCTTTTCGTGTTTTAGACATGAAGTCTTTGCCCATGCCTATGTCCTGAATGGTATTGCCTAGGTTTTCTTCTAGTGTTTTTATGGTTTTAGGTCTAACATTTAAGTCTTTAATCTATCTTGAATTAATTTTTGTATAAGGTGTAAGGAAGGGATCCAGTTTCAGCTTTCTACATATGGCTAACCAGTTTTCCCAGCATCATTTATTAAATAGGGAATCCTTTCCCCATTTCTTGTTTTTGTCAGGTTTGTCAAAGATCAGATGGTTGTAGATATGTGGCATTATTTCTGAGGGCTCTGTTCTGTTCCATTGGTCTGTATCTCTGTTTTGGTACCAGTACCATGCTGTTTTGGTTACTGTAGCCTTGTAGTATAGTTTGAAGTCAGGTAGCATGATGCCTCCAGCTTTGTTCTTTTGGCTTAGGATTGACTTGGCATTGCGGGCTGTCTTTTGGTTCCATATGAACTTTAAAGTAGTTTTTTCCATTTCTGTGAAGAAAGTCATTGATAGCTTGATGGATATGAAGGACCTCTTCAAGGAGAACTACAAACCACTGCTCAATGAAATAAAAGAGGATACAAACAAATGGAGGAACATTCCATGCTCACTGGTGGGAAGAATCAATATTGTGAAAATGGCCATACTGCCCAAGGTAATTTGTTTACTTTTTAATTCAAATACTGACTATCTCCATTTAGCAGACATAATGTTCTCACTTAGAGGACAAATTTTCTCAAAGTTCAACAGATTTTTCTGGAAAGGAAAGAATGATGAGTAGGAGTTTATAATAAAAATCATAACACAACATAAAGTGATTTTCTGACCAATTGCTCAGCTTTAGCTATAGATGTGCAGGCTACAAATAAATGCTAACAAATTAAAATAATTATTTTTTGATTAAAAACTACTTCCTTCAAGCAGGGTGGTAAAAAAGAAAAATCTTAGTAAATTTTGGTTTTATTCTCTGAATCTTCTGCACCAGGCGGTATCAGTGCTATTTCAAACACCATGTTAAACACATAAACAGTCTGCTATGCAAAACCATTAAAATCACAGTGGCATTATTCAGATATTTCATGACTTTGCAAGTGTATTTAGGGATACAGAAGTAAGTAAGGGGGAGGTGTAAGGATAAGGTTCACCTTTAAACTGACATATACACAGTTGACCCTTGAACAGTGCAGGGGCTAGGAGTGCTCACTTATGCATGATTGGAAATCTGAATATAGATTTTGACTCCACCAAAACTTATCTACTAGTCTACTGTTTACTGGAAACCTTAATGATAATGTAAACAGCCAATTAACACATATTTTTTATATTGCATGTATTAAATACTGCACTCTTACAATGGAGAAAAGAAAATTGCATTAAGAAAATCATGAGGAAGAGAAAATATATTTAATATTTATTACATGGAAGTAGATCATCATAAAGGTATTCATCCTTGTGGTCTTCATGTTGGGTAGGCTGAAGAGGAGGAAGAAGAGAAGGGGTTGGTTTTGTTATCTCAGGGGTGGCAGTTCATCTGTGAGGTTTTTTCAAATTATTGCAAATCTCCAAAACTTTTCCAATACACCTACTGAAAAAAATTTACATGTAAGTAGACCCACACCATTCAAACTCATGCTGTTCAAGGATCAACTGCCCTGTAGTTTAACAAAATATTTCATTTGTTTTCTCTTTTTTAAATAAAGCTTGAAAACTATTACCCTACAATTTGATGTAAAAGTCAAAGAAAATAATCTAATGAAAACTAAATTCAATTAAATTTAACTTTAAAGAAATAGAGTATTTGCTGTCAGATTTAAGGAGTAGAGTAACTTAGAATTAAACTAGACAGTAGCAGGGTCTTAGGGCAGTAACATCAAACTAAAAAACAAAGTTTCTGAAGGATAGCATTTTGGGCAAATAAAACATTTGGTCTGTTCAATTCCCTTTAAATTAGACTCATTCGTGATACATCTGATTGCTCTGAACATTTCAGTTAACGGAGCATGAGAGGAGCAAGGCTATTTCTTTTTGACCAGTAACCAAAGCTTCTTTGGGAATCCCTCCGAGAGGCTTCACTCATCTACGAGGCCTTGGGGAAAGTCAGGAGTGTGCAGCTTTCAGAAGCTGTGACCTTGAAAGAGCCCAGAAAAGGGGGCAGGAGAAGCAACTTATTGGAAGCAAAACAAGCAGAAGAACAAAAACTAAACTAACAAAATTGCATGCCAGATCTATTCACTCTTTTGAAAGTTTAGAACTTTAGCTGGTATGATACATTTGCTTCAAATTCCTGTTTTCCTTAGAGTTAGAATTTTCCTTTTGTGTGTGTGTTCACTGAACACAGGCCTCCTCCATCCCAGGAATCTGAATAATCAACTGCAAAGACACTTAATTATTTTCCAAATTGTAGGACACTCTAGCCAGGTAGTTCTGCTGTAGATCACTTTCTGTTGCTGCAACCCAACAGTAACAGCAGGGAAATACGTGCTGAGGGTTTTGTAGAAGAAGCAGTAGACAAATTAAGACTGGATTTTGAACCGTAATGTCAATTCAAAGACTTCAGTTTCGAACACAGACTAAGCAATTCTGATGCTTCCTAATGGCCTGAGCTCCTGACTTTAGAGTTCTTCGAACGTTGGCTGGGTTCTTCCATTAGGTTGGAATTGGAGGAACCCTGAGGTTTCCAGCAACCAGTAAAGGGGTTTGAAAAAAATACCTAGAAACTGCAAAAATTATAGATCTACAATCAAATATTCACATCAAGTGTATTTAGGTGGAATCAGAAACGTATTTTTAAGACTTCTTCAGGTGACTCTGATGTTTAATATAGAAATCTTCCCATGATTAAGTGTCTATGGAGATTATTGTATTAGTCTGTTCTCACGCTGCTATGAGGAAACACCCGAGACTGGGTAATTTTTAAAGGAAAGAGGTTTAATTGACTCACAGTTTTGCAGGACTGGGGAGGCCTCAGGGAACTTACAATCATGGCAGAAGGGGAAGCAACCACATCCTTCTTCACTTGGCAGCAGGAAGGAGAAGTGCAGAGTGAAGGAGAAAAAAGACCCTTATAAAACCGTCAGATCTTGTGAGAACTCACTCACTATCATGATAACAGCTTGGTGGGACCACTTCCTTGCTGTAATCACCTCCCATGAAGTCCCTCCCACAACACATGGATATTACAATTCAAATTACTATTCAAGATGGGATTTGGGTGAGAACACAGAGCCAGACCATAATAAAGATTATATATAACCTGTCTATATTTTGTATATAACCCATATATCTTTTTCTCCGAAATATATATACATGTGTCATCAATATATAATCTATCATATGCTAAATCTCTATCTATATTTCTATCTAATCAATGCCATATATCTTTCTTTAGCTTTTCTTTACAAAGGTGGCACTTCTCATTTCCTCAGGCTACCTATGATGAATTTAGCACAGAAGATATGCAAAGACAGAACTAATTTTTGCTCTTATGAGAAGGTTTGGAATAATAATTATATTCTCCTGCAGAAGTTATTACTACGCACTTACTATGGCCATAGGATAGGTTTGATGAAATTGCAACTCTGATGAAGTTACATTTCATGATAGACTGCAGTAAGCCTTAAAAAGATATTCTCCACTTTTACCTTCTATTCTCACATATTCAACCCAAAGTTAACCCTCAAAACTGGGAAAAGCTTTATGGCAACAACAGAGGTCCCTATAGAAGTGGAATGTCACCCATCTGGGGGCCAGCCTGCCAAGGTTGGCTGCAGAAACACCTTTCCTCATATCCACATAAATCACTGGCCCT
Source organism: Homo sapiens (assembly GCF_000001405.40). Classification (NCBI taxonomy): domain Eukaryota; kingdom Metazoa; phylum Chordata; class Mammalia; order Primates; family Hominidae; genus Homo; species Homo sapiens. Next base: position 105,750,304 of record NC_000013.11, on the reverse strand, counting down.
TCTGGTGGTCCCAGGTGTCCCTCTGAGGAAATATCTGCCTAGTCTTTTATTTGACTTCAGGAATATGGCCTTCCCTCATTTCGTTGGCTGAGAATCTAATGTCTAAACCATATATTCTGAGATCCCTATTGGTCTTGTTTTTGAACTCTCTTGTTCTTAGTCTTTCATTAAAGGTTGACCTAGCACCACTGATTTTGCAACCAAGCTTTATGATATTCTGCTTCCTTTCTGAATCTATACATCCTAAAATATTCACTCAATTATTTACAGTTCTGCCATCTAGCTACCTGAAACGCACATGCCCTCGTCACTAATCATACCTCTTTCCTTTGGAGCACACATGCATTGTATTAGCACCTTGAACAACCCACTTCAAGTTGTCTTCTCCTAATTTAAGACTCATGATACCTGATTCCTTCTATGCCTTTGAGGATGTGCTATTCTTACCACCTTTTCCACTCATGAAAATTTTTCTCTTGTTCACACCAGTCTTTTTGTTGTTGTTCAAACTATTAACTCTTAGCTCAGGGCTGTAAGAAAACTCCTGCCACAGACTATTTGATTAGTGAAACAAGCACACTCTATACTCTGTTTTCTTAGTTTCCTTTTTTATCCCTGTATTTCTCAATATTATTTGACCTTGAAGCTGCCATTCTGCCTGCAGATTATTTCTAAGTTGCTGACACCATTATATGCGATCAAAACAGACAAGGTGAAATAGCTTAGCCCCAGTCATGATTCGTATTATGCCTGTTGTTCTTCACATAGCCATGAATAAGCCTACTTACATAGTTGATGCATGTTAGTATCTATTTGACATTACTAGTAAATCAATCATGTCACATGTATTTATTAAAATAGCATTAATTGTACCCACTCTGTCCCATAATCTACCTTCAAACAAGACACTTTTCCCTGCCCAATACAATAGGGAGACAAGGATTAGCAAACCTAAAATAACAGAGTATTGTAATATTTAATGTAAAACAAATATTCATGAAATAATGGGCGATAAACTAAAATTGCAATCAAATTTAGTGGACAAGACAATCTAGGAAGACCAAAGGATTCAAGGAAAGCTATATGGACAAGTGAGAAATAAAACCAGGGTTTTTTTTGCAGATTTTTTTTGATATCTTGTAATTTGGTAGAGGGATTGTTATGATAGGTGCAAATCTTTGTTTTGTGTTTTTCCTAGAGTTGCTGTACTCCTCTTGCACAGCCTTGCTACCATTATCCCAAGGCAGCTGTCCTTAGCATTTCCATGATATCTGACCTTAGAAAAACTCTGGGGGCATGGGAATATCACGGGCAAGTGGCCTTGAGAGTCTCTCCCTTGGGACATTTTTGATCTTCCTGATCCTTTTTTAATTTAATAATAAGGCACATAAAAACTACCTGGGCATTTGTTAACATCAAGATCCCCATCACAACCACAAATATTCTAATATTTTGGGTTTTGGTTGAAATCTCCAAATCAGTACTTTTAATTCTGATACTGAGGGTCTATGGCTCTTTGAACAAACACCGCACATTGGATAAACTTCTAATCACCATGTTCGTTCCTGGTTTGTAACATGCTTTGTTAGTGTACTTGACCTTCAAGTCTGGCCAGAAATCTCGTCATTATTATCTTTAATTGCATGTGTTAACACTACTTGCAGCAGTTTCTCCCAGGTCTTTTAAATAGAAGGATAGGACAATATTTTCTATGTGTTTCATAGACTCTGGCAACCGTGACTCTGTTGAGTGTTCTGCTCAGAACAAGGGTTCCATCTCTGAAGATGACTGGAACATAATGGAGTTAAACAAGTGAACCTGACTCTCAGCTTGTAGGTTGCCTCAGAATAAGAGTAAGAATTTGCCTAAAGCTTAAGAATCTCCAGCAGTGGCCGGGCGCGGTGGCTCACGTCTGTAATCCCAGCACTTTGGGAGGCAGAGGCGGGCGGATCATGAGGTCAGGAGATGGAGACCATCCTGGCTAACACAGTGAAACCCCGTCTCTACTAAAAAAATACAAAAAAATTAGCCTGGCCTGCTGGCGGGCGCCTGTAGTCCCAGCTACTTGGGAGGCTGAGGCAGAAGAATGGCGTGAACCCGGGAGGAGGAGCTTGCAGTGAGCCAAGATCGTGCCAATGCACTCCAGCCTGGGCGACAAAGCGAGACTCAGTCTCAATAAGTAAATAAATAAATAAATAAATAAATAAATAAATAAATAAATCTCCAGTAGGAGGTTAGTATGTATATACATCCCTTCCCCAGGTAAGCTTGGGAAATAAGAATATAAGTTTGGAAAATGACACAACTAGAATGAAGAGACTCAGACATACAAGGAACTACTGATGTTTTCTACTTTTACTGCTTTTATTTTGCATCCTTTTATCTAAAACAAATCATCAGTGCTATTGAAAAAAAAATCACTGTGGATGCTGCTGAAACACAGCTGGTGGCAGGGGTATGGATGAAGAGCCAGACTGTAATAATTTAGGCTTTACAAGAAACCGTAGACAAAAGTAAATGAGTGAGTAACTGCTTATGAAACTTTATTATAGTACCACCCGCAAGTCTTTAGACCGTAGTTTGCTGACCTCTTGTCTAGAGTTGGACAGCCAACATCCTGAGAAAACTGCTATATTCTAACTTATTCCCCATATATTTTATTCCTCCCTAGAATAAAAATAGGGAATAAACTCACTTTTAAAATCATATATTTATTAAAAACATGCTACAGAAAGTTCATTTATTCATTCATTCTTCAACACTTTATTGAACATCAACCGTATGCTGGGTGCATGGACCTTTTGTCCCTCGTCTGATTCTGGCTAGTTTCTTTTTTTATTATACTTTAAGTTCTGAGATACATGCGCAGAACTTGCAGGTTTGTTACATAGGTGTACATGTGTGATGGTGGTTTGCTGCACCCATCAACCCGTCATCTACATTAGGTATTTCTCCTAATGCTATCCCTACCCTAGCCCCCCACCCCGGGACAGGCCCCAGTGTGTGATGTTCCCCTCCCTGTATCAATGTGTTCTCATTGTTCAACTCCCACTTATGAGTGAGAGCATGTGGTATTTGATTTTCTGTTCCCATGTTAGTTTGCTGAGAATGATGGTTTCCAGCTTCATCCATGTCCCTGCAAAGGACATAAACTCATCCTTTTTTTTTTTTTTTTTTTGAGACAGTCTCACTTTGTTGCCCAGGCTGGAGTGCAGTGGTGCCATCTCGGCTCACTGCAACCTCTGCCTCTCAGGTTCAAGCTATTCTCATGCCTCAGCCTCCTGAGTAGCTGAAACTACAGGCATGTGCCACCATGCCCAGCTAATTTTTGTAGTTTTAGTAGAGACGGGGTTTCACCATATTGGTCAGGATGGTGTCGCTCTCCTGACCTCATGATCTGCCCACCTCGGCTTCCCAAAGTGCCGGGATTATAGGCATGAGCCACTGTGCCCCGCCAAACTCATCCTTTTTTATGGCTGCATAGTATTCCATGGTGTATATTTGCCACATTTTCTTTATCCAGTCTATCACTGATGGGCATTAGGGTTGGTTCCAAGTCTTTGCCATTGTGAACAGTGATGCAATAAACATACGTGTGCATGTGTCTTTATAGTAGAATGATTTATAATCCTTTGGGCATAAACCCAGTAATGGGAATGCTGGGTCAAATGCTATTTCTGGTTCTAGATCCTTGAGGAATCACCACACTGTCTTCCACAATGGTTGAACTAATTTACACTTCCACCAACAGTGTAAAAGTGTTCCTATTTCTCTACATCATCTCCAGCGTCTGTTGTTTCCTGACTTTTTAATGATCGCCATCCTAACTGACATGAGATGGTACCTCACTGTGGTTTTGATTTGCATTTCTCTAATGACCAGTGATGATGAGCTTTTTTTTCATATGTTTGTTGGTCGCATAAATGTCTTCTTTTGAGAAGTGTCTGTTCATATCCTTTGCCCACTTTCTGGCTATCTTCTTACTAATTGTGAGAACCTAGTTAACATCTTTGAGTGTTAGCTTGGGATGATGACAGATAAATTAAAAGGAGATTTGTATGAGGGATTTTAGCAGTGGCTACACTGTCATCTCACCTTCGGTTTGTAGTGAGTTCCCAGTTCTTTGTGAGCTTGAACATATGAAACAGATGACTTTTAAACTAAATGAATACCTTTATGCTTATCAATGGCCTTTCTGTTTTGTTCCATTTTAACCAGTAGTTTTGGGGGCTTTTCCATTGTTACCTACATAACTATATCACTAAGATTGTAAAGAAGAAACTGCCAGATTCTTCCTAATATCATTTATAACACCTTATAGAGGGCATAGCCCAAATTAGACCTTCAACAAATATTTGAGGAATGGATTAATGTTTATTGTTTTAATCTATTGGGATGATATCAAATTCAAGGTCTCTGAAGCAAAATGTGATCAATAGCCTACTTTGATAAGCATAACACATGTTCTCATTTCTTAATTGGTGTGTTTATTTTCATAGTTTTAAAAATCTTGTTCATTTTGCAAAATATGTGGTGAGAAAAATGGCTATGATATATGATCTTGACAGAGCAAGGATAGACCTAAATGATATATTGATTTTTCGTTAAATTTCTAGTAAAGCAGACAAAATACATTCGCTATCATTAACTACTCATAGAAAAATGAGAACTGAAAAGGTGAAAATGGGACATATTAAGAAATTTGATGATTTGGAAGATATGTAATAGTTGATTCCATTTCAGTATAGAAAACTTCTATGCCTCTCTCTTATAATGCTTGTTGTGGAAATGTTCTTATATGATACAGAACAGATTGTATTTTGGTTTTTTAGAGTTGATCAATTGGACAAGCAATTTATTTTCTGAAAATGAAGTAAAATCTATTTAAACCTTAATGAACATAAAGCCCAATCTTTACATTCTACCTGAGGTAGATATACACACATTTTTAAAAATGAATCATTAAAGTGGAATGTATAACATAGAAGTAATCTTTGTTGATATAGAAAAATAAGTAGATTGATGATCACATTCTGTTGGATTGATGATCACATTCTGTTGAATGAGCACATTCATAAACACTCTGATGCTCAGGTTCTCTCATTATTTTTCTTGCAGGAGATGGATGTCAAACCAATCTTCCACAAATCTCACCTGAGGTTAGGTTTAAGCAGGATTCATTCTTTGTAAAGTGAACAGTTTTTGATGGGTTGTAAAGAGCCTTAATTTCCTTTTTAGATTTCCAGAAGTAATTGGCAGAAATAACACATTCTTCTCATAATTATATTTATATCTCTGTAGTTCCTAAACGGTATTTATTATATTTCCTTCTCAGGAGGGATTTTTTTTCTTCCCTAAATACACTCGAACAATAGGTCAAAAGCTAGGAACAATTAAAAAACCCCATTTGATATAATTTCCTACAACAATGCTTCCCTTTCCACATCTTTTTCATCGTTTTTACCAATGATGATGGAAGAAAAGTGGAGTACCATTTCCTGTGGCTTCTTCATTAACTGCCTCACACTAAAATTAAGGGCAATAGTACTGTTGTCTACACTGACCTCTGGAATAAAGTTCAATGTGGACATAACTCTTTTAAAACCATTTTTTTAAAGTTTACTGTACTTTATTATTATTATTATTATACTTTAAGTTTTAGGGTACATGTGCACAATGTGCAGGTTAGTTACATATGTATACATGTGCCATGCTGGTGTGCTGCACCCATTAACTCGTCATTTAGCATTAGGTATATGCCCTAATGCTATCCCTCCCCACTTCCCCCGAACCCACAACAGTTCCCAGAGTGTGATGTTCCCCTTCCTGTGTCCATGTGTTCTCATTGTTCAATTCCCATCTATGAGTGAGAACATGCGGTGTTTGGTTTTTTGTCCTTGCGATAGTTTACTGAGAATGATGATTTCCAATTACATCCATGTCCCTACAAAGGACATGAACTCATCATTTTTTATGGCTGCATAGTATTCCATGGTGTATATGTGCCACATTTTCTTAATCCAGTCTATCATTGTTGGACATTTGGGTTGGTTCCAAGTCTTTGCTATTGTGAATAGTGCCACAATAAACATATGTGTGCATGTGTCTTTCTAGCAGCATGATTTATAGTCCTTTGGGCATATAGCCAGTAATGGGATGGCTGGGTCAAATGGTATTTCTAGTTCTAGATCCCTGAGGAATCGCCACACTGACTTCCACAATAGTTGAACTAGTTTACAGTCCCACCAACAGTGTAAAAGTGTTCCTATTTCTCCACATCCTCTCCAGCACCTGTTGTTTCCTGACTTTTTAATGATTGCCATTCTAACTGGTGTGAGATGGTATCTCATTGTGGTTTTGATTTGCATTTCTCTGATGGCCAGTGATGATGAGCATGTTTTCATGTGTCTTTTGGCTGCATAAATGTCTTCTTTTGAAAAGTGTCTGTTCATATCCTTTGCCCACTTTTTGATGGGGTTGTTTATTTTTTTCTTGTAAATTTGTTTGAGTTCATTGTAGATTCTGGATATTAGCCCTTTGTCAGATGAGTAGGTTGCGAAAATTTTCTCCCATTTTGTAGGTTGCCTGTTCACTCTGATGGTAGTTTCTTTTGCTGTGCAGAAGCTCTTTAGTTTAATTAGTTTCTTTCTTTCATTGTTTCAAAATGCACACATTCCCCAAAGTATTTCCAGAATTTGAGTGTCTGTCTCTTCATATGTGAGTTGTCCTACTGAAGGGCTCCAGGTAGTAGGAGCTCTGATGAACTCTTACACATAATATATTCAGGACAAACATCAGAGGGCAATCTGGCCAATTCATCAAAGTATACAATGTGCATATCTTTTTACCCTGCAATTCCACCTATGGAAATTTATCTTGCTGGAACATAAACATAAGTGGCAAAGATATATCTGTAAGGATGGTCATTAAAGCATTTCAATGGCAAAAGGGGGAACCATGCCAACTCTATAGCAGTAGAAGGAGGGTTAAATAAATGATGGCGTATCCAAACAACGGACTACTAGGTAGGCATTTTAAAAGTCCAGGAAAAATAGGGAAAGGAGGTCTTCATAGAACATTAAGTAGAGAAAGTAACTTAATGAGAAAACATACAGGATACAAACTAAAAATGCTCTCAGGGCCTAGTCAGGTAACATCAGGGCAGATGTGACCCAAGACAGCTATTGCCCTGCGTTCTTCTTGGCACAAGGAGAAGGCTGGGTGAACTGATCTAAACGTCCTCCCAGTGCCCACCAATTGTTGCCATGCAGGTACCAGTGCCCTATTTTGTCAGATATTTAGATTTTTCTAGAGAAGAGAAGTAGATTCAGGTATTAATGTATATTCTTGGGTGTGTGTTTAATGTTTTCATTTCATTTAAATGCTTTCAGATACAGTGTTAGCCAAGCAAAATATGTGTGTAGGCAAATCTTGGCCAGGCCACGATTTGTTACTCCTGCTGTCTAGACATTGAAAAATGTAGAAAGTTATACATCTAATCATGACACTGATAAGTTCTGCAGAGTAGGTTTGGAAATCAGATGACAAAATGGCATTGTAATTTATACACTCCTATATTGTTTGATCTTGTTTCACTGCATGTACATACATGGTATATTTTCTGTGTTCATGCTATTAAAAAATCCCATAAAGTCCCATGTTCTAAGGAGAAAAAGTAATTTTGGGTTTAGGCACCATCTCTATCTTTGTGACTTAGTCAATTTACTCCAACTTTCTATAACTCAATTTCTTCATTTGCATAAGGGGGATAAAAAGGTTTGCCTTGTGTATTAGTAAGAATTATGTAAGATGATATTTACAAGTGCTCTGTATGTAGTTCTTGCTTTGTGAGTGTTCAAACCAACCATTATTTGGTCATGCCAAGAAGCAAGTGAAGGGTGAGAAGAGACTATTTTAAATTAAGATTGTTAAAATGTTTTTCTTCATTCAGCTGGCAATGAATACCAAAATGTGTATCTACACTCAAGAAAGATTTGTCTACATTAAAGATTAAGTAGTTCCATAATTGTTTTCTTAACATAACTAGGGACTTGGGAATTATTACTAATCTTTTTATTTGCTCTTTCAGTAAATCATTTCAATTATCCTTTGCTCTTTAAGAAGTTACCCTAATTTGGCCGGGTGGGGTGGTTCATGCCTGTAATCCCAGCACTTTGGGAGGCTGAGGCGGGTGGATCATGAGGTCAGGAGATCGAGACCATCCTGTGAATGGTGAGACCCCGTCTCTACTAAAAATACAAAAAATTAGCCTGGTGTGGTGGCGGGCGCCTGTAAACCCAGCTACTCAGGAGGCTGAGGCAGGAGAATGGCATGAACCCAGGAGGTGGAGCTTGTAGTGAGCTGAGATTGCACCACTGCACTCCAGCCTGGGAGACAGAGCAAGACTCTGTCTCCAAAAAAAAAAAAGAAGTTACCGTAATTTAATACTGGGTAAAAAGCAGTGTAGTATATATCATTTAAAATGTTTAAAATTGCAGCCATGGCATTGGTAGTTTTCTGGAGGTGTGAGAGAGGCTTTCTTTATTAAAGAATCTGGTCCCCTTAAACATTTTCACGTTCAAGTGAGTTATCAAAAACAGAAAAAAAAATAAGGTTGGAAGCTTCTTAATATAAGGGAAATAACCTGATTTTGAATATAGACATTTTTTTTCCTCAGTGAAACGAAAATGCAATTTAAGAAATTAATATAATTATTTTTGTACGTAAAAATAACCCCTTAACACTACTTCCCACCTATTGCTTTAACCCAGAAAAGTCTTCCTGTGAATTTTATTTTCCATAATGACACTAATATCCATCTGAAGGAGAAGAAAAACGACAACAACAACAAAAAAGACAATATGAGTATTCCTCTTTGCAAGAAATCCAGAAGAAATTTTGAAAAACAAAGGACAATTTACACACAAACACGCACAGCCTCAAAAACAGAAACAAATACACAAAATGTAAGGCTACCTGCAATTAATCAATCAGATATTTTTAAAACATCCAGTGAAATTCTAATGGTGGGAGTTTAAATATTATGTAGCAAGATCTATCACTTTACCTCGGCCACAAGAGAATATGGACTTTTCCACACGAGAAATATTACCTGTTCATTCACACTTATTACATTTTTGTGGAAGTTGTGAAATTGCAAAAACTTGTGATATAGTGAAAAGTTTCCTTAAGTGTCCTTAGGAAATGCCTCGGCTCTCCAGATAAGCCTCCTGCAAAACAATTGCATTGGGGTGCTGTCCTGGGGGCCCACAGGGTTCCTGACTTCGGAGCCAACGCCACCGTTGCTAGGCAATTACTTATGCTGTGTCATGTCCCCTGAGAGTACCCTCCACCCTGTAGCCTTCAATCTTTCTGTCAGAAAATGAGCAAGGCTTTGAAACCAGAGCATCATGAGACTGCATTCTGAATCCACCTCTTACTGGGTTCGTGGCCTACAGAGGTGAGGACTTTACACCCTCTGACACCAAGTTCCCTGATCTAGGAAACCGGCTCATAATTCCCACCTTGTAAGGTTGTTTTAAGTGTTTAAAAAAAATACACATAAAGTCTTTGTTGTGTTGTAGCTGCTTGATAGAAAGTATTACTGTATCATTGTTGCTATAATACGTAAGAGTACATTAAGCCACATTTAATTCTTCTATTGGACAAATATTGTCATTTTAAATACTATATTAATGCAGTTTTAAATGTCAGTTGCTAAGAACGTACAGCCAAGTATGGCTATTAATATACATAGAGGCCAGGTGCTCTTGCTCACGCCTGTACTCCCAGCACTTTGGGAGGCCGAGGCAGGCGGATCACGAGGTCGAGAGTTCGAGACCATTCTGGCCAACATGGTGAAACCCTGTCTCTACTAAAAATACAAAAATTAGCTGGGTGTGGTGGCGCATGCCTGTAGTCCCAGCTACTCGGGGGGCTGAGGCAGGAGAATCCCTTGAACCCAGGGGGCAGAGGTTGCAGTGAGCCGAGATCGTGCCACCGCACTCCAGCGTGGCGACACTGTGAGACTCTGTCTCAAATATGTATATACATACACACATAGAAGAGCAGAGGTTCATTAGGTTCAGACAGTAGTTGGAAGGAGTCCAAAAAGACTAAATTGAAAGAGGTAAAGAAACTAGCGGAAAGGACTGTGAGCTCATTCCATCATCTTAAGAATGATAAAATAAAAACAACTAACAAATATTTAATCATTTTACATGAGACATAATACTAACTGCTTTGCGATATTAATTTATTTAATCATCCCAGCAAGCTTATGTTGTGATTTATATTATCATACCTATTCTACAGCTGAAATAAAAATTAGGCACCAAGAAATTCATTTATTCATGCATAATGGTGGAAATAACAGCAAGATTCTTACTCGCATGAAACTTACATCATATCTGGACATAAAGACAAACACAGAAACAACAGCAACAAAATACATATATATAATGTTTGCAGGAGGTAAGTTAATGGAGGAGAAAGAAAGTAGAATGAGGACTCAAGAGGGTGATGAGGGTGCCATAGCATCAAGGCTGGCCAATGAATGCTGCCCTGCTACTAAGGCGAAACTTGAATAAAAGCCAGAATCATAAGAGGGGACAAACTGAGCAGATGCCATAATGAAGAGCATTGTGGGCAAAGGGAAGCACATGTGCAATGACCCCAAGGTGAAGTCTGTCTGCAGAGGGCAAGAAGTTCACGTGGCTGGAGCAGAGTGAGAGAGTTTGTAGCAAAGACTGAGATCAGGTGAGAATTTAAGGCAGAGTCTTAAATTCATTGAAGGATTGGGAATTTTATTTTGAGTAAGATGATGAGCCATTGAAGGCTTTGGGGCAAAATAGACATTCAACCCAACATTAAAATGATAACAGGTTGTGTATGACATTGTAATGGTGGACACATGTCATTATCCATTTGCTAAAACCTATAGGATGTCCAGCACCAAGAGTGAACCTTAATCTAAACTATGGATTCTGGGTGATAATGATGTGACAATGATTGTAACCAATGGGCTACTCTGGCGTGAGATATTGATTGTGGGGGAGGTTGCACACGTGGGGGCAGGGGACATATGAGAACTCTCTGTTATTTCTCCTGAAATTTTCTATAAACCTAAAACTGCTTTAAATATAAAGTCTATTTAAAAGAATAATAACTGGAAGTCTTGTAGATATTAAGCCATAGGGAGAAAAATAGAATCAGAAAGACAATTTAAGAGATTATAGTAATTGTCTAGGTGAGAAATAATGTTGTCTTTTATAAGATAGCAAGTATGAAGGTTTTAAGAAGTGTTAGATTCTGGACCTATTTTGAAAATAGAACTGATGGTATATATTTTTTAATAGGTTGAATGAATTGTATAAGAGAAAGTAAGGTGTTAAGAATGGCTTCAAGGTTGTTGGCCTGAGAGTCCTAAAGACTTGAGATGCCATTTATCAAGAGAGGAGAATTGAGGAGAAAATCAGTTTTAGAGAGGTAGATGGAGTTTGGTTTTGAGCAAAAGTTTGAGACATGGCACACTTGAGAAGCAAAGGAAATTCCTGCAAGGTCACCCAGGTTTGTAAATAGCAAAGCTAAGACTAGGACCAGATAATATAAACAGAGAAACCGACTCTTACTGAAAGGTTGATTATGCCTTAGCCACCTTTCAGCAGCACTGAGTTTAAGTTTTTATGTATAAACACAATAAATGCTCAGTGGCTTCACGAGACCAAGTATTGTATGTTGGTCTCATTGACTGATCATTCCTTAATACCTAACATAGAGTCTGTCATGTATTCACAAAAACAAAAATATATTTAAAAAATTTTTTAATTCATAGATTTTTTAAAAAACCTGAAATAGAAATCTGTCAGACGTGCAAAGGTTGAGCAAGGTGTTAAGAACAGATATGGTACATTTTATTTTATATTGGAGAATTTAGACAAGTAACTAATGGCCTTTTTGTGTGATTCATTCAGAAATCTGAGAATACACTTCTTATTCAAGATAATTAAAACTTTAGTCAAGAACAACACAAAGCAAATTGTACATTTTTTGTCAATAAGTTAAAATTCTGGGTGAGTTATGAAGGATTAATAATTTGTTAGAGAAAAAAGCAACAAGTTTATAAAAGAAGAAAAATGTCTTAAGAAATAAGTCCATTCAGGAAACTATACAATAAATACTGAAACTGAGAAAATTTTTTTCCAACGAAGATAAATTTTTTTTCCAACAATGATAACAAAAAATTACTCTTTTTTTTTAAATGAATACGGCAAATACAACTAGATAAACTGACAATGTACTAGGAAAGACATAAAATGCCAATCAATGAACTCAAAATAATAATTGTCTAATGCCCTACCTGCTGGTGCTGGGCAGGTTGGCCTAGCTGGAAGGGGTTTCCCAGGGGTTTCCCATAAACTCCAGCTATGTAGCATGTGACACCCTAAATGGATTTTGCAGCTAACATACCACAGTCTGGCAAAAGTGGTTTAAGTCTCTCTGGACAGGCATAACTTCCCAAGACTCAAGTGCTGGATCATGAGCCATGAGGTTGATATCCAGAAAAATAACTGCAAGAAACCATTCAGCTGGACATGGGAAGAGGACTCTAGCAAAGATCATTCTCCACACCTAGGCTTCTACAACACGGCATTGTGTTGTGTAAAGGGGCCAGATTCAATTCATGGCACAGAGGAGAAATAGGCGTAATTCACAAACAGAATGTAATTGACCAATCATTATGAAAAAATGCTTAATGGCACTAATAACAAAAGGAAAACAAACTAGAATCTGATTCGTCATTCATTCATTCATTCCACACATGATTTTTGAATATCTTTTATGTGCACATATTGGGAATACAGCATTGAACAAAAGCGACAGATACCTCTACCATGGCAAAGCCCATGTTATTATAGGAGACAATAAAAATTACACAAATAAATAATATATTATTTGATGTTAGTATGAAATACAACAGAGGAAAAGGAAACAGGGCAGGTGTGTGGGGAAGGGCCGTTACACCTGTGGATGGCAGGTGTAGCAGTTCTAAGTAGGATGAAAGGAGAAGGCTTCCAGGAGAAAATGACATATGTTCAAAGACCTGAAATAGTGTTTTGTTGTATAATGTTGGTGAAACATACAATGGACTTGGAGCTTAGAATCTGACTGTGTTGGGGTGTACAACTCACTGCATACTGTGTTATAATTTCCTCATTTGCACATCAGGGGTAACCCCTTCAGTTGTTGAGAATTTAAGTAAGATTTCAATATTGTGTCACAGGCAGCAAGCAAGAAAGCTTAGTTTTCCTTTTTGTTAGAAAACCATTGCAGATTTTTTTGAAGGATAATGTTTAGTGCTAATAAGCACAGAGCAATATCTTGGTAAAGATAGGGCACAATTAATACAATTAAGGGAAAAATTGTGCTAGTTAGGATGTTTTCAGATCCATGCAACTGAAATTCCAACTAAACAGTAAAGAACTTTATAAATCTATGACAGGAAACCTGGAGTTAGGGTGGCCATCAGGGCTGGTTTATGTGGAGGCCAAGGTGCACCAAGGCCTGGGGTTCTCTCAGTTGCTTCTCTTGTCTGTCCTTACTGTTGCTCTTTCTGAAGACCTGGAGCAGAAGGGTGACTTGTATCCAGGAAAGACACTATTTAGGGCTATGCTCGTCAATACAATGGCCACTAGCTACAAGGCTATTTACATGCAAATTAACCAAAACTAAATAAAATTCAAAGTTCAATCTATATATTGTTTATAGAATGATAAAATTGTAATTTGTCTTATTTTTATTTTCTGCTTTTTTCTGATTTAAACTGTATTCTCTGAGAAATAACCATTAAAAAATACATACCCACACAACACACACAATACCCACAGACATCATTAAAATAATGTATTCTCAACTAATATAATACGGAAGGATTCTTCTTAATTAATATGTGAAGAAAGAATATTACATGTTGAATATTACTACAACAGAGAAAAATATAGTCACAGAATAAGATTGGAAAGAAATTTTAGATATTTTAACAGTGACACTTGGTTAGCAGTAAAATTATTAGTGATAATTCTTCCTACCTTTCCTCATTTTATTAAATGTATATTATTTCTATGCTAGAACTTTTTAAAAAGTATTTAAGAAGGAAAAAGTGTGTATTTTAGGAATACTGCCTTTTACAATTCTAGGCTCACATTCAACTGTTTCACAATTAGCCTTGTCAATTCTTCTGGCATAAAAAATTACAAACAAGGCCCTTATTTCCTTCAATATTGAACCTACAATGTCAATTTTTTTTTGTTTCTTGCATATTATAATGGTAGACTATTTGATAACTAAAGGCTTAATATCTTACAAAACTTACCCTTTTTGAATAGATTTGTGTTTTAGCAAGGAACGAAGTTACATATAAATTTGAGGTTTTGAAAGTGAGCTTCGTAGAAGCCTAGGGCTTGCTGGAAGGTCCCTGTGGGTCCTTAGAAGGGGATCAGTCAGGCCAGCTGGAGAGGGGAGGAAAGGACTTTGAGCCTCCAACCACCCACTTTCCCCTGAGCAGCTGGACTTTCCTCTGCTATCTTCTACATTTGATTGCTATGTAATTTTCTATTTAGGAAAAAGCTGTATCTCAATTATGTAGAAAGTCAGTGTTTTAAATGATAGAATGACTCTCCAGTGATCAGATTTCTATCTTGCAGAATAACTGCTGAGAGGAAGTTTGAGGGAGTGCTGTGGTTCTCTACATCTGGACTGGTATGCAGCCTGCTTCTCTGTTTGTTTGTGTACAAGCTAGACCTCCTCCTCTAGTTACTGAGTGCACTAGCGACTGTCACAAGGCAGTCTCCCTTCTGGCAGTCTGCCACCTACCTCCCAGAAGCAGGTGTAGACCATTTCCTCACATTTTGAGCTTTCCTCTATATGCACAGCTCTAAGAAACTGAAAAAATGGAAGCCTGTTGGCAGAGCTTCAAATGTGAGGAAATGGTCTACACCTGCTTCTGGGCTCTTTTTTAATGAACACATGCAGTGTTCAGCATCACAAGCATTGAGGGCTGCACAAAAAAAAGACTAAGGTGGCCGGGAGCAGTGGCTCATGCCTGTAATCCCAATGGTTTGGGAGGCCTAGGTGGGTGGATCACTTGAGGTCAGGAGTTTGAGACCAGCCTGGCCAACATAGGGAAAACCCATCTCTACTAAAAATATAAAAATTAGCCGGGCATGGTGGCACACACCTGTAATACCAGCTATTTGGGAGGCTTAGACAAGAGAATCACTTGAACCTGAGAGGTGGAGGTTACAGTGAGTGGAGATCACACCACTGCACTCCAGCCTGGGTGACAGAGTGAGACTCTGCCTCAAAAAACAGAACAAACAAACAAACAAAAAGACTAAAGCATGCCTCTCACAATGACATCACTTACATTTTATTCAGAGTAAAGGTGAAGAGTGTAGGCAGCATAAACTAAAGGGCTAGTGTATATTAGTTAAGATGTTTTAAATAAATGAAACAGAAATTCAAACCTAACTAATAAGGAATGTTTTATAAATACTTAACAAGGTTAGAGTAATCATCTGGGCTGGTTTGTTTAGAGGTTCAATAATGTACCAAGGATGTGGGATTTTTCCACTGCTCCTTGTGCAATCCTTGTTATTCGTTTCATCTGCCTGCTTGTAACACAACAATGACCTTTATCCAAGCATGATGCCATCTAGAAATATGCTTTTCAGACTCATCATCACTAGCCATACCTGGCTATTTACATTAAATTCATCAAAATTAATAAAACCAAAGTTCAGTTATCCAGTGGAATTAGTCACATTTTAAAGCTAAACAACCACATGTAGCTAGTGGCCATCATATTGGATTGCACAGATATAGACGATTTACATATTTTCAAGGAGCTGTATTGGACAGCACTGGATTTTGGCAAAAAAGGAAAAGCATGTTCCTGTGCTTCTTTCTTAAGAACCAGGACATTTCTCAGAAGCTTCTGAGAAGACCTATCTTTATGGTTCTTTTACCATTAATTTTCATCTCCATTCTGGAGCAAAACCTTGACAAGACAAGGGGATTATAGCAGGACCCATTAACTTACCGCAGACATAGGGGTAGAGCTGATATCCCCCTAGTTACATAGCTGCAATGGTGTGGCTGTGTTTCAACAACACTTTATTTATATAACCAGGCAGTGGGCCAGATTTGACCCTCTACGCATAGTTCATGGACCCCTGTTTTAATTCACAAGTCTAAAATCAGTAGTGAGAGTCATTTGGTTTATATTTTAAAGATCAATAAAAATTTTCTTCTTATGCTCCCATCTTGTTATGCATATTCAATCAGAATTCTAGGCTATGGTTTTCAATTTTAAAAGCCGGGTATATCTGAAACTCAAAGCATAAACATTTGTTAAATCATTCATGGTGTCTGGAAAGGGTATTCTGAAAGCTAATTCCTAATGATGAAAACAATAGTATATATAAGCATGATTTGAAAAGATAAACACAGAATATAAGTTATTTTAACCACTATACTTCTAAATAACTAATATCAAGAAATTGCTATCCTTTAAAGAAATATTGGCAGTGTGCTACAATGCCACCTATTAATAATATTTATATATCAACATTTTATATTATAGTTCCTATTTGTGAGTACCTAGACCAATGCTGACTTCTGAGATGGGTCAACCAATTCCTGACTATACCCACACTCATGCGTAGGTGTGTCCATGATTTTACCACATCCAAGAACTTCAGAGCTGGCCAATATCCCAAAATCCCTAAGAGAAATCAAGATCGTCTTATAGAAAAACAAGCGCTCTCCACATGTTCAGCTTCTCTAGCTCTTTTTTTTTTTGGTTTATTTTTATAGGAATGTGTATTTGTGGAGGAACTTCACAGGTATGAGGCAAGCAAAAGCTTTCATTCATTTAGGGAGAGTGATGGAAGAACTATGCAGAGAGGCAGCCACGCAGTGGCAGGAGGTGGGAAGAGGGTGCATTCAGACATTCTCTGCAAATTTTGCAGCCAAAAGAACTATTTCTTTTTTTAGAATCTTCTAAATATACAAGTAAAAAAGAATTGTGAAGCATGTATGCATCACATAACATTGCAAATCATGACATAATATAATATAATGTAGTCATCTTTTTTGTGGAGCAGAATGTGTATGCCATGTTGCTTTCCCAGAATATTTATAGATTTCCTGAGAGTGACTAATTGTTCTCCAAAATTATATTTTTAGTTGCCTTTGCTGTATCCACAGCTCTAAGAAACTGAAAAAATGGAAGCCTTTTGGCACAAGTATCAATGAACTCCCATCTGCTGTTAGTGGTTTCATTACAAAAACGTGTGTATCTCTAGAAGAATTTTTTTAGAAAGAAGCCATTTCAGCTCCATGTCAATCGATAGCTTTACAAGTAACCCATCATAGTTGATTTTATATGAGCTTAGCCCTTTCAGGAAAAAGAAATCATTCCATGAAGCAATCTTACAAAAACTGTGCTAGGATATTATATGTATGAGAAGACTCCAAGAACACAAACCCATGAACTGAAGCTAATGAATTATCTATGGATTTCAGTTCAGATTTCCCAGGTTTACTTGAGAAGATGAATATATTCAGACAAATAAATGCCATTACTATTTTTTTGTCTGCTAGCAAATGGCATTATCAACAGATTTGCCTTTATAAGATGTACACATTGCTTTACCTAGGGTAGTTGAGAAAATATTAATCGTCAGAAATACTGTAAATTCCAGTCATGTATTTATGAAATATATTGATATTGTCAGTCTCTATTTATTATAGTGTGCTACAAAGTCTAGACAAAGTAATCACACATTCTTTGTAAAGGCATGGATTGCAAAAATCACTGAATTTGCTGTAATGCTAATCCCTGGGTCTCATGCATTAATTTTTTATAGTTGATTTTACATTCCTATGAAGAAAAAATAATTAACAACACTTTTCCACCCTTCTAATTTAACTAGAATCTTGCATTTAGAATAACAAGTAATGTTTAATTTGACCATTGAGCTATGTCTTCATTTGCCCATTTCTCAATTCCAATTTAAAATGCAAATATTAAAAATTTCAAATATTTCCTCTCTAAGAACATCTCATAGTGATGCAGCTTGTGTCACTATAAAAACATCAATTTCCAAATTCTCATTCATTGCAGTTCCTCATCTAGTTGCTGAATAAAAACAGTATCTCTAACCCTGAAGTTTTATTGTCCATTAGCTTAAATTCAACCTGATTTTTAAAAATGTAAAAGCCATTACTAAAAATACTAAATGTAAAGAAAAACAGAGCTAACACGTGACAAATCTAAGTGGGCTGACTGACATAGAATGAGGAATCTATTAAATCTTCAAAGATCTAGTTTTCTGCAGCCCCCAACCTCCTTTGCTCTAGGCAATTCCAAATATCTAGCATTAATCATGCATTAGTTCCTCTTGCCCCAGCTTCCTCTCCCATACTTCCTAAAATGCAGCGTAACATTTATTGCCATCCCTGGAACTGATTCGGTGCACACTACCACTCAACAGAAGAGTTTATATTTAAATTATGGACTCTCCAATAGTTTAAACATGTTTATTTTCCTCTTGCCTTGCTCTTGGTCTTGTCCACAGGAAATTTATTTTTGCCTGACAGCCATCCATTTATAAAAAGTTGCTTTGTACAAACTTCTTTATCTTCTTTGCTGATGGTCTCATTTTCTTTGCGGTCTATTTGTCTGTACTGATATTTTTCTGTGTGATAAGAAGGTTATCTACCAAATGGCAGTAGACTTATTGCCAGTAGTGGCAGCTGTTCAATTTTAGATGATCTTCTGAATCATAACTCTCCTAGGGAAAAGACACAGTGTATGTGCATTAAATGTGATTATTTTAAAATTTGCTTATTCACATACACAATCAGAAATTTAGCTTTCCATCTTTGGGGCAGAAGAATAACTCTCCGTAAAAAGAGGTCTTGCATTTTTCTGATGACGTTCACTCCAGGCAGCCTAACAGCTTTCAATTCTGT
Source organism: Homo sapiens (assembly GCF_000001405.40). Classification (NCBI taxonomy): domain Eukaryota; kingdom Metazoa; phylum Chordata; class Mammalia; order Primates; family Hominidae; genus Homo; species Homo sapiens. Next base: position 105,731,266 of record NC_000013.11, on the reverse strand, counting down.
CTCCACCACTTATCCAGCATTTGACTTTGGTCAGGATACTAAATTTCTATGTCTTCACTTTGCTCATCCCCAAAGTGAAGACAAAAATATTACCATCTTTGGGAGTATTGCTAGCAGGATTGAGTGAGTTAATATGTGTGAAGCTCTCAGTTGGTGCCTGGAAGGTAGAAGGCACTCCATGAGCGTTGGCCATTCTTATTATTGCAAGAATAACTTTGTCTCAATGACAATCAAAACATCATCTTGGGTTTTGTCTGTATGACTGATGGACTGGCATTTACATCACATCAACCATTATTTAGGATAGGATAATCTCAGTTGTTGAGTGATGTTATTACAGAAGTTCAGTAACATTCAAGAAAGTCTCAGCAACACTATTCAATAATATTGAAGAACCATATCACCTTTTACAGTCAATTTAAATAACCAGGAAACTGCAAACAACCACACTTTTTCCAGAGTTGCTTTCCTGATGGGGCAAGCAGAACAGTACAATTGGTACAATGTACATCAAGTGTGGGCTTTTCTCAATAATGTTAAGTGTAAATATAAATATAGGAATGTAAAAAATGTAAAGGCTATTTTAATTGTATGTGTGTGTTATGAAGGTATTCTGACAAAAATTGAAAACGTTTCTATTATTCCATCAGATGCAGAAACAAAGGAAGTAGTAGTATGGGCTGCTTCATATTTTGAGACACAGAAGTCCAGACAGGTACCTAGTTACATGTTAAGGCCAGAAACAGGGGAGCTGTTACTGACTCCTCTCTTTCCCTCCACCACATCACCCAGCTGTGCTCCTACTTACTGCTCATTCAGCCCTGTTGGCTGCAGACTCTAAGTGTCTCTTAAATCTATCCCCATTGGTTATTCTCAAGGATGAAGCTCCACCATCTTGAGCTTGGATGACTGCAATAGTCTCCTCAACGGTGTCCAAATTCGATTTTCTCACCTAAAACCATAACCAGAGAAACCTTTTTAAACCTGTATTTGGGGCATGGTCCTTAGAGGCTTAAGCCTTAAGTGGCTTCCTATTGCCTACCAAATGAAGTCTCCAATCTTCAGCTTGACGGTGGGGCCGTGAGTAACTGAGCCCTGCCTCCTGGACAGCCAGGGTCCCTCTTTGCTCTGCTCACTTATCACGTTGGTCTTCCTATCCTGGAGTGTGGCTCACTCTCCACACCATCAACTGTTTAATTGCTGCCCACCCTTCAAATCTCAGCATCAACAGTGTCCTTCGATACAGGCCTTTTCTCCCTGCACTGGCACCCCGTTCATAAACACCTGCCATTTCTAATCACACCAACCTGTGCTTCTCCTTTTGAAGTGTTCACTCCGTGGGATACTTGTTGACATTTTCTCCATTCGAATATGAGCTCCATGGGGGCAGGCACCATATTTGTCTTGTGGCAGATGTTAGCCTCTGATTGGGCAGAATATCTGATACATAATTTTCAATGCTCGTTGAATATGTAAATAAATTTAGAGAATGCCTAGATAATTTCTTAATACCCAATTACTGTATTTTGAGATGGCTTGCTGAACTGGTTTAAATTTGGATCTGAATAATGCCAGACCTACTTAATTAAATGAAATTTTAAATTATTCAATGAAGGTATTTGACCATGAAATGGAAATATAATGCAGCTGTTAAAAACATCATCACCATGGCTGGAATGCTGTGTTCAAATACTGCCTGTGCAACTGAGATGTGTCCCTGGGCTAATTACTGACCTCTAGTTCCTCCATTTCCTCAGCTGTCATATTGTGAGAAGTAAACACATGAAAATATCTAAAGCACTTAGAAGCATAATAAGCCTAATAGTTCAGACACAATCATCTAAAAGGAAAACTCTCTTTTCTTCTTCCATCAATTGGATGCTTGTCTTTCATATTTTCAAGCTAAAACTTTAGATAATATAAAATTATAAAATTGCACAAAGTAAAAACTCTGAAAAATTTTTCTATGAGCTTTCCTTTCACCAAATATCCAGATTGGTCTGGTCTGAACAATTTAGATGTTTGGAGTCTACAACAACATAGCACATATGCACTCCACCCAGTCAGATGGACGGAACAAATTAATCTTGGTATCATCATCCAGACTATTTGCCCATCACAGGTTTTCTCTTTTCACTCACTGAGCTGAGTATAGACAGTCTCTCAGACACTTCCAGATTGTCCATGGCAGGAAATTTCCTACCTGGACAGCAGTGGGTGGCCCATTGAAGGGAGAAACCAAGCATTTCGTCAGGATTCTTGATAAACTGCCATTATCTGAGCAGAGGGTTTTCCTTTTGTCCTGACAAAAATGTCTGTACACGTCTATTTTCATGTATTTTTATGTGATAATTTCCTATTCTACCACCTTAAGAATTCAAAATAATCTTTCATGGAAAAGCATCAAGAGCTTAACAAAAATCACATTGAGTTACAGTTTCTGGTTTTTCTAAAGAACAAAGCCTTATTAAGTTCTTAAGTATGATTCAACAATTAAATCAAATGAAATCACTAATTTCCGCCCCCCTCTTTCACTCACCCCAGACTGCTTTATAGAGGATGTAATCCATTGTGACGCTACTAAAGGCAGGACACGTCTTCCAAGGTATATTCACTCTTAAGAAATGATCAGGTTGGTTTGGATAAATAACTTCGAAGTCTTCATATTTTAAAGAAGCTGCATTTAAATTACAAGATTATAACTGGCCATTTCTGTCAAACTGAAAAAAATCTTTTCACCATCAATAATCCACTTTAGATATAGAGTGAGGCAAAAACATTTCATCTTTTAAATTGATTGCATAGTAGCACATTTTGGTCAATGAGTTTATTTTTCTTTTTATTTCCAAAGATGCAATAAGTAAGAAAAAAAAGCTTTTAAACAGGCTTTTAAACAGCCAGAAATGACATGATTTATTTGCATGAATTGCACATATGGCTGAAGTTCTTCCTGTGCCATATTTTCAATACATTAAAATATTTTCTACATTATGATGTTTTATAAAATTATTCTCAGCAACTCTGGGGAATATAGCTATTATATCCTTAGGAAGATGAAATGATCCTCATTCTTCTGGGAGTTTAGTGTTATTAAAGAGGTTTATAAGCACTAGATATGGAAGCTAAATTTATTTACCTTAGTTTTCTTTTGTGTTTGTAATTAAGCATCATAAAAATGCAGAAAAGAGCAGACACAGGAAGTAATAAATGTAAAAATATTGTATAACTTCACTGTACTTCAAATGTATATTGACCCATTTTGCCTTCAGAGTAAATGAACTTGGGAAATCATTATATATATATATATATATATATATATATATATATATATATACACACACACACATATATATATATACACACATATATATATATACATATATATATATATATACACACACACATACAAATACTTATTAGATCCATAAATATGTATGTACTTTTAGGACTGCTATATCAGAGGCAAATAAAGGGTTTGCTATTTCCCTGAATTTCCACTCCACACATTTTAAAAGCAAAGTGGGTTTACTAGTGGTGACATTTTAAAACAGGAACTTTTGGATGATTTGAAGTGAACCAATTCTGAGACTCAGTCATTACCATGGCAACACCAGGGTTCAGAAGTCTTCATGTGGAGGCAATCATTGGGTACTCTCACATAAAGCACAGATGATTTAGTCCTGCTTTTGTCAGAAAGGTTAAATGGATTTTTTTAATAAACTGGAAAATGTGCCAATAAGTCCAATATCCATGAAAGTAGATATCACTAATGGTTCATCAACCTAAGTCTTCCCACCAAGGGTTCAACTTCCTTCAAAGCATGTGGGAGAGTCATTTCCCCCCATTTCTGAGATAGTATGTTGTTAGCCTTCCAAAAAGCGAAGGACACTAATTGATTCCTTTATTCAATTTTACAAATCATTCCTTGTGTATAACTTTTGCTAGTAAAGCAAAATAAATTTCTACCTATCCATCCAAAATATTCCTGTATCACAAAGGTTAAGGAAGGGATAAGCATAAATGTTCCACTCTCCCCCTTGATGGAGGAGGGTGGAGGGAGAAAAACAAAACAAAACAGAGCAGAAACTAAGATGCCTTGAGAAGGCTCTCACGACGTTTTATTGACTGAGAGCCATCACAGACAATGCCTTCTCCACTTATTTATTTGGACCCTTTGCTTAAGGAGAATAAAATAAACTCTTGGTATATTTCCATTTTTAGGGTTAAATTAGATTTTCTGTAACAACATACAAATATATGCAATTCACAGTCATCAAAGATGATACCTGTTGGTGGTGGCGGGATGGAACAGACTTTAAGCTTAAAGCTGTGTGTAGACTGCTCTTGACCATGTAGTATTTCCAGAAGATCTTATCAAGTAAGAGGCTTTGCATAATTCTGTAACTGTGTGTTTAGAGCTTCCCGAGGAACAACCACAGACTGAGAGACTCTGGGACATGAGCACAGCCATAGCTTCCAGTCCTTCCTATGTGTGTTATCTACAGGGTGGTCTTTATTCCAAGTGAATCATTTCCATCCTGTACACCAGTACATGTGCTGAGCACACTTTCATAGACCAAAATTAGAACTGATGATTAACAAAATTCCTCCGTAGGATTTATAGAGGATTGGGAAGAGAATTAGAAATGAGATTGAGTTCACCCCATGTGCATTTAAGAGGGTTCAAGACTTGCCTTCCTCCAATTTACAGACATCCACAGAGAAACCATTAAGCACAAGTACAAGCTAGTTGCAGAAAAAGCAGATAACGTCTCAGTCCCTATATAGCAGGAAAGATGGTCATGCCATTTATGTATAAGAAAATAGTTCATTTTCAATATAAGAAGTGTTTAAAACAAAGTCTTCTGTAGGACCAAAGGATACTATGACTGTTGGGAGTCAGGGAAGAAAAAATACTTTTTGTTTATTAACCTTTCTTAATGTAGTGAAACGCAACTATCAAATCTTAACAAGAAATGGAACATGGTCTTGTTATTATTTCTTTCCACATCTTGATATGGTTTCTGTGAGCCAGGAGTCCACGGATTCCTTATGGGGGCTAATCAGGTGTCAGCTGGGCTGTGTTCTCAGCTATGCAAGAATCCACTTTTAATCTCATTCAGGTTTGGGGCAGAATCAGCTTGCAGCTGCATGATTCAGAGCCTCAGCTGATGCTGTTTGTTGATGAGATACTGGCCTTGGCGTGGGGATGTTCCCAGCATGGCTGCTCACGTCATCAGGCCAGCAAGAAGAGCCTCTCTTCCTTCTACCAAGATGGAGCTGTACACAGTACAACGCAAAGCCTAATAACTGGAGCAACATCCGTGAAGAAGGAAGGAAGTCGGCGGTCTCGCTTGCATTCAAGAGGAAAGGATGTGAAGGTTAGGAGCATGAGGGCCCCCTGGCTTCTATTCACCACACGATCTACCATCCCATTTTACAGAAACAGTGTCTGAAATGATGGCTTGCTAGAATTCCCATGGTGGAAGACAAACCCATCTTTAAACACCAGTCTCTGGGTCTCTCCTGACTCCACTGCTTCTCCAGTGCAGGGCATAGAAGACAACCTTGAGTCATGACTCATGGAAAATGGCTAATGTCCTCCCAGATTACTGAGCAATTCATTCTTCACTTTCCAGAGTTCTTCCAAATATAGATTATTGGTGCTGCACTAGCAATGTCCTGGGAACACTCAGCTTTTCAGTTCAGCTTTCTTTTTCCTATAATGAACTTGATTATATATGGCTAAGTTTTAGATAGAATTTTCAGTTCAGCTTTTTCTTGTAATGAACTTGATTATATAGGGCTAAATTTTATATAGAATTAAAGCCAAAAAACTGGAACTCCTGGTGCCTAAGACAAAAGGATATTAGTGTAAAGAAAGTGGAAATGGGATTGACCAAGTGGTATAAATTTTTCCAAATTTTGGCTGCCAACATCCTAATTTTATTTTAAATGACATCGTTGTTATATTCCCAGTATATCAAATAAGTAAACATGATTACTGATTCATTCATTCACTTAACATATTCATTGAGGGACAATTCTGACAGGCACATCTAAGAAGCTAAGCTTGGGCATGATAAGGTCACTGGCCCTCAGGATGTTTTTGTTCTACTGGGAGATAGGTAATAGCCAGCATGTAATGTGATTTTGTGTGTGTGTGTTTGTGTGTGTGTGTGTGTGTGTGTGTGTGTGATTTTAGGAAGTAGTAAGTCATCAGAAGAAAAATAAAACAAGATAGATAGATAGAGCGTTCCCTGAGGGAGGGTAACCCTCTAATTAAAAAGCCAACTAAAGACTTTCCTCTTAAAAAAAAATAGCATTTGAGCAGAGAGCTGGATAGAGTAGTGATAGAATGAGCTGCGTGTTGTTCTGGGGCTGATATGTTTCAATAGAGGCAAATGCAGGTGTTACCACCATGAAGGAGCAGACTGAAGTGGATACAGCAGGTATAGACAACTCTTTTGAAATGTGTTGTGAAATTGTAGGAGAGGGTTTATAATCAGGGAAGGTTTTGTTGACGTTGTAATTCTTACGATGAAAGGTATTACAACATATTTATGAGGATATAAAAACGATACCAAAGAGAAATAATACTTGATGCATTAATAGAGTAAGTGAAAATGTCAAATGCAAAGGCCTTGAACAGGCACAAGAAGATGAAAGCCATTTCTCATACAGTATTGGATAGGAAGACAGGTTCAGACACAGGAGCTTGGCAGCCCTGATGGAAGGCTGGATTTCTCCTGAATGTTTCCACTTTCTCAGTGAAATAAGAAGCTAAGCCATCAGCTGAGAGTGAGAGAAAGAAAAGATGGGACTGGAGAAGACAGACAAAGTTGAGAAATTTATTGTTTGTTAGTGAGTGAAAGACCAAATTAAAGGTAAGATTGCTGGACAAAGCCAAAGGTGCACTTCTATTTTTCCAACCAGAAAACTCAAAGGTAATTTGTCAGAATGATTGGGTATTTTCTTATAGCCATATCTACCTGCTCTGGTCTAGCCAGGGTGGTGTTTGGTCAAGCTCATCTACTAGAGGGAGAAGGGTCAAAGCAGCTGTGAATATAGCCATGGGAGAGATTAGTGTGGGAAGGGGCCACTGGCAAAGGTGTTGGCACTACGAACAAGGGAAGGACAGGGAGTGAGAAATGCTGAAGGCCTTGAAGCATCGCAGAAGAGGCATCTAGGGTGAGTTGTAGAGGCCAGTGTGGAGCCTTCTCAGCTGGTCTCTCCCCTTTCCTGGACTGTCCACTCTGAATGGCCCTTTGCACAATACCTGTGACTCTTGATAGGGAAGAAGCTATTGTCAGTATCTATTTTAACTGGGTGATAGCAGTAGTAAAATAGTTGATAACAGGGTGTGTTGTCACCAGTGAATTAAAAAAATGATAGAACCATCAGAAATCTGTTTTAAAACAACAGAGGTAAAAGGAGAAAAAAAAATGTGCTTATACCACAGGAATACCACACTTACCCTCAATGCCTTTTTTCTATCATTCCAAACACATACTAGAGATCACTTGTCCAAGGCAGAATAGACCAGTTACGCTTTAGCAGAAACCTGAGGTCATTATACAGATCTAATCAAACCTGTTACCATTGTGATGTACAAGACACACACACAAATGCCAAACTACGGAGGTGAAAGAAGAGGTGAAATCTCAAAATCTGAGGATCTGATTGAAGAACTAGCTAGCCTTGAGAATAAATCTTTGAGTAAATGGAATATTGATACATAACATATGAGTCTGAAATTCAAGAGAACAGGTGGGGATGGAAACATAAATTTCAGAACGTAAATAGGAAAGTCATTAAAAGCTACAAGACCGAATGGAATTAGCATAAGAGTGAGTGCAGGCAGAAACAAGAAGAGGCTCAAGAACGGAGCCTTTGGTGGCCCCATGTTATAAAGATAAAGACAAAAAGAGGGAAAGAAACGGAGAAACATCAGCCAGAAAGTGTGAGGACAATCAAGGAAAGCTGGCGTCTTGAGAAGCAAGTGAAAAATGTATTGGAAGGAGAAAGAAATTGGGTCGGTGTTCTATTCTTCTTCTTCCTCATTGCTACCTCCAGACCATTCATTTTCCATAAAAACTTGCATCTATGTACAACACTTCTACAGCACAGAAAGATGAGACATGGATGTGGATTTTGATTTTAGGTTTTAGAAATGTAGAGGTTGTTGAGTGCTTTCACAGCAATAGATTTGATCACAGAGTAGAGTTGAATTTTATTAGGATAAATCTAAGAGAAGAGTTGCAGGGAAAAAAACAAGTACAAATAACTATTTCTGGGGCATTCTTCTGTTTGAGAATAGGGGAGGACATGAGCTGGAGAAGGATATGGGTTAACATTTTTTTTTTAAGATGAAAGAAACAAGAGCGTGTTTATACACTGAAGGGAATGACTTATTAGTGAAGAAAAATGTGTTAATGCAGAGGAAAATGGGAAACTTAATTGAATGATGTTAATAAGTGGTTGAATAAGACAGAGTCTAATGCGCTTTGCGGGCTGGGCCCCAGAGAGGAGCATGGCCTGGCCGAGCCACCCACAGCAAAAGAAGAGAAGGCAGAATGCACAGACCCATATTCAGTCCGTTGAGGGAGCCTGTAGGAATTTTCTGACTGCTTCTATTTTCTATCTGAATCAAAAATCAAGAAACCAGTTTGGTGTGAGAATGGAGGAGGAGGTGTTGGAAGTTTGAGGAGAGGAAAGGTGTGAAAGAGAAATGTAAAAGAGGAGAGTGAACAGGGAATATGTTATGGGTATAGTTGCCAGGCAGTATTAAGAGCCCTTTTGGGGTTAGTGATCATGAACTTAAAGTGGGACCTGCCAGCATGGATGTGTATATTTCTCCAGCCATGATTAGTTCCATAAAAGGTTGTACAAATGTAGGTATGGAAGAGACAGAAAGTTGGTTATACTCAGCCAGTAATGTGGTTTTTTCTAAGCAACCATGATGAAGCGAGGGGAGGATAAACATTTAGGGTGTACACCAGGTAGTAACTGTGCTTAGGGGCCATGGAAATTATTCTGCATGAAGGGAAAAGTGAATTGGCAAAAGAGAGAATAAAGGTATGGTAGGATTAAAGGGCTGTGGGTTCCTGTAAGGTCAAAGGGTTCTAGAGGGAGTGAACTAGGAAGATGGTGTTTGGAGACAAGGATACTTGAGCCTTGGTCATGACCACAACTAGGAAATGACCATGGGAGCTGTGGCTGAGTTGAGTGAGGACAAGTTTATGAAAGGAGAGGATTTCCAGGAACTCAGAGGTCCGGTTGTTGAATGGATCACCTACGCAAGAATTCAAATTACTAAGAATAATAGCAACAGAGAATGGGATCTGATAGCTGGTAAATGACAGCAACAGGGAGCAGGAGGAAGATGTGTGTGATATTCACAGCAGGGTTTTCATAGAAGGGACAGTGTCAGAAAGCGGGAATGAGAAGTAAGGAATCATGCACCTTCTCTCTAGGTTTAGTAGAAGCCTGTGAAATAGAAGCAGCCCCACCATGGAAGGAGACATCCATCTTCCTTCCATTGCCGAGTGCTCCATTTCCTCTACAGCCCCCAGTCCAAGTTCCTGAGAAATGAAATGTGATTGTCCAAGCATTTGTTATGAATCTTGCCATGCCAGCTTGTGATTAATGACTCCTCTGTCATGTCGTCACCCACAGTCCCATGGTCCGGAGTTGGGAGTAGGAACTAGGAGTGGCTGGAGGTTGTGATTTGGTTATGATTTGGTTTTGCCAACTATGACCCCATAGAGACTGCTGCCTTGTTAATTAATGTGAAATTCTTTTCGAAAAAAAATCTTGCAGTTAGGAAGTTATGTTGCATGCAAAAACATGAAAAACATTCTACATGTTTTTTTTTTTGATAAAATATATTATATTACAATTCTGTTTTTCTACCCCATTGGTATCTGGCCAACATGAAAGTATCTTGCTCAACAACAATCCAGTGAGAGGCAGTGTGTGAAACAAGAGTTCTGCGGTCTTTCCTGCTTCCTTTGTCCTCCTGATGGGACTTTCTGCACGCACAATGTTTATGTTGGCTAATCTTCAGTGGTAGCCTGTCAAGGCTGTGCCTCCAATGCTTCCAAACACTCAGATTGTTTATGGAGCATAAGAGCGATCACAATTAACTTGATTTGCATCTTTCTTAAATAGGGAACCATACTTAGCTAGAGACCAAGTAACTAGAACCAAATGTAATTGGAATAATGTGTTTACAGCACACTTTCAGCAAAAAGAGATATTTACTACTTTCCAACTCAACACACACACACACACACACACAAATGTTCACACATGTATGCGCATCCTACTACACATACACATTAAAGATTTAAGTGCTAAAAACCAAGCAAATCAAAAGTTACTTAATTACATAATTTTAAGTCTACTGTACAATACAATGAATCTTGAAGTCCAGAATGTAAGTTTAGCTACTTAATCCTCAAAAAGAGTATAATCATTCAATTTTAGTTGTTTAAGTAGGAAAAAGAACAAATTGGAGCAAATAAGATGAAAACAGAATGCTGAGCTGTATTAAGTCATAGTAAGTTAAGCATTCTGTTTCTTTAACAATACTATGTTTCAATGCAAGATGTTGCAGGAAGACTATCATAGGAGCTAAACTGTGATGAGTTTTAATGAAGATATTACACGGAATGCTAGCTGACTTCCTCTTCATATATTTGAACTTCTTTGTGGAATTACAGCTTGTAATCAGAAACTGAACACCTGTTCTGGTCTGGGCTTGTAGAAAAAATTGAACATTTATTCAGTATTTCTTTACAGACAAATGAAGTATATAACTGGAAAGTCAAGTGTTTGTGTATGTGGTGCAGCTGGAAACTTAGAGCTGATATATAGAAGCCACATAGGAGTGCAGCTCTGATCCTAACTTAATACATTCTTCTCTCCCTGCAGGATGCTTGACTGGGAGCCTCAGGCTCTCTTCCAGCAGGAAGTGAACTAGGATGCAATATCTGTTCTTTGTGCTCACCTGGCATATATCCTTTGATTCTTCTAGTTGTAGTTCAGTAGTAAACCTAAGTAAATGCAACCTCGAACCAAGATCAAATTGTCATTCCCCCCAACCGTCCAGCCTAGATAAGCCATGTGTTTGTTCCTTGATGCCACTTGTGAAGCAAATGAAATACACATGCAGAGCTTTTGCTTATTGTACTAGTGGAGTTTGAACTTTGTACAAGCAAGTGCCTGACAATTGCTTTAGGTGCAATTGTATAACGGTGGCCTGAGAACTGTGAAAAAGGGCAGTTTGCATAATGGCTTTGAACGATAACATTCTGTTGAATAAGGTTGGGAATAAGCGTCAAGCCTCTTTATTCTTGTGGAAGACAGCAATTGGATGTTACTTTTCTACTTATTCTCTCGCAAATAGAATTGGTGAAATAAACATGTGGATCACTTAGTACTATTCATTTACATTTGTCATGGTGGTTTTAGCTCATGGAATCTCATTAGCATTTCTCTTCATCTGCCATTGGGCATTTTTCTTCTGCTGATATGTAACGACAATCTTTTTAATGTATTTGGTTTGTAAACATGGGCTTTCTGTCTTGTGTCTATGCTGTTGACTTTCATGTTAGACCATATGAAATAATAACTAGAATTGTTATATAGAATAAGCAATAATAACTAGAATTGTTATATGGAGCAATAATAACTAGAATTGTTATATATAGAATTGTTCCTTTTTCATTCACGTATTTATAATTGTTCATTAAAATTAAGGCAATAGTTATATTCAATAAATTAAAGGCTACATAACATTTCCTAATGCAAAACAGTGAGGTCATCCCACTAACTATTACAGTCATCTGTGAAAATTTTCAGACTACTTGGTTTCATTGAAATGTTAATAATAGCTTTATATTTCTTATAATAACTTCTCTTACTGATTCCTTTTGTTGTTCATCCAAACAAACCAATATCCAAACATCAAGGTACTTTCAGACAACAACTCTGAGAGTCATTCCCCGAAAAATTACATGCAGTGAAATTATCTTTAAAAGAGAAAGTATACAAGGTCTCAGAGAGAATCTCACAGTGTTTAATTCTAATATAAGCAAAGAACAAAATTTTGACCTTTAAAAAATTATTAACTTATTGAAAAAAACTTTCCCACCTTTGTCTCCCAATTTGTTGCAAAGAAGCAAAAAGAAGCCAAAATACTGAAGCTAGTCCCCTGCAAAAAGACATTGTTTTACTGGGTGATTTTCCAAAAAGTCCCTGGAAATCTGTGGTCTTAAAAATTTATGACCTAAGTATATCAATCAGAATGAGCATTCCTGAGGTTGATTTCAAATTTGTGAATAAACAGATAAATACTTGTCAACAATTTCAAATTTCTAGATCTTGAAATGTTTTCGATATACTTACAAAGACAAATTATCAGTATTTCTTCATCAGCTGTTATATACTTTTGCTAATGTGAATATTTTAGAGGACAAAAGGAAGATGGTGCAGAGACAATTTTTATAACTTTTTCCCCACCATTGCCAGCAGTCTATGATTTCTTTTTTATGCCCATTTATTTGGCAGGAGTTGCTGATTTTATTGTTGCCATTTTTTTTTCCGTGAAGAGCTGGAAGATAAAGCTATTCTTTAGTTTTCTCATCTGCAAATGGCATCCCATGGGTCCTCGGCAAAGCACAGAAATGAATTTCAGATACCTGCCATAATTCTTCTGCTGCTGTCCTTAAAATAACCTTCAAAGTTGCAAATATTCTCATCCAAAATGGGATGCAGATTGATTACCTAATCAAGAGATTAGTTAAATAATTAAACAATTGAAAAAAATCATAGCTGCAGACACAGTATTATCTATATAATAGACCATTTAATCAGGAAGGAAACAACAACAACAGGCATATAAGAAAGCTTTTGGGAGCTGAGCTCATGACTGTAATCTCAACAATTTGGGAGGGCAAGGCAGGAAAATTCCTGGAGGCTAGGAGTTTGAGACCAGCCTAGGCAACCTAGTGAGACCCTACCTCTACAAAAAGTAATTATAAAAAATTAGTCAGGCCTCATAGCTACTCAGGAAACCGAGATAGGAGGATGGCTTGAGGCCAAGAGTCCTAGGTTACAGTGAGTTATGATAATGACACTGTACTTCAGCCTGAGTGACAGTGAGACACCATCTCAAAAAAAAAAAAAAAAAGTAAATAGATTTGCAAAGCATGTCAGTACAAAATAAATTAAAAAGCGGAAACTTTCTCTATAACTTGAAAAACATAAGAAAATTGATAAAATATATAAAGCAATGCTTTGAAATACACTTTAGAAGATTTTTTACATCAGAAAACAAGCAGTGGTCCTTGAGAGGTCACAAATAAACATGAGTGCTGCAATTTCCCTGGTTTAAACAATAAGACTTTCTAGGTTGTATCATGTGCAGGAGGAGCACAGGTAGTTTTCAGTGAAACCGTTGAGATGAGGAGAAGATGACCAATGTAGCTAGAAATTTCAGGACAATGTTCTACAGAAAGGAGAACTCCAGAGACAGAACTGTTGTTATTTTCCAGAGCTCTCCTTGATATTCAGTTGTGTACTAATCAGCATTTGCATGAGAAAACTATCAAAATAATAAAAACAAATCTAAAAATAATTAGAGTAAGGTGTTCTGCAGTCACAAAGAGAAAAGAACAGTGCTTAGTGTCAACAGCTAGACTGGGAAACCTCACAATTCAATGTATACTGGATAGGTAACTTGGAAAAGTCTCCTGGGGTCGGGCGTGGTGGCTCACACCTGTAATCCCAGCACTTTGGGAGGCTGAGGCGGGAGGATCACCTGAGGTCTGGAGTTCAAGACCAGCTTGGCCAACATGGTGAAACCCCGTCTCTACTAAAAATACAAAAACTAGCCAGGTGTGGTGGCAGGCACCTGTAATCCCAGCTACTCGGGAGGCTGAGCCAGGAGAATTGCTTGAACCTGGGAGGTGGAAGTTGCAGTGAGCTGAGATCGCGCCATTCCACTCCAGCTTGGGTGACAAGAGCAAGACTCCATCAGAAAAAAAAAAAAAAAATTCCTGGATTGAACAATGCTCCAGATTCACCCAAAGAATCATAAAGGCAAGGCCTAAAGTAGTTAATGTGTTAGCAACTAACATATGAATGCAAGAATAAAAGTAAAAAACATTTATAAGAATACGAAATATACAAAATAACCAACACTCGCTTTAGGAAAATTTTACAATTTGTGACATCTAAAAATAAACCTTACCAGGCATGCAGAAAAGCAGATAAATAATAATAAACCAATAATAAAATCTATCACCTTAAACCCAAACTAACAAAGGTGCTAGAATTTGTGGTTGAGAGCCTAAAACACTCATTATGACAACATTCTGTGTTTTATCAAATTAGATAGAGATATGTAAGGTGTAAAAAAGATCTAAATCAACTTCTAGAAATAAAAACAACACTGATTCTGATGAGAAATTTACAGGATGGGAGTAATAGAAAATTAGCCACTGCAGAAAAAAAAAAAAAAAAAAAGAAGTGAACTTGAAGACAAAGCAATAGAAACAATTCAAAATAAAACTAAGAGAAAAATAATTTAAAAAGTGAAAAAATCAATGAATTGTAAATAATCTTCAAGTGGTCTTATTTGTATACCACTGGAGCTCCTAAAGAAGGTGAAAAATGGGGGCGCAGGAAAATAACTTGAAAGAAATAATGGTCAAACATTTTCCAAACTGGACAAAAGCTATAAACCTGCAGACTCAAGAAGTCAAGAACCTCAAACATAAAAAACGATACACTATAATCAATTTGCTAAAAACATAATGAAGAGAAAATCTTAAATGAAACCAGAGAAGAGAGACATATTACATAAAAAAGGAGTGAAAAATAAGAATGATAGACAGTAGATTTATCATTAGAATCAATGCAAGTGAAAAGAGACCTCTTTAGTGTACTGAAAGAAAAACACCTGTCAGATGAGAATTCCATATCCTGCAATATGTGTCTTTCAAAAATGGAAGTGAAATAAAGACTTCTTCAGAGATACAAAACCCCTAACCTGATAGAATTTATCACCAGAGACCCACACTGACAGAAGTATTAGAAGAATTCTTTCAGGTAGAAGAAAAATGAAATCACTGGAAACCTGGATCTACACAAACATATTGAGAACACCAGAAATGATAAATACAATGAGATCAGCGCAAAGTTTTGGAGGAGAGGAAAGGAATTCCACTATTATAAGTTTTAATATTATAGTTAACATAATATTACTTGAAATTAGGCTGTTATAAGTTAAAGATGTGTATTATAAACTCTAAAGCAACCAATTGAAATCATATAACAAAGTGTTATATTTATTAAACCAAAAAATGCAAAAAAATTATAAAAATGTCTTTTTTCACCTTTTCCTCTTTTTTTGCTTTTTTGAAGATTAGTTTTACAACTAATATTGCTAGTGTTTTACAACTAATCGACAAGAAAGCAAAAAAGGAGGCAAAGCTGAAAAAAGGAACACACATGAGACAAAGAAACCAGAGTCAGGTAACAGAGCTAAACAGAAGCACGTGAATAGTGCCACCACATGCAACTAGTCTAAAGAAAAGTCTCCAATCAAAAGGAAAAGATTATAGTACTGAATTTTAAAAAAGCAAATCCAAATACACCTGTTTACAAGATATGCCCTTTTACATTTTTAATCAATATATCGTAGTTGTACATATTTGGGGGTACCTGGTATATTCTGATATATGTATACAATGTGTAATGATCAAATCAGGATAATCAGTATCTATCACTTCACATATTTATATTCTGTGTTGAGAGCATTACAATTTTTCTCTTCTAGCTATTTTGAAATATACAATAAATTATTTTTAACTATAATTTTTCTACTGTACTATCAAATACTAACATTTATTTTTATCTAACTGTAATTTTGTACAAAGCAACTTCTTTTTATTCCTTTTCCTCACTTCCCTTTCTATTAATAGCTTCTGATAACTACCATTCTAGTCTCTACCTCCGTCAGATCCGCGTTTTTTAGCTCCCACATATGAGTGAGAGCATGTAATATTTGTCTATCTGTGCCTGGTTTATTTGACTCAACATAATAACCTCTAGATATAAAAAAAGAATAAAATTCCATCACTCGCAGCAACATGGAAGGAGCTGGATTTATATTTGTATGTGTGTATATATATGAGTAATAAAAATAAAGATGTGGAAAATATACCAAATTTACGTTAACATTAATCAAAATAAATCTGGATTGGCTTATTAATTAAAAAACAGCAGATTTCAGAGGAAAGAATATGATCACCTATTAAAAGTTGGTTTCATAATGATAAAAAGACTGAATTCATCAAAAGGACATAAGATTTAAAATTCTTACGCACCTAACAGAGCTTCAGAATACTTTAAGTAGTGAATGACATCAGCATGATGACAGACTAAGAAGCTACAGGTCCTTTTCCCCCCAAAATGACACTGAGTTAGCAGCAATATGTGGACTAGAATACCTCTGTGAGAACTCTAGAGAGCAATTGACAAGCTACAAAATCCAGGCCATTGTAAAATCCAGAGAAGATTCCAGTAAAAAAAGTAGAAAATAATGTGATGTTTGACACACCTGTTTATGTCCCTTCCCTCCCACAGCATAGCATGTTACAACTAGGATACATCCTCTCACACTGGCATTTCTCTGTCAGGGACTAAACAAATGAATGTTTCATATATCCAACATTCTGGCTTGTCTAGAACGGCTTGAGGACTTCATTTCTATCTAGCTTGAATTGGAGCATTGATGGGATGGGTGACAGAATTTAGAAATTCTTGAAAATAGGCAAGCAGTAGGTTGGAGCTTCCGTTTTGCTGCCAGACATTGGGGAATGGGGGTGCAAAAGATCAGAAAAGATTTGAGAAGTCCTAGACCTCCATCCAGGCTTAGGGAGCAGGTCTTTCCTTGAATGAAATCAGTGTGCAAAGACTAAAGAGCAGTTTTTTTGTTTGTTTGTTTGTTTTTTTCAAATGTCCAAATCCCAGCAAATAATTACACAGCATACGTAAAAACAGGAAACATATCCCATAAATATATACACCTACTTGGAACCTACAAATTTAAATTTTAAAAAAATTAACAAAAAAAACACAGGAAAACGCGGTTCGAGGAAAGAAATTAATAATATTCCAGAAACCGTTTAGGAAAAGCCCACAGTTAAAAATCATTCTCAGTGGTAAAATTCTAAAATATTTTTCTTTGCGACCAGAAATAAGATAAGGATACTGCTCTTGCCACTTCCATTCAACATAATATTAGAAGTCCTAGCCAGAGCAATTAAGCAAGATAAAGAAATAAAGGGAACATAAATTAGAAAGGAATAAAGAACAGTATCTTAGTTCACAGATATCATGATCTTAAACATAGAAACTCATAA
Organism: Homo sapiens; assembly: GCF_000001405.40. NCBI lineage: Eukaryota > Metazoa > Chordata > Mammalia > Primates > Hominidae > Homo > Homo sapiens. The sequence continues at coordinate 105,713,828 of NC_000013.11, read as the reverse complement.
AAGTTTTACACACACATACAAACCTGTTAGAACTAATAAGTGAATTAAACATAGCTGCAGGATACAAAAATTAACAAACAAAAATTAGTTGTGTTTCTTTACAATCACAATGAACATTCTACAAGAGAAATTAAGAGAAGAGTTACATTTATGATAGCATCAAAAAGAATAAAAACCATAGAAATAAATCTACCCATGGAGGTGAAAGACTATACAGTGAAAACTACAAAGCAGTTCTGAAATATAATGACAAAGGTACAAATAAATGGAAAGACATTCTATGTTCATGAATTCGAAGACTTAATAATATTGGTAAGATGTCCACATCACCCAAAGAAATTTATGAGCTCAATGCAATCCCTATAGAAATAGAAATCTCAGTGACTTTTTTTTCCTTGCAGAAATAGAAAAACGCATCCAGAAATTCATATGGAATGTCAGGGACCCTGAATAGCCAAACAATTTTGAAAATGAAGGAATTCAAAAGAATCACACCTCCTAATTTCAATGCCTGTTACGAGCGTGGGAATATACCTTCACTTATATGATTAAATTATATTTGATAAGATTGTCAAGACTACTGAGTGTGGAAAGGGTAGTCTCTTCAACAAGTGATGTTGGAAAACTAGATAATCGCATGCAAAAGAGTGAAGTTGGACCTTTATCTTTCACCATATACTGAAATAAGCTCAAAGTGGATTAAATGCCTAAGTATAAGACCTAAAACTATAAAATTTCTCAATGAAAATATAAGGGAAAAGCTTCATGACATTGGACTTGGCAACAATTTCTTGGTTATGACACTAAAGTACATAAGACAAAAATTAAAAATAAACAAATGGGATGACATCAAACTGAAAGCTTTTGTAATTAAAGGACCCAATAAAAAGAGAGAAAAGACAATCTATGGAATGGGGGAAAATATTTGAAAGTCATATATTTAATGAAAAGTTAATGTCCAGAATATATAAAGAAATGCAATGCAGCAACAGAAAATAATAAAAAAATTACAAATTGCCAAAGAACTTGAATAGACATTTCTACAAAGATGATATATTAATAGCTAGCAAACATATAAAAACTATTCAATATCACTAATCACTGAGAAAGGTAAATCAACAAGATATCAACAAGATGTAACCACATGCCCATTACGATGGCTAACATGTAAAACAAAATCAACAACTAAACAAACAACCAACCACAACAAAAATCACGGAAAATGAATCTTGGTAAGGATGAGGAGAAATTGGAATTCTCTTGCACTCCTGGTGGAATTTTGCAATGATGCAATCATTATGAAAATCAGCATGGAGTTTCCTTAAATAATTAAAAAGAGAACTAGCATAGGATCCAGAAATCCTATCTTTGGGTACTTATCCAAAATAACTGAGAACAGGGACCTGAAGAGATATTTTTACATCCATGTTCTTAGCAGCACTACTTGAAATAGCCAAGAGGTGTAATAACCACAATGTCTGTGATGGATACGTACAGCAGAACATCATTCAGCCTTTAAAAGGACAAAAATCCTTTGCTACGACATTGAGAAAGCAGGGGGACATTAGGTAAAGTGAAATATGCTAGTCACAAGATGACAAATACTGTATGATCCAATGTAGATAATATTAAAAAAGTCCAAGTCATAGAAACAGAACGTGGAATGGTGGTTACCAGAGGCTGCAGGGAGAGTAGAAAGAGGAGCTGCCTAATAGGTATAAACTGAAATTTGCAAGATGAAAATGTATGGAGAAGTGTCTCACTACAATGAGAATATACTTACCACTTAACTGTACACTTGGAAAATGGTTAAGATGGTAAATTTCGTGTGTTTTCTACCACAATAAAGAAATAGAAATACATTAAGTAAAAGCTGATAGAACTGAGAAAAAGAACCAGACAATTCTTCAAGTATGTGCTGATATTTAAACATTCAGCCTTATTAACTGATAAAAGAAATAGAAAGTAAAAATATAGAAGACTTAATCTACTTGACACCTAGAATCAAATTAATCTACTTGACACCTAGAATACTCTTTGTAACAATATAAGAATTGACATTATTCTCAAGTTCACATGTAACATTTACCAAAATAGACCATATTATGGATAATAAAACAAGTCTTAATTTATTTAACACGATTCGTATCATATAAGGTATGTTCTCTGGTGAAAGTAAAATATAATAAGAAATAAATAACAGAAAGATATATGGACATTCCAGAATTATTTGGGTATTAAATAACATACTTAAAAATAATCCATGTGTCAAATAACAAACCAAAATGGAAATATTAAAATATTTGAAAGGAATGAAAATAAAAATTCATCATGTCAGAATAGGTAAGATACTACTGAAGCAGTGCTTAGCTGAATGTATAGTACTAAACATCTGTATTAGAAAAAGAAAGGGCTCCAAATTATTGACTTCACCTTCCAACTTAAGAAACTAGAAAAAAATCACCATATTAATCACAAAATATATAGAATAAATAAAATAGTAAAAATCAGATAGTAATCAATAAAATAAAATACAAACCAGAGAAATTCAAAAAAGTAAAGACGGATCTTTGAGTCAATCAAGAAAATGTATAAATCTCTAGCCAGAATGATCTGAAAAAAAAAAATAGCACCAAATTTCCAAAGAATGGGAGTGGCATTACTAAAGATCCATAGATATTAGGCAATAAAAAAGAATGCTGTAAACAACTGTATGCCAGGAAATATGACAGCTTCGAAAAATGAACACACTTATTGAGAAAATACAACAATAGTCACTCAAGAAGAGTTAGATTACTTGAAGTACTCTACAATGTAGTTAAAAACCTGCCTCCACCAAAATTCCAGACCCAGATAGTTTCGCTGATGATTTATATCAAATATTTACAGAAAAATAGCAACTCTATCCAAGTTCTCCCAGAAAATTTAAAAGGGGGAACCACTTCCCAACACATTTTGTGGCCTGGATTTACTCTGATATCATAACCAGACAATTATATTCGTAGAAAAGAAATCATAGACTAATATTCATCATGAGCAAAAATGAAAAAGTTCTAACAAAATTATAACAAATCAAATCCAACAATATACAAAAATAATAACATATAAAAAATAAGAGATGTTTATTCTAAGAATTAAGGTTTGGTTTTATGTATGAAAAGTAACCTGAAATTACACACATTTGTAAACTGAATTTCCTGATAAGTATTCTTATAAGAGTTAAGACAGAAACATCTCAATCTGAAAAATGGCATCAGAAATGCTTACAGCTAACATCAAACTTAATAGCGAAAGACTGAAACTTTTTTCACTAACGTGAGGAACAAAACAGATTCAATTCTCACCACTTTTATTTAACATTTTACTGGAATTTTTAGTCAATGAAATCAGGAAAGAAAAAGAAAAAAATTCACCAAGATTGGAAGGGAAGAAATACTACTATATGTATTCATTAAAACTCTAGGCTGTCTTTTTTAGAAATTAGCTAGCTGTTTCTAAAATAAATACAGAAATGCAAGGTTTCTAAAATAGTCAGAATATGTTGAATAAAAAAGACAAAGTTGTAGATCTAACATTATTAGATTTCAAGACTTATTATATGATGACAAATATGAGACCAAGAGAATGAATAGATATTCCAGAAGTAGATCTATACACATATGGACAACTAATTTTTGACAAAGTTTTACAGAAGATTAAATGGAAAAAGGATAGCCTTTAAATAAATGGTGCTAGACTAATTGGATATCCACATGTAAATAATGTATCTCTAATTCATATCATGCCTTATATAAAATATTAACTCAAGATTTTAGAGTTAAGTCTAAAATTACAAAAATTCTAGAAAAAGGAAACAAATTCTTTGTGACATAGATTAGGCTCAGATCAATAATAGAATAAATTGATATGTTGTAATTCATCTAATTCATCAAAATTAAACTGCCCTTCCAAAGGTACCATGAATGAAAAGACAAGCCACAGATTGGGAAAAACTGATTATCAAGTTATGTGTGTAATGTCTAATAAAGAACTTGCATTCAAAATATTTTTAAAAATATTCTCAAAACGTAAAAATAACAAACCACCCTATTAAAAGATGGGTAACTGATTTGAATAGACACTTCATCAAAGAAGACATGTAGATAGCAATAAGCACATTAAAAGATGTTCAATGTACTTAGAAAAAGTCCAAATGAAGTGCACAATCTCATAGCACTATACACCTATTTGAATAGCTCAATTTCAAGACACTGTCCACACTAAATTTAGTCAAGAATCCTGAGAGAACTGGAATTTTCACACTACTGGTGAGAAGATAAAGCCATGGAGTTATTTTAGAAAATAGTTTGACGGTTGATTAACATTTTAAATACATACCTACAGTAGGATTTACTGATTCCCATTCTAGGTGTTTCCCCACAGGAAATGAAAACATATGTCCATGCAAATATTTATACATACAAGTTCATACCCGTTTTATTTGTAACAGCGCAAATTTGGAAACAACTCAAATGTTCATTAACAGATGATTGAATATAAAAACTGTAGCACACCCAAGCAATGAAAAACTACCAAGCAGGAAAAAATAAATGAAGTATTGATACACTCAACTATGTGAATGAATCTCAAAAAAAATACATCATTCTGAATGAAATAAGTCGAACAACAACAACAAAAGGTACACTGTATAATTACATTTACACAAACTTCTAGGAAATGTAAGCTAATAGATAAGGCCAGGAAGTAGATCAGTGGCTGCTTTGGGATGGGGCAGTCAGTATCAGCTTTAAGGGGTAAACATATGCCAAAACCTGTTAAGTGGTACATTTTAAACATGTAAAATTTATTTTGTATCAACTTTTTCCTAATATAGCAGTTAACAAAAAGATAATTTTAACTACATTTATCACAATATTTTGGTCTGGGCTTCATGAACAATTACCTAAATGATGGCTCAAAAATCTCCTTTTGACATCTGATCAGATGAAAGAAGATAGTAAATGCTGCAACATGTGTGCCAGTGGAGAATCTGTAATTCTGTCCGCATAAATGTAACTTAAAGTTTACCAAGAGACTATCTGGTTTAATGTAATAACCAAATAATCTTTTACAGACATTCATACTCTCACTCATTCTTCTGCACTCATCAAATATTTAATTAGATACATGCTCTCTGAAACATGTATGTATATCATGTTTTAAAAATCAGATGCAAATTTTGTCTTTTTGCTCTCATAGGAAAGGATGTTACACAAATTGTGTACAAACAACTAAATCATTTTAAATCCTTAAAATAGGTAACACAGAGCTTGATACATAGGATATACTCAATTACAGTAGCACATCGTAAACAAGAGTGATAAAAGGATAAATCCAGTATCATGGGGCATTTAGAGAAGGAAGATGTGTGTGTGTGTGTGTGTGTGTGTGCGCGCAGAAGGGGTATGTTTGAGGGCAAGTGTGAGTATCTAGAAAGCTTCCTGAACTGGATGACTTTGAGAACTGATTCAGCGCTGTCCTGCATCACAGGGCTACAGGTAATATGAAGATGAAGCTGGGTAAATAGATCGGAAGAAGAAAAATAGGTTTAGGTCTGAATTTTATATTTTTCCTTTTTTTAAAAAAATTGATTTCCCCCTCCTCTTCATTGTAATCTTCATTAACAGAACAGAAAATACATTGAAAATAAATAATTAAAATGCCAGTTTTATGACATACATCAAAAATGGAGGTTTGGAAATTAATTATATATGAGAAGACAGCTACCTGCTGTTAAAAAATAAGAAAAAAATATACAGACATCACACAAAAAGTTTCCCACACCAGGTTTTTTCATAGCTTGCACAGCTTCTTCCTTTCATCACTGGACTCATTTTCCCACCTTCCCGACCCCAGTTTAGGATGCAGTTCATTCCGTGCAATTTCTAGCCATAAACTCTAGAGTATAGAAAAACATTCACATTACTCTGGGTGTTTGGTTCAGGAGTTTACCTTGAGTATCAGGTTGGATGTTTTACTCGCAAATGTTTATAAACCTGCTACTGCATGCAACGCACTGCTCTAGGTACTAGAGAAGACATGCCAAATAGTGAAAATACTTCACCATCAATGGAGACTGCAATAGACAAATACGGATGATGGAGATAACATACCTACAATGTCGAAGAGGAAAAATGTACTGAGTAAAGAACAGGCTTACCTCAAGGTTTTGCTTGCACCTTGTGGCAGTTCTAATTCCTTTTGCATCTCCTGGAGGTGTTTACTAGCTTCTATATGCATATATTACCACACCATGAAGTAGTGTCTATATACTTGAGAGATGATACTTCAAGCTTCTATTTCTTTAGAACTCTTTTTTAAAGGTTTAATGTTTGAAAATGTTAGTAGGTGTTATACGACTGCATATGTTAAGTGTATCTCCCTTGCGTAGTTGAATGGTGTGGGAGTGCACTGTTAAACCATCTGGTTGGTCCAGTTGAAAAATCCCTTTTACTTGATGAGATGGGGATGTAGGCTGAAGAGCCGGCCTGGTTGAAGAGCCGTGGGAACACCCTCCTCCTTCCTTCCTTATTTCTTCTGAGGTGGAAGTGTGATGCTCCAAAACAGTTCCTCTCTCTTCAGTTCCTTCTGTCCTTTTCTTAAGCTTAATAGTTCTGTGTTCTGGAAACCATTTCATTGGTTTTTGATTTTATAGTGCTCTCTTTACTCAAATGTACACAGCCAAGGGTACTGAGGAGTAAACAAAGTAGAACAGTGTTACACCCCTTTCAAATTCATTCACACTTCCACCAGAGTGATATTTCACAGGTTTTAATATTATCAGGTGACTTTCCTATGTAAAAGCACCTAGTCACTCTCCATGACAAAGCCCTGCTCCTTGGCATAGCTTGTCCATATCCATACCTCCCTACCTTTCCAGGTTTCTTTCCCATAGCCTCTTTGTAGAATTCACTGCAGCCTAACTGCCTTCCTAACAGCCTAACTGCCTTCCTTCTGCCTGCCCAGAAGTGTACCAGGCTCACTCGTGCCTTTGCTCACTCGGATGCCTCCCTAGATCACGTTTTCACCTCCCTTGTTCATCTGGCTCTCCCCACCCTCCTACTTTCAGACTTATCCTTCTAGGTCAGCAAATCTGGAGAGCCTCTCCTCTTGATCTAGGGTGAGCCAAGTGCCTCTTTGTTCCCTTTGCCCAGTGAACACACTCCTAAAGCAATGCATGATGTATGTTACCCCATTAAATCACAGGTTATATCTTGGCATCTGTGCCTGGCACATAACAGGCACTCAATAAGTATTTATTGGGCTGAAGTGAAATAAATAGTGTTTTAGATAATCAAGTACAAAGCAGAGTTTTAAGAGGCTAAATAGGTCAGTGTGATCATCTTTGTCATAGATTGTAGTAAAAATAATCTGTGAAAAGTGACTGATTATTGACAGGTAGCCTTGGGTATGCAGCTCAAGTAGGCATTATAAAATAAAAAACATCACATTCCATGTATTTTCAAAAAAAGCTTCTGGCTTACTCAAAAGGTAAGTGTTCTTTAAACAACTTCAATGGAAAAGGAGTTTCTTCCAAATGCTTGGAGAACTCCTTCTCAAGTCCGGAATAAAGCAAGGTCTACAGAGACAAAGTATAAATAAAACCATGGTGCTGAGCTGGTACCACTATTGGGCTGCTAAGCAGTGCTAAGCATTGCCTTCAGATGAGTTATCTAGCCTTTGTAAAGCTCAGATTCCACAGCTATAAACTGAGATGAATAATAATACACAAAACACTAAGCTGTTGAGTAGATTAAATGAAATTATTTATGTAGAGCAAATAGAACAGTACTGTACCTTATAAAATTTAAAACCAAAATGTAAATTCTGATTTTTACCCAAGGGTCAACTCCGCACAATTTTGCAATGGACCCTTCCCCGGCCCTCCAGAAGCTGAATATCGTTGTGTATCATATCCAAATTCAGTATCACCAGGGCATAGAGTAAGTGCCAACTGTGAGGCCATAGCTATGCGTCCACTCCCCTGAAACACATTGTGTACCTTCATTCTTGGAGTTGAGTCTTTGCATTTCATCCTCCAGAGTGAGAATAGACTGCGTGTTGGAGAGGTCAGGGAAATTATGTCTTTCTATGTCTAGCCCTTTATAGGTCGATTATTTGAATGCTTGACAGCATCTGTCCACTTATCTATCCCTGCAATAATAAAATACGGGACTAAAGTAGCTCGTATCTCTAGTGGGAGAGTGCATATATTTTATACGTCAATTCTTTAAAAGGGGAAATTCTTTCAGAGCTTCAGAAAATATCACGGAAGAGTTAAAAGAATGTTTGAGAAGAACATGTCTGAGTATTACCTACTAGCATTACAATTTTACTGCTTTAAAGTAATTATAATTTTCATTGCAGGATCTATGAAAAAGGCTTTTACCTGACGGTAATTCTTCTTGTACTTACAGGTCATTATTACAATGAAGGGAAGAAAGGAAGACATGAAGGGGAAATGGGACTATTTACCAAGTGTATCTGCATAGACTAAAGGAGACAAGAGGAAGTACTGAGCACCTTGATTCCTGCAGATAATTATTTAAGAACCATAAGAATTCTTTCCTAGCTTCTCATAAGCCTGCTCCTTCAAAGGGTGAGTAGTTGACATGATTTTACATCCCATTTATATTTCTTTATTAGATAATTTTATTTCAAATCTAGTCTTATTTTTTCTGAACCTTCTGGGATATATAACATTTTATATTATCATTTATGTCATCAAGAATGTAGATTTATATTCTTTTCTATTCACATGTTTATGTAAATAATTGAACACCTCTAAATGACAGATACTATCATTTTATATATTGTTAATAAGTATCTTCATGGCTGGGCGTGGTGGCTCACGCCCGTAATCCCAGCACTTTGGGAGGCCGAGGCGGGAGGATCACCTGAGGTCAGGAGTTTGAGATCAGCCTGGCGAACGTGGTGAAATCCCATCTCTACTAAAAACAACAAAAATTAGCTGGGCATGGTAGCATGCGCCTATAGTCCCAGCTACTAGGGAGGCCAAGGCAGGAGAATCGATCGCTCAAACCTGGGAGGCAGAGGTTTCAGTGAGCTGATATCGTGCCACTGCACTCTGGCCTGGGCAACAGAATGAGACCCTGCTTCAATAAATAAATAAATTAATTAATTAATTAATAAAGTATCTTAATGACAAATATTTAAATATATATAAATATTTACATTTACATATGGGAAGAGAGATCTGAAATTTTAAGCAACTTTTATCCAAAAACCTATTTTTTTCAAAGTTCCTCCAACATCTATAAAAGAAGTAAAGTCACTTATAGATCTATCTTACTTCAGGGCCTATGTTTTCCTCTACCATACAACACTGCACATTCACAGACACAGAAATCTTTTACATTTCTAAAATAAATAAAACATCCAAACTTCAGTTTAAAAAAAATGGATCTACAGATCCACCATAGACTAAACGACCAAACATAGTCAGAGGTGTTTACTTGTTTGTTTCGGTCTTAAGGGAATCTTCAAACTACCCTAGAGCCTCGTGTATCCAATGAGAGCAGTTTGGACATTGAATGAATGGTGATGTCATTAAATGAGCTATGGAGCAAGATGTAAGAACACGCTTTAGAGTAAATAACATATTTGGCTTCTGAGGTATAAAAAGGGAAGGAGGCTTTCTCAGGACATTTGGGTACCTGGTCCTTCATACTCAGGAGGTTTTTCCATCTTCATGTCATGGAATAAACTATGCTTTAAAGAAATGCTGCGTCAGCAGAAAGTGTTTCAAATATAAGGAAATTGTCATAGCTTTGAAATTATGTCAAATATCATTTTAACTAAGAGAGCCATTGTCTTTCCATATATTTATCTAGAAGAAAATTTACTGGACAAAATAAATATAGAACAACTTCATGTGTAGTCATTAATGGTCGGATAGGCAGTTACTATAAAATATGAATAATCTAAAAATCATTTTAGCCATTTGTTTTTAATAAATCTCACTTGTGATTGATTTATTAAAAACAGGGCCTCCAGAAGAAAGAAACTTAATACCTTTCCTCCATCATTATGAAGGCACTAGTACTGACGTAACTAAAATTAGATGGCAGCTTGAGGGAGGAAGAGATGATGTAGAGATGGTGTGTAATCTGTGTAAACAGTCTCTCAACTGTCTAGAGTTAGCTGTACGAATCTGTTGTTGGCTCCAGTTATAAGAACCAAGATATGTATGTAAGGACAAACATCCTTAATTTGCTTAGCAAGTCGTATGTATTTGATAGACCACCAATTTTATTTTATTTTATTTTATTTTTGAGATGGAGTCTTGCTCTGTCACCTGGGCTGGAGTGCAGTGGCGCGATCTCGGCTCACTGCAAACTCCATTTAGCAGGTTCAAGTGATTCTTCTGCCTCAGCCTCCCGAGTAGCTGGGATTACAAGTGCTCAAAACCACCCCCGGTTAATGTTTTTTTCTTTTCTTTTCTTTTCTTTTCTTTTCTTTTCTTTTCTTTTCTTTTCTTTTCTTTTCTTTTCTTTTCTTTTTTTAGTAGTAGACACAGGGTTTCACTATGTTGGCCAGGCTGGTCTCAAACTCCTGACCTCGTGATCTGCCCACCTCGGCCTCCCAAAGTGCTGGGATTACGGGATTACAAGCGTGAGCCACTGCACCAGCCCTGATTTTTAAAAGGGATTTTAGAATTTCAGTTGAACATGTGTTTTTGAAGTAACTCCATATTGAATAGGGGAATCAGAGTAAGTAAACCACTACAGGAAAATCAGGAAGGCAGACTCCAATTTATGTTTTCTGTGTATAACCTACTTTAATAAAGAATTAAAAATCATAAGAGTAGTTTTATCTAGTGGCCTAGAACTTGATTATGAAAAGTAAGACAAAGGAAATCTGACCTCATGCCAGTGTCTGGAAGCCTTACAGGAACTGAAAGGACCCACGTGGAACAGCTGGCAACTGAAACTCATCTTGTCAATTTCAAGTGTAGTCCCTCTTCCCAATTCACCGGAGAAAACACAGCCAGCTTTGCATACAGTGTCTGGTGTCACCAGAGAAAACACAGTCAGCTTTGCATACAATATCTGGTGTCAGAATGACCAAACGATTGGCTTCTATCCCTTCAGGATTGTGAACAGAGAGCCAAGGCATACAACCAGTATGCCCACTCCGTCAGCTGCGAGACAGAGGAGATAAAGAATGCTGAACATTATGGGTCACTGCTTTGAAGTATTCAGAGGCCAAAATAGTTCAAAATAATTGTGTTAATCATTAAAAGTAGAAGAAGTGGAAGCCAAAATTATGCCTGCCTATATTTCAGTTTTGAATGTGTGGAGATCAGAAATTTAAAAAAAAGTTTATGAGTTTCCCCTTTTAAACTTTGAGAAAAGACCATAAGAACCGGTGTTTTAGTAAATCATCTTCAAGAGTAATTTACTCATAAAAAGAAAAGAACTCATGATACCGTGTAAACAAAAGGCTAATAAATGCTGGTGTAAATAAGATTAAGGGAGGACAAAGATGAAGGAAAGCAGGACATATCAAAAAACAAATAAATAAGAAATTTTCAGAGCTTGAATATACAAACAGGCACATCAAAAGAGGTTCAATGGAAACCTAATGCAATGAATGGGACAATTAATGCTTTTAAACATCACTTGGAACCACAGAAAATACCAACAGAAAAATCTGGTCACGTACAAGAGATAAGAGTCAGGGTTCCATGGATGTTCTTCTTAGATGAGAAGGACACTTCACTTTTATGGCATTGTTCCCACAAATCCATAACCCAAGTTTCATCATGAGCAAGCCTCAGCCAAAGAAAAATTGAGATGTATTTTACAACATACCTGTTCAGGCCCTTTAAAAATGTCAAAGTTGGCCAGGCACCATGGCTTCCACCTGTAATCCCAGCACTTTGGGAGGCCGAGATGGGTGGATCATTTGAGGTCAGGAGTTCGAGACCAGCCTGGACAATATGGGGAAACCCCAACTGTACTAAGAAAAGATAACAAAATTAGCCAGGTGTGGTGGTGTGGGCCTGTAATCCCAGCTACTTGAGAGGCTGAGGCAGGAGAATCGCTTGAACCCAGGAGCCAGGAGGTGGAGGTTGCAGTGAGCCAAGATCATGCCACTGTATTCCAACCTGGGCGACAGAGCAAAACTCCATCTCCCCCCAAAAAAAGCAAAGTCGTGAAAAACAAAGTAAGACTAAGGAACTGTCAGATTAGAGGGGACTGAGGAAACATGAAAATTAGATGAAATAGGGTATACAGTTTAGAATTATAGAACAGAAAGCAGGACATCAGTTGAACAACTAAAGAAATACAAATAAAGTCTATTTTAGTTAATATTGTTGTACCAATACTAATTTCTTAGTTGTAACAAATAAAATATCATTATGTAAGATGGCAACTTCAGGAAAAGTTGGGGGAAAGATATACAGGAATACTTTGTATTATCTTAGAAACTATTATGTCAATATTTTAATATAAAATTATTAGAAATTGTGTCAGAAACACTGGATGTTAGAAGACAATGGAGGAATGCCTCAAAAAATCTACAGAGAACTTCTTTTCAATCTATCATCATAGCATCAATCAAGTATGAGCTTCAAATTATGATATTTTATAATATGAGAATAATTCTGAAAATTTACCTTATACCAATATTTTCTTAGAAGATTACTTTAGGATGTGCTATAGTCAAACAGAGGAATAAACTAAGAAAAAGTATGATGTGAGATACAGAAAAATATATAGAAACAATTTAGAAAAATAATAAAAAGTAGTCCTATGATAATAGCAATATAAGAATGTTTAGATTGGAATAGAAGATGAATGCCCTCAAGAGTATAACCTCTGAAAGAAAAATTAAATAAATAAAAAAATTCTGACAGGATACCTGATCAGATAGAGATGTGACAAACCAGTATGTTGAAAGGTGATGACAGAAAGAGAGAACGGAAAGAGAGAGGCAGGAAGGAAAGGGGAAAAAAAGAAAGAAATGAAAGGCAATTCTCACACCAGTTAGAATGGCAATTATTAAAAAGTCAGGAAACAACAGGTGCTAGACAGGATGTGGAGAAATAGGAACACTTTTACACTATTGGTGGGACTGTAAACTAGTTCAACCATTGTGGAAGTCAGTGTGGCGATTCCTCAGGGATCTAGAACTAGAAATACCATTTGACCCAGTCATCCCATTACTGGCTATATACCCAAAGGATTATAAATCATGCTTCTATAAAGACACATGCACACGTATGTTTATTGCGGCACTATTCACAATAGCAAAGACTTGGAACCAACCCAAATGTCCAACAATGATAGACTGGGTTAAGAAAATGTGGCACATATACACCATGGAATACTATGCAGCCATAAAAAATTATGAGTTCATGTCCTTTGTAGGGACATGGATGAAGCTGGAAACCATCATTCTCAGCAAACTATAGCAAGGACAGAAAACCAAACACCACATGTTCTCACTCATAGGTGGGAATTGAATAATGGGAACACCTGGACACAGGAAGGGGAACATCACACACCAGGGCCTGTTGTGGGGTGGGGGGAGGGGGGAGGGATAGCATTAGGAGATATACCTAATGCTAAATGACGAGTTAATGGGTGCAGCACACCAGCATGGCACATGTATACATATGTAACTAACCTGTACGTTGTGCCCATGTACCCTAGAACTTAAAGTATAATATATATATTATATATATATAAAGAAATTCCAAGAAAATCAAAAGGCTGCATACAAATGAAATACTATATGACCATTATTTCCTTCTTGGCTTTTTCAAGAACAACATTTACTTAGCTACCACACTGAAATTACTATTCATTAATTTTAAGTAAACTGGCATTGAAAATATGGTTAATCTGGTTTTTCTTTTTTTTTTTGAGACAGGGTCTCGCTCTGTTACCCAGGCTGGAGTGCAGTGCTGTGATCTTAGCTCACTGCAACCTCTGCCTCCCAGGTTCCAACAATCCTCCCACCTCAGCTTCCCCCAGTAGCTGGGATTACAGCTGTGTGCCACCATGAACAGCTAATTTTATATTTTTAGTAGAGATGGGGTTCGCCCTGTTGGCCAGGCTGGCCTCGAACTCCTGACTTCAAGTGATCTGCCTGCCTCAGCCTCCCCAAGTGTTGGGATTACAGGTGTGAGCCACCGTGCCCAGCCCAGAAATGTGTTTAGTAGTTTGAAGGGGCAAGTACCAGGTGCTAAGAGTTCACAGGGGAGGGATACTGGACTTAGACCTTCGGAATCAAGAAAAGCTTTCTATAGAAAGTACTGCCTAAGCTGAAGACTGAACACTGACCAGGCTGAATGAAAGATGTAGTGCTGGAGAGGATTTCCGTCAGAAAAAACATTTGAGAAGGTCCAGAAGAAAAATAAAACATCTTGTGTTCAAGGTACTGAAATAAATTGAGATTAAGGGGAGTGAAGAGTCAAGGTCTGGAGAGGTATTGAGTTGTCAAGAAATACAGTTTGAGAGGTAAAGGCCATATTAGGAAGTAATATATTTTTAAACTTTTGAAGCTTATTCTAAGGCTAATAACAAAGTGGTGTAGGCAGGAAAGTTGCAGTTATTATAAAACTTTCAGAAAGATTTATTTAAATTAATTGGAATTGAGAAAGAAAGGCATTATTTTACGTAATAAAAATATTTATTTGTTGTGTAAAAAATAAATAGTTTGGCCTAGAGGAGAACAGGGCCAGTAAGGAAGAGGAGAAATGCATAGATATAAAGGGTGTTAGGATAAAGCATAAGTAAGACTTAATGATAATTTAAACTTAAGGAACAAGGAAAATGAAGGAGTAATGAATACTTGAGTCACTTTGTAGATAGAGGCACCAATCACTCAACTCAGACAGAGTAGACTAGAGGTGGTTTTGGGGAAGCTAAAGACTCCACTTTTAGATCTCTGGAATATCCAAGATGGGAATTCAATTAGGCTATGATTTCAAGTTCAAACAAGAGAAACGGGATGGAGATATTTTTAGATACCATCTGATAATGATTAGTGATTGAAGCCATGGGAATGGATATTTTGTCAATGTTCTTTTGAGAGCTGTATCCTTCCGTAGTTATCTGATGGGTTTTTTAAATGGCGTAAAATAATCAGTAATTTAGAAGTTTCTATAAAGAAAGTTCGGCTACAAATACTTATCCTTTCTCTTTCATTCTCAAACCATGCATTAACCACCTATTAATGTGTTTAGAAAAACAGTAAGTAATTCAGGGTTCATGCTGACAGAGAAGACCCACATAAGCAAACCTCGCTATAATACAAGGAGCTAAATTCCCCAATATAAGAATGCAGTGTGCTCTGTGGGAATATGGAGAAACAAAGATAAGGAAAACCTAGGCAGAAATAGTTCAATTGATTGTTATTTCATACTGAGACAAATTTGCCAAGTATAAACTATATCCTATTACAAATTTAGATGCTTTGGGCCATGGGTCAGCTCCACGGCGACACCTACACTGAAGTTGTATTTAAGCTATCTGTCTGGATCACTTGGTTCACAAAAATGTTTGGATTACAAAAAGGAAATATCATACACCTTGGAAGAACTGGCTCATTAGTCAAGATGCTGCTTACCAGTTGCCTGGGTTGGCTGCTGTGGTAAAGCAATATCGGTTGGAAAGCTGGGGCTGGAAGTCGGGGAGAGGCTGTCTTCTATATCTTACATTTGCTATGTCTTTGGAAGAAAGATGCTTTCTGCAGTGTTCCTTAAATTTAAATATCTTTTCCTTTTGGACTCAAGGGTATGTTTATTCGACTTCATCATATCTAATCTCCTAGAATATTATTAACCTGAAGTTATTGTCAGTATCGTATGATATTTATTGAATAACAATATGCTCTGATACTGCATATGAAATGAAATAACAAATGAACCTCCCTTACTTTAACTTAACTACTAATTAATTAGAAAAGAACCTTCACTCAAGGGGTTTGGAAAGGTCCAATAAGGGAATTAACAGATGAGAATTTAAGAGTACCTGAACCCATCTCGATTTGAGATTTACGTGATGCTGGGTGATTAGTGATAAGAACAGAATGAAGTCAGCTCAGGAGGCATCGTGATCTGGAAAGGAGGGAGATATTTCAGTGAATAATTGAGAGGATTCAGACAAAGTCATATGAGAGAAGCAGAGACAGACAGAGGGCAGGAGTCAGTGGATATGAGAATGATACTAGGAAGATGAAGAATGGACTGATTTGTAAAGAAATTGAGACCCAAGTTATACTGTGTTAAGAGATAAGTTAAAACCATTAAAAAATATTGGGAGATCCTGAATTGCTTTCAAGCCTAGTAATTTGATGTAAGAAATAGTGAGAAATGCTCTTGATGTTGTGTCTGTTTCAGGGAAAGTTTTGTGGAGACAATGAAATAAATAAAATAGCATATTTAGATCAAGAGGCTGGTTTTCTTTTTCACAGGAAACATCTAAGAAACTGTTAAAAGGGACAAGGTTTGAGTGTTAGAACGTGAAATAGGGCTATGGTAATAAATTGTTACCATTCCGAAGATTATCAAATTATCTCCCAGCCAAAAAAAGAGTTTTTAAACAAACATATGAAGATATACAATATAATAAATAAACTAGTATGTTTATTTCAGATTCAACCATTTTAACCACAAAGAACAAAACAACCTCAACTGAGAGCAGGCTTGATTTATGTAAGCAAAGATTTGGATTTGAGGCAGTGAATATAGGAGGCATTGGAAAAGTTTGGGAAAAGGCTGGTGGGCTTTGTGAGACAAAAGTGACCATGCCATGAGAATTGTGAAAATAATGTAGATGTGGAATCCTGTAACAATGGCAATTAGTGATGAAGTGGTGACATGGGAATAAAGAGAAATGGGTCAACGTGATCATTTTTAGAAGGAAAAGCACTGAAACTTTGGAATGAGATTATGAAAAAAAGAGGATGAGAAATTATGTTTCCAAGGTTTATTGCAAAAGCTGTGATGATGGCATACCTCAGATAGAAATGAATTATTTTAAAGGAAACCAGTTTTTAGAGAAAGATAATGAATCCAATTTTGAACACATTGAATTCAAAGTGACAATCCGTCATCCATGCAGACTACCATGTAGACAGATAACCAAATAGAATAGAAACACCCACCATATATAATAAAACCACAGGTGCACTCATTGAGTGAACCAGTACAGATAAACTATATTGTAGGGGCTCTCACATCTGGGAATAGGAAGACTCAATGAAGGCAATAAGGGGAAGTTAAAAAGAATAAGATAAACTGGGGAATTCAAGAAGATCTTCTTTGGCTTCCATAAGATCCTAGACTGTTTCTAGGAAGCAGTCACAGTTCAGCCATGGCCCAGAATGGTGATGACCGAGGGCAGGGCCATGGTTTGGTGCTCAGAGACCATTTGCCCTCTAGGAGCAACTGATGGAGAGAATAAATTGGGGAGAGAATAAATCTAGGGCAGTTGAAGGAGAGAGTAAATTGTAAACCAAGAATGCCATAGCTAAAAGGGAAGCAGCAGGCAAGTTTGCACTTTTGAGGAGAAATTCTAGGAAGGGATTTCTCCACATTTCCATTTTAGGCCAGAAGTCTTTGACATGCTAGAGAGAAAGATGGATTTTTTTTTTAATGAATAAATGAGATAGTTGGCATTTTTGGCATTTTTGGCAAAGAAAGATTTCATTTTCAAGACCAAAATTTAAACAGCAATATTTAGCACAAAAAATGCTTGTCAAATTCCTGCTGAATTTGAAAGCAACAGCATATTAAAGCTTTTTCTTCTTTCCTGCAATAGCTGATGTTCACGATACAGTATTCCCTTGCCCTGGTGGGAGTATGTCCTCGCTTATCCTGGTGGGAATATGTTCCCCTTTATCCTGGTGGGATATACTCCCTCTTATCCTAGTGGGACATGTTCCAAGACTCCCAGTGGATGCCTGGAACCATGAATGGTACCAAGCCCTACACACACTATGTTTTCATCATATACATACACATGTATGATAAAGTTTAATTTATAAATTAGGCATAGTTAGAGATAAACAATAATAGCTAATAATAAAATAGAATAATTATAACAATATACTGTAATAAAAGTTGTCTGATGTGGTCTCTCTTTCTTTCAAAATATCTTATTGTACTGTACTCACCCTTTTTTGATGATGTGAGAAGATACCATGCCTATGTGATGTGATGTGATGAAGTAAGGTGAATGAGAAAGGCATCATGACGCAGGGTGGCCTACTATTGACCTAATAAGCAGGTTGTGTCTGCAGCATGGAGACTCTGGAAAAGGGATGATTCATGTCAAGGGAAGAATTGAATGGGACAGCACAGATTTTATCACATTACTCAGAGCAGTGCACAATTTAAAACTTATGAATTGTTTATTTATAGAATTTTCCATTTAATATTTTGAAAAGGCAGTGTGCCACAGGTAATTGAAACCACAGAAAGTGAAACTGCAGATGAGGGAGGACTACTGTATTCTTAGAGCAATTGTATATCATTGGAATATTATTGATAGTTTAATGAAAAAACAAATTAGATCAACATGGGTGGTACCATTAGGAAAGATGGTAGATTTTCAATTCAAATTCACAACTTTCAAAGAAAAATATTGTGAGTCTCTGCTATGAGATAGATATTGAGAAATGGTGTAGATATATATTCGTCTGTTTTCATGGTGCTAACAAAGACACACCCGAGACTGGGCAATTTACAAAAGAAAGAGGTTTAAGAGACGCACAGTTCCACGTGGCTGGGGAGGCCTCACAATCATGATGGAAGGCAAGGATGAGCAAATCACGTCTTACACGGATGGCAGCGGGCAAAGAGAGAGAACTTGTGCAGGGAAACTCCTGTTTGTTAAAACCATCAGATCTGATGAGACATAGTCACTACCATAAGAAAAGCACAGGAAAGATCCACCCCATGATTCAGTTACCTCTTACCAGGTTCCTTCCACAACGTGTGGGAATTGTGGGAGTTACAGTTCAAGATGAGATTTGGGTGGGGACACAGCCAAACCATATCAAGATATCAGCAGAAATGAGCAAAAAATGAGTGATTTTAAAATTACTCGGTTTATTACTGACATTCTGATGTGCATTCCTTAAGAGATAATTACATTCTACACCTAATGCCAAAGTTCTTACAGTTCAAACTCTAGGAGCAAGAGCTGCCCAAGAACCATTGCCAAAAAGTTACAGGGAGAGCCTCAGTGTTTGTTTGGACTCTCCAGCTCCTACCTTCCCCTCTCTCTTTCCTTGCTCTTCTCTCTCCATCATTCTTCCCAGCCTTCCCAGGTTCTGGGGACTCAGCTTCCATGATGCTGCCTCAGACTTTCTATCCATACGGTATTATTGCACTGTGTCTCAGAGGAGAAGAGGGAGGCCATCTGGAGAAGGTACAGGGCACCTCAGCAGTGTCTCTTGCCTGTCCATTGCTCCTGCTTCCTGATCCCTGCCAGGGGCACACCTGGAGAAACTTAGAAAACCCTTCAGAAAAGAGTAACAGAGAAAACTCACCAAATACAAGCCATTCAATGTGCCATCATAGGTTCAACCCAAATCTTGTTTCAAGTTACAGATAGAGAATTCCAGTGCTTCTTATCAGCTTTACGAATTTTATTCATGCTTCAGAAAGTTGCTAAACAGTGTAAATGAATATTTGGGAGAAGAATAAAAGAACTACTCCGAAAATCTGAAAAGAGTTAAAATAAATTCCAGTGCACTTTGATTCTTCCTTTATAAATACAAAGGATTTATGGTCTTTTGCATCAGCCAGGGTGGCCACTGGGAAGTCAGAGTTTATCTATATCCATCTTCACATTTATTACAACCACACACAGCATTTATCATACTTGTATTCAGACATGATGCTATTATTATTTTCCACTGGCATGGCTTTTAAACCCCAAAGCATTAGAGACAGATAGATAGATAGATAGACAGAGATATTTATACAATAAAAGAATTATATATATAAATAAAATTTCTTTATATAATGAAGAAATTCATATAAAGGAATATATTATATACTATATATGGTTGTATAAAATTATATATTATAAATTATATATTATATGTAATTTACATGTTTATAATTTATAATTATATTATATATAATTATATAATTTATAAAATTATATATAAAAATTGTGTATATTATAAAATATGTAATATATAATTTATAATATATTATAATTTATATATAATACATAATATATATTATAATTTATATATAATACATAATATATAATATATTATAATTTATATATAATATATAATGTATTATATATATCATGTATTGTATATATACATACATATTTCCACCAATGTGATTTTAAAAGACTACCATAAACTCACTGAAAAGAAAACATAACAGTTGGTTTCCAAGACATGAGGACATCAGTTGGAATAACGTTTCTTCCATAGAATTAAATGCATCTCTGGTGTCTTGGAAAGGCAATTTCCTCTCAAATGGGTAAAGTGTTTGTACTAATACTGTATAAAAATGAATACAATAAAATAGGCACAAAGAATCTCACAACTTAAAACATCCCATCTTTATTCTATAGCTGTAAGCTCAGAGAGACAATGATCCCATGATTTTATGGGAGTAGAAAAACACTTTATTGAGTGTTTTCTATGTATCAGACACTGTGTACATTTTGCTATGTTGTCCCGATTTTATTAAATGCAGTCCTTTTCCTGTTCAGTGTCACCATTCGGAGGTTTTTTTCAAGACACTCTGGTGCTCCATGAGATCTAATCTCCATTAATGTGACATATATGCTGATATTATGTAAGTGTGTGTGCATACGTACACTGACACACATCGTTTGCATTTGTAATTTTTTTTTACCCAGTTGCCTCATAAAAGATTAAAATGGAAGATTAGACTCCATTCAGAGTTTGACAATGCCTCAATAATAAATCAGTTCTCATCATTTGAAGAACTATGAGGTGGAACAAAAACTGATTTGAGATTCATACCGTTGTATACCTACTCTTTAAAAAAAAGATGCAATTTACACATCTGCAAATCTTAGGAAATGGCTTAGAGAATTTGCATGATTTGGGCACATGAAGCCATTTTAGCACATAAATTCCTTCCTTTCATCTCTAACGGGTGTAGAAAGGATACAAACATATTTTTTGCAGATGATGTGAATTATTGACTGGCATAAATAGCAACTCACACTAAATGCTTCAGAAATGTGTTTTTTAATTGAGTGAAGATGGAATAAAAAAATGCAGGAAAAGTCCTGTTCTATGAGAGCTGAAGATATGGAATTAGATACAGTATTTGTGAGTGTGTGTGTATGTGTGTGCCATAGCTAATATTATAATTTTTGGTTGGTCTTCCTTGTCCATTTAATGTTTGCAGCATTTGTTGATGGATTTTTACTAAATGATGACAAAATAATGAAGCAGATTAGTAAGAAAACCTACAAATTGTTTACTAGATCTTCACTATCTATATTAAATAGATGAACTAAAAGGTAAATATGGATTTTTACCTACTAAAGAAAACTACTAGAATTTATTGCACTTTAAAAATATCATGTAGTGTGTTGTAAAATGAACCCAATCAGATGTTCTCTTAAAGGACTATATTAGGGTATTGTAAATAGTTTTCCTAAAAGTGGATTTTTTTTTTTGCACCACAATTCAAATAATGCCAGAATTGCCAGCTATAAACCAAATGTGAAGTCCATGAGCTTGAAAAGCCCATAGTGTTCACGGGGATCAGTCCCTTTTTTTACACTGGAAACAGCCCCAGAAAGTTCCAGCCAGTAATGAAAGATGGTGCACAATGGCTGTGACAGAACCGTGATCAAATTCGGTCATTGTGAGTCTTCTGGCCAGCGTCGATTTTCTACCACATGTGTTTTGCGGCCTCCATAAGATGTTAAAGGAACACTGAATCATTGGCAATCCATAATACTCAGATTCTTGGCTTAGAGAGATTATTTACCCCGGGGTGCCTTTCTAACATAAACACTAGCCTTGGGTATAGTAACAGGGAGTACATAGAATAGTCCAACTCATATGAATGCAAGAAATTATAATGTGATTAATTTTTTTGGTCATTTCAATTTATTGAAGGTAATTCAGTTGGCTCTGTGAATGTATATAGGAAATTTAGAAATATTAATATGTTTTTATTTTTTTCCTCTAGGTTAACTGCAGTGAATCAAACTATTGGATTATAATTCCATGAAGGTAAGAAAGAGCTCCAGATGGTTTTCATCCTATCACCAGGACCTGCACAGTATGAGTACCTGGTGCATAACAAACTTTATTAATTATCTTTTCTCTCTTTCTTTCCCCAACCATGTGTATACATACACACGCACACACACATATATATGTACATACACATATATACATGTGTATGGACGCATAATCACATACACACGTGTATATATACACATATATACATGTGTATGTACATACTCATGTACACATATGTGTATATATTCACATATATACATGTGTATGGGCATATACATATATATAATACATGTGTATGGGCACATTCCTCTATATACACACATACACACACGTACATACAATAAATAAATGGTTGAATGGCAAAATGACTAAATGGATTTAGTACAACCTAATGATATGCCACAGATTTGTCAAAGAGCCCTGGAATTGAGTAAAAATGAATGAACTAAATTCCAAGATCTTTTACAACCTATGATTTCATTCCAGCAGAAATTTGTAAATATGTGTACCATAGATTTATACAAAACGTTAATGGTGGCATTATTTGGAATAGCTCCAAATGGGAAAAAGCCCAAATGTCAATCAACAGTAGAATGGATGGATTTTGGTATATCCATAGAATGGAATTCTAGACCACAGTTAAAATGAGTAGATTATTGCTACACCCAGCAACATGGATGAAACTCAAAACTCCTTGAGTGGATAAAGCCAGGCTGTTTACGATTACATTCTCTGTAAGAACTTTTATTCAAATTTCAAATACAAGCAAAACTATTCTACAGTGAGACAAGTCAGTGGTTACCTTTGGCAGTTAGTGTACCCAGGCTGGGGCAGGAGGGAAGTTTCTAGGTGATGAAGATGTTTTAATTCCTGATCTAATCCTAGCTTTACTGATGGGTTTACTTTGAAAAATTCATCAAGGTGACTATGCACTTTCTGTAGGTTTACATGAAAATTTCAATGACACACTTGATTGTATGACTTTGGATATTACTTTTCTTTTCTGTGCCTTAATTTCCTCAATTGAAAAGTGAGGAAGAGAATGCTTACCTCTAAGGATTGACATCAAGATTAGTGGCTGAGCACGGTGGTTCACACCTGTAATCCCAGCATTTTGGGAGGCAGAGGCAGGCGGATCACAAGATCAGGAGTTTGAAACCAGCCTGGGCAAGATGGTGAAACCCCGTCTCTACTAAAAAAATACAAAAAAAAAAAAAAAATTAGCCAGGCATGGTGGCATGCGCCTGTATTCCCAGCTACTTGGGAGGCTGAGTCATGAGAATTGCTTGAACCCGGGAGGCAGAGGTTGCAGTGAGCTGAGATCACGCCACTACACTCCAGCCTGAGCAACAGAGCAAGACTCCATCTAAAAAAAACAAAACAAAACAAAAACAAACAAACAAACGAAAAGATTAGATTAGCAAGTAGAGTATGTGTAAAACCACCTGGAAAAATGCCTGGAGTGTGTGTTCAGTATTTAATTGTAGAAACAGTTACCTTCATAAACAACAGGACATTGTGGGAACATCTGTTAATTACCGAACAGTCTTTTTAGGACCCCCTGGGGTTTGTGGATAGTAATTTTTATTAATAACACCTTTATATGGGCTGAAATCACAATGATACTGTGTCAAATTAACCAGCAGTTAAGAGCTATGCTTCTTCTTTTTGCCAATTTACTTGTTTTATTTGTTTTTAATTGACAAATAAAATTGTGTGTATTTATCTTGCACAACAAGGTGTTTTAAAATATGTATACATTGTGGAATGGCTAAATTGAGTTAATTAACATATGCATTACCTCACACAGTTATTTTAGGAACTACGTTTCCAGAAGTCTGTAAGGTAGATGGATTGATATTTTTAACCTGATTCATTCATTCTTCATTTAACCCAGGAATTTTTTGAGGGTCAGTTTCAGAGCATGCGCTACACTAAGTGTCGGGATTACTAACATCAAGGAACAGTTACTGACACAACAAATCGATGTGAAGTCCTAAAAGAGAGAACATAGACAGACACATAAAAACATAGTATAACACAATATATTAAAATATACACAACAAAACATATAAGATAAACACAGAAATGTTTGGAGCAATGAATTAGATACTTAACTGGTTTAGAAATGTTTTGAAGAAATGTATGCTAATATGTCTTTTGTTCAAAATTTATTAATTATATAATTAACTTTTAATTATGATAAAATACATAATATAAAATTTATTATCTTAAGTACTTTTAAGTATTCAGTTCAGTCATGTTCACTATATTTATATTGATGTGGAACAGATCTCTAAAACATTTTTATCTTGCAAAACTGAGACTCTACACCCATTGAACAACCTTCCATTAATATTGTTTACATGTTAACACATTTCATTATATTATAATGTATTATCGATAACATATTATATATAAATATATTTATAAATATACATGAAATTTGTATATTTGAAGTATTAGTTTCAAACAATGCTACATATATCTAAGGCTTCTAGTCCTATATTGGACTTACAGTGGAAATCTGGGAAATTGGCCAGCATTTCAGTGTGAAGGAGGAAGGATGCCGTGTTCTCTCCCATCTGTTTCAGAAAACCAGTGTGGAGAAGATGCATAATAGGCTTGACGCATTTTTTATAATGATGTTTATATTTTCATTTTCTTTTTCATAGTCACAATGAAAGTGAAAGCAAAGGAAAGAGCTAATGTCCCACAGGCCACTGGGTAATAGCGAACTGTGAAGGGTGTGGAGTGGACTCACTGGGAGACGGGAGCCCATGGACCCCTCCCCAGCTCCTTTGCTCCCACAGCAATCTTCTCCCTTCTCTTTCTTTGTCTCACAGTCTAGAAGAGTGACATTTCAAAAATTATAGCAGCAGAGGTGTTTTTACCTATAGCAAAAGATGTACATGTAATCACATTATGACATACTACAAAACAGGTAAAAACAGTAGTTTTTAGTACTTTTATAAATTCAAACTTAGCAATTTTCCTTATTTCAACATTAATATCAATAGGCATTAATGCCAGTTTTTTAATGCCAGTGATTTTTAACCTGCTGAAATTTGTTTTATAACTTACTGCGGGGTAAATGAGATATTTAGTTATACTTTTGAAAGTATTGCTTGTGTATAAAACACCTTGAAATAAAAGTTTGAAGATGTCCTATGAGTTGCTGTGAAAAGAGTAGTTGTGAAAGTTTCAAAATGACAGATGCATTTTAATGGCAGAGTAGGAGTTCATTTATCCAAAAAAGAGGGAAATACAGCTCAAAGAGTAAAGCAGATGCAGAGAACAGCAAACAACGGTCAGAGCATTGTGAATCTTCAGCTTTGATCTTGAGTACCTAGCTAGATATTACTGTCAACGGCTAAGATTAAAATGTAACAATATCAGGGGAAATGCATTTGAGAACAGTAAAACATTTATTTTGTACATATATAGCTTGAAATGCATATGGGAAATGTAGGTGGAGATTTTTAGTAGGCAATAGCATATGTGAGTTTGAAATGTAATGCGGATATATAATCTAAAACTGGTTCTCAATTCTGACTGCACATTAGGAAATTTACTGCTTAAAATGACTAAATCTCAGGCCCAACTGCAGATTGATTAAATTAAAATTTATGGGGATGTGCGCCTGAATTTTTTTTTTCATTAAAAAAAAAAAAAAAGACTCCCCAGGCGATTATAAGAAACTGCCAGCTTTGGAAACTGCTGGCCTACAATTAGTGTCAACGTCATCATCGTGTGGGCTGTTGTTGGATGGATGAGAACAAGGATGGATGAGAACATCTAGAGAGTGCAGGTTGTTCCTCTTCTTGTCTTCTATTTGCCCTTCAGATCTGCCCTTTCATGTAGTCTGGGCACCAGAGCACCCTGAGCCCAGTGGACTGCACCAGTGGACTCTTCCATCCTCAGGGTTTTGGTAAGCACCATCTAGAGGAGGCATAGAGAGAAAATCAGGGACCCAGGAAGGTGAAAACAGGTTTTGTTTTCCCAGCTTCCTTTCTGCTGGGTCAAGGGGTAACTGCAGGTTGAGGGTCATCCTCAGTCAAAGGCCACAGCTGCAGCAGGTGCACCTCTTCACACAGCTGCTTCTAGAGTCTGCTTAGCTGCTTCAGGTCAAGGGATGATGAGGTCTCCCAACTGTTGCTAGCTCTATAGTTCTCAGCCATCTTCAGTTGATTCCCCTAAATCCTGCCTGCCCCTTCGTAGACAGTACCTTCATTAAATATTCCTCATTGGTTAAAAAGTAGTGACCTTGTGCTGAATATTCTATGCCAAGCCTCTGCCTGCTGCAGTAACATAAGAAGAGTTGTGGCTGAAGATGGAACCAAGAGAGAAAATGACCTTTAAAAGATGTAACGAGGTGCCCAGGGAAAGTTTTGGCAATGGAATCTGAGCATGTAGAGTTTAAATGTAAGAACGGAAAAATATCTGTTGTATTTGAAAGGTCACGAAAGGCTTCTTCCCGAGAGGAATTTTAGTGGTGCGCTAACAAAAATCAGATGGCAGGGGCTGGGGCATCAATGCAAGTGAAGAAATGAAGGGTGGTTATTTGACAAGTTTGATGATAGGAGGAATAAAGAATTTGGATTTATTAAAAATAAGACATGGAGCTAATCAATTGAGATTGCCAAACTCTTTTAATGAAAAGTAGCTGTGCTCTATCTCCAGCAGTTGCAACAGAGCACTAATAATATCACCGAGACTATTGATGTGAGGGCAATATACATACTCAGTGCTGTAAAGGCTTAGATTTTTGATAGCTACTCAAGGAAGAACACAAAGAATTAAGTCTTGATTTTTAAAATGAACAAAGATATAAAGAGAGAAAATACAGAATGTATACGAATAATCAAAACATATGAAACGACGGCCATCTCTGGTAATCAAAAGAAGGCTACTACAAGCAATGATATATGTTTTGCCTTATAACTTCATAAAGATTCAGAAAATGGGCCATAGCCACTATTGGCAAGAAGGCAAATAAAGTCCATTTTTGGTCAGAATGTCAATTTATGTATCTTTTCTGAAGTCTGGTCTTTGCACTCTTACCCTTTTAAAGAAAACATTAATTGTTTCACTGAAGCTCTGAGTTCATATGGCCATGCTCTCCTGCCCAGGTGTTCTCTCCCTTAAGCCTTCTCTTGAGCACTTATGTGCCACTCATCATCATGACTTCAGTCCTTAAAGTTTCTTTAATACCACTGGACTATAAAATAGGACTGACGAAAAGACCCATTCAACATTCCATTGAAGGATTAAATGCTATGTTTTAAGATATAATTTTATAACATACATCTATCATGAAATCCATTGACTCTTCACAATTAGATGCTCTTACATAGAAAACATAGTTACTTACAAAGTCATGGTTGAAATGAATCTCTGCTGTAACGCCATTACATATCCCTAAAACATATTTAAGAATTATGAAGAGGAGCATTATTGAAAACAAAATGTATTGACACTAAAGAGTAACTATTTTAAAAAGGTAATATCATGATACTCATATGAATATCAAATGAATGCATGTCAAATATTTTATTTAACTCTTTAACTAATGAAGAAATGGGTATGATGCTACACCCAATTCAAGGTAGAATTCAAAATTCAAAATAAACACATATATACATAAATCAGGAATTTTGAAATGAATGTACAAAATGATGCAAAACTGGCTTTTTCCATGGAGATTGGGGTCGTTGTCCAGGAATCAGTAGTTATTTCCAGGGACAAAATTCATTTGCATTTCTATGGGCAAGTGTCATTTAAACTGCAATCAGTTATCTACAATTTATGGAATCGTAACCACTTTAAAAAAGATGAAAACAGTTAACCTGAAAGTTTCTCCTGCACTAAATGAGAAAGAAGCTCAGTTATTTTTAAATTTGCTTATTTTTGTCTTGTTCTTTTTTAATTTCACAATATTTGACTGACAGTAACTTACCTGATAGTGATAAATCAATTTGTGCCACATCTCATGGCATATCAGCTTTCTGTGTCTTTGTCCATCTCAAACAACCCCACATGCCTACCTCAACATGAGTTTTATCTCCCTTCAAACTGGATTAATGGTATCCATGTTACATGACTTTATACGTGTTCTTCACTTTACAGCAAATAGTTATGAACAATTAATGGAACACACACACACACCCAGATAGGAATGGGACCCTCTGAGTTTTGTTCACAGAGTCTATACTCTTTTCTATTGTGTCATATAATGGTGACAATTCAATTAGGTGGCCTATGTCCACAATCCATGGCATAAACGCCGGTAAATTTACAGATTCTCCGCATCCTATTTGGCAAGTGCTTCAGTGATATCTGTAGCCTGAAGAGAAAAGCTAAGTTTTTCCTATTTCTCTCTCTTCTTTCCTTCCCTTTTCTTTTGAATTTCCTAAAACAAAGGAAGAAAAAGGAGGGGAAGAATTTGGCAATGTGTCAGTTAATTTCATCAATGTAGACAAAGTTAAATTAGGAGGCTGAATTACCAAGACTGGCTGTTTCCATTGATGAAATTAAATCAGGTAAATTGCCAGTGCTTCACAAATGCTGTCTCAGGTGTGACTGAAGTTGTGATTGATTGGAAAGTACTCACAGAGAAAACAAGTACAGGAAAAACAGCACTATTCCAAAATGCAGAACAAAACCACACATATTTAGGCTTTACAGTTTTCGTGCTCCTTCATATTCTTACTTTGATGTATTTCTGCCTTTTAATTTAGCCTTTTCCTAAAAAAAATAGTTTGCTTTACAGTTTACAAAGTAAGATATGCTTTAAGAGGTAGAAAAATGAGGCAAGTGAAAATGAATTAAAAAAAAAAAAAGAATCCAGGAGCAAAGTCAGTCCACAAAGTTTGTCTGTGACATCATTGTCCTTCCAAACAAGGAGCTTCGAGTTCAACTCCAAACATTAGCAGTGCAGACGGGAAAATGCAGTGACCAAAATCAGAGTCCCTGGGTGAAAAGCAAGCCATTTAATAGGAATGAAAGAGTCCTGCTATAAATACTACAGAAAATAATTTTCAAATCTACTCTCCTAAGGAGAACACTGTGCAAGATAATGAATATCATCTTTAGAAACATCTTCTTGTAATTATTTCTTAAAATATCCTTCCAGACAAAGCAATGACATCATTACAAACTCCAACTTAGCAAAACGCTTTTTGGAAAAAGGAAAGTGGAAGGACATTGAGTGATGTCCACATATGTAGCTCTCTGATGATTTGACTTCATCCAAGAATCGTGGGAAACAGCTAGAATGGGGTGAATTTTATATCTCCCAAACAGTTTTTCATAAATATCATTTTATTTGACTAAGCTTTCAAGTGTGACTCAATGATAGTAAAGGGGAGAACCTAATTCCTGACAATTGCATGAGATGTTGGTCTTCAGTGTTGCCAGTTAACTGAGAAACTATGTTAATAATCAGCCGCGTTAGCCCTTTTCTGTTAGATAATTTTATTATTCGCAATTCTCTTTGATGGGTATTAGGTTTAGACAATTGACCAGCAAACTATTTTTTTTTGAAAATGACCACAAACATGTTAAAAATGGATGAACCCTGAGAGGAGACAGGAAAACAGCACCTAAAAATAGTAGAAGGATATTATTTCTCTGCCATTATGGACTTATAACATAATAAACATTTAGTTGGTTCACTTTTTTAGTATCAACACTTTTATTAATTGCTTCTTTTTTTACAAATTTGATTTTATTATTTTGATACCTACTGATCTCTAATTTCTTGAGAAAGTCTGTCTTACTTTAATAAAATGACATACAGTGCATTTTAAACTTAAATACTGTATATTCATATTTAAATCTGAGATTATTGGGACATAATGATATAAGAATTTATATAAGGCCATCCTCTGAATCCATATTCAATTAAACTAAAAAAGGATGTCCGATTTAGGAATCCCACAGACCCATCAGTAATCAGGCAAGTACTTAACAGCCATCCTATCATTGGTCTCTCTAGTTTTTATTTATTCTTGTAGTATTAGCAGATGATTTCTATAATGTTGATCAAATCAGATTTACGATCTAAGTTGAGTTAAATCTCAGAGAATCAAACTCCATTGTGGAATGGAAGTTTTTAGTTTCTTATATATGGCAATATTTTGTAAGATATTTTCATAACTAACAAAGTATTCTCATTATAAATTAAGTACATTTCTCCCTTAAGCTTTTTAAAAAAAATGATTTTAGAAAATTCCTGAAATAAGTATCAAAATGCAAGATTGTAAAATACGTTTTGATAAATCAGAAACATTCTTATTAAGAGTTTTCTTTATTGATAAGTTATACTTCTATGTTTATAAAATATGTTGTATTGTTAAATGAAGCCAATGAAATTGATCAAGGGTTAGGTTTTAGAATATTTCTGTCCAGAGCTTTGCTCCTCCAAATTCTGTCGTGTTAGAATTTTATTTTTTGACTACAGGAGGATAGAAGCCTAAAACATTTTAAAACTACATAATCCGTTTTTAAAATTACACATGTAAAATGGTGTGCACAAATAAATACTCTGTCACGCAAACATGCACACAGAGCATAAACACATGTACACACATTACATATTAATGCTTCTTCTAGGACACAGATTAATAAGTAGTAGAGAAAAAAGAATTACAGATACAATCTCAAAGCTTGTCATATTTCTACAAGGTAAATATATATCTCAGTGATAGTGCTATCAAAACCATACCATCAGGTTAAAGAAGTGGGTAAATATTATCAGAATTTAATGTGAAAACAGGATTATATTCCTACTATTGCCTGGTGACATAGTACTCAACACATTTTTTTTCGTGTTATTCATGTTAAATGTTAATCTGTTAATTTAAATTAAATCAAATTAAATAAAATCTGTTAAAGAAAATTGTTCAAATAGCTTCTCCCTAAAGTTTTCTTTAGTTCAAAAGATTCTGATGCTATATTTTAACCTACAGCTTACAAACAAATTTGGGTCTTTTAAAACTTCCATTCCCTCAATTTTAGTAAAAAAGAACCCTACTTTTATAACTTACATTAAACATTGGAAATAATGTATAACTTACTTATTAGTCTTAACTTTGGGAGAGAAGAGGTTTAAGTACGTATTTTAAAAAAAACAACAGAAATGAGTACTCATGATAAATAGTATATGCACCTAAAATATACTAAAATTAATGAGTACAAATACTCATTCAGCTCTCAAAGTAACTCTCCCAACTGAATAAACACGTTTAAAAATATTTTAATGTATTTATTTGTGAGTTACACAAATCCATTAGTTTAATATTTAGATAATATGACAATGATATATGAGACACAATTTATTTTAAGAATATTTATATAATAAATAAATAAATAAATAAATAAAAATAACATAACCTAAGTATACCTTAGAAAAACTATGGGGAAATGTTAAAGATAAGGCTTGGGAACTTTGCCAGCACAGTGTGGGTATCATAGTGTAGGTATTCTTATTTCAATTAAACTAGTTGCTTTCAGTTTAAAAAGTAGATGATTTTACATACAAGTTTGCACTTCTAGCTTCTCTTTTCAAAATGAGTTCAGGCCTTCCCATCCTGACACCTTGAAAAAGCTGTGGCGAGGCCGGGCGCGGTGGCTCACGTCTGTAATCCCAGCACTTTGGGAGGCTGAGGCGGGCGGCTCACGAGGTCAGGAGATCGAGATCATCCTGGCTAACATGGTGAAACCCCGTCTCTACTAAAAATACGAAAAATTAGCCGGGCGCGGTGGCGGGCACCTGTGGTCCCAGCTACTCCGGAGGCTGAGGCAGGAGAATGGCGTGAACCCGGGAGGCGGAGCTTGCAGTGAGCCCAGATGGCGCCACTGCCCTCCAGCCTGGGGAACAGAGAGAGACTCCGTCTCAAAAAAAACCAAAAAAACAACAAAAAAAACAAAAGCTGCAGCGAGGCCGTTTCTGAAGATGGCGGGTATTGGGCACTCTTTACTTCCTTGACTCTACTCCTGCACTCTGAGACTGACCGTATAACATTTCCGATTTTCTTTGATTTGTGCTATTGTTTTTCTTATAGTTAAGGGAAATGTGAAATATTATTGTACCTTTGTCTGTCAAAATTTAGAAAAATGAAAAATAGACCAAAGGTGGGAGTATAATTCATTGCAAAAACTTGATATCCTAAGCTAGTGTGTCAAAAGTGTACAATTTCGAGCATTATTATGAAATAAATTTAGTAAGATCTATCACCAATATATAAGAAATAGGATACAAAGTTTTATGAACTAAAAAGAAAATTCTCATTGAATTGTTTTTTAATCAAATTAAATGAAGCTACATCGAAATATTTAAAAACATGTTGGCAATGATGAGTCTATAAAGCAATTTAGTGGGTATAACCCTCCCAATTTGCTGATATGGGCCCTGCCTGGTTTTGGGGGCCTTGAATCTGCAATCCCTGGTGGAGGACAACACCCCTGTTTCTCCGGACCTGAGAGTTTTTCTTTTAATCTAATTTCCTTCACATTTTAATCATTAGCTTATCTTCAAACTTTTTTAAGAATGATCTTAACAAATTAAAAGTACTTTACAATGTATTGCATTTACTATGTTTGAATAAAACATTATTTTGCCACTATCCCAAAGGATTGTTATATTTTTCTATTTTAGTAAGTTTATTGAAGACAAACAGGCCTTGGGCCGCTGCCTCTGTCTCTCCTGCCTTCCCCACTGAATCTCCAGCCCACATTCACAAACAAAGACAAACCTGTGTAAACTGAAGCACCACAAAACTACTTTTATGAAAGCAGAATGGAAGGTAAGTGTCATAATCTGTTCCCCCTTGTACTGTAGCATAAACTTTATCGAACTCACTGCAGCAAATACCTTTGTCTTTCACCAAGAAATGGAAATTGTTTGGTGTAATTGTGCCTTACCTTCCCGAGGTATATTTCTGGATTTGATTTACTGAATTCAAAGTTGAATGATTCACCAAACTTCTTGGTTTTCAATGCTTAAAGTCCCAAATAACTTTTCTTAAAATCAGAGCTGCCAAAGTTAGGAATGATTTTAATATCAATTCCCGAGAGGTGTAGAAGTAGCTACTGTGCTATTTCTCACACTTTATCAACCAAAGTCACCTTCACAAGCATCCTCAGGATGAAGACTTCAATAACTCTTAGGCTGTCCATTTCTCTAATGCACATTTGTGGTTGTCAGAAAATTTTTTTTATATTGATTTGAATCAATTGATCCATGTTTTGCCCACCAGAACAACAGAAACCAAATGTATTCTTTTTGTAGTACTTTTCATTTTTAAAAACAATTACTAGAATCCCCTGAGTCTTCTTTTGTTCTGTGGTCCTTCCCCCAGGACAGTGTGTCCAGGTGGACTGCCCTTCCAACCCTCTCCTCTCTTTCAGACAACTTTGTCCATGTCCCTTTGCAGAGGCCCTGGGCAGAGATTCCCGCCGGGAGGTCTGCTCAGACCAGTGCACGCTGAAGCTAATGAGTCATTTTATATGGACTTGGTGATGATCTCAGTGTCATAAAAAGGAGATTCCATTATTTCTCTTTCAAATACAGCCCTAGCTGCTGAGGCAGATCTCTCTGATTCTGTATTTTAAATTGATTTTTGAATTTAAATTGAGAGATTTCAGGTCTTATACTTTTAGAGCCAAAAGAGAACGTTCACATCAACTGGAGATTAGGGTTAATGTTCCAGATCAACGGCCAAATAGTTACGTGGGCTTGAACAACTGTCCCAGTTGGCCTCCTGGGACAGCTGTTTGCTGTAATATGGGAATAGGAATGTCATCTCCCCCTGCCTTACAGGACTCTTGTGAGGATCTACTAAAGAATACCCATAAAAGTCTTTTAAAAAGGTTAGAGAACAGAAGATGTCATTGGTTTATACGTGTATCCTGATTCCACTCCTTCCATATCATTGTCTCTTCGTGAAAACCAGACTTCTCTAAAAGCTCTTGTATTATTATTATTTTTTTTCCAAACACCAACCAATACTCTGACACCATCTGTGTGGACAGCAGTTCAATTGGATTCTAACTAACCAGAGTTAGAGAAAAACCCACGGGATGAGGGCCCAATGCCACAAGATTGCCCCCATATCACATGCCAGCCACAAAAAGAGTGCCAGCCTTCCTGGTCTCCTGCCAGGCCCACTACAAACACAGGGTTCCCACCATTCCCACCCCTCCAAATGTGACAACTTTTTAGAACAACTCATAGAACTCAGGAGAACACTACACTTACTGATTTTTTGGTTTATTATGAAGGACAGTTCAGGACCAGTCAAATGGAAGTGGTGCACAGGACGGGCTGGGTATGGGGTAGGGGAATGACTGGGAGCGTCCTCACCCTCTCTGGGGGCACCACCCTCCCAGCACATCCATGTGTTTGCCAGCTTGGAAGCTCCTTGAATCTCTTTTGCTCACGAGTTTTTATAACCCAATCTCTAATACCCTCCTTTCCCTGGAGGTTAGGGGGTATAGCTGAAGATTTCCAACGCCTAATCACCATTTGGTCTTTGTTGTGACCAGCCCTATCCTGAAGCTATACAGAGGGCCGCACCCTAGGTTACCTCAGTGGCATAAACACAGGTGTAGTAGAAAGGGGCTTATTATGAATAACAGAAGGCACTCCCATTTCTGCTAGTCCCGAGGGTTTTGGTAGTTCTGTGCCAAGAACAGGGGAAAAAGATGAAGTACAATTTTTATTACACCACTGCTGTCCATACTGGTTACCAGCATTTTCTTTGGTCTCTCCTCAAATGACACCACTCTCCGCTGCCCTGTCACTTCCCTGAACAGTTCTCTTGGTGATTTTCTCTCCTCGTCCTACTTTCCCTTTCATGAGCACAAGAAGTAGTCAAGCGGTGAACCCTTTATCGTTCTTGAAGCACCTCTCACTTTGGAGACTTTAATACCACAACCTGCTTGTTTTCCTTCCATGCTTCTGACTCTTCCTGCTTTGTCTCCTTGGAGATATATTAGTGAGAGAAGTAAAATGTTGCAACTGGTTTAAATGATAATTTGATATACAGATATATGCATTCTCCAAGGCACAGAATGTATTTATATTGCTAAGAAATGTGCTAAAAAGTGGAGACAAGGCCTGAAGAATCCCTGAGCAGACAACACTAGTCAGGCCTCATAAGTGACCTCAACCTTGTTTGATTTGCAAACATAAGTGAATGTCAGCTTGAGCTATTTCTTGTAAATGCCTGTATTCAAAACAGAACTTAAGCTTAACCAGTCAGAAGCAGTCTACTCACTTATAATCCTATAACTGGGGGGACTTTCCGATGGGATAGATCAAATAAGGCAACTGTATAACTGAAACCAACCAAATGCTTTCTCTGATTTACTTCTGTGTTGTTCTATAAAAGCCTCCTCTTTCTGTTTCCTCAGTAAAGCTCCTGAACCAGTTCTACTTTGGAGGTGCCCAATTCATGAATTGCTTGCTCAAATAAACTATTCTTTTAAAATTTATTGGGCCTCCATTTACTTTCAGATAACAGTAATTATTTGCATGCCTATGGAAGGAAACATTGGTATTACTGTCTTTTTTTTTTTTTTTTTTTTACAATTTAAGTTCTAACTCTACAGAATTGTAAAATAACATAAGAATTAACCCAAAATGTGCATTCCTATCAAGTCAGATAATCACCCAGAAATCCTGCTAAAATAATTTCCAGAATTTCACTGAAAGGACACCTAGTCATTTCTTTTGCCCATTTCCTGACAGTATCTCCACTAGTAATAAAAATAATATTGAAAGAAAATTCTTAATCTCAAACAGGCCAAGGATGCCCATAAGGTTTGACCTGATATTTACATAGTTGCAGAAGAATTTAAACTAACCATATGGGCATCTTTGAGTTTATTCTGTAGTTCTTAATCAATGAATTATTAAGCAACTACTAAGACCAGAGAATAAACTTATGACTAGGAGTTTTCAAAAGAAATCTTTGATTGGTCTTCTAAAAATCCCTATGATTTTCTTTTCTTTATTAGTTCATTTTCACACTGCTATAAAGAACTACCTGAGACTGAGTAATTTATGAAGAATAGAGGTTTAATTGACTCACAGTTCTGCAGGCTTAACAGGAAGCATGACTTAGGGGTCTCAGGAAACTTACAATCATGCCAGAAGGCTAAGGGGAAGCAAGCACATCTTACCATGGCAGAGCAGGAGACAGAGCGAGTGAACAAAGGGGGAAGTGCCACACATTTTCAAACCACCAGATCTCTTGAGAACTCACTCACTATCACAAGAATAACAAGGGAGAAGTCTGCCTCCATGATTCAATCACCTCCCACCAGGCCCCTTTCCCGACACATGGGGATTACAGTTCGAGATGAGATTTGGGTGGGGACACAGAGCCAAACCATAACATATTCTAAGACGAGGAAACTGACCACAAGAAACTTTCTCCAGCAGATTTCACCTGCATTTCCTACATTCAACTGAATCCTTTAAATTGACTGAGGCACATCCTGTACCAAGGAGAGACCTTTGTTACTGCCTTTGATCCTGAGACCTTCTGAGCCAGGTACTTGGGTGCTTTTCCTGGGGAGGCTTTGAGGCGTTTACTCCACACATAATGTCAAACGTGTTTTATAATAGTGGGATAGTCAGACTTGATTAAATGAGAATTATTTTCAAATATGATACTAAGTAAGGTCTTGAGTGTAGAATCAAATTGTCCAATTATATCCTAATAAAAAGGAAGACAGATTCTTAGTGGACCTTTTCAACTATCTATACAGCAGTTTCATAAAACATTAGGAAATTTAGTAAACCTTATTACTTCTGGGGAGTCAGTGAGAATCAGATACATTTCTTAAATGTTTCATTTCATCAAGAGCAGAGTCTATGAAATTAAGGGTAAGATTTGCTTCAAATCTTAAGAAGAAAGCACTTTGATATATATCTTTTAAAACTAAAAACAACATTGATGGTATTCTACAATACTTGCATTTTCCTCTCACCTATGTAGTTCATTCCTGTTCTCAGGAACCCTGCTTTTAAGAGGAAGGTCTTGGCCAGGCTCAGTGGCTCACACCTGTAATCCCAGCACTTTGGGAGGCCGAGGCGGGCAGATCACCTGAGGTCAGGAGTTCAAGACCAGCCTGACCAATATGGTGAAACCCCATCTCTACTAAAAATACAAAAATTAGCCAGGCATGGTGGCAGGTGCCTGTAGTCCCAGCTACTCGGGAGGCTGAGACAGGAGAATTGCTTGAACCTGGGAGGCGGAGGTTGCAGTGAGCCAAGATCACACCACTGCACTCCAGCCTGGGCAACAGAGTGAGACTCCATCTCAAATTAAGTAAGTAAATAAATAAATAAATAAATAAATAAATAAATAAATACAGTGTCCTGGAAAGCCTGACTCGGTAGATGGTTACCCTCTGAGAGTTGGTTAAGTAATATCACCTTAGCAGGTGATATTACATAAGAGACCATTCTGGAAGTATAAAAAGTTAAAGTTGCTGGTACAAACATTTCCACAAGGCTCTAAGAGCCCTCTTTTACTGAAGACAAACTGTGGTGTGAATCTTACATCAGTATCCAACATCAGAGTAACGAGAAACTACCTGTACATGACAAAGACTGAATGGCTGTGGCCAATTTATTATAATAACCAGTGATGTCAGAATGGAGAAGAGGGGAATTCTCTATGGGGTGTAGTAGGCAACAATTCCATAAGAGTTTGGCAATGTTTCTCCTGTGCTGGGAATTATCATGTACAGCCAGAGTACTGGCAAATCTTCTGGACCTTCCCATGAATTATATAATTTCTAAAATATTTATATTAATAATTTATATTAATAAATGAAATTGTGTCCTTGAAGTTCATACATCAAATTCCTAACCACGAATAGGACTCTATTTGGAGATAAGGGCTTTGTGGAGGTAATGAAGTTTGAATGAGATCGTAAGGGCAGGGTACTGTGATCATAAGAACCCCAATATGACTGGTGTCCTTATAAGAAGAGGGAGAGACACAAGGAGCATGCTTACAAGAAAAGGCAATGTGAGGACATAGTGAGAAGGTGGCCATCTGCAAATCAAGGAGAGAGACCTTACAAGAAACCTACCTTGCCAGCACCGTGGTCTTGGATTTCCAGCCCCTAGAACTGTGAGAAAATAGGTTTATGTTGTTCAAGCCACCCAGACAGTGTTATTTTATTATGGCAGCCAAAGAGACTAATACAATAATATTTTTCTGTTTAAATTTTATCTAGCAATAGCTGAGGATCTTTCCCAATTTAATAATGCTTGCTATGCAGCTCTCACCATAGTGTCGAGGTAATTTAAGAAATATAGTGCACATCACAAAACATAATTATTTGTAGCATCACTCTTTTCTTAAGGTGAAAGAATAAATTTTTATGAAATCTCAAAAGAGATGTAGACATTTGATTCATTTTTCTTAATTTAGGATACAATCTTAGAAAGCCAAAATCTAAATAATTGTTGGTGGAGATTTGGGCACTTATTTAGGATAAGATCATGAATACCTAAAAAACAGTGGTTGGTTAATTCATCAAAATGACATCAAAATATTTTAAAGTAAACTTAGAAGTTTCCACAATTATAAATATTCTTAGCTCTTTCCAAAGCTAGAAAATGTTTTATTTTTAGTAATCAAAGATATATGAAAGTAAACACAGAAAAATTATTCAAGTGGGATACAGAATCTCTATCACCTATTATCAGAATTTTGATTACACAAAAGGTTAAAAAATGACTTTTCACATTGTAGGCAAGTCACGCATCATTAAACCAAGGGAACAAGCACATCAAAAACAGAGTGAAATTTGCCAAAATATAAAATATTTTAGTTTTGTTTTAGATTAATGTGTTATTAACAAAGACAAAATTCAATTTCTAAGTTTTGTTTTTCACTATACTCTTTCATATTCTGGAAAGATCTGTCACTTTTCTAAAATACAAAACTAATTCTTTTCCTCGAAAGACAAAAATATACACACTTGTGTTTCCCTGACTCTATTATCCTTAGTAGAGTCTCAATCACCCATTTGATTAAGCTTATTTCATAGAAAAAACTGGGTTAATGGGGGAATAATTAAGAACGGATGTCATACAGTATTTACTGTATTACCAAAGGTCACAGGAAACACACCTGGTGGCCGTGTCATCCATCCTTTACATCTGCTTGCCATGGCAAAAATAAATATACTCATTGATATAGATGTATCCCAAGAGATAGTCTTCTGGACAGCATATAAAAATAACAAGCACAAGTATGTAAACTTAAATTTATATTTAGTAGTCAAGGACTCAACTGTTATACATTCATTAGAAGTTACTTTGTTTTCTAAGAATTCTCCAATTTTAAGGGTATTTAACATTAGTCAAGGTCTTAAGTAACCTAAGGAAGTTAGAAACTAAGTTAAAGCTGTCACACTGCAACACATAGTTACTATTGACAGAAAAGGTTTATCATAATAATAATTTAATTTAATGCAATTTTTCATATTTTACACATTGTGCAGAAATAATGTTAGTTTTTATGATCGATAGACCACTATAAATTCAGAAATTGCAGTTTGACTCTTATCATCATGAGAAAAGCAACCAAAATAGAGTGAATTGTAGGTCAAATTATATTTAGTGTGGCTTTATCAGAAAAAACATATAGACTTTTTAATAAATGAAATTATTTATATAATTTGCCTAATAATGGAATTAGATAAACTTGGAATTTAAAAATGCTTCTGAACTAAAGGTTTTATAAGAACATTTTTAATGTTTTCCAACTTTATTGGTTTATAATTAACATAAAAAATGTATATGTTGGGTTGATGCAAAACAGCAATTACTTTTACACAAACCAAATATTTAATGTACAACTTGATGTTGTGACATACATATACACTGTGACGTGACAATCACAAACAACTTAGTGTATGTATCTATTACATACCATGGTTATCTTTGTGTGTTTGTGGTGAAAACTCTTAATATCTATCCACTTAGCAAATTTTAAGTATACAATACACTATTAAAGATGATATTTTTAATCTAGTGTATTTAAAGTATTAGTTTATTTTTCTTTTTTTTGAATTTGGAAAAATTGGATTTATATGTACATTTATCTTTAAAAGCCAATTAGAATAGTACCTCTTTAATTAAAGAGATAGGAACATTTATATCCACTAACTGAGGTCAAGACCTTTCACAATTACAGAGTCACAAACGTGTTAGAGAACTCACAGCCTGATATCTTCCACTTCAGCCACGAGTCAAGAATACACACAAAGATGCAAAAATCCAATGGCTGAGATCTCAAAGAGAAGTTCAGTTTCCCAATGTGCATAAAATTCTCAATTGATTTGAGCTCACAAGTAAAACAAAATAGACAATAAGAATAATAAGCCGATTACGTCATCTTTTATTCAACAGACAGTAGACCTACAGAGATCATCGAATTGGCAGATCATAAAGCCAAATTCCTAATTGCTTCCTCCAGTGGAAAATAAGCCATCAGCTATGTCTTACTCAGCAACAAAACAAAATATATAGTTAGTAGGAAACAAAGTTAAAGAAACAGAGTGAACAAGGTTAAATATCTATTGCCATTTGATACCCTCTCTGGGAGGCAGGAAAATTGTTCATGGGCTTAAGCAATTCAGGAGGTCCATTTCTTCAGCCCCACAGTTTACCTGACTCTAAGTTGATGAACTAGACATTTTGGCAGATAATCTACCTCTAAACCCATTAACACATAACATTCCCACAGGTAAAATCACAATTCTCATGGAAATATCAAATAAACATATGTCAAATGTTATTTAACTCATCAGTTTAACGAAAGAACCAGTAAGATGTTGAAATCAGTTCTCAGAAATTTGTTGGTTTTTTTTTCAACCAAGAACTCCCCACTGACACCAACCCTATCAAAAATTGCCATTTGACATTTCATCTGGATGTTTTAAAGGCCTCTCAATTCACTGTGTCCAAAAAGGAATTCATGACTTTCTTTTCCAAATCTCTTTCCTTCTCTTGGGGTGTTCACTACTTCTGGCAATGATCCCACTTTGTGTTGAATTATTTACACCAGAAATCTAAGACTAATAAATGATACTTTATCTCACTACACTTTCACCTGCCATTACATGTTTATTACCAAACTCTGTTGATTTTACTTTCTAAATATCTCTTACCTGTATCTGCTTCTAACTTAACCACGTTCATCCATACCATGACACCACCATCACCATTTCATCTGGACCATATCACTTAGACTAAACCATTAGCCATATGTTTTTCTCATTGGTTTCACTACCTCAAGCATCTTCTTATCCCTCCAGTTTTGTCCATATATCAGCCAGAGTGATAGATATGATAATGTATTCTACTATTAGAAATCCGTAATGATTTCCTATTGCTCTTGGGATAAAAAACAAAACACTATGAAGCCCCATTGATCTTAGGATAGGGACTTAAACTTTCTTATTCTCCACCATTTTTGTGATAGAGACTCAAACACTGTGATCCTCCCTCCTCTTATAATAAAGACCCAAACCTTATAACACTTCATCTCTCTTAGGATAAAGACCAAAATCTATGATACCCTGCTGCTCTCAGGATAGAGACCCAAGCCCTCTATCTGGAGTACAAGGCTCTCTTACAATGCTGCTAGTTACCCTAACTTCCTCTCTTCAATATTGTCATGAACCAGGATTCCCCTCACTTTCTGGCTCAGCCTTCCTTAATTTCTTCATAGGTTTCTCAACTTCTCATCACTGCATCTTAGAAGTGTATAATTTATTTATTTATTTATTTTTACTTTCAATATTTTTCTCTTAAATCTCCTACTTTGCTGCCTGGTTCAAACCTATGATTATCCAAGTTTATCTCATTTTTATTTTGTCAGGGCCTTTTCCTTGACTGTTCAGGCAAGACCAAGTTATACCCCTCTCCTGATAGCACTTAAAAAACATTGTAATCTTGGCCAGGTGTGGTGGCTCACGCCTGTAATCCCAGCACTTTGGGAGACCGAGGCAGGTGTATCACGAGGTCAGGAGTTCCAGACCAGCCTGGCCAATGTGGTGAAACCCCGCCTTTACTAAAACTATGAAAATTAGCCAGGCACGGTGGCTCATGCCTGTAATCCTAGCTACTCGGGTGGCTGAGACAGAAGAATTGCTTGAATCTGGGAGGCAGAGGTTGCAGTGAGTTGAGCTGAGATCACATCATTGCACTCCAGCCTGGGCGACAGAGCGTGACTCCGTCTCAAAAAAAAAAAAAAAAAATTGTAATCTTACATTGAATTTTGTGGTTCAGTTTTTTTCTCTACCACTGCACAGTTAATTTCAAGAGGGCAGGGCCATGTCTAATTCTACTTATTATATTCCTACTGAATATTATGTAGTTGACATATATTAAATAATTTTAATTTAAATAAAATGTATTTATTGAGTGAATGTAGGACTTGCTGTCATATAACATATTTCTAAGTCTGATTCTATCTTCTACTATACTAGATAATTAGTTCCAAATTTGATGTATATATGTTATAATGTGATTAGACTCCCATAAAAAAGTATTAAATAATAAAGAGAGTTAATGTGTCATATCACAAGAAGGCCAGAAGTAGGAAAGTTGTAGTAGTTTAGCCTCTGAATCAGATGGGGTTATAAATTAACTTCTTTTACTCACCAGCTGTGTGAGCACAGTTATATATTTACAGATCACTGAAACATTTTTTTGAAATTCAGTCTGCTCAAGAAAAAAAACAGGAATGAGAATATTACCTTTCACACAGGGATTCTTTCAAAATTACTGAATTAATGCATTCAAAGAATTCTTTCAGTACTGTTCAAGCACTTCAATATTACCAATGACAGTTTCCTGCAGTATCTTGGATATTATTCACGTGGACCTATAGAGTGTTAGCCATTTAAAAGTCATCAGCTGCTTTTGCTGTCTCCATGTTTATTACAGCATTTAGGACTAGGTTCAACTACTCATAACAGAAAATGTTACTGTAGTGGCTTAAACACAAATAATTTATCTTGTGCAAAACATTCAGGGGTGAGCATTTGGGGAGAATAACACCAAGAAGCCAGACCCTTTGTAACTTCCTGCAGTGGTTTTAGCACCTTCAGGCGGGAAAGTCAAAGAAGAGAGGAGTGACCTTGGGAGACTGATGTACGTATCACTGCCCAGAAGCAATCATTTCTAACAGTGAAAAAGGAGGGGAAATGAAGGTTTTTGCCTCCACAATCTCTATAGTAGAAGCAGACAAGGCAATAGGGGAAGGGAAAAAAGTTTGGTCCATCATATATCCTAGGTGTAGGTATTTGAGGGTGATGACCATACCAGTTAATTAGGGGGA
This sequence comes from Homo sapiens, assembly GCF_000001405.40. Lineage (NCBI taxonomy): Eukaryota > Metazoa > Chordata > Mammalia > Primates > Hominidae > Homo > Homo sapiens. The sequence goes on along the minus strand of NC_000013.11, from coordinate 105,670,152 downwards.
GATGAGTAGATCCTCATCTCTTCCAAGTATAGGAAGCTAACTTTGCTGTAATTGTTACTAATACACCCTTCAAAATCACCATTTTGAAAGGTTTTGTGAAATGAGCATTATTTTCTTTTAATACAAGGTCAGACCTTCAGAATGATGAATAAACTCATTTGAGGGCAAGTACCAATTCAGAGCTGCTGTAAAGTAGGCATTTTCAAGAAGAAGGAATACTTCTCATGTTTGAACTGTGTAAGCAAGTCTTTATTTATTTTTTGAATCCTGAAACAGCAATTAGAAAAGAGAGAGGAAGATATTTCCTTTTCTGAAGGCTGCCAAGAATAAATCCTATTCTCATTTGTTAAAATAAAAAGAGGTAATAAGCTAAAGTAAGAATACACTAACCTTATTCTTGAACCCAGCCGCCTCTAGAAAAAAACACTATAAAAGTGAAGCTAAGTTCAGTAATTTTTGCAGTCATTGCCTTTTTGTTAGCTCTAGTTATCTTTCAAGTTTTATTGATAATAAAACATTAATTGCAAGGACAACTTTTGAAATCTATTATTGAATACCTAGGACACTCATGATGTCTCTCCACATTCTTGCCAAGGAATTGCTTTATGAATTAAACCACTTGGGGAATTAAACCACTATCAATTAAACATACAGTTGTATAAGGATAGACATATACTACTTTACATGCAAAAATTTAGGCCATAGCAATTTAGTAACTACCACGTTACAGGGACTGGAACTTTTCACTCCCCCACTTCTTCTATCTCACCACTCTGTTATATGAAGCTATGATTCTCCATTCAGAATATAACTACATTAGTTTTTGAAATAGGAAAATATGAAGGACAGACTCTAGAAATATCAGAATCACTTGGACAACAAAGTCCAAAATATGTATTATGAAAGTGAATTATCATGTTTGACTCAATATGTTGCTGCAAATAAATAAAAATTATTTGCTCAATATAGATACTCCTTATATGCCTCAATATTTTATATACACTGACTGAATATTTATGACTATGTATGAGCAGAATAATGAGAAAAAAACTTACTAAAAAATCTAATTATTTTGTTCCTTTTCTTAATAAATGTCCCGTTTCACAGTTATAACACTTTCTGGATTTTTATTTTTATTCTGACTTTATAAAATAAACATTATTTTTAGAATAGTTTTAAATTAACAAAAAAACACACAGAGATTACAGAATGCTCCATATATGTTATACATATATATATATATTATATATACACACACACACATATATTTAAATACGTATATTATATATATATTTTATATATCCCGTCCCCTCCCCTAGAAATCACTGAATTGTTTACTGGCTCTAAAGTTTTGCTCTCATTATTAAATATGTAACAAATATATATTATATATTTATATACAATGTATATAAAATAAATATATATACACATGTAAAAAAATATATATATATTTTGCCTGCTCCAGAATTCCATTCCATCCAGGATACCACAGAACTTTCACTAATCTTGTCTCTTTGGGTGCTTCTTGGCTATAACAGTTTCTTAGGATTTTCTTATTTTTGATGACCTTCACAGTTTTGAGGAGTGCTGGTCAGATATTTTGTAAAATGTTCCTTTCTTGTAATTTTTCTGATTTTTTACCATGATTAGACTGGACTTAGGGCTTGTGGGGATGGACTGTCACAGAGGTAAAATACATTCTCATCACAGCATATCAAGGGTTTATACTATTGACATGACTTAAAACTATTGATGTTAACACTGATCACCTGGTTGAGGTAGTATTTGTCAGGATTCTCCACTGTAAAGTTAATTTTTTCCCTGTTTCTATATTGTATTTTAGCTATATCAATAAGAACTCATGGACATTTCTCTTGTACTTTGGGTTATAATCCAATCTTTTTTATTTTTGCTCAAATTGTTCCAGCTTTGGTCATCGGACACTTTAAGTAGCTGCTGTGTGCTTTTGATGTTATTGCAGCTTGGTCTGTTTAGCACTTTCTTACTTTCTAAAATGTCAAGATGCTCCAGGCTTATCTTGTATATTACCTTATGTAGCTCCAGGATTAACCATTTCTCCAAGGTTTTGACAAACTCATAGTGTCATGTATTCACCATTACAGTATCATACAGAATAATTTTACAGCCCGAGAACAGCCCTGTGATTCACCCAGTCAACCTTTCCCTCCCTTAGAAATTACTGATTGCTTACTGGCTCTAAAGTTTTGCTCTTTACAGAATATCACATAAATGAACTCATGGGTATGTAGCTTTTACAGACTGACTTCCTTCATTTAGTAATATGGATTTAAGATTCATCCATGTCTTTGTGTATGTTGATAGCCCATTTTTAAATCACTGAATAATATTTCATCACATGGATATACCATGGTTTATTTGTTCATTCACCTATTGAAAGGCATCTTGATTGTTTCCAATTTGGGACAATTATAAATAAAGTTGCCACATGTATAAATATGCATGCTGCTTTTTGTGTGGATATAAATGTTCAAATAAGTTAGTTAAACACCTGGTAGTCTGATTGCTGGATTATATGATAATGCTACATTTTTCCTTGTTAAGAAACTGACAAATTGTCTTCTAAAGCAGTTGTGCCATTTTGAGTTCTGATCAGCAGTGGATGAAAGTTCCCATTACTCCATTTCATTGTCAACAATTATTTTCATTATGTTGTTTTCTTTTTGGTGAGTTTTAAAATGGCTTTGTATATTTTATATATAAGTAATTTATTAGATATGTGTTTTGCAAATATCTCCTTTTAGTCTGTGGATTGTCTTTTTATTCTTTGAACAATTTATTTTATAAAACATAAGTTTTTAATTTTGATAAAGTCCAACACATCTATTTGTTTAATTGATTGTGCTATTGGTGTTATGTTTAAAAACTCATCACCAAATCCTGGGTCAGACAGATTTTCTATTATGTTTTTGTCTAGAAATTTCATCATTTGTATTTTACATACATTTGTGATCCATTTTGATTTAATTTTGTGTAAGGTATAAGGTCTTTTTCTAAGTTTATTTATTTATTTATTTTTGTATGTGGATGTTCAATTAATCCAGAATCATTTGTTGAAAAAACTATTCTCTTTTTCTTTCAACCTTTTTGGCCCTTTTGTCAAAGATTAAATGATGGTATTTCTGTACAATAATCATATGATGTGGCTGTGTCCCAACCCAAATCTCATCTTGAATTGTAGTTCCCATGATTCCCACGTGTTGTGGGAGGGACCCTGTGAAAGATAATTGAATCATGGGTGAGGTTTTCCCTATACTGTCCTGTGGTAGTGAATAAGTCTCATGAGATCTGATGGTTTTATAAGGGGCACCTCTTTCACTCGGTTCCCATTTTCTCTTTTGCTGCCGCCATGTGGGACATGCCTTTTTCCTTCCACCAGGATTGTGGGCCTCCCCAGCCACGTGGAACTGTGAGTCCATTGAACATCTTTTTCTTTGTAGATTGCCCAGTTTCTATCAGGAGCACAAAATAAACTAATACCGATGATATCTGTCTTTTCTGTTCTGTTCCATTGATCTAAGTGTTTATTGATTGGCTAATATCATGCTATCTTGATTACTGTAGCTTTGCAGTAAATCATGAAGGCTAATAGGACAAGTCTTTTGACTTTCTTCTTATTCTTTTTTACTACTGTATTTGTTTTTCCAGGTCTTGTGCCATTTGTATGAAATTTAGAATCAGTTTGTTTCCATCTACAAAATAGCTTGCCACGATTTTCTTTTTGTGGTTACATTGAATCTACAGATTAGGTTGAAGGAAATTGACATCTCAACAATGTTATGTCTTCTAATGCATAAACATGAAATATTGCTCCATTTATTGAGATCTTTGATTTTTTCATCAATGTTTTATAGTTTTCAACATACAAATCCTGTGCATATTTTGTTAGATTTATATTTGAGTATATCATTTATTGGATGCTATTGTAAATTATAAGGTTTTTTTTACATTTTAATTCCAAATCTTTGTCTTTCATGTATGAGAAAGCCATGGACTTTTTATATTGCCCTGATATCCTGTAACCTTGCTGTATTCACTTATTATTCCACCTAAGCGGATCTCAGCTGCATCTGCTGGATGAGGTGGTGCTTTATCCTATAACTTCTATTCTCTGATGCATCCAATAAAATTCATTGATTTTCACTTTGTCCTGCTTTTCCTTGTAAGAACAGGAATAATGAAGTCCAAGCTTTCACACATAGGAGATAAAACTGAAAGTCCACACATTCTGATTTTAAAAAATCTTCTATTCTTTTGTTTTGCTATTCATATGTGTTTTTTAAATGTTTATGCTTGAGGTTTGAATTGTTTATGTAATGTAGAATCCACAGATAAACACAATTAGCAAATGTAAGCTATAATTCTTACAGTTTTAAAGGTACCTTTGTATGTACCCCACAAAAAATAGATGTCAACAATTTGGAGGCTACTTTTTATTTAAGTAATTTTACACCTGCTTTCTCTTTTTTTTAATGAAACCCAGTTGCAGTTCTTTGAACACCAGGAAAAACTTCCTAGCAACCTCTGATGTATTCCTGCATCTAGAGTAGAAACACAGCACACAGCACAGTAGAGAATTGAAAAATTTGAGAAAAAGAGTCAGTTGTTGGCCACATTGACTAAGACTCAGGCACGCACATACACATACCAAAGTGATTAGCACCTTAGTTGAGCTCAAATAAGGAGGAAAAAAACCAGCATTACAAGAGTGAGACAGTGGCAGGTTACTACTAGCCCTGCCTGTGGTATTTCTCTTCCATTTGACCAGAAATGGCAAATTCTGTTGAAAAGAATGGCCCATTTTCAGGCAAAGCTTTAGGAAGCACATGATTTCCACATAGAATCTGGCCTTTGTCAGACATGGTATGGGACTGTAAAAATGACTTATTCCAAGATGAGAACACATGGGGTAGAGCTTTAAAACCTGCAAGCCATGCGTTGTTCTCTTATTGAAGTTTTGTTAAAGCTGTTCCAGACATTTGCTGCCTTTGCTTCCATTTTTGGACTTGAGAGAGAAGAGGCATCAAGACGTCTGCAGGGGGGACATGAATAAGTGTGTGTGCACATGCGCACCTGTGTGGATATGTCAAAATAATAAAGTTTAATAATTGATTTCTATAATTATTAAATATAGCTTTACTAATTGATAGCTATAATTATTAAACATAGCTATAATTATTAAATATTAATTATTTTATATGTTTAGAAAAAATCCTATACCTTTGATAATATTCATGTGTGCAAAATATATTCTTCTGTCCTGGTAACTGCTCTGTTCATAATCATCTTTTTTTGGACAAACAAAGAAAACATATAGACAAACAGGATTAATATAAAATTTAACAATTATATAGCAATACAGTGGCTAACTATAGCTACTCTAATTAATTACCTGTTCTAGAGTGATTGGACTATCGCAGGTATAAACCCTAGCAGGGATAAAATCTTTTTATTTATATGCTATATAAATAAAGTATGTTCTAAAACACTTGCATGATTTATTCCACGAATACTGCATGGATTTCGTTGCACGTGAGAATTTCTCTGCCTGTTCTTCCTATTAACCACTAAATGTTATGTCATGCTGGGGATGTGAGCCCTGAAGCAGTGACAGGAAATATCTGCAAAATGGCAAATGCCTCCCATTACTGAGAGTGCTGATTACAAAGCTACAATTACATGTGGATTATTCATGTTTGCAGCAATATAATGAACTGGTTTATAGTTTTTCAAGAAGAAAGCATCTGTAGTATAGTAAAAATTACTCTGAATCTTGGATCAAAGAATCCGGGTTCCAATCCAGCCTTTGTTACCAGTAGCTGTGTTAGTTAACTATTGCTGTGTAACAAATTATCCCAAGACTTAGTGGCTTAAAACAGTAAGTATTTGTTATCTCTTACAGATTTGATGGGTCAAGCATTTGGGAATGGCTAAACTGGACGGTTCTGGCTTGGGATCTTTCATGAGGTTACAGTGATGATGCCAGTCAGGGCAGCAGCCACCTGTAGGTATGACAGTGGCTGCAGCATCGGCATCCGAGGTATCTTATTTATGTGGTATTGGCAGAAGATATCCACTCCTCACTGGCAGCTTGACTGGCCTCACTTTTTAGCAGCTGACTTTCCCCAGAATGGGAGATACAAGAAAGAGAGGGTGAGAAGGAAACCATAATGCCTTTTTGACCTGGTCTTAGACGTCACAAGTCACCATTTATACACATTCAGTTTATTGGAAGTGAGTCACTAAGGGTGGTCATACTTCAGAGCAAGAAAACTAGCCTCCCTTGTATGAAGTGAGGAATGATATAAAAAAAAGGGTGTATTTTCATACCACCATGGTGGCCATATGAGCTTCAGTAGTTAAACCTCGCTGAACATCAGTCTTCTCCACAAATGAAAATAACAATATCTACCTCAAAGAATTATTGGGGCTGTTCAGTAAGATGATGCATCTGACATATTTTGTAAAATGTAAGCTATTGCATCAGTGTAAAGTTGATTGAATGTAATGTCAGTGATGTTTTGTCATAGACATCACCAATGCATGTTGAGGAAATCTTGTTTAGTGACTTCCAAGTTAGGCAGACACTGGTACTGTGCACCCTCCTCTCAAAAAAGAAGCATGCAAATCTTTGACTGTTAAAGTATATAGCATTCAAAGATTTTGTTGTAATCATTGAGAATAATAATTTAATTATTTATATATAATTAATTATTGTTTAATTATTAATTAAATTATTATTTAATTATATATAAATATATAATTATTTAATTATTATATAATGAATCAGGTGCAGTGGTTCACGCCTGTAATCCTAATCCCAGCACTTTGGGAGGCCGAGGCTGGTGGATCTCCTGACGTCAGGAGTTCGAGACCAGCCTGGCCAACATGGTAAAACCCCGTTTCTACTAAAAATATAAAAATTAGCCAAGCATGGTGGTGCATGCCTGTAATCCCAGCAACTCGGGAGGCTGAGACAGGAGAATCGCTTGAAACCCAGGAAGCGGAGGTTGCAGTGAGCTGACATTGCACCACTACACTCCAGTCTGGGCAACAAAGCAAGACTCCATCTCATAAATAATAATAATAATTTGTTAATGAAAAATGTTAATTTCCAAAGAATGATAGAGTTTAAATATCAGAATTATTTATCTTATTATTTTTGGTGGATTGCCTAAATATACAGACTTTGTTTTTCGTGTTTTTGTTTGTTTTCCCATATGACAAGAGGCTGGAGACTGGCAGGCAGGCAGCATGAGCTTCTGCAGCAGCGCAGTTCTGTGAGCCATGGCCCCTCTGTTTCTGGGTAATCACCCTCGTCCTTGGTACCTTCTGCCTGCTCCCCTTGCAGCACTGATCCTTCATTCCAGGCAGATGGAATAAGATCAAAGCACAAAAAAAAAAGTTTGCTGAATATGCCCTGTTTTATTTTAATTTCTTATTTTCAAATAAATTTAGACTTTTGGAAAAACTGTAAAGATAGTAGAAAGTTTTTGTATACTTTTCATCCAGATTCACTTAAGGATAACGTCTTTTATAATCATGGTATATTTATTGAAATCAGAAAACCAACATTCACTATGAGCCAATTGGTATTAGTTACGCTATAACTAATTATTATTAACTAATAGTATCATTATTTACTTATCCACAATACAATGATGTAATAACAAAATATAGTATATAATATTAAATACAGCAATGTAGGATAGTAATGATAGTACTACTGCTAGTTTTAGTTAATAATATTAACTAATTTACAGGCCTTATTAAAATATTTTCAGTTTTACCACTAATGTCTTTCTTCTGGTTCCACGATTCACAATGCATTTATGTGTCATGTCACCACTGTTGTCTGCAATCTGTGCCAGTCCCTCACTCTTTTCTTGTCTTTTGCGAACTTGAAACTCATGGAGAACGCTTGGTCTGTTATTGTGTATAGAATGCCCCTCAGTTTGGGTTAGTCTGATGTTTTCACATGACTAAATTGAGGTTATGCAGTTTTTCAAAACTGCGGCAGATGTGATGATACTGTGCTTTTCCACTATATGATAGCATGTGATGTATGAGATGTAAACACGGATCATTGTTTTCTTTTCCTTTTTTTTTTTAAGACGGAGTCTCGCTCTGTCCCCAGGCCAGAGTTCAGTGGCATGATCTCGGCTCACTTTAACCTCTACCTCCCGGGTTCAAGCGATTCTCCTGCCTCAGCCTTCCAAGTAGCTGGGATTACAAGCATGCGCCACCACCCCCAGCTAATTTTTGCATTTTTAGTAGGACGAGATTTCACCACGTTGGCCAGAATGGTCTGGATCTCTCAACCTCGTGATCCACCCACCTCGGCCTTCCAAAGTGCTGGGATTATAGGCATGAGCCACCATGCTCAGTGGATCATTTTTTTTTTATGTTTTGTTTGTTTGTTTGTTTTGATTTCTATGTTGTCTGTCAGATGTCTTTTAAGTGATTTTTTTTTAAATTTATAACTTGTAAGTGTCTTCTGGGAAGATATTTTTAGGCTATGGAAATACTCTGTTTTTCATCATACACTTGCCCACTAATTTTAGCATCAATAATGGCTTTTGCCTGCAGTGACTACTTATGTAGTGTTTAATGTGATGATTTCTGTAGGGATATATAAATGAGCCAATGAGAAACCACAGACATCACATTTCTAGCTTAATTCTGAAAGGTAAACGTCTCATTGGCAAATTTTAAAAAGTTAAGACAATTTGGTTTCATCAGGAGACCCAAAGAAAAAATGAGTAGTTTGAATTTCTGGTCATAAGGATAGTATTCTTGATCTTCTTAATATGGAAGCAACTAAATATATTTACAACAGGAAGAACTAGATATACTTGCAAAATTCAAAGAGAAAACCAAAGCAATACAGCCAAGTTCTATTTGCAGGTCGAGATCTTCCAAAGAAATGGCAGTATTGTGATAGGTATGTACTTTTAAAACTGGAAAGAGATGGGAAAGGTACAAGTGGATGTTCATCATGGCGTAGACATCAATACATGATCAGTCAAGTTTTACTTCTTGTTTTAATGAGAAGAAAAAGCTGTGATTCTTTATTTATTCAAAATCACCATCACTTTTTTCTTTAAAATAGTCAGACTACTAGGGCCTCTGATACTTATTGGAAGATAAAGTTAAGGAGAGAAAAGGGGTGTATAAAGTAAAAATATATGGCAGCTGTCCAACAAAGTCAATAATCCACTTTAGGGACCCCAAAATAGATTTTCTGGAGTGTCTGTCTGTGCACAAGTTTGTCAGCATTTGAGAGAAATGACTGAGCAGCCACAACAAAGAGTGTTTAAACAAACCAATCTGGATGTCAAAAGGTTATGTGCCGCAGAGGGCTGCTGGTGTTAATTCTATATGGATTAACACCACAGCCGTTTCTTAAAATAGAAAAACTTGAAAGAAGTGAGTGAGCTCAGAGACCTTTTTTTTTTGTAGGAAGTCTAGATGAGACATTTATTTTTTTCTTTGAACTGGTGAAGTTCTCTCTACTCAGTGCGACTGGTGAGGTTGCATGAAAAGTCTGTGAATCAATCACAGGACCCAGTTCTGCCCTGAGACCTCAAGGAGAGAGGAGGCTATGCTGGACCCCGTACTGTAGAGGATCCCCACTCCTACCCTCTTGTGGACAATGCACCCCTCGGCATGGGGCAAGAAGTCCAAGAACGCCATAAGCCAAGGGAACGTACACACAATTAGCCTGTGTCTCCTTCTGCACAATGCTTTCTGTGGCTCTTCCTTGCAGAGTGTGGAGCTCATTTGCAAGAGCAGATCTCTTGCTTGGATTCATGTTCTTGTGGTCACACCACACCATCCCCAGTATGGGCCTCTCTCCAGCAAGGGGATGAGGATGTTGTTTGATCGTGGGGCTAATGTACATGACCACTGGGACCCTCCAAGGTGTGGCAGGCTAGGCAGGAATAGCAGAGAATTCACTACAGGGGTGTGTGTGTGTGTGTGTGTGTGTTTGTGTGTGTGTGTAGGTAAGGAATATAGAGCAGGAGGCTTTCACAATATTCCAGATGGAAGACAGTGAAATCCGCCAAGCCTAAATTCAAATCATACCAAAAGGTATAAGGAGTTAAGAGAAGAGAATAGGATATACCTTACTTGTTTAACAAATTGTTTCCTTTTTTATATAAAGTAATTTTAGGTGGTAAAATATACAGAAAATATAAATATATACAAAACCTACATAAAATTTACCATTTTCATCATTTTTCAGTGTGAAATTCAGTGGCTTTAAGTTCATTCATGATGTTGTACAACCATCGGTACTATATACAGAACATTTTCATAATTTTAAACGAAACATTTGTTCCTATTAAACGCTAACTTCCCAATCCCCTGTACCCTCAGGCCTTGGTAACCATTATTCTTCCTTCTGCTTTCCTGCATTTGCCTATTCTAGATCCTGAATATAGTGGACACATGCAGTGTTTTCCCTTTATGTCTAGCTTCTTTCCTGTAGCACAGTGTTATCAAGTTTCATCCATGTTGTTGCGTGTATCAGTACTTCATTCACATAATTTTATAGATAAATAATATTTCATTGCATGTGTGTACCGCATATTGCTTATCCATTCATTAGTTGCTGGGCACTTGACTTGCTTCCATGTTTTAACTACAGTGAATATGCTGCTATGAACATTGTTGTACAAGTGTCTGCTTGAGTCCCTGTTTTCAATTTTTTGGGGTATATAATTAAGAGTGGAATTGCTGGATCAGACAGAAACTGTATGTTTAACATTTTGAAGAACTGACAAGTTATCGTTTCCTTGGCTTTCCCTTATACTATTTGCACATGTAGCATGCAGATCTCCACTGTAGCCCTGGGTCCTGCAAATATTATTAGGGACAGGGCGTGACAGCAACCTTATGGATCTATACATGTAGACAGTAAATCAATCCTTGTAAATGTTAGTCTTTCACTTTTTTTCACTTTTGCTTTCCATATTATATAAATGAGAAATCTGGGTTTCCATCAGTGTTCAAACTTGGAAACTTTTGTGTCATATTAAAAAAAAAATCCAAATCAAGCTGTTTTGTGGTATTTCAGATCTGACTGAAACCAGGAAGTAATAGAAATATAAAAAGAAAACTTGATCTTCTGAGGTTTTCTTTACCAAAGTAACTGGGATAAAAATTAAGCCTTTAAAATTTTTGAGGTTCATATATCAATACCACTGATTTCTAAAAAATATTGTATGACTAGCTTCTTTTGGAAGGTAAAAAAACTCAGTTCTCCTACAAGACTTTGTAGAAATTCTTTGTCTTAAATCATATAGCTTAAAAAATGAGCCTTTTAAAACTGTGAAGGATATCAGAAAGAAATGTGAAGAAAGAAGAAAAGCACAAATTAAAAGAACGAACAAGAGCTACGTTAGCAGTGAGACCCAATTTAAAGAGTTTGGGTCCAGCCAGAGCTTTTCAAATCTTTTGAAGCTTATACAGTGTTCTGATCCCTAACAACCCATATTCTTGAAAAATTAACCAGAAAACTAGCATGAGCTAAATGTCTTTATGTTTGAATTAGAGAACAGGGAAAGGTCTTGCTGCCTTTAGGGAAAGCTTTTAATCAGAATGTCTCTTCATCCTGGCTTTTGACCTTTCCTAACATTCAATTGTTTTTTCACACTGCTCTTGAAAGAGCCTGCGGCTCTAAGAAAGAAGGATGGATATCTTCCCCTTGCTTAGCACGGTTTATGTCAAGATTTTGCCCTTGTAAAAGCACCTAAATGTGCTGGTGACAGACAGAGAGGGATGATCATTCAAAAGTAGTCTCTGCTTTTGTTAAACTTTTATTTCAAAACAATGGAGAGCACATCCCATCACTGCTACGAAAAGTTCTAACTTCCAATTCATAGGTCATTTTTTTGAAATTGTATTTTCTGATTAAAAACACATATTTCTCCAACTAGTATCCATCCTTATTTCTAGAGGTATCACCGTGCATTTCGCACCCCCTAAATAACCTTCTTGCCCCGTAAAAAATATTTTGTAAGTATTCGTATGTACCCACAGTCCATAATTAGGACATCTCACTTCTCTTTGTTAAAAATTCCTTATGTTTACAGCTTTTCAAAGGGCTTTGCATTCACTAACTAAGTAGTCGGAAACTTTTGAGACAGCTTTGCAGAACAAGACACAACAACTACATGTTGAGTAACTTGCTCACGGTTACATGATAGTTATGTAAGATGCTTGGTGATAGGACTGGGCGCTAACATGTTTTTCCCAAGAAAAATAAACCTCCATTGCATCTAGTCCACACTAGGACGATGTTTTGGGCATATGTTTTTCCAAGCATCTGGTAGGGACAGATCAGGTCTAAGGGATTTCTGAAAGGTTTAAATTAAATAGGATTTCCCTTTAAAATTTTGATAGAGAAATTTAGAAAAAAAAGGAATCAAATGCTAATTCAGAAGGTATTGAGAACAGGAAAAATATTAGCTTATCAGGGAACTTCTTAAGGTCAGAGTTTCACTATCACATTCTAGCTTCTTCAGTGCCTCCTCATTTTGGAAAGTGTTCAGGACTTTTAGGTGCAGTTCTGGACACCTCACATGTCTGAACATATCCAGTGGTCTTTCTTAAAGATTATAAGGACTTAGCAGCAAATTAGTCTGTTTTTCACATGATCGGAGATGGCTGAGGCTTAAGAATGCTGCACAGCATCCTGAGGTGATTATTAGTACTCAGAAGGCCTCCCCACCTCTCTTGCACCTGTGATCCTCATCTTGCCCTTTTCCAAATATCGAGCAGCCACCATAATATGTGTGTGTGTGATTAATCAATTATTACTAAAGGATCAGTAATCCTTAACCTCTGAGATTCTCACTGGATATTAAGGATCTTAAAAATAGGAGAATAATCAATTTAAACCTTTAAGCTGTTTTGCTTCTGATACTATTCCATGTCTTAGCATTCAATGTATTTTTATTGGTGGACCATATGACAAAGTGAAAAGGAGGAGGGTTTTGGAAAAAGAGATACAGAAGTTCACATTTTAGCTACCCGATAACTGTAAAAACAAGGGCAATTCTGTATTGGGCTTACATTTATCTTTTCAGTGGATCTATTTAATTGAAATAGAAATAAAACACATATCAATAATTGCACCAAGATACTGAAGGTAGTTTTTATTGAAAACTTGATCACTAAGGAATTGACAGAATTGAGAAGTGAGAAAATTTCAAAGATACACATGCCTGAAAGCAGAAATCATATCTTATATGTCAAACATGAAAATCAAAGTCAGCTGCTTGAAATGTGGGCCTAATAAATCTTGAATCTCTGCAACTGTAGGGAATAGTTATTGTTTTCTAATCTAGCACACATTTTAGTAAACTTTTCTGTCCTTAATGTTAAACTTCATATTTCCTACACATCTTTTTTAATGTTAATTATTTTAATATGCATGCATATATTTACCACTTATTACATGGGAAGAAACAATTCTTAAGTCTGAGAAGGTTGGTAATCATTTACATTTCTGACACAAAACTGAAGGCATGGTTGAGAATTAGAATAATTAAAATAGCACTGGGGGACAACCTGAAAACTGTGACTCCATTCTGATAGAAGGAGTCATTGTCCTTGAACAATTTGCAAATATGTTCCCTTCTTTTCCCAAATATGTTCCCTTCTTTTCCCATAACAGGCTTCCATGCTTTATGCAACTAATGCGTTATGAATTGCAGCTCTGTTTCTTACAGAGAAGTGAATTTACAAAAGACATACCTTTCACATCATGTTCACCTTTTTCACCTCAATGACACCCTGCTCCCTTCTCTTACCTTCCCTGACACCACACAGTTCACCATCAGCTCTTCCTCCTTCTCAACACCCTAACTTCTAACCTGCAACTGAAGCTCACAGTTGTGCTTAGTATCTGCGTGACAGTTCCCTTCACTTGACAAGTTTTAAAAGTCAACTTTCTTTGTCTTACAGTTTATTGTCTTCAGTCTTTTATTTCCCTTACCTTTTAATAAAAGGATTCAGTATTCCATTTCTATTAATCTTTTATTAAAGTTTATTAGAAATAGAATGCTGAATAGAAAATAGGAAGTTTAGCTGTAGTTAAGATTGTGATTATTCATTATACTGATATTTTTCTTATATTGTTTTTGAACTGATTTATGGGTAGTTAGCTCCAAAACTGAAGGAATACTATGATATTTTCAACACTATTACCAGCACTATGTCAGGTATTAAGTTTAATCCATGAGCAGAGTGCAATTTCAAGATCATGAATTTTCACAAACTTCAATGTTACTACTGTGTTTATGCTGAATAAATGGTTTCTTTGGCACCTCTTTCACACACACACACGCACACATCTATACATGGTAACATAGGCTAAAGCAATTAGAGAAGTTCAGGTATTTCAATGACTGAATCACAAAAATATGTTATTGATCTCATTTGTTAATCAATGAATGGTTAATAAGAAGATTAAGAAGACAAATTACAAGGTCACAGCCCATTCAGCTGAAGCATGTTGTTATGGCCAGAGGCTCATGAGAGGAAAAGGTGTGGCTAAGAACAGAAGATCCGTTAAGCTCCAAGCCTGTTCAATTATTTAAGTCACTGAGACAAAGTAGATGTGGAGTGTGAGACGCCAGTGTAGAGCCTTCAACTGATTTTCCTTGGGGAGGTTGACCTGACTTAATAGTGTGGGAAATCAGGTGAATTTTGGCTGTGACTAGATTTGACCAAGATGGAGTTTTCCATGAAAATGCAAACCAATCTTTAGAATTTGAATTCCATAAAGCAAAAAATTCTTACATAAATGCTTATAATTTTACCACTCTACCACTGTGGGATGCATGCCACGAGATTTTGTGAGTAGTTCTAAAAAGTATGTCTTCTTGGACAACATCCAAAGTAGACCACATGCACACTGAAACAAGCCTTACACAATAGCTTTTCTATATATGTATCTATATCTACATCTATATTTATATCTGTATCTAGCTAAAAGAAAAGCTCCACATACTGATAGAATTATATAAAAGCAAATACTAACGTTTGGGAATTTCGATTATAATACACTTAATTGAAAACAAAACAAAAATATTTTTTAAAGTATTAAGCAAGCATAGAGAGACATTTTGGTGCTTACAAGGATTTCTGGGAATACAAGCAATTATTTTTTGTCAGGGACCATATATTTAGGTACAGATCATTAACAATGCTTTCTTTAATATTTATTTAGTGAATTGTACATGTTAACTCTAAGGGCAATTAAAACCCATAATTATAATATGAGAAACTTTTTCTCCACTTAGTATTTTTTATTATAAATATGGCTAGCATTGAATCATTGGCTATAACCATGTAATTTTAATGCTTGGGAAACATCTGTTAGAAAAACTTTCCCTATAGAAGACATTTATCAATGTCCTGCCTTATCTCTGGTTATCTTTGGTTTATTACATTTTATGATAACCATAAAACTGAAACCATCCTCATTTACATTTTTCCTCTTCTAAATTTGGGGAAATTATATTTTAAGTGTTTATCATTATCTCATTATATAATCTACAGAAATAATAAACAGCAGCATACCTGATTTTAAAATGAGACTTTTGAATTTCTACAATAAATAGAATATAACGAACTCTGCTTCTTTGGGTATATCACGTCAAATATACATTAATGAGCAGATAGCTTTAACATGTTTATCATGTTATAATCTGATTGTTGTCTTTACTAATCAAGATACCTAATTTAACTGAAGTATCAAGTGATCTCAAAACCTCAGTAGCATCTGATAAAGGTTGCTGTCTCACCTGTGCCACATGGCCATTGCCATTTGACTGCTGCTTCACCCACATCACCTGCACTCCCAAACTCAGCCTGGCTGGATATCTTTTTACAAGATACCTGATAATGAAGGAGAGAAGGAACATGGTGAACACTATGCAGTCTCA
The DNA here is from genome assembly GCF_000001405.40 of Homo sapiens. Lineage (NCBI taxonomy): Eukaryota > Metazoa > Chordata > Mammalia > Primates > Hominidae > Homo > Homo sapiens. The sequence continues at coordinate 105,654,151 of NC_000013.11, read as the reverse complement.
GAAGATCTGCTTGGAAGAGACATGTTACTTCTGCTGTCATTTCCTTGGCCAGAGCAAGTGAAATGCTGAACCTGATCAGTGGCTTATTGTTTGAACAGTAATACAACCTACTGTTCTATCATAGAATGATATTGGAGTCATATATTTCAATTAGCCATTATCAATGTCTCTCATAATTTTCTTTACACATTTTCTCAGAATCTAGAGTAAAATTTAAAAAAGGAAAGACAGATAAATGCTCTCATCTCCAAATTCAGTGTCCTAAATTCCACTTACTTTAATCAGTATAAAAATCAGGTAGCTCAGATTTTAATGGACTAGTCACTTTTGTCTCTTTTTTTTTGCTATCAGCGTTTATATTGATTATTTGGAAGAAAAAAGAGCCCCCTCAACCTTCCAGAGCGGACACACACACGTACACACACACATCGGCAACATTAGAGAGGTTGACCTGAAAGTGTTTTAAAAACTATGACACAGTTAAACTATGATTTCAAAGTTTTTCCAAGCAAGTTATATGTCAGAATATGAGTAGGGGAAAACTATTGAACTGCCACAATTCTGCTGGTGGTTTCATTGGCAATTCCAATTATGTTCTGATCATAGTGTCATCAGAGCAATTAGTTCATCCCAAACTTGTTTTGTAGTGCCACTCCACAGGGAAAATAGTAAATCTGTCCTACTGACTGCAGTTCTCTAAAATGTCCTTAAAGTTTAGTTATTTCAATCTTAGTGGAAGAAATATGTTGTTGGTAGTGGTCATCCTTGCTAGTACTCTTTAATCATTACCTGCCAGGAAACACTTTTTATTTACCAGTGCATGAGAGTTTAGGTGAGAATTATTCTACTACCGAAAGCTCAAGATGTATTTGTGCTATAGTTATAAATATAGATTTTTTTTTTGTAATTCTAACTTTTCAGGTACTTTTCTCTTTAGCTGTTTTATTTTAGTATATGTATTTTTTCCATTTTTTATGGAATTGTAAGGCATATTTGGTGGTTCTAGTTTACAACTATAACATCATTTCCAGAGTCATCAATTCCTTTGTCAGGACATGACATTATGTTTTTCCATTTTTTAGACTTCCTAAAATGTCTTGATAACCAAAACACAGAGGGTTATCATTATACAGTTATGTATGATACGGTTTCCTCTATATAATGTGTCACATAGAGTATTTTATTTCCAGCCAAAGATCATTATTTTTTAAAGAAACTCAGGAACAAGAAATAAGGATGCACTCACACAAATAGACAGTAGTGAATTCAGAATGCATAGCAGAGTGTGCAAAGTAAAGCAAATGCATCCATGCCCAATTACCTAATTTGTAATTGCAGCTATTCATTGCACTTGATTCTTTCCTTCAACTCCTTCCTCTCCTTCCCTCCCCGGAGCTCCTCCTTCCCAGCGTTTGTATGGCAGCTTCGTAATAAACCCAGAACACTTAGCAATTTCTGCTCCGATTTGCTCTAGCTTCAAAGGTCTATGGTCATGATTACATGCAATAACGATACATTCAATGTGAAACTACAATCTGTGTAACTTTGTATTTCTCTTTGAAGGTTTAGATACGATTGACTGTGTCAACCATAAGCAGAATAATAATTCCTGTGCTCAGAGACAAGTCAGAGAGAGAGAGAGAGAGATTGACAAACAAACAAACAAACAAACAAACAAAAAACAGATTTTAAGAACTGAGCCCTAATTCATTTTTTTTTCTTTTTTATTGTGGCAAAATACACATGACATTTACTATCTTAACCATTTTTAAATGAACAGTTTAGTGATATTAAATACATATATTACATTGTGTAGACATCACCATCCTCCATCTTCAGGGTTCTTTCCACCTTTCAAAACTGAAATTCTACCCATTAAACAATTCCTCATTCCCCCCCTTCCCCCAGCTCGGCTGCTGGCAAACAGTTCTACTTATTGTCTGTATGATTTTGATCACTGTAAGTACCTCATAGAAGTGTAATCATACAGAATTTACCTTTTTGTGATGGGCTTATTTCACTTAGCATCCTAAAGGTTTGTCCATGTTGTAGTCTATGTCAGACTTGGCTTCCCTTTTAAGGCTGAATGATATTCCATTGTATATATAAATCACATTATATATGTTATATTCTAAGCATTTTATATTTTTAGGCCTTACATTTGGGTCTTTGATTCATATTCAGTTAATTTTTATATGGAGGTTCATATAAGGTTCAACTTCATTCCGTTGCATGTGGAGATTCAGTTTTCTCAGCATCTGTTGTTAAAAATAGTGTCTTTTTCCCATTAAATGATCTTGCCACCCTTGTCAAAAATAATTTGGCCATGTAAGTATTTTATTCTATTGGCCAACATGTTTGTTTTACGCCAGCTGATATAACCATATGTAATTATTCACTTATTAGTTCTGAATTCATTTATTAGTTTCATATGGGATTTTTTGGTGGAATCATAAGAGTTGTCTACATATATGATTATATCATCTATGGACAGAGATAAGTTTACTTCTTCCTTTATTCCAACATATGTTCTCTCTTTTTCTTGCCTAATTGCTCTAGCTAGGATTTCCAGTACTACGTTAAATAGAAGTGAGGAAAGCAGACACCCTTGCTTTGTTCCTGATCTGACAGGAAAAACTTTTTAAAAAATTGTGATGAGGTAGTTTCCTTCTATCCTAGTATACTGAGTATTGTTTTAATTATGAAAGGTTATTGAATTTTCTCAAGTGCTTTTACTGCATCAATAAAAGATGATTACATGTCTTTTTTCTTCATTAGTGTGGTGTATTCCATTGTTAATGTGGTATATTCCACTGTTTAATTTTTGTGTGTTGAACCATCTTTGTATTCCAGGCATAAATCCTACTTTGATTTTCGTATGTTGAACCATCTTTGTATTCCAGGCATAAATCCTACTTAGAAATGGTGTATAATTCCTTTAATATGTTGCAAAATTCAGTTTGCTAGTACTTTTTTGAAGATTGTTCCCATTAATGTTCATACGGAATATTGATCTTTAGTTTTCTATTTTTTGTGATGTCTTTGTCTGACTTGGGTATCAAGGTAGTTCTGGCCTCATAGAATGTGTTAGGAAGTGTTCCCTCTTCTTTGATATTTTGGAAATTATTGAAAATTGGGGTGAGCCCTTCTTTAAATGTTTGGTAGAATTCAGCAAAAAAGCCATCAGGCCAAGGACTTTTGTTTGTCAGGATATTTTTGATTAGTAATCTATCTCCTGACTCTTAAAATGTCTATTACAATTTTCTATTTGTTTGTGGTTTAGATTTAGTAGGCTTTGCGTTTCTAGAAATTTGTCCACTTCATCCAGGTTATTCAATTTGTTGGCATATCATTACTTTCGTAATACTCTCTGCTGATCTTTGTATTTATGTAGACTTGGAAGTAATGTTCCTATGTTCCTTTTTTTTTTTTTTATTTTGGTAACTTGAGTCTTTCTTCTTTCTTTCTAGCTAAAGGTTTTCTAAATTTGTTACTATTTTGAAGAACCAACTTTTGGTTTCATTTATTTTCCCTATTATTTTACATTCTCTATTTTATCTCAGCTGTAATATTTATTATTTCATTTTTTTTGCTAGTTTCGGGTTCAGTATATTCTTATTTTTTTAGTTCCTTAAGTTGTAAAGTTAGGTTGATGATTTAAGATCTTTCTTGTTTTTTGTAATGTATGCATCTAAATTTTCTAACAGTGCTTTCATTATGTCCCATATGTTTTGACATATTGTTTGTTCATTTTCGTTTATCTCCAAGTATTTTCTAATTTCTCATGTAATTTATTATTTGATCCATTGGTAAGAGTATGTTGTTTAATTTCCACAAATTTGTAAAAGTTCTCGTTTTTCTTCTGTTACTGATTTCTTACTTTATCCCATTTTGATCAGAAAAATGTTTTGTATGATATTTTTTACCGTAAGTTTTTTGAGACTTAATTTGTGACCTAATATATGTTCTATCCAGGAAAATGTTCCATGTGTACTTAAAATAATGTGTATGCCATAGAAACTGGGTAGAGTGTTCCGTATCTGTCCATTAGACCTAGTCGGTGTATTGTGCCATTCAAGTTCTCTGTTGCCTTACTTATATTCTGTCTCATTGTTCTATTCCTTATTGAGAGTGGGGTATGATAACTACAACAATTATTATAGAACTGTATGTTTCTGTTTTCAATTCTGTCACTTTTTGCTTCATATATTTTATGGTCTGTTATTAGATGCATAAATATTTATAATTTTTATATCTTCTTGCTACATTAAACCTTTTAATAATATATAATGTCCTTCTTGTATGTTTTAAAATCTACTTTGTCTGATATTAGTATAGCCACTCTTGCTCTTCTTCACTTACTATTTGGACAAAATATATTTTTTCATCCTTTAACTTTCAGTGTATCTGTGTCTTTGGGTCTAAAGTGAGTCTATTGTAGACTGGGCCTACATCATTTTTTAAAATCCATTTTACTAACCTCTGTCTTCTGATTGGAGAGCTTAATCCATTTACACTTAAAATCATTGCTGATAAGCAAGCAATTTTGCTATTTGTTTTTTATATGCCTTATAGCTTTCTCATACCTCATTTTCTACATTTCTGTGTTTTGTGTTTAGTTCATCTAGTTGATTTTTCAGTTAAATATTAAAAGTCTTTTTTTCTGCTATTTTCTTTCTTCTATATTCTTTGTTGTTACCATGGTGATTATATTCAACATGCTAAAGTTATAACATTCTAATTTGAATTTGTGCCAACTTAATTTTAATAATACACTCAAATATTTTTTACAGCTCTGTCCCCACCTCTTTCAGCTGTTCATGCTATAAAATTATATCTTATACATTTCATGTTCGAAAACATAAACTAATAATTCTTTGATGCATTCATCTCTCAAATTATGTAGAAAACAAAATGTGGAATTGCAAACCAAAATTACAATACCAACTTTTAGCATAATAATTATCTTAATGTTTTAGTGTCTTAAATGAAGTAGAAAACAAAATGAAGTTATACAGCGTGTTACAATAATACTAGCTTTTAAAATTGCCTATTTTTAATTCAGATTTAATTTTTGTATAGCTTTTAGTTATTGTCTAGGGTCCTTTAATTTCATCCCAAATAACTCCCCTGAGCATTTCTTGCAGGGAAGGTCTAGAGGTAATAAACTCCCCCAGCTTTTGTTTACCTGGAATGCCTTAATTTCTCCCTCATTTTAGATAACAGTTTTGCTGAATCTAGTATTGTTGGTTGACAGTATTTTACACTTAGTATTTTGTATGCCTTCTGATTTTCACTTGAAAACTGAGCATTTGAATCTAATAATATGTTAACTCTGATAACCGGATTCTCTTTCTTTCTGAGGGTTTGCTGTTTTGTTCTTGACTTTTTTTTATTGTTGCAGCTGTCTCTGTGCCAAGTATTAGCATGAGGTGTAAACTTATTCTCTCCTCAGGTTTTTTTCTGAACTTGTATCTTCCCACTGTGTCTACATGGTGACTTCCTAATTTCACCCATATATACAGTTGCTTGTGAATGTCTTTATCTTCAATGTCAGCCGTCCAAAAGAGTAAAAAGAGAAAAACAAAGGGAGAAAAAATGAGGCACCACCCTCTTTACATTCCCTGGGAACCACCTCAGCCAGGGGAGAGGGGCTGACAATAATTGAGGAGGAGCATAACAATGGCCACTGTTTCTTTGTCTGCACCTCTGGGATCAGAAGCAGTGATCAGTGATCAGAGCACGGGTCTCTGTTATCTGGCAGGCAGGGTTGTTTGTTGCCCACCCTAGTTTCTGCAAGCTGTGTGGTAGCTGCTCCAGGCACCGCTGCCTGCCACAGAGTTGAGAGGTGGGGAATGAATAGGTGCTATTGTGCTAATAGCTAAAATTGACCACAATTAACCACAACTGACAGTCTAAGCCATCTCCTGGGAGTTTGAAGTGCAAGTCTTTCCCTGGAACTTAATTTCAATAGTTTCCAGAATTCCAAAATAGTAACATCAGACAGATTCTGTCAGGGCATTATTTTTTTCTATGTAGGGATACATATTTCTAGTGCTACCTACTCCACCATCTTTCTAGAATATTCTCCTCCCCAATAATTTATATCATCATTTCTGGGGTTGTAAGTCAACAATCTGTATTTTAACAATTTCTCTAGGTGTCTCTTTGCCTGCTTTAAGTTTTCAATCCAGTTAGCCCTCTCTATCCTCAATATAAAACAAAAGCACCATGAAAACATTTGGCTCTAAGTGTGGTTGCCATTTAATTTATGTTCCAAACCAGAAAAAAAAAATTGAGAGTAAAAGAACGTGCTATTAATAATTCATCTGTAATAATATATATGAACCTGGACTGTCTGAAACAGTTTTTTGAGAGACACTTAGAAAAAATTATGCTTTGGAAATTTTTTATGGGGTGTCATTAATTTGTTTTTGTCCAATTTTTGCAACAAAATTTTGACTTCTATAGTGAGGTGACATTCATAAATCTGAGTATTCATATCTAAAAACCCAAAAGCATTTTTTTCTAAGGATGTCATGTAGATCATATAAAATAACTATAGAAATATTGAATCCATAATATGTCATATGAGTTGCAGCCATTTTAATATTTTGTCCATTTTTATATATTCTATGCATATAATATATGGTAGTTTTCTGATAGTAATTTCCAATTCCTCTCCCAAAATGGACTGGACAGATTTCTTAGTGAGGGAAGACTGTTTTTATATCATTCAAATTTTATCAGTCCTTTTCTGTGGGTCCCCTGCTGTTCTTATTCCATAGCATCTTATGTAGGATTGATCTCTTCCTTGTGTTAGAGTCAATATTATTATTTTCAGAAGTCTTGGTTTTTCCATTGGCAAATGTTCAAATAAAACTTTATAACCAAATCTTTATAATGCTGTTGCCAACTTTGTGTCTTTAAATAAAGTCCAATTGCCATAGGGCAATTGTGCAGTGGGATGGATATGTGAATCTGTGTGAAAAATGATATTTTAAATGCTTTGTGGGGAAGAGTAACCAGTCTGGATTGAATTGAATGCTAAATTGGCTTTACATTTGGAAAAAATTTAGATGTTATAGTAGTTCTTATATAAGAACATTAAACATCTCACTCTAAATGAAGTACCTCAGGTGATACTGTGATAGCTATAATTGTTTATGACGGAAATATTCACTCTTAGAAGACTTGGGTATTGACAAGAACTTGGAAAAGGATCAAGCAGCAACATATATGAAACTGTGCTTCAGCAGGGGAAATACAGTTATGTTCCTGGGTCACTGGACTCTTGTTATGGACTGAACAATCCAAGCTATATAAAGAGACATAATAACTATGATCAGAACTTTGTGAAATATGACCGTTCTATTTGAATTCAGGTTCTAAGCAGTATTCCCCAAAGAGATCTGATATTGAATCAATGTTGTAGCTACCAGCCTTGAAGTTACCTGAACTTTGGTATTCTATTATTCCCTTAGCTTGTAGAAATACCCCAAATGTATTTTCCCTAGTAGATGAACTATAATCTTTCTTATTCATAGTCTATGATTGGTGCATCTTCTCTAGCTCCCTTTTTTAGATGTGCTGAGGAAGTCCGCTGTGGTCCTAAAGCTGCACCTGTGTGGCTGTTGTCTAATGTCCCGTTTTGGTGCTCAATGTCATGAGTACTAAGATGATTCTGAGTAAGAGTCCTAATTAATGCCACCAAAATTTGGCGAACCCTTGTCTTTTGGGGAAGAGGGGCAGAATTCTTCACGATATGCCTCAAACCTGGCTTCTTCACTTCTGTGTACGAGATAATTTCAAACTGCTTTTCTCACTTTTAAATTTTATTCATAGATGTAAAATTTTGGCATTTTGGCTAATTTAATTTCAAATTTGTATTTGCTTGTTCCTGCTTTGATGCGCTACTTATGTTGTGTTTGAAACATAGTAGAAAAGAGGCTGCGTCGGACAAGTATGAGAAGACATGCTTACAGTCACATAAAAGGAGAATAAAAATATGTGTGTGACTGTAGACCGTACCTCCATGAACATTACAAATTTCTGACTGCCATCTAGAACACGTGCTTTATCAACATGATATCAATGATGTGGATATTTTACTTACTTTCTATTTTGTTATACATGTTTGGTTTAGATGTGACCTTTGACCATTTCTGTATAATTTTAATAAAATAGATTTAACTACACAAAAATCACCCTAAAAGTAATTTTCCATGATGCATTTTAAAGGTCATGTTTTCCCTGATGACAGCATGTTTTTGTAGTTAGACCTTGGGAAAGACAACAAGGAGATCTGAGAGCTAATGCAAAATTATCTTTACTAGCTGGATCTCCTTGGACTGGTCATTTATCCTCTGAATCCTAATTTGCCCCTTAGCACTCACAAATGTCATCTCCCCAAAGCCATAGCTGAGCAGAAAGTGGAGCTTAGCATTTTTTATTCTGATAGAAGAGACTGTGTCCATGCAATTATGACAGTAAAAATAAATGAGCATAGCTTCAAACATTTCTTTAATAGAAACTTAGCCTTTGGGTTTAAGGTTATATAAAGTGAAAGGAATTTGGGTAATTAATATGAAGTCAAACATTAAAAGATTCCTCAAGTAATCCAAAGGTATCAAATGTTCAATGACATAAAATACCTCTCTAGTCCTTATGATGAGAAGAGAAGGTCCTGATGAGTGGCTAAGTAGTGATGAAAGTCTAAGGCTAAATTTCTATGAAGAAATATTGTAATAAAATTTTTGAAAGATACTCAGAGATATTTCTTGAGATCATTATCATGTATTCTGTACACAAATGTATTCTTTCCATTTTATTTTCAGTGATTTTCCATGTACAGCTATAACTTTAGAAAGGCTGATTGTTATTCTTTGGCTTTTCTCCCTCAATTAAATCATGTTTTTTTGGTGGAAAGAGAGATTTAAAATAAAATGGAAGCAAGTGGTATTAATTCAGAGTTACTAAAACTGAAAATTAGGGAAATGTAGAAAATATAAACTAATATCAAGCTAATTCTTTTCTGTATCAGTGTTAGACCTTTTATGGGTGAATGAGGTTAAATGTGTGTTAGTATAAAGGATGTAAAGGAGTAAGCAAAGACACTAAGACCAGAGCATGACTTTATATCTATATCAGCTTGAGTCTATTTATAGTAGAATCACTAGAAAGTGGTGACCACACAGAGTTGCATTTTTTTCTTTTGATATGCATACATTTTCCCTGAAAGAAAAAAGGAAGGAAGGAAGGAAGGAAGGAAGGAAGGAAGGAAGGAAGGAAGGAAGGAAAGATGGAAGGAAGGAAGGAAGGAAGGAATGAAGGAAGGAAGGAAGGAAGGAAAGAAGGAAGGAAAGAGGAAGGAAGAATATTTTTTAAAAGAAACTCTTTGATGATTCAACATCATGGAGAAGTTATTATTATATTGAGCTTGACCTGGATCTGTAACTCTTGACATTTAGCTCTTGAAAATACATCTGTTTTCTTGGCTGATAGTCTTAAAAGACAGAATCCAACATAATAAGCCTGCACATGTATCCCCATATCTAAAATGAATGTTGAAATTATAAAATAAAATACAATATATGTTCACAAATATTAAAAAAATGTGCAGAGATATGGGAATACATATGTGTCTTATGTGTGCTTATTTCTATGAAGTCGTTAGATGTCAAAGCTCTTTCTGCATGCATCCTTGCTTAGACGTTTTGTCTGAAATTCTGTTCACATTGACATACGTGCATTAAACTAATATGAGAATGTATGCATTAAACTAGCTTGAATGATGTCCACATTCTCAGTTTTTTCATCATAACTTTTTCTTTCCAGAGTGCATGATGCCGCAGAAAAGAAAAGCTAACTGTGAAACTCAAAGAAAGTCTTTGTTAGGGCCTGAGTATTTTTTTTTTAATCTCTATGACTTTCACATTCTTAGCTTCAGTAATCCTTGAAGAGAACAGAGTCAAACCTTGTATTTTAATTAGGATCTTTCAGTGTTTGTGGCCTTGAGGAGCGAGAGCAAGAAAGACATTCTATGGGTGTGCGTGAAAGAGAGGACCAAGGTTGTTTTCTTTGTGACTAGAGATTATATTGTGTAAGAGCAGATGACAACCTTGAGATTCGATTTGTGATATGAAACCAAATGCACTAAAAGGAAAGCGTACCAGTTTGGATTAGATACATTAAATCAGTATGTCATGTAAATCAGTGACTATTAAAAGAGAATATATAGGAGAAAAAGGTATTAGAAGTTGCATTTTTTAACCAATTGCAACGTTTGCAAATGGGCTTGTCACATACCATCATGTAAGTACTAGTGAAGTCTAAGGTATAAGCAAGTATTTTTCATTTTTAAGGATCATTGCAAAGATAGAGAATTTGACAATAAATGAACTGACTGGCCTTCTACAAGTATTTACTTACAACCACAATTGTAATTTTTCCATGGCCAAGCTATGAATTATTAAAAGAATATTGACATTTTGCTATATTTTTAAATTATCTTTAAATCATTTCAAATAGTGAAATAGTATTATACTAATTAAACTTTATTAAGTACATTTTCAAGCTCAGCTAAGTTTTTTAATCAATGTTTATTTCAGTTAGGGGATAGTTTTGTTTTTTTTCTTCTTTGAAATAATATCTTTGAAACCAATGTCCACATTTCTTTACAGATAAAAGAGTTCTGTTTATGAAATAAGAATAAACAGCCTGTAATTTTAATATCACCAAAACTATTTTAATCTCTTTTTGGATATGTACTTCAACTTAAACTACATATATAGCTATAGATATATAGATATGTCTATATCTAGATGTAGACACATCCCCCAAAACCTATAGAAATGTATTTCTCAAATGTGTAAAGTATAGTGAAACTGCCAGACCACAAGCGATGTTTTGTATTTATAGATCTACTTGCAATTTGGGGTGTGCCAAATCCCCACACCTTGTTGTCAATATTAGTTTAACAAAACTAAAAGGAAATTTAAAATATTAAGATCATCCTCTTTAGGATCTACTTGGAGCGCTGAAAAAGGTGTGAAAATACTGATCTCGGACTTCTTGTGAGTTTGATGTGTTTTACATTTGTAATGCTATTCTCTTCACTGCATTCATGCGTGTGCTTGAAGCTTGCTGCCTTGTAGGAGACAATGCAACAACTCTTACCAATGCCACTTTTATAAGATTTTGCCTGCAGTGTGTCAATGTGACTCTTCAGTACGCTACTTAAGGGAGTGCAGGCAAGATGACCTACCCTGAGTCATCCAAAGAATATTTCTCTAGTTCCTGTTGGTCCTGTGAATTCCTAATGTCTTTATAATAAATGGCCACCTAAAAATTAATGTAACTGGGTTGATTGTGTTGCATGACATTAAGTAAACCTAACTGCCGCAACAGGGTGCAGTCTGCATCATAGCAAATACGTTACGGGAGAGAGGGGCACGTCCTCCCTCAGCGCCCACAACAGGGATCATTAACCAAGGCTGACACAATTCTCCAGTGAGAACAGATGTAACCTTGGAATCTTTCTCCACACAGTGCTCCAGGAAGCGATTCGACATGAGTCTGTACTGGCATAGGAAAATAAAACTGGCATGGCTGCCACATAGATCCTATTTTCTTTTGCCTCTTACCAAGAGTTATTTTAAAAATGAAACTATTGTCGGCCAGGCGTGGTGACTCACGCCTGTAATCCCAGCACTTTGAGAGGCCAAGGCAGGCAGATCACGAGGTCAGGAGATCGAGACCATCCTGGCTAACACAGTGAAACCCCGTCTCTAGTAAAAATACAAAAAAATTAGCTGGGCGTGGTGGCGGGCACCTGTAGTCCCAGCTACTTGGGAGGCTGAGGCAGGAGAATGGCGTGAACCTGGGAGGTGGAGGTTGCAATGAGCAGATATCATGCCACTCTATTCCAGCTTGGGCGAAAAAGTGAGACTGTGTCTCAAAAAAAAAAAAAAAAAGAAACTATTGTCAACCAATGAGTGTAAAGGTGTTATTTTTGCTTTTTTTTAAGTTTATGTTTTGAAATCCTCTCTCAATTGCAGGAAAAAAAATAAGATACAGAATATAAAGAGACAGCATAAATGATAGAAAACAAAATAAGCATGTTCATGAGCCAGAAATCAAGAAGAAAAGGCAATGATAAAAAGGGCTGAAGCCGGAGGCATCCCAGGCCCTGGGTCTGGAAGCAGGTACTCACAGTGGCATTCTTGGGCACTCTGGGGCACCGAGGTCTGTAAGTACCACTCATAACGTGACTGGCCAGCAAAATTTACTGCTTAACATAAACAATGTCTTGGCCCCCACCTTGCAAAATAATGCTGAAATAAAAGGTGTTACTGATCATTGTCTGGGACTAAGGTTTAGTGAGGTTTACTTACAGAAAATAAAAAAGCAAACAGTCATACACCCAAGATTGGGCCAAGCTGCCTGTTGGATTTGACATATCCTGCAATCACAGGGAAAAGGTTGGTACTATACTGAGATGTGGCTCAGGATGGGAGACCACAGGGCAGGCAGGAAGGAGGCAAAAGCAATCTAGAAGACCTGTGTGACTAGTGAGAAAAGCAAGAGTAAGAGAAAGGAAGAAAGAGAGAAGATGGATGTCCTCTTGTTAAAATAAATGTACTAAAACAAATAGAACAATATGAAAAGACCCTACATAGGTTAAGTATCTTCCAAAAAAGACACAGCATTCATGTGAGCTTCATATTGCTACTATAGCAAATTGCCACAAACTTAGTAGCTTAACACAACATGCATTCATTACTTTACAGCAGCTTAGACATCCAACATGGGGCCCACTGGGCTCAAATCCAGGTGTTGGCAGAGCTGCTTTTCTTTCTGAGACTCTAGAGAAAAATCGTTTGCTTTGGTTTTTCAGCTCTGGAGGCTGCTGCGTTCCTTGGCTCTTGGCTGCCTCTCCATCTTCAAAGTGCATCACTGCAGCCTGCGCTTCATCCATCACGTTGGCTCTGTCGCTCACATTTCTACTTCTCTCTTGCAAGGACCCTTGGGATTCTATTGGACTCACCTGGATAATCCAAGATAATCTTCATCTTAAAATCCTTAATTTAGTCACACACAGAAAATCACCTCTGTTATGTAAAGTAACATATTTCCATATCCTGGAGGAAGGGGGCATTGATGTGTCTACCACAGCATCCACAAAGGGAACAAAAAATATTGTCCAATAAATGCATATAGAAATAAATTTGTGGATTCAGGAAAAAGTGGAGTCATGGAACAAAAATATTTAATAGATAGAAGAGTTTCCAGACTAGACATCCAGGAAAGAATTCACCCAGGATGCAGCTTAGAGAAAATGCCAAGGAATATGCGAAGGAATTGCATGCATGTACATGCGCGCGCGCGCACACACACACACACACACACACACACACACACACCACATAGAAAAGAACAATTCACAGATAGGAGGGGTAGATTTAGAGACTCCGACATATAACCATGAGGTTTACAATAAAAAGAATAAAGGAGAAACAATACTGAAAAAAGTAAGGAATTTTCCACAATTGAAGAAAAACATGAGCCTTCAGATAGGATGTGCGTGTCTCGTACTGAGAAAAATAAATGAAAATAAATCCGCACAGAGGCACAAAGTAATGAAATTGTAGCACGTCAAAATCCATATTCTCTTTGGGTTTGACAGGAGGAATAAATTCAAGAGATGTATTTTACAATAGGGTGACTACAGTTAATAATATTTATTATACTCTTGAAAGTTGCTGAGTAGATTTTAAATGCTCTTACTATAAAAATGATAAGTATATTAAATAATGCATATATTAATTAGCTTGATGTAGCCATTCTACAGTATATAAGTATTTCAAAACAACGTTTTGTACATGATAAATACATAGTCAAAATAATTTAAGAATTTTTAAATGATAAAAAATACATTTTAAAAATTGGAAGGCCATATTCTTAAAAACTAAACATGAGAAAAGTATTACCAACAAAAAATAACAATTAGGCCTCTCTAGAAACCTAACTCTTAAAAACAGACATTACAGAATACTTTCAAAATGCTTTGGCAAAAACAAAAAACCAAATAACAGGGAAAGAGCTCTGTGAATTAAAAATTTTGCACTCAGATAAAGCATTAATCAAGATGAAATACAAAATGAAGTACATGGTTTCTTACAGCTCAGTTTTCCTATCTGGATTAACTTTAGTTTTGCAATAGTATTTCTTGCAGTAACGTTCTATTATTTGTGTGTCCAAACATGCATATTTATCCAGCAACTAATTCAAGGTATGAGAGGAATGAAGATACTGATGACAGAAATTAGAGCAGGGAATCAGAAGAGAGAAGTGCATGTTCCCTTGCATGGCACTCTTCAGTTGACAAAAGGACATGTGATCCCAAGATTTCTCTTGACTGAGACTACATTTACACAAATTAAGGAGTTGTGTAACATTAAATAACCAAAGTCATAGCCTTAGGAACTTCCATTGCAAAAAAGGAGTTTAACATGGAGCTGTTGTTAAAGGGAGGGTCAGATGGTCGAAAAATTAATTGGCAAACAAGTTGATTGCATAAGCTGGAAGTACTGTTGAAAACTTTGTGGTTCTTTATTAAACGAAAACACTTCGGATATTGGGAAGACAGCAACAGTGAAATTTCCTTGGAATCAGGAATAAGGGCCTTTATATATTCTACTCACTGTCTACATGGTCATGATCTCAAGTTATTGTTTCTCATACATATCAGAGATGTGCTAAAATTTGAAATAGGTTTTCAATCAGGAGCCAATTCTAATCACACATCAGTGGCAACTTGGAGCCTTGAGTTTGGAAAGATTTTCTTTAGTGTGTTAGGTTGTTCTTGTGTTGCTATAAAGCAATATCTGAGACTGGGTAATTTGTAAAAAGAGAGGTTTAATTGGCTCACAGTTCTTCAGGCCGTACAGGTAGCATAGCACCGACATCTGCTCCTGGAGAGTCTTGAAAAAGAAGGCAAAGGGTCAGCAGGTGTCTCACATGGCAGGAGCAGGAGCAAGAGTAGGGAGAAGTGCCACACTTTTAAACAATCAGATCCCTTAAGAACTCACTCACTATTGCAAGGACAGCACCAAGGGGATGATGTTACAACACTCATGAGAAATCTATCACCATGGTCTAATCACCTCCCACCAAGTCTCACCTCCAACATTGGGGATTACATGTCAGTGTGAGACTCAAAGAAGACACATATCTGAACTATATCATGTACAATTCCAAGACAAAGTCTACTAAAGTCTGAGATCAATTAATTGTAGATATCTGTCATTAGGTAACTGAAATAGAAGGAATGGCCACAGAGGTCTTGTAGGTTTGTGGCTTGTGCAGGTGTCTGCTGATAAATGTTTAACAATAGGTTTTCATAGGTGGTCAGGGAAGGCCTTATTTGTAGCATTTGCCAATCTCCCTGATATAAATATTCCAACCATGGATGATTTACTCACAAGATGGAACTGAATTCTGACCACAGCTGTCTCTTGCTAGCTGGTGTGAGTCAGCTCCAGAACCTCAGGAGTCTGGTGGCTTAATGCTGAAACTTAGTATTTAAAGTTGTTGTCTTTTGTTCACCTGTACGGAAGTAAAGTATGGGTGTGAGAAAAGTTTCAGTTAGTTTAGTTAGTATTTATAAGAAAGAGTTTAAAAGAAAAGAATGGAAATGGCTCGTGGGTCGCATAATTGAGACTATGAAGAGTGGTTGAATAAATTGGTGTGTTTTATCCTGGAGAGGAGGGAGCTGGAGAGTGATTTAATAATCTTCATATTTATGGAGGTTTTTTTTTTTTGACAGAAGATGGTTCCCAGTTACTTTCCATCCCTAAGTTTCAAATCAAGATAAATCTAGCCTTAAGTATTCCCCTTTCCTATCCAATAATTATCGCTTTAAAAATATTTTAGAAAAAAATGTACTGTATAAAGAATGCTTTCTTAGATTGGTTATCAGTTGATCCAGTTTCTACACTTTAAATCCTGCTGGCCTTTTACACTATATGTAAGATTAGGCAATAAAGATAGGGAAGGTTCAAGGGAAAACTTCTGAGGCCAAGTAATCCAATAGGAATCCAATAGCAATATGGGAAGGCAGGAACTATTTTACCCAATAACTCTAGCTAGAAATTTCAACAATCACCAACCATTCCTGCTCCCCCACATGTCATTCATCACACTGCTTCATGAATTCTAACTCCAGAAGTCCTCTTGAATTTTTCCCAGCCTGTCCTGTCAAATCGCTGGTCTAGTGCAAGCTACTCTTTATAATATTGCAATCTGTTCTTATTCCACTTTAAATAAACAGAGTAGAGAATTGTTGACCAGATGAATAAAAAGTTGGCCACCAATTTGACATTATCCCCCTAACTAACATTATCTTAAAGTATGCTTCTCAGGAGGGCATTTTAAGTCATTTGAAGTTCTAAATGCAAGACTGAATATCTTCTGCACCTGTTTTCATTGGTTCAATATGAAAGATTATACTATTTCCACCATGTTACCAAATATGATTGGCATTGTGTTAAATGTTCTTAGGTTTAATCACTCTGAATCCTTTGCCTAAAATGTAGATTTTTTTTTTGCTATAAAAAAGACATTAGAGTCTATGCCAAAATTTGCAATTCTTCTATAAAATTATTTTTTGTCTAAATCTTAAAAATAACTTAAAATCACTAAATGTTCAGGGAAATCTCTAGTGAGAAAAATAAAATTTATAGCTCACAGACTAGATTGAACAGACAACCATCTGTTCAACTTAAAACATTTGTCTCAAATAACATAATAACTCACAAATGATGATGGATTAGGTAACTTCATTTCATATTTATTAAATTATTAACCCAACTCTTTTTAAAGCCATCAATTTGCATGAAGCTTATGAGTGAGAGATATACAAAAAAAACTTAATATTTGATGATCTCCTAATATGTGCTAGGTGCTTTATATGTATGACATTTTAACAAATATTTAAGTCAGATACTATCTCTTTTTTCAGATAAAGAAATTGAGACTTAAGGTAAATAATTTACTTACAGTCACAAAAATGAAGTACGCTTATACAATCTGAATCTACTGATGGCTTCAAAATCCTTTTCTACGATGAAATGTAGCTTCATGTAGGGGAGTATAACATGGAAATAAGGCAGGTAGTTTTTCCTTTCCAAATTTTTAGTATAGATGAAGAAAAAGACATTCTCAATTATCAATACTGTTTAAAAACAATGTCTTTGATTTAATATATGGTAAATATTAAATATGTGGTCGTGAAAATAAGTATATTTTTAGAGTTCAAAGGGGAGGAAAATATCCTTTGTAAGCTGGGGCATTTTCAATATTCAATTTTATTTATTTTTTATAATGAAATAGTCAGCACTCCAACCATCCATCTATCCACCAATTCATCCATTTATCTACCTGTCCATCTATTCATCCATCCAAACATCTATGTATCCATCCATTCACACATCCATTATTTCATCCTGCATTCATACATCCATAACTACTCTCTAAGAAAGAAGAAAAATTTATTCAGGCTTCTATGTAGATGGAAGTGTTTTGATACTAAAATGTGGATGTTTGTAATTTTATTATTGCCATTTCCTTTCCAAATGTATGCCAATCATACATTTTTCTAAGACTTATACATTACCTCTGAAATGCTTCCTCTTGGAAATGATGCACGTCACTTCTACTGACATTTTATTGGTCAAAGCACATCACATAGTCATGCCTGAGCCTATCCTCAGGAAGACAAGGCCATTTGACCAGGAAACACAGGAGATCCAGAAATATTGGTGAACACTGGTAACGTCCATCAGGCTGAAAAAATGTGGTATAAATATTAATATTTAAGACACAAAGAGGTATTTACCATGATAAAACATATTTAAGACAAAGGTTTTTACTAAGAGCAAAAACATAAACTTTGTGTTAGTCAGTTCTGTCTACTCTAACAGAATACCATAGACTGGGTGGCTTTAACAGCAGACATTTATTTCTCAGCCAGTTCTGATGGCTGGAAGTCTGAGATCAGGGTGACAGCTTCTGTTGAGGACCATCCTTCTGGCTGCACACTGCTGACTTCTCCTTGTATGCTTAAGTGGCAGATAGCAGCGACTTCCTGGAGTGACAAGGGCTTCAATCCCATTCGCGAGGGCTCCGCCTCATGACCTAATCACCCAAAGTCTCCACCTCCTAATACCAACACCTTGAGGATTAGAATTTCAAAATATGAACTTTGGGGCACACAAATATTTAGTCCATAACAGCCTTGGAGGTAAAATTCTAAGTAGCAGAAATCTTTCATCTCTTCTAAAACTAACACTAGTGGAAAACATAATCTTTCATTCAACGCTTAGAGTCTGTCTTGGAGAGCAGGAACAGATGTATTATATTACATGTGCACACATACACATATACACACAAACATTTGTTTGTATGTGTGTGCTTATGTGGATATCTATATGTCATATATACACTGCATCTAGCACAATAGGTAATTGCTATGTCAGGGCACATTTATTATAGTTTTCTCTCTAACTCATAAGGGAGAGTTTTTTAATCAGCTGGTAATATCATATATTTCAGTTTTTTCTTGCAAATAAGAGTGGAATAGAAAGATTTTCGCTGTTGAGAATTGTGCCCTTAAGTGTTAACAATATTCACAAGTGTTTAAAGAAATAATTAGGTTCATTTCATTCTATCATGCTTGTACTATATTTATAACATGACCTTTGTTCTATTTATATATACAAGTAATATATTCTAATAGGAATTTTTTTGTGAAGAAGAAACACTTGATAATATCCCAATTCCCTAACAGAATTATACAATAGTTCCTCAATGACCTTACCTTGGGAAAAAATTAAATGAAAGACACCTGCATTAGAGATCAATTTCCTGATGCTCAGTTTATATTCATCATGCTAAGCTATCCAAGGACACCTTTCTTGTCCTATCATTTGATGGAAACGATTTCCATGTGTTTTATGATTCAACTCCATTCTGCCTTAGACAATACAGTCACTTCAAACAGTTCAACTCTACAGTTGGCTGGCTGACTTTGCCTTGTAAAAATTGCTTTTTTTTTTTTTGGTTCAGAGTATTCTATATTTTACCTAAGAAGTGGAAAACAAATTTTGGGCAAGAATAGTGGCATACACATTACAGAGTGATTTCACATTTCAATATTATTTACAAATATGACATCAAACATTAGTGGTTTTATTTCATTTTTATATCAGAGGCATTCTAAATATGATGTGACAAAGTTAACTCCGAATTTCCTGGTTTTTGTCAGTTTAACCCAGATCTTTGCTATGCAGTTCTGAACACTGCCATGCTTTCAACTTTTCAACAAGAAACAGGTGGTTAATACACACATGTAACTCTACAACTTGATCTTAGCATTTCATGTAATACTTTGGTAATGCCTAAATATTATGTTTGTAGTTGTCCGGAGCATCTTATTTTCACTTTTTCAATTCTATCAAAGAGTACATTAATAGAAAATTAACCAAAACTGAATAAGAATAAAACCTCACTTCCCTAATTTATCCTCTTATAGAAAAATATTTTCAGTGTTTATATTTATGTGATACCAGCCGCATCTGGGTTCAGTAAGCACGTGTTTCGAGCATACTTTGAGATGCATTGTTCCTTGGCGCACCTCAGTTTGTACTGGAATCATTAATGCATAATCTGAAGTTGTGATTATTGAGATTTTTCACTCAATAATGGGATTCAAATGCTGCCCTGTTTGATCTGCATTAACTGTTTGGAATTCCAGAATATTGACTGGCACTTCAGAAGTCACCAGAGTATTCTGTAGCCTTCAGAGGGTAAATTTCAGTCATGTGGGGATGATTTTTTTGGCAAAGAGCATTTTGCACTCTGAGTCATCACACACATTCTCACAAGTTTTTAAGCCCAGGACAGTCTCCATTCCACCACTTGTAGGTAAACTGGTGATGATTTTAAAGGTAATGTCAGCCTCAGAAACAGTGAAATATGCTGAAGATATGGACACAGGCACGGAGTCTGCGTCATCTTAGTCCCTAACTCTCACCTTAGTGAATTGTTCCAACAATGACATAATGAATTATATTTAACTTTTCCTGCTGCTCATGTTTTGATATTTGTCATCAATCGGAGCTGGTGAGAGTTTTAATAAAGTGCTTAGCATCACCTGAGGGTAAATTTCTATATCCTTTGGATTCCTTGATCCTCCTCTGCACTTTATGTAATGAGTGACCTTTCTATCTAGTTCAAATAGAGAATGTAGAGAAGTAAAGTGCTTCATGCAAGAGGGCATCACGGATGTCAAAATGCAGGGCCAACATGAAAGAAGGGCAGAAAGGTTCCGGACACAAAGGGCAGGGCACTGCCTGGACTGGCTAGTGTCGGGGTTTCAGCCAGAACCTTCCTTTAGAATTTGGAAACTATGGAGAAAACACAGTGATGCAGATCAATATATACCAGTTTTGTTACAGATGTTGAAGAAGGTGGCTCACTACTGTGATCATACATTTGGGCTTCCCAACTTTTTCTCTTGAATTAAACATATTACTAAATTGGCAGGCTTTTTTCCTAACAACTGTGAAATGCTAGTCTTTAGAAATTTTCAGCATCCAGCAGCAAATAACATGCATGTCCAACGGCGAGGATGGCTCCAAAAAAGAGAGAACCCCAAATGAAAATGAGTCAAGCATTCTTTTTTCTTTAAGCAGAGCAAGATCATTCTTATCAGAGGAAATTGTGAGCAGGGTACAAGAAGCTGCACATGCCTAGGAGGTGAGAGTTCTGTCTACTCCAGGGAAAAATGAGAAGTGTTGAACAAGCAGCACTCCCAGAAAATAACACATTGTAGTAGACGCCCGTTACGGTTTCTCCATGTATTAAATTGGTTTATAACATTGTCTTTTTGTTTGTCTCTTTTGAGTTTATAAGTTCCCATCAATATTTTATTTCCTTTACTTATTTTGGGTTTAATTTGTGCTTTTTTCTATCTTTAAGATAAAAGCAGAGATGATAACTGATTTTAGACTTTGCTTATTTTCTAATATAGGCATTTAAAGATGAAAGTTTCCTCTTACAACTGATTTAGCTGTATTCTTCAAATTTTACCTTTCAAAATTTTATAGGGTTTATTTTTATTATTGTTCAATTTGAAATATTTCCTAATTTCCCTTGTCAGTTCCACTTTTACATACAGATTATTTAAAATTATGTTGCTTCCCAAATATTTGGGAATTTTTACAGATATATTATACTATTGTTTGTGATTTCTAATAGAATACCATTATAGTCAGAGAAAAATGTCATGTATTATTTCAATCCTTTTAAATTTATCACAACTTGCTTTGTGGTTGAGATGGTGATCTACCTGAGGGAATGTTTTATATGCATAGAACAGATAAAGTGTATTCTTCAATTGTTGAATATAATGTTCTATATGTGTCATTTAGACTAATATTGATATTGTTGAAGTCTTCTAGGTCCTTATTAATTTTTTTCTATTAGTTATATTAATTGCTGAAAAAGCATGTTTAATGTCTGTGATTGGAGTCTTTTCTGTAATTCTCCTTCAGTTTTTTAAATTGTTACATTTATGTAGTTTAAAGCTTTGTGATTATATTTATCCACATATTTAATTGGAAATTTTTGTTGTTTTAAAAATGTTTACCCTTTCTGGGGCTTTTTCTTCCTTCCAACCTGGTATTTTTCCTCTTCAGCCTGAAGAAGTTACCTCAGCATTTTTTATAGAACAGGTCTGCTCCAGACGATTCAGATTTTTCTGGTGAACATATAAAAATATACAGAAATGCTTTTAAGGCATTGTCTCAGGATATTTGCTATCATGTTTACAGTCTTTTATCTTCTACTATCTTTCAACTTTTTTTTTTTTTTTTTTTTTTTTTTTGAGATGGAGTCTCACTCTGTCGCCCAGGCTGGAGTGCAGTGGCGCGATCTCGGCTCACTGCAAGCTCCGCCTCCCGGGTTCATGCCATTCTCCTGCCTCAGCCTCCCGAGTAGCTAGGACTACAGGCGCCCGCCACCACTCCCGGCTAATTTTTTTTTTTTTTTTTTTTTGTATGTTTAGTGGAGACGGGGTTTCACAGTGTTAGCCACGATAGTCTCAATCTCCTGACCTTGTGATCTGCCCGCCTTGGCCTCCCAAAGTGCTGGGATTACAGGCGTGAGCCACTGCACCCGGCCATCTTTCAACAATTTAAAAACATTTTATGGTCTTCTAGTTTCATTCATCTTATGAGCACAATGCGTGTTTTTTATCTCCTCCAGCCTCTTTCAAGATTTTCTATTCATGTTTGGTTTTCATCACCGATTTGATGATCGTTTGCCTAGTTCTTGTTATATTTGAATGTATTTACTGTTTCTTATATATGTGAGTTGATATATTTCATCTAATTTAGAAAATTGTCACCCATGTTCTCTTCAAAAATGTCTTCTACCTCATTATCTGTCCTCTTTTTACAAGACCCTTAACGTAAATATATTTGATGGCATAATATTTTCTACACATCTCAGATGGCTCTCCTTTTCGTTTTTATTTTATTTTATTTTATTTTATTTTTGAGAGGAGTCTCACTCTGTCACCCAGACTGGAGTGCAGTGGTGCAATCTCGGCTCACTGAAACCTCTACCTCCTGGGTTCAAGTGATTCTGCTGCCTCAGCCTCCCGAGTAGCTGGGACTACAGGTGCCTGCCACCATGCCCAGCTAATTTTGTATTTTAATAGAGATGGGGTTTCACCATGTTGGTCAGGCTGGTCTCGAACTCCTGACCTCAGATGATACACCCACCTTGGCCTGCCAAAGTACTGGGATTACAGGCATGGCTCTCCTTTCCTTCTTCTCTTCTGTATTTTTCTCCTTCTTCCTCTCCATCTCTCCCTCCCTCCTTTTTTTTTTCTTATATTTCAATGTGGGTGATTTCTATTGATCTATCTTCTTGTTTACTGATTCTTTTCTTTGGTATGCCAGTTTACTAATAGACCTGTCCAATTAATTCCCCATCTCAATATTTTATTTTTTTTCCCTATTCTTGACATTTGGCTTTTTAGTTGTGTTTATTTCTCTGCTAAAATTCTTCATTTTTTTTCTGAAAAATTGTCTAAAAATAGTGTTAGATTATCTGACATATCTATTATATTTAATATAAAACTCCTCTCTGATAATTTCAACATCTATATTTGGAACTGCCTCTATTTCTCTTTCTTCCCTTGCCCATATGGCATAGTTATGTTTATACATCCTATAATGTATATATATATAGCTTCTTCATGTCTTGTAATTTTTTACGATCCCTTCCATTTAACAGGGCATGAGATCTAAGCAAGGGAGAGCCTCGGATTTCTCTTTGGGCTTTATAACCCAGCTGCTGACTCCCTGAGTCCGGGCTTCCAGTGAATTCTCTTTGCTGTCTGGTTGCTCACCCAGCCTTTTCACAACTCAGATTTCTACGCTTTGCTGCTCAGCTCTGAGCCTTTGAGGCTTGAGTGGACTCAGTGAAGTCCCCGGGAGCCTTGGAGGTGTTTCCCACTGCTGTCCTACTCTACCCAGCTTTCCGCAACAGCTTTTTGGCTTAGAGGGTTTTCTCATGGCTCTCCTGAGCTGCTCCCAGCCTCAAGTCAGCTATATAAGCCTCCATTTTTCAGATCCCCTACTGTGCCCCCAAACTTGGGTGCATTATGTCCATGTACTAAAGTAAAGGCCCCCTGGGACAGAGAGGTGGGTGGGTGCAGAGCTGCCTCTGATGGAGCTTCCTCAGGGACCTGAGTCATCACACTTCATAAGCTTTTTAAAATGTGTTGAAAATTGGACTTGTTTCTCACATCCCTTTGCTGGCAAATCCCTCCTCCTCTTCCCATCACTCCACCTAGCATCAGGGAAGCACTTCATTCCTCTCTCATAGGAAGAGATCATGACTTTCTAGATTTTCTTTCAGTTAGGCTTTTTTTGCATCTCCAGCTCTTCATTGGCTCTTATAAACTGTGTTTTGTTATTGTTGTTTTCAAGTTATCCATCTTGTTCTCATTTGTAGTTCTCTTATGGCTTTCTAATTCCTAACCAGAAGTGGAAACTGCTAGCTATTGTTTATAACATGGTCCATTTGCAGTTTATAGGGGTGGTATATGAATCAAGTGTGGAAAGGACCAGAAAAAAATTGTAATGGCAGATGTTATGTTGTCTTAAGCCTTGCTTTGCTTTTGCCACTGAGGCTGTGTTGTTTTTAATCTTACTGTGCATGGCACCTTCTCATCACACTAGTGTTTTGCCTTCCAGGGGTATCATCCATATAAATAAACTGCTGGAAGGCCAGGCGTGGTGGCTAACACCTGTAATCTCAGCATTTTGGGAGATGAGGCAGGTGGATCACTTGAGGTCAGGACTTCGAGATCAGCCTGGCCAACATGGTGAAACTCGTCTCTACTAAAAATACAAAAATGAGCCAGGTCTGGTGGCACACGCCTGTAGTCCCAGCTACTCAGAAGGCTGAGGCTGGAGAATCACTTGAACCTGGGAGGTGGAGGTTGCCGTCAGCCAACGTTGCTCCACTGCACTTCAGCCTGGGCAGCAGAGCAAAACTCCATCTCAAAAAATAAAAGTGAATAAAAAATAAAAATAAACTGCTGGAAGAAGTTTATGAGGTATCCTAAGACATGTACAAATACTAGTGTAAGACCCAACTGGGAATCTTTATGTCTTATTTCGTCCACAGCTCCCCACCCACACCATGGATTTAAGAAAGTCTTTTAAAACATTTGTAGATCAAGCTATCTGGTTCTAAAACATTTGTAGATCAAGCTATCTGGTTTTCAAGGAATTTATATTAAGATTGATTTTCAAATCCTGTGTGCTCTAGTCTAGGAGGATAATTATTTGTTAATGTAGATATTTCATAGAGACTTCAGGCAAACACATGAATGAGGAGCAAGGAAAGACCCAAAGAAAGCATGTAAGTAGATATCCTAAATCAAATTGTTATTTGACCAAAGAATTTGGTGATATGATAAAATCCAATTTCTAAATAATGAGTTTTTCTGTTAAAGCTCTCAATATGAATTAGGAAAGCCTTCAGCTACACGTAAAAGAAAATCTAACTCATAGAGTTTTAAACAAATGATGAGTCTTTTCTTTTTCCTTAAATCTCCTGGAATCCTGTTGACATTGGATTAGCAACAATGGTGTCAAGGACTGAAAGCTAGTGATTGCTTTTGCTTTAGACTTCATGCCTACATTCAAAACAAGAAGAGGGTAGGATACAGCGTCATTCATTCTGCATCATCAGGAAAGCAAAAAGCCTTCCTAGAAGCCTCTTGGCAGTCATATACTTAACACCTTTTTGGCAGAAACTGGGTCATGTGTCCGTGTCTAGGTGTGAGAGAGGGATGGAAGGTGGGAACATGGAGTTGTTAGGCCAATTGTATTTCATCTCTTGGGAATGGGGGGATTGATATTGGGTAGACAAAAATCAGTTGTTATCACTCTACCTAAGTGTTCCTCTGAAATATATTACTTGATTCTGGAACTTTATTTGAAAAGTTATTTGATATTCAATAGTTATAATGGTAATCCAATACAAAATATATATGTTGCCTTTAAAATGATAAATAGCAATTTAATATCTAGAGTAATCTCATCTACATTTGACAGTAATATTAACTATTCTATTCTCATAAATCTTGTATCATTTTTTTGTTAAATTGTCATTAATTTAAGTAAGGAAAAGTAGAGTTTATTTCCCAGTCACAAATAGAAGTAACCGATTGTTGTAAAATTATCAATGTTTCTTTCTTGAACCACTGCACCTTGAATTTTGATTAAAGAGTCGAAGTATTGTTAACATCCATGGAACTTAGAAAAAATACCAGTGCTAACCACATCACATCTAAAATATAAGCACATTTCAAATTTATGTGAATTTTAAATAATCTGTTTTCTTTGGCTTGTAGAAAAATTACCAAATAGCATATTGTATTAAGAATGAAATGTTCTGTAATCAAGATCAAATTACAATCTTATAATAATAACAGATAATTGTATACATGCAATATTAAAGTATATGAGCATATTCTTTAGACAAAATATCCAAAGACATCAATGTTTTCATTATTAAAGAGTT